>NC_000016.10:6260000-6885000 GCF_000001405.40 Homo sapiens | reverse complement strand
AAAACAACCAAAGCTTTAGAATAAGATAGATCTGGGTTGCGGTCTCAGTTTTACGATTTAACACTTAATATTTGCAGGGTTTTTTTGTTTTGTTTGTTTGTTTGAAAGAGAGCCTTGCTCTGCCATGCAGGCTGGAGTGCAGTGGAGCACTCTGGGCTGACTGCCACCTCCACCTCCTGAGTTCAAGAGATTCTCCTGCCTCAGCCTCCCAAGTAGCTGGGACTGCAGGTATGTGCCATCACACCTAGCTAATTTTTGTATTTTTAGTACAGATGGGGTTTCGTCATGTTGCCCAAGCTGGTCTGGAACCCCTGGCCTCAAGTGATCCACCACCTCAGCCTCCCCTAGTGCTGGGATTACAGGTGTGAGCCACCACACCTGGCCAATTTAGTTTTTTTTGTTTTTTAATCTCTTCAAAATGGGGGTAATAAAACATATTTGAGGTCTTATGATAATGTAACAGATGATGTACATGTAACATGTCATCAACACAGTTCCTTGCAAATGGTAGGTACTTAACAGTTTGTAGCCACTAATAATAAGAATACAGTACGATCCTTGAAGGCAGAGACTTTACTGTCCTCACTCCTTTTGTAGACAAGTGGTTGCTTGCATTGACTGAGGGCAGAGCAACTGTTGTCAAGTGACTTTGGAAGAAGCTGCCAGGTCCCCAGCCCTGGTTAAGCAAGGCTCAGAGCTGCAGTTGCTTCACAGTACCCAGAGTTTGGAAAGCTGGACACATACTTATTGCCACGCTCCCTGGGTCCCTGGCCTCTGCAGCATGGCTGACTGCACATGAGCCAGGAAGCATGCCCTGTGAGCAGAAGGGGCCTCGGAAGCAGCTTCTGTCTGCAGTAGCTCTGCTCGGTCGAGCATCAGATGCCTCTCTTCTTCTGCAGCGCATCGCAGGTGCTTGCATAACACAGCAGCCACCGCTCTGCAGTGGATGCTTAACAGGATCAGTTTGTCAGAAGAACAAAAAACACCCCCTCCTTGTGTGTGACTCCCCAGTTTTCACAATCTCCCCATCTCCTCTGCGCTTTGGACCGTGGCAAGTAGCAACGTCATTTGTACCTGGGGTAAAGATGTTCCCCTCTAACTTAAGTCTCAGCTTTTATTAAAAACATTTAACATTTTGGCTACTACAAAGGACATTAATTCCTAGGGGGAAAAAAGAGATAATAATAGAGAAAAGAAAAAAAAAAACCTCTTCACTAACCCATGTATTTTCAGCTCACAACATCTATAAGAACTGTAGAAAACTTTTGGACTCTATCATTCTTAGAAACTATTTTATCTCATATTTGAACAGCCTGGATGTGGGAGGCAAGGTTTCAATACTTACTACAAAGATAGAAATCTAGCTTTGAAAAGTTCTGAACACAGAGTAGAACAGCTTGAGGGTGTTACTTCAATATTTTCTCTTAAAGGTAAGCTGAGCAGTTACATATGGCAGTGTGCCGTTTAGGAAGATCCCTTTACACAACAAGTTATAAGTAAATATTCTTGCAGATGGGTGTCTAAGAGAAAGCGGCTAGTGCAATCAAATAAAATCTTGTACAATGTCTATGAACCAACACATTAATTAAGTTGATTGGATTTTGAAATCTGTGATTTTAAAGGCTGTGATTTACTTGATTATACTCTTTTACAAACAGATCTGCCTTATTAACTCATTCAAATTCCCAGGGGCTCCAACAAAAAGTAGCATTAAGCAAGCAAAAAGAAGGTCTAGGACAACTTTAAAAAAGAAAACCCATAGTGTAGCAAAGCGAGATTTCTAAGCTAAGTACTTTCTTTCTATTGCTTAGGTTCAGAACATTAAACGTATCTTTAATATAAATGGCTACCTCCCCACCTCTGCCTTAATGATCTGCTTGATATATACTGTAGCCATTCATACTAATTACATCATTAATAATGGTTTGAGAAGCCATCTATGAATACAGCAATGTCAGGAGACATATGGGTTATCTAGAATATCTGCAGATTGGACTTAACAATTCACAATCTCACCTTTAGAAATGGCAATTTATTGATTGCTAAAGCAGGAGGGGAAGCCGCCTAAGACATCCTGATTCAATTCATAACTCCTGGTAAGTATAATGGAAAATAGGAACAGAGCAGGAAGATGGTTGTTCACTCCTGGGGGTGAACATAAAGCCTCTGAAAAGGGGCAAAGAAACAGAGAATTGATACCCCCCAGGAATGCCACTTGCATCCTGGTCTTGCGTTTCTGGCTTGGTAAGGAACTCGTCTCTTTGGTTGCCGTTGGTTATGTCAGACTCCAAATATCCCAAACTGAATGGTTGTTATCCATACAGCCAATGGGTACCTGCCAAGTGCTAGACACTGCACTGAGGACTCTGCAAACATGATCTTATTTATTTATTTATATTTATTTATTTTCAGAGTTTAACTCTGCCACCGAGGCTGCAGTGCAGTGGTGCGATCTCAGCTCACTGCAACCTCCCTGCCTCCTAAGTTCAGGTGATTCTCCTGCCTCACCCTCCGGAGTAGCTGGGATTACAAGCACGTACCACCATGCCCAGATAATTTTGTATTTTTAGTGAAGATGGGGTTTCATCATGTTGGCCAGGCTGGGAAGAGAGAGAATCAGAGAGGTTAGGTGACTAAACTGTAATTATACTGCTCACTGCTAAAAGTAGCCAGAATTGCAAACAACAAGGATGAGACCCAGTGCACAGGTTGTTCCTCCCCATCATCCTCTGTTCTCTCCAAGCCTTCTCCCTCTCCATCTCTCTAAGGTGGAGACTGCAAATAAATTGCCCAGTGTTGCTGGACCAAAGGGGCCAGGAAGAGAGAAGCTAGAGACAGAATTAATGAGGCATCTAAGACCATCAGCAGCCTTGACTTTCCTGCTAAATAATTTACATCTTAACCTGCAGGGAATAGGGGGCCACTGAAATATTAAGCAGGAAGACTGACATCACCATTTTTCCAGAAATGAAGTCTAGAGTCTTTGGTGATTTTAGTTTTTTTAAAAAAATTTCTCCTTTATGTCTAACCCATAACCAAGTTCCCTTCTTTTTACACTATGTCAATTAGCCAGCAGGAGCCTACATCTAAATCCTGCTATACAGCAACTCCAGCTGTGAAACTTTTACTACAGTTCTTAAGATTTTTCAGCCTCAGTTTCCTGCTCTGTAAAATAGGGAGAATAAAAGTACCCAGTATGTAGGTTGCATTGAGGCTCCAGTGGATAATGGTATATAAGCTCATGCCTGGCTCATGGTAGGCACCCAGTGTGATGTGTTAAATTGTCCCCGCAAATTCAACGTTAAGACGTTGAAGTCTTAACTGCCAACATCTAAGAATGTGACTTTATTTGAAGATGGAATATTTGCAGAGGGAATCAAGTTAAAGTCAGGTCCTCAGAGTGGGCTGTAAGCCAGTATGACTGGAGTGTTTACAGGAAGAGGAGTATGCATGTTTGGACACAGACATGCATAGACGGAAGATGATGTAAAGATACACAGGCTCTCTATGTAGCTGACCCTCTACAAGCCACGGATAGGCCTGCAGCAGACCCTTTGCTCACAGCCCTCAGAAGGAACCAATCTTGCCAACACCTTCATTCTGGACTTCTAGTCTGCAGAACTGTGAGAGTAACTGTTTGTTGTTTTAGCCACCCAACCTGTGGCACTGTGTTATGGCAGTCCAAGCAAACTAATATTGTCAACGATAGGTTTTACCCCTTCCTTTGCTCTCTCCCCACCTAGGTCCAATCTTGGGAACCTTATATCTAATTCATGCTCAGACTCCTGGCTATTCTCCTTGCCTGTGAGCTTGGGAGAGCAAATGGGTTTCATTTTGTGTGCCAGCTCTGATCATCTATAGTCACTGCCTGGAGCGCTTCACTGAGAAGCATGGTAAGACCAGCTCAGACTCAGTGGGTAAAAGTGCCATGATTGATTAGCAATGTCTGCCACAGGCATAGGAGGGGAAGGTGGAGGGTATGGGCCACGTATTTTTCAGCCCTGCCTAGGCTCTCACTGTGTATTCATCTTGAAAAACTGTTATTAGATTGAATCTCCTAATGTAGCATTTACATCTTTTTGTCACTCTGCTCAAGCTCAACAGCTTCAAGTAGCTTATTTCTGTCAACCACATAAAATGTATATAGTTTGCTGTCCAGCAATTCCAACACATTTATATATTGATTTATTCTTTCAATAATATAAGAAATACTGTAATAAAAATATAACAATAATTTTAATACAACGCAATCAAATACAATCATAAAATAATCATCGTCCAAGAAGTCAAACTGACTCTGGAACATCATACAGCTCAGTGCTCTTTTTATCTAGATTTCTTTACTGCTAATTTTATTTGGGTTGATTTTTTCCCCACCCTGCCTCTTCCAGTTCACATTTCAGACAGTCCAGAAAGAAAAACAGATTCTGGCCTTCTCCGAGTTCACGTGTCTGAAGCTGTCTAACCTGACTAGCAAGGTTCCAGGAAATCTCTCTACCTGGCCCAGCTTTTGCATCATTTGTCCACCTTGGACCAATGACCAACACAGGGGAAGAGCAAACCCTGATTGGCTGCACCTGGGTCACATGTTCATTCCTGCAACAGGGCGGTGGGTTGCAGTGACTGAAGTGGAAAGTATAATACTAAAAACCAAGGCAGTGGTCAGGAACAACAGAGGCTGTCTCTCTGGCTGCCTCGTCTACCCAGCCAACCTTATGTCTCATTTTTTTCCCCAAGGTTAACTCTGCTCTTTCCCTTCTTGTCATGTTGCTACCCCCCGGTGGAAAATTTTGCTCTTTTATACCTTAAAGGAGTACACAGATTGAGGTGGAATATCCCATGATTAGAGAACTGTGCATCTAACACCAGCCACTGACAAGAAGTAACTCGAAAGGTCAGGGGACTCTCAGGAACATCCCTAAGGAGAAAGGAGTTGAATCTGGAGGAAAATTTACTTGCATGGATGGAGGAAACAGAGGCGCTTCAAGTATGAAAGATTAAGACTATTTCAGAAGATTAACAAATAAAGAAGTAGAAATGCCACTGAACAGATAGAAGAAATGATGCAATGAAAATTTAAATAATATTTTAAAAGAAATGATCAGATTTAACTGTGAGGCAAGATTGCACATTTATGAGATAATTCAAAATGTCTCAAACCTCTTTGTAAATTTAACATCATAAATAGAACATCAAAAATGCTTCCATTCCAATGTCAAATCAGAGGAAGGGTTAGTAACAGCCAGGAACACTGTTAAGTAGGATCCAGAGGTAGAATTTACTTCCACAGAAAAGAATATTACAATTAAACAGAGACGTACAACATAGTTAACTGAAATAACACAACTGGACCTTACTTGAAGCTCCTAAAACATCGCATGACATATTGATGTTTAGTGGATGATACTGGCTTTAAAAATGATAATGGAAACTTATGTTGAATCTACCTGTATAGTGAATAATCTCATTAACCTAACTTTGTAGCAAGTAAGTTTGTAAATTGCAATTAAGGTCATGATGGGGTCATCAATCAATGATACACACAAAGATGAAAGAACAGTTTTTAAAGTAAAGGGAAAATTCTAATAATTACATACCAGAGCATCCAATAAATATAAACAGGGCAGAGAGAGAGATGAAATTAGGAAAGATAGGAGACAGAGTGTCTGAAGTTAATTATAGCAAAGAAAATTTATGGCATATAGTGTTGGGCTGCCCTTCAGAAAACTGGCTGATAAATAAATTCACTGAAAGCCAATTCCATAAAAATCAATTCATTGAATAATCATAAAAATATCATATTACTGGACAACTTATTAAAAGGGCTGATATTCTTGCAGCCGTTTTGTCAATGATTTGTCTGTCCTGCTGAAATGAAGGTCAAACTGTAATATATTCAAGCTATTAGCTCATTGGCTTTCTGAAAACTTCTTAAAAGAGTGGGCTGAAACACTACTACACGTGTGGTCAAATGGTTTAGTAATCTGGGCTTTGCTTATTAGCATTTGCATGACCTTATACAAGTCATTTTATTTATCTCAGTTTTAATTTCCTCCCCTAACATAGGGGAAAAAAAATCCTACCCTTTTCTTTAACTTGAAGATGGTACTGGGAGAACTATCAAAGATTAGCTGTTAATTTCTCTCTGATCCTTAAAACTTCAAATAGGTTTTTCCAAAACCCCTTTCTATACTTTGTGAAAAGCCCAAAGCACTTTTTAAAATTTCTGCAGATTGTCAGGGTCCTTAAACTCTCATGGGATATATCAGGTTTCCATTTCTTGCCCTTGCTGAATTTCTGTTACTTTCTGTTTCTTGCTGTTGAGTTACCTTTGAATTAAACTGACGCTAACACGAACCACAGTGACTTTCCTTGACAACACACAAACAAAATGTTCACATGAGGACACTGCATGTGTCAGTCAGGATGCGCCATGTGATGCTGTGGCAACAAATGACTCCAAAATCTAAAAGGTCCAGGAATAACAAAAGTTTATTTCTTGCTCATATCACATGTCCATCATGGATTTGGTGGTAAGAGACAGGGTGGTGTTGCTTCTCAAAGACTCTCAGCAATCTTGGATGAAGGAAAATCCATCATCTGAAATATTTCTAGCCACCATATCAGAGAGATAAGAAATTTCTAGAAACTCTTGCATCAGCAATAAAATGTTCCAGCACCTGTCACTTTCATTTATAGTTCATTAGCCAGAACTGCTCTCATGGCCTCACTCAAATCACAAGAACTTCAAGCAGTGCTCAGCAGGGAAGAAACGGAATCTTTGTTGATGAGCCTGCATGGTGACCATACAATATATTGCTTGGGGAAGTGGAAGTATTTACATTGTAGCAACACAAACATTAGCTATCACTTCTCTTAGAAGTCCTTGCATACACGCCACCATATATCTCAGCCATTCTCTCTTCTATCTGTCCTACCCTTGTGTGTCTTTCAGCTCCATCCCTCTTAGAGGCAACAACATCCTTAAATTCCTCCTATATGCTTAAGCACAATGACTCGGCTCTCTGAAACCCTTATCCCCTACTTTTTGCTAATCCAAGACTCTGTGTATGTTTTGCAACTACCATTCGCAAGATCCTAAGTTCTTAGTCTGGAAGCAATCCTTTCCCTATTCTCTTTGAATGGGTATTTTGGGGATAGGAAGAAGACTGTTAGATGACTTATTCTCCTAGTTACACAAGCAAAATGTAACTGCATGCGTTAAAGCAATTTATACAATTTAAAAGTCCTACAGAAATAATTCTTACTATATTGGAAACTTCTTTGAGCCTCTATTTTCTCACTATACACAGAGAATAGCAATCCTTGCTCTGATTCTCAGTATGGGCTTGTCCGTAAAAATGCTTTGTGAACTCTAAAGCAATATGCAAATGCAAAGACACGGTTATTGTTGCACACACACAAGACTCTGGGGCTGTGAATTCAGAAGTTGTTCCGAATTCCAAGCACTGAGAGTCGATGCTCTTTTTCCTTTCGGCCACAGTAAGTAGGCATTTTATGGTCTGATATCAAGCAGAAGTCAAGCTTCCCCACTACTCTGGTTTTGCTTGTCTCTGTGATTTAATAATGCAGTCCATATTGGAAAATGATGCAGTTATGTCAGTTATTAGAGAATTACATTTTTGTGTTCTGCTAAAGGGAAGTAAAGATTAGCTCTGCCAGATGCACACATAAAACTAGATAGAAGCATACCTCCAAGTCAACCCATCCATCTTTCTCTAGGACATGTCAACATGTGGGATTTATGAAATATGGACTGTATTAAAAATGTTAAATGCACTTTTTAAATGTAACGGCTGCAGAAATAAGATATCTTTTTTCATTCGTCTGCTTTTTTGTTTACTGTTGTTTGGTGTTATTTCTCTTCAGCGGGACTGCCTATGCTTGTTAAGCACCAGTAAATGGCCAGTTATGAAGCAAACACAAAATATACATATGAATATTTAATAAGAAACAATAGCAGAAATATAGTATGCATTTGTTGCTCCACTGGAAAACTATATTCATTATTCTACAAATTATTCTTCCATAAATACTGAGAAACTTGAAAAAAGGTCAGAATAGTGTACCCAGTACTTGGTGGGCTAAAAGCACTTTTGCATTTACACTATGATGAATGCCAATCCCACTTCCATTGCTCACATCTGAAATCCATCTTTCGGTCAGTTTTAGCAGATACAGTTATTTCATGTTTTCTTGTAATGCAAATATAAATAAGAAAAAGCACACAAATTACAATGCAGGGACTATGGGTTCTCTCTTGATCAGACGGCAGATAACAACTTCTTTGGTTCCAGCCAAGATTAAGAAATAGAACCCTAGGTGAGAAATGTACTCTTAGAAAAAAAAAATAGATACAAGTCTTTTACTCTAGTATGGTGCATCATAAAGTCCAAGGTTTCTCACACTATTAATTTTTATAGAAGTGACTTAATTTTTTGCAAACAAATATTAAATGCCTACTGTGTGCTAGGTACAGCGCTATGTGATGAAGATAAAATAGTGACAAAAACCAAGGTGGTGATTTTTGATATCACTTCATTTTTAAGAGTGACTTTGTTTCAGCTAATTTACTTCATAGAACATAGGCTCATTTCAGGGGTTGGATGGTATTAATATTATTTTTCTTTGATGGTGGAATAGTCAACAAGTCATTCATTGTCCATTGAATATGCTGACCAGGAAGCAACTGGGTGATTCTAGGACAATTCCCAAGAATAGAAAGACTGGATGTCAGGAATCTAAGATGGATTGTGTTGCTGATGCTTTTTGTTTTGCTTTGCTTTGTTTTTTTTGAGAGGGTCCTTCACCCTCTGTTGCCCAGGCTGGAGTGCAATGGTGCAATCATGGCTCACTGCAGCCTCAATCTCCGGGGTTCCTTCTGGATCAAGTGACCCTCCTACCTCAGCCCCCCGAGATGCTAGGACTATAGACGTGTGTTACTATGCCTGCTTATTTTTTTTAAATGGAATTATTATTTTTTGAGACAAGTTCCACTGTGTTGCCCAGGCTGAAGTGCAGTGACATAATTGCAGCTCACTGCAACCTCCACCTCCCCGGCTCAAGTGATCCTCCCACCTCAGCCCTTCAAGTAGCCTGGATTCCACGCATGGACCACCATGACTGGCTAATTTTTTTGTAGAGATGAGGTTTCACCATGTTCCCCAGACTGGTCTTGAACTCCTGGCCTCAAATAATCCTGCTGTCATGGCCTCCCAAAGTGCTGCTGTTACAGGCATGGGCCACCATGCCCAGATGTGGCGCTGATTCATTTAGGCTACCAGAGAAGGGGAGCTTATGGTATAAAGAAAATATAACTTCTCCTAGGTTAAAATTATTTTTATCCAGATGTGGATCAACTCTAACCTTCTCTGCTGAAATAAACAAGGTCTTAACACATCTACTATTTTCCTTAACCACGGCCTTGCTTCAGACATAAACATAATTCATAGTCTTTGCCAGAGCACTGAATTGATGTATACTGCACTTAAGGGTGATTCAAAAAATTCGAAGACTCTCAGCGAATCTTGTGTGAGTCCTGGGAAGAAGCCACACATTGCAAATGAAACCTCAAAAACCACTACCAGCTTCAGAGAAGTAGGTCATATTGGACAGGAGAGGTCAAAGCTGTGTATAAAGGACAGATTAAAATATAAATGTTTCTCTAAAAAACGCACCCCCACCATAACGAGTTGTATTGTTTAGACAACCGAAGAGTCTTCAGAGATACTGAAATTTCCTGAATTACAATAGTGATAATATCATCATCATCAACCGTAGCACTATAATAATACAAAGAAGATGATTATGTGCACAAGCACTGTAGGCATTATATGATTAAATGGTATAAGCAACTTAGGGTAACACAGTCAATTGATAAGATTACAACCTACATTTTGAGTCCTTACATTTTTTTCGCCCTGTTCTTGACCACACTTGCTCCCACTCACAACTTC
Source organism: Homo sapiens (assembly GCF_000001405.40). Classification (NCBI taxonomy): domain Eukaryota; kingdom Metazoa; phylum Chordata; class Mammalia; order Primates; family Hominidae; genus Homo; species Homo sapiens. The sequence goes on along the minus strand of NC_000016.10, from coordinate 6,875,023 downwards.
TCCCCATTTTCTGCCCAACTTGGAATCATTTTTAAGATTAGTAACATGGGTTATGAAGCCAAGCTTCTTGGTTTCTAATTTTATCTTTTCAACAATGTTTTTCTTTTATTATTATTTCAATAGTTTTGTGGGAACAGGTAATGTTCCTTACATGGGTAAGTTCATTGGGTGTCATTTCTGAGATTTTGATGCACCCATCACCCAATCAGTATGTAGTCTTTTATCCCTCACCCACCTCCCACCCTTCCCCTCAAGTCCCAAGAGTACATTATGTCATTTTTTATGCTTTTGTGTCCTTATAGCTTAGCTCCCACTTATAAGCGAGAATATGTTAGTATATTAACACAATGTTAAGGAACTCGGGAATGGAAAACCATTGTAAGTGGGAGATAAGCCATGAGATGTTTGGTTTCCATTCCTGAGTTACTTCACTTACAATAACGGCCTCTCACTCCATCCAGGTTGTTGCGAATGCCATTATTTCATTTTTTTTTTTTTTTTTTTTTTTTTTTTTAGATGGAGTCTTGCTCTGTCGCCCAGCCTGGAGTGCAGTGGCATGATCTTCCACTAACTGCAACCTCCATCTCCTGGATTCAAGCAGTTCTCCTGCCTCAGCCTCCTAAGTAGCTGGGACTACAGGCACCTGCCAATATGCCTGGCTAATTTTGTATTTTTAGTGGAGATGCAGTTTCATCATGTTGGCCAGGCTGGTCTCAAAACTCCTGACCTCAGATTATCCACCTGCCTCAGCCTCCCGAAGTGCTGGGATTACAAGTGTGAACCACTTTGCCTGACCTATTTCATTCCTTTTTATGGCTGAGTAGCATGTGTTTGTGTGTGTATGCACACACCATAGTTTCTTTATCCACTTATTCACTGATGGGCATTTCGGCTGGTTCCATATTTCTGAAATTGTGAATTGTGCTGCTATAAACATGCATGTGCAAGTGTCTTTTTCATATAATGACTTCTTTTCCTTTTGGTAGATAATGGATCAACAGGTATTTCTACTTTTACTAAAAATATGAAACGCTTCACAAATTCCCATGTCATCGTTGTGCAGGGGTCACGCTAATCTTCTCTGTATCATTCCAATGTTAGTATATGTGCTGCCAAAGTGAGCAATGGTTTCCTATTTCAGATACTATGCTTCCTAGCTGTCTGACTTTATGCAAGTTACTTAATGTTTCAAAGTCTCGGTTTCCTTATCTGGAAAATGGCAATAATAAAGATCACAGAGTTGCTGCAATAATTAAGCAAGATAACACTTGTGGATCTGATTTTCATGGTGATGACGACAATGAGAGGATGATAGTGACAGTGACAATCATGATGCCATAAATACTCACATTTTCCTTCTAAACCTATGAATGCAGAGAATCTCATGGCTGGTGTAAAATCTTACACAATCCCAGTAAAAACTAGACGTGTAATATGTTTAACTCAATAGTTTATGCAGCAAAGTTGTTCTTTTTTTTAAGCTGAAAATAATTACAAGAACACAGCCATAATCCACTGTCATAGCCTTGAGGAAGTTTTATGCAATTGCAGAAGATACACATAAAACTGAAAAATTGAAAGCCTATTTGAAATAGGTAGTCATAGTGAGCACTTCTTCTTTAATTGCATTCTGCTTACATAACTCAAAGACCTAAATTAAAGCATAATCATGTCTCTAATGATTTTGCACTCTTTTTCCCCCTCCAACATAAGGAAGCTCAAGGTGTTAAAAGAGTTATGCTTTGGGACCAAGATAACTAATGTATAAATTAAAAATCCATTTCATACGTTTATTTACATAAATGAAAAAGGAGGCAAAAATCTCTACTCCTCGTTTATTCCTTCTTCACGCTTCAGGAGGAAAGTCTGCTATAGAGCTTTTTTTTTTTTTTCCAATGCATAGAAACTAAAAGTTTCTCAAGTAAGAAATACAAGGTACATATTTCAGAAGTTTGGGTGGCTTTGCATAGCCTCAGAAATGCTGAGAATATAGAACACACTGCAGTATATCTAATTATCTTTATAAGATCTCTCAAAATCAATGGCATTATACTCAAGACCAGCTGCGGCCGGGGAAGTAAAACAGAGCAAGTGTCAGGGAGGTTACTGAGAAGTATGGCTTTCTTCCTAATAGCACAATTTTTATGGAACATGGAGTCTTTGAATTGTTATATTCTGTTAACTCTTTTAAAGACCCAAACAGAATTTAACCATTTTGTTCGAAGGCATCAATTCAACTCTTATCTCAGTTATTTTATTTTTTTGCACTTTTAACTCCTGAAGGACAAAAAACACAGGTTTTGAGACACAACTCTAAATCTAGCTTACCCTGGATTATAATTTTGCTAGCAGTGACAGTGTCCAATCATTCTACTTTAACCGTTGCCACTGCAGGAATATTCAAAGTAGTTGCACATTAATTGGGTGTTTTGTTGCCGTTCCAAACGTTCTTATCTTTTTTTAAAGAATGTTTCCAATATAAACAGGAACCAGACTTTCAAATAAGAAAATCATAGGGAATTCAGGGAAGCCTGAAACCTAAAGCAAGGGGCTAATTCAGCTGTTTCCTAAGTTGAGTTTTTAGAAATAGTTCTTAAAGTGTTAAAAGGTGATCGATTAAAAAAAGAGCTATGGTCATAGTAAAGCTATTATTACTACGAGAAAGAGAAAAAGAGAGAAACAGAGAGAAGGGAGGAAGGAAGAGAGGGAGACAGACTGCAGAGAAGCAAACTACCCCAAGTTATCCAACTGGATAGATGTGTTTTATTCATTTACACAACAATTATTAAATCTCTACTATGTGCTGGTCTCCATGCTAGGTGCTGAGCACAAGTTGGTGACTAAGACAGACGTAGTACTGCTCTCACAGTTTTCCATTTGGTGGAAAAGAAAGCGTATCATATTAAAACATAACAGGTACCATTACAATTATGCTGTGAAAAGACAAAGAAGGGTATGTAACTGAGAGGCTTTCCAGAAACGATACCTACACACAATCATAATGAACAATAGGATTGAGTATACAAAGGGTTTCAGAGATCCCCATACTCTACCGAGGGAAACACACACACACACACACACACACACACACACACACACACACACACACACAGACTCTCTCCCTCTCTCAAAGAGCCTGGATTGTGACAAAGTGCCATCAGATGCGGATTTAGGACACGATAGGCTAAGCAGCAACTGCACTTTGAGGGCCACTGACAACATTTCCAGACTTGATCCTAAAATCAGCGGAAGGTAGAGTAGAAATTTCAGCAAGAATGATGGCGATCATGTAACAGAAAATCACTCTTTCTGGTATATGGAGAATAGATTAATGGGGACAAGAGTGGAGGAAGAAAGGCCAGTTTAGAAGTGTTGACAGCACTCCAGGCAGGAGGGAAGAGTGGCTTTGGCCAGGAGAATAGAAGGAGAATGGAGAGAAGCAAAAAGTTTCAGTCAGTAATTAAGAGGGGATAAACCACTGGAGTTGATCTCTGGGCATGAGGGATAAGGGAGAGGAAAGAGTCAAGAGTGATTTTGAGGCCGGGCACGGTGGCTCACACCTGTAATCCCAGCAATTTGGGAGGCTGAGGTGAGCAGATCATTTGACCTCAGGAGTTTGAGACCAGCCTGGCCAACATACTGAAACCCTATGTCTACTAAAAATACAAAAATTAGCCAGGCGTGATGGCACATGCCTGTAATCCCAGCTACTCAGGAAGTTGATGCAGGAAAATCACTTTAACCCAGGAGGGGGAGGTTAGAGTGAGCCGAGATCATGCCAATGCACTCCAGCCTGGGGGACAGAGCAACACTCCATCTCCAAAAAAAGCAGGGGTGATTTTCTGAAACATGGAATTAAACTTCAGTTGGTTTATTCAAAAACAAAAGAAAGGAACCTTCATCAAATTCCATCCTAAAGAATGTAAGAAGAAAGATAAGTCATCTTGTCCATTCCTAAGACTCTGCCTACTTTATACGCATTTATGACTTCATTTGCTTTCCAATATTTAATGAGCATCTGTTATTCACTGGATAGTGGGCTTCATCCACTTACATCCAGGTCTACAGGAATATGGACACTTACGGATAGAAATGGAAAAAGTCTGATTTTTTATTCTCTTTATAAATGAGTTTTAATTCAAGTCTCTCAAAGTTAGGGCCTTTTATTAGTGACTGTAAATCTCAGAGCGACAAGAAGTCATAAGAATCTGAAATTGCCTCATAAATTAGTTGCTAGTAGTGAAACAGTTGTTTAGTTTGTTGAGGGGCTGGGGTGGGGAGGAGTTTTGGTGGTGAAATAATTATTCAACATTACTGAACCAAATAATTAAACTGTGCTGTAAAATTATGGTTATGGTAATATTCCCATCATCGTTTGTTTTGTTTCTGCTCATCTACATTATGATTTGTTATTGCTTTGCAAAGCTACAATGTAACAGTCAAACCTGAAATTAAAACCAGCCTGCAAAAGTTATACAAGGTGATCCAGTATGTTCCACTAGCAATTATTCATGGCAAATAATATCATGAAGCTCTTAAATCCTTGTTGTGAAGCTAGCCAGACGTGTGTCAACTAAAACCTTAGATATTTATAGGTATCAGAAGTGAGGTAAGACTTGCTGAAACAATCCAAATGCAAATGAGATATGTGAAAATCCAATAGGAGCATCTTGGAATATCAGATTTCTGTTTCCTAGCAGTGCTGAATTTCAGTAGTGCTGACAAACAAAAAGGCACGGATTTTTTCAAGCGACCAAAGGGAATGCTCTCTCCATTGCCCCACCCCAGGCTGCTAACTCTCTTGGCTCTGCCTGCAAAATTCTAGATGAAATAAGGTTTTCGGGCCAAACCCTAAACTCATTCATCACCATCCTGTGAAAACTAGGTGGTCCAAGAGCCTTATGCAAAAAATCATCATTATTATCATCATCCAAAAAGAAGGATTAGTAAATTGTCAGTTTAACAATTTTTAAACTCGTAGGGCCAGCTGAGAGATAGATATGCATAGATCTCACAGCATCAACGTAGAAAATGTTACCTTTGATCCCTTATTTTATAGGTCCTAAGATTAGTAAGCAGTCCCCAAGACGCTGAGATGATATAAGTAATTTATGGCTTTGAATTGCTTTTACTGCGGGGAGACATATACGTTCTGAACAGATTCCCCTTCATTCCTGATTCCCGTGAAGCAGTCAGCTCATGTGTCTTCAAAACCAACCAGAATTAAGTAATTGGAAATTCCACATCAAGCTGATGCTGTTTAGAATTTTACCCATTTCCAATCAGTCAACACGGTTCTCTAGAGTCACATGGCTTTGCCAACTGCATGAATGTGTGTCCTAGAATTTGTTTTGAGAAGGGTAAAAATCCTAGTTCTAACACGTCAGAGTTGAAAACAGATTCCAATTATATTTTTCCTGTTCTTTCTTTCTCTATTTCATCCTACTCTGCACAGAAATTAATGTTAATCTCCTTTTATGAACAAAAAGGATTCATAAAACCCTTTTATATGTGTTGAAAAACTCAGGGCATTTACATTAAAAAAAAAAAACCTCAAAAGACAGTAAGGGAACTCCTTCCTAATACAAGACAGATACCACAGTGGTTAATAACAGAATTTGGAGCTTGAAAGACCCATGTTTGACTCTTTCTCTACCTACAACTATGGGATTTGTGAACAGTGACCCTCTGAGCCCATTTCTTCATCTGGCAGTGGCAAGATATAATAAGTATTTACTTGATAAGGTTCTTATGAGAAACATATTGACACCAAGCACTTTGCACATATAGGTGGTCAGCAAGTGTTGCTGATAATGGCAAGTGGGGGAAGGAAGAGATGAGCGTGCAAAGCAGCAGAAGATATGACAGGTAAGCAAGAGGCAAGATGCATAAGCCAGTATGGGCAACACAATGCTGCTGTAATAAACAGCCCCTGAAGTTAGTGGCTTATAGCAATGGAAGTTTATTTCTCATTCGTACCATGTGCTCAATACAGGTTGGCTGGAACTTTTGTTTTTTGTAGTCACTCAGGGACATGAGCTGACAGACGGTTTCTCTCACCTCATGTATCCAAAATCTCTAAGGCAAGGGCTAGAAAATGTGGTAACTCACAAAATGTCACTTCAAGCATCCACCTATGAGAAAGTCACATCACCTCCCTGCATATTTCATTAGTCAAAGTAAGTCATATGGCAAAGCCCATCTTTCGAGGAGCAAAAAGATGCAACCTTATTACCTATCTTTAAGAAATACTGGCCGGGTGCAATGGCTCATGCCTATAATCTCAGCACTTTCAGAGGCCAAAGCAAGTGGGTCACCTGAGATCAGAAGTTCTGACCAGCCTGGCCAACATGGTGAAACCCTATCTCTAGGAAAAATACAAAAATTAGCTGGGCGTGGTGGTGTGTGCCTATAATCCCAGCTACTCAGGACGCTAAAGCAGGAGAATTGCTTGAACCCAGGAAGCAGAGGTTGCAGTGAGCCGTTATCATACTACCGCACTCCAGCCTGGGTGACAGAGTGAGACTGTCTCAAAAAAAAATCATAAACCAATAAATATGAAACACTGGCTTGAATGTGACTTTCCTACCTCGCCCTGGCAACTTTACCAATTTGAACACTAACCCAAAAGAAAACTTACAGAAATTTCTCTAGATCCATAATCCCTTTATAGACACTTATCATAGATGAATCCACTCTGTTTTACCATCCTCTTACTTCAGCAAACCACTTTCTGTGTCCATCTTCTTATAAGCCACTTCCTGTGTCCACTGCTGCAGACCACGAAGTATTTCTGTTTCTATAAATTAAATGACTTGGAGGCTGTAACATGTAGCACTGAAAGACTTCAATGAAAAAAAATATAGGAATAATTATTTGCTAATTTCAAATGAGTATTTACTATTTATCAGGTACTTTGATCAAAATTTCACATATTAATTTTCTCAACACCCATACGGCAAAAACATTACTATAATACCTATATTTCGCAAATAAGTTAACTGAAGTATAGTAGTTTCAGCTTCTCAGAAAAAATCAAGTACAGAAATCAAAATTCAACTGCCAATTTGTCTGAGCCATAGTTCTGGACGCTTGGCTTCTATATTTGATTACTCTCTTGTTTAAGAGTATGGAATGACTATATAATACATCGTTGAAACTGGGACACCTGTCAGCAGAAAGGGGGATGTCAATAATTACACCAGGATCAAGGGATAAACAGGACTTGTTCTGAGCAAACCTAAAGGTAATGATGCCATGGGTAATTCACACATTAACTGATAAATATCTGTTGGATCCCTTTCTTTTTGTCCTTCTGAGACAGAGTCTTGTGCTCTGTCACCCAGGCAATCTCGGCACTCACTGCAACCTCTGCCTCCCGGGTTCAAGCGATCCTGCTGCCTGAGCCTCCCAAGTAGCTGGGATTACAGGCCGGTACCACCACGCCTGGCTAATTTTTGTATTTTTAGTAGAGATGAGGTTTTGCCATGTTGGCCAGGCTGATCTCGAACTCCTGACCTCAAGTGATCCGCCTGTCTCGGCCCCCCAAAGTGCTGGAATTACATGAGTGAGCCCCCACACCCGGCCCCCTTTCTTCCCTTAATCCTCATTAGTTTCTCAGATGAACAAAAATTCTGGTTTATAAAGGTCATTAAAAAGAATCACTACCCCAAGAGAGGTTATTCCTTGTACAAAACCATCATCAGAGCCAATAATGATCCAGAATATGGATGGATCTCTCCTCCATCCATGCTCATCAGAAAGGAAAAAAAAGGAAGAAAAAAAGTATTTTTTTTTCCCCTACAGAAAGACTTATATAGCTTCATGCTTTTCTTTGCAAGACCAAGAAGAAAACTCACAAAACTTCTGCACTTAGTACATCTCCAAGCTAAAACCTGACTGCTTTATCAGAAATTCCCACTGGAAGTGTTCTTGCTGGTTAGAATGAAATTTTTAAATACAAACTCATAATAATAGCAAGACATGGAAGTTTTTTTTTTTTTTTTTAAAGAACAGCTAACACAGACTCTGACTAGAGGGTTTTCTGTATGCTTAAAACAGTATGACCTTTAGATATTGTCATGAAGCTAAGGACCCATAAGGGCTGGTTTCCTTATCTTGATGCTTTGTGTGGCAAGTAATACACATGCAAAAGTTACAACCTTAGAAAACCCTAACCTTTAGCTGGGCGCGGTGGCTCCTGCCTGTAATCCCAGCAGTTTGGGAGGCCAAGGCAGGCAGATCACGAGGTCAGGAGATCGAGACCATCCTGGCTAACACGGTGAAACCCCTTCTCTACTAAAAATACAAAAAAATCAGCCAGGCGTGGTGGCAGGCGCCTGTAGTCCCAGCTACTCGGAAGGCTGAGGCAGGAGAATGGCGTGAACCGGGGAGGCGGAGCTTGCAGTGAGCCGAGATCGCACCACTGCACTCCAGCCTGGGGGACAGAGCGAGACTCCAACTCAAAAAAAAAAAAAAAAAATAGAAGGAAAGAAAGCCCTAACCTTATTTTTTTTTTTAAAAAAAGTCCTTTGTGAAACACACTTTTTGCATTATATATTTTTTGCTTAACATGAAGATGCAGATGGGAAAGACACTAGAAGTCATGGAGATGATGGATAAGGTTTGATTTTTTTTCTTCTTTATTAGACCCATCAACAGAGTTCCATTATTACACTGTAAGAAGTGATCTATTTCCTTGTTTCATCATAGCTTGAAACTTAAAGCCCATCAGCCACCCTATCCACAAAAATGAAAAGTGGTAGGAAAGTAGTTTACATTTCCAGAACCTTAAAAAATGATGAGAAGACACTGAAGTAATAAAGAACTACCAGAGATAAGGTGAGCAAAGCTGTTTTATAATATAAAGAAAAATGCATATTAGATAGAAAAAGAGCTGGGGAAAGAAAAGGAGAGGGGAATTATTTTCCATAAAAATATCATCTTTTGGCTTCTATTTCAATCCTGATTTACTCTTTTCTTTCCAGATGCATTCAAAGATGTGCTAGCCAATATTACTCCCTCTTTTTTCCCCGATTGTTTTTTTCAATGCATTTCTTATGTGATTTAGACATTACTGTGCAAGAACCAAATGAGGTGGCTTTTTCATGTAATGTTTCAACACTAAGTTACTTAGAAGGCAAAAGACTTGTCAGGAAGAAATAAGCCTACACGCAAAAAAGAGAGAAGTTAATTGTACCTGAAAATTCTCCGTGTGCAACTGTTATCTAATACTGCTTACAAATAAAGCAGGAAAAAATAACAACAAATAAACCTATTTGTGAAAGGTGATAAAATAGCAAATGAGAGGCAAAATGAGAAGGTAAAATGAACTTATTAACTAAAGGAATTAGGGATTACTACGTTGTCATCACACGTCATGAAGAATACATCTCAGTCCATAGTATCTTATTAAATTAAAAAATAATGTATCACAAAATATTATCTACAATTAATACAAATTGTATTTCTACCACCTGATACAATTCCTGCAGCATAGTAGCAAGTCATTAACCATGTGTTAAATAAATGTTAAAAAACAAGAAGGTGCCTGGGTGTGTGGGGCTAGAAAGGAAATATCCCCATGGCACACACTAATGATAAACACTGGTAAAATTAGAAATGATTTTTCTTCTTTGTGTTTTTCTGCATTTTTCATGTTATCTACAATGAACACATATTATTCAAGTAATTATTATAAGTACTTAAAAAACCCACTCCAGGTCGGGCACGGTGGCTCACGTCTGTAATCCCAGTACTGTGGGAGGCCAAGGCGGGTGGATCACCTGAGGTCAGGAGTTCGAGACCAGCCTGGCCAACATGGCAAAACCCCATCTCTACTAAAAGTACAAAAATTACCCAGGAGTGGTGGTGGGCACCTGTAATCCCAGCTACTTGGGAGGCTAAGGGTGGAGAATTGCTTGAACCCAGGAGGCGGAGGTTGCAGTGAGCCAAGATCGCGCCACTGCACTCCAGCCTGGGTGACAAGAGCAAAATTCGATCTCAAAAAAAAAAAAAAAAAAAAAAAAGAAAAAGAAAAACCCACTCCAACATTGGCACTGGGATTGAGGAACAGGGCTTATTTTTGACCTTTGTGTTTTCGATTTATCAGCAAAAAGAGAAACCAAAAACGCCCCTCTTGTTTTGATGAGTATCCATTCACATGACCTCAGATAAAAAAAGGGAAATGGCCTCAACAAAATACCCAAGTAGCATATGTCTCTCCTTATTGTTTTTAAACCCACATTAGAGGAAAAAGACACTTAAAAATACAGGTTGAACAGAGCAACATCTTCTAGGAAGCAACTTTTTCTTCAGGATTCCATGCATTATTGAAAGGCTTTAAAAGCCAGTTTGGAATTTTCCATCAAGAACAAATAAAACATTTGAATCAGATCCTTGATTCTCAAATATCCTGCCGTTGACACATCCAGCCTGTTTTGATGTATTAGGCCATGATTAAAAAAAAAAAAAAAAGAGGAAGGAGAGAATAGGGGGGTTTAAAACTAAATTTTTAATTAACGTTTTTATGTGTTAATTTGAGATTATGTCATTTATACTTTTTCGGGCATGATGATGTCATTTCTTTTCTGAATTGTTGGTGATTTCACAAAATTTCTGTGCCTGCAAAAGTAAAACAAATAGCCTTCCTTTATTGCAGTCTGAAATTATTATTGTTTTTCAAATGTTTGTCTTGAAATAACTGGATAGGATAAGGAAAGAATGAAGTGTGTTCTCTAATTTCTTATTTTTGAACGTGTCTAAATGTGGAAGAGTTATGCTTTGAGAAGAACCCTAGGAATACAGTGACATAGAAGAAAAAAGTGAATTATTTATGTAATGGGACAAGAATTATTAAAATAATTTCCCTGAAATGACCCCTCCTTCTTCCTGCTAAAGAGACTCCTTCGCTTTCTTCTTTGTCACTTTTATTTTTTCTGCTACTCTCCCTGTAGTCTGAAGAAGGTTCAGCTTTTGCTAGGCAGGTTAATTAGAGGTTTTGCAAGGCATAATCTCAACAAAAAAAAAAAAAAAGGAACATAAAGACAGAAGAAGTTGTGAGGATTTTGCAAGAGAAGGAAGAAGGAGGGAGCACAAAGTGTGAAGGAAACAAATGGCAATGGATTGGTAACTGTTTAATAAACATTCAAAATACCAGTAAAGAACTTGGTATTTGTTTCTGGTTACCTGATTTGGCTCCTTTCATAGCACATCCTCCTGAGACTGTATCACAAGGTTTATTACCTCTGTAAGGTTGTATTTGGTTTTGGTAAAAAAAAAAAAAAAAAAAAAAAAAAAGCGCAGGCATCCAATTTGTGCTTCCGGTCATTTCTTTTTTTCTTTTTTTTTTTTTAAGGAAAAAAAAAAACAGAACCTTGGTATTTTGATGCCATTCTCTCTCCCTCCTTCTGACAAAGAAGATAAAAATGGCGTCCAGGAACAGATCACATCTTTAATGTTATTTACATTTATCTATGTAACCAGAAAATAATTGTAATTAGTATTAAAACACAGTTCCTGCTATGTGTTCTACTTGTACAGGCAACATAATGAATTCAGAGGTAGCAGAAGGCAAAACTTGCTTAGTTCCTTCCATTATGGGCCTTTTCTAAATTTTAGTAAGGAGCTTTGAATCTTTAGCCATACATTCTTGAAGATTAGTGAGTCACCACCCTCCTGGTGAGCCACGTTTTGTCTCTACCCATTCATCTTGACCATTTGCTGCTAATCACTTTTCCCAGTCTGCATCCAGAAGATACTTCGTCTCCAACCTTGAGGGTCTTGCCTTTAGGTTGGAATGTTTTGTGCCATGTCCTTCTCTATTCCAAAAAGTAATTCAGGCAAGCCCTCCTGTTTTTTCACCTAGACTTTTGATCCCCTGCTTATTAATTTCTCTTCATCCACTCTCCCACCAATAATCTGTAAAAATCCTTCCACTGTTCTCCACCATACATCATAGAATAATGTACCAAACACCTTAGAAGGACTCTGCAAATTCCTTCAAAAATCAGCTGCGGCCTGTCTTCCTTTTTTTTTTTTTAGACAGAGTCTCCCTCTGTCGCCCAGGCTGGAGTGCAGTGCCGTGATCTCAGCTCACTGCAACCTCTGCCTCCTGGGTTCAAGTGATTCTCCTGCCTCAACCTCCTGAGTAGCTGGGATTACAGGTGCCGGCCACCATGACTGGCTAATTTTTGTATTTTTAGTAGAGACGAGGTTTCACCATTTTGGCCAGGCTGATCTTCAACTCCTGACCTCAGGTGATCCACCAGCCTCGGCCTTACAAAGCGCCGGGATTACAGGTGTGAGCCACAGACAATTCTTAAACAGCATCTGTGATGATTCCAATTCTACCTCCAGCTCTGTTCATACAAAACCACTTTCATTTTCCATTTGTGTCCTGTACTTCATTCATGTCACTTCCTCTGCCTGTAACATGAACTCTCTTTTCTTCCTGGAAATCTCTTCACTCTTCAAGATGCTGGTTAAGTATCACCTCCATTCTGCTGGTTGCCTGGGCAAGGCAGAGCTGTTTGCTCCTTTTCCTAGGTAACTGTAATATTGCTAATAACTCTGCCATTGCATCCCCATAGCACCGAATGAAAGGATTTTTATTTGACTCTCTTCCTCCATTTCATTGAACCTGCTCTGGGGCCTTGGTGTTCAAAATGTGCTTCCAGGAACCTGCACGATCAGCATCGCCTGTGAGCTTGTTCACAAGGCAAACAGTCTCCACTCCAGACCTACAGAATTAAAATCTCTGGAGGTGGCCTAGGACTCTGGGTTTCTTATGTGCAATAACTCTCTAGAGTAAGGGTCAGTACTTATTTATGTCCCTAAACATGACACACACAGCAAGCCCTTCACAATCTAAATGAAAAACTCTTTTGTTGTTATTGTTGCTGAAGCATCCTTTCCAAGTATCCCTCACAGCCCAATGACATCTTCTCATCGAAATCAGTTTTGCTGTGATTTTTCCTGACAGTATTGACTGGAGCTTATCGAGTTTGTCTTACACACTCCACAGTCTGTATCACAGCTTTTCTTTGATTCAAGCCTCCCATTGCATATTCCAAACCAGTTCTGTTTGCAGACCCCCTGCCAGTGCCAGAGAGAGCTCTTGTTAATGTTAACGACATTTCTGGGCAGGGAGAAAGTGCAAGCTAGACCAAAAAAAAAACCAAAAAAAAAAAAAAAAAAAAACCAAGGGACGCTGGCTAGGAAAGAGGGGGAGTGTATGAACGTGGAAACACTTTGGCCAAATACTTATTATCAATAGGGTTTTCAAATAGCTGTAAATCCTGAAGACTTCCGGGCCTTCCAAAACGAATTTGACCTCATTATACACAGTGAAAAATAGAGGAGGTTGCATGCCAAGTCTGTAATATTGCAACATAAAGACCCAATGTAGAGGCTGTTTACTGGAACAACTTAGTACTTTCATATGAAATGAGAGCCTAAGATGCTAACACTGAACGTGCCCAGTTAAAGGAACATTGAGAGTTGAAGCAATTATTCTTGTAATTGAGTCGGGGGGGGAGGGGGTTGGGAGGGGAATCATTCCTTTTGGAAAAGAGAGTCAGGCCTTGCAATTAGCAGTTTACATTGATCAAAGACATTAGGGAACTGCTTGACTGGTCCATCTTTTGTCTTGTAGATTGAGGGTACTGCATCTCTTTACTCATCTGCCCTTAACAATCTTACCAAGACAATGCACTCGAAAGGGACCTTGTTTTTGTATAAAACCCTTTTGCAAAGACTATGGTTAGAGTGTGGTGCTCAAAAAACTCAGCATGCAAATACACACAGACACAGCGGTAACTGTAGCTGTTCAGATGCACTCTTTTTTCTTATGCAATACATGAGACATATAAAAAATACGGAAGATGCTGGAGCAAATGCCGTATGTCCACCCCGCAGCTTGCAACATAAAATATAACAAATATAATGGAATCCTTGTCAGTCACTCTCGCAGATTACAACCGCTCCCCTACTCCCTAACAGTGGTGGGCATACTGCTGAACTTACTGTGTATCATTCCCACATAGCTCTATCTCGTTTTACCATATATGCATAGACCCCAAGAGAATATATATTTTTGGGCACATTCATATATAAATACATATAAATGTATATTTTGGAATATCTATTTTTGAATACATTTATATATTTTTGAAAACATTTTACTGTGTCCAAAAACTGTACATAAATGATGTCATACTGTATGTCTCCTGCTGCAAATTACTTTTTGTTGTTGTTCAACATTATGGTTTTCAGATTTATCCACACTGGCACACAGAGATCTAATTTATTTATTTTAACATGACACACCAGACATGACTTTTGCTACAATTTATCTTCTATTTCCCTATTGGTGGACAATTAATGTCTGGTTGATTGTTGTCTTCCTAATGTTTTGCTTGGATGCCACAATGAATCTTCTATGTGTCTCCTTCATGTGTGCATTTAGGGATGAAATATCTCAAAACTACATGCATCTTGAATGTCCCATGATGTTACTAAAGTGAGCGCCAAAGCAGGTGCATCAATATACTCTTCCATCAGCAGCACGGTAGAGCGCCCGCTGCCCCCGCGTCTTAGCCAACGTGTAGTGTTTTGTAAGACTTGCAGATTTGAAGAGTTTGAAATAACAAATGCTTTCCAAGATGCTTCCCAAATATTACCACCCCCAGCCAAAAACACTTGACTCCATCAGAACTGAGAACATTTAGTCATCAGACATTAAATAATGTATTTCCACAAGTACCATTAAGTGCCTAACATTGTGTCTGGAACATAACGGGCATTCAATATATATTGTTGAATGAATTCATTTCCGCTATTGCAGATGACTCAGAAAATGAAGCAAGAAAAACATATGCCAGGAAAGCAGTGAACAGCTAGCGCACAGCTATTCATTGGAAGAGGAAAAATAGTACACAATTCCAAATGCTCTCTCTTCACTTACCTCGGTATTATAGCTCGTTCCATCAGGTACCCTTGTGGTGTTAACTCCTACACTTTACAGTCAATGAGCAAAAACCAATTCCACTCCTCAAATTCTTCTCACTTACTATTCAGCTGTCTCAATTCATTAATTTGCTTAATCAGCCCTCATCAATAACACTTCTCTCCAATGCATTCCTCTAACTCAAAGGAAAAGCAAGCTCTGAATACTCAAAAGTGTGATTCTATAAAGAAACAAGAATGGCAGAAAAAATATACTTGTATCAATGCCTTTTGGAGCCTTAGCAGTAACTTCATATTAACATGTCTGCTATTGTCAAAGATCAAGGGTGAAAGACATTTCTCATTTTGCTGATACCGTAGTCGATTAAAAAATTTGAATTAAATGGTTCCATTATTGAGTATCTCACAAACACAGTTCCATGGAGGTTATCGACACAGAGAGGCGGCAGGAAGATCTCTGAAGCATTTTCTACAAAGTGTGGCTCATCTAAATTCAGATTTCCACAGGCAGCATAAAAACCACTCACATTTGGGAAATTTGCAGGTCCATGGGCATTAGGGCAGTAGACTTGAACAAGAGTGAGCAACTGTTCTTCTGCTTATCAAGTTCTCTGATGAACAGAGAGCTGACAAGTAAAATCAATTATGATATTAGAGCCAAGTATGGGCAAAAGCGTCATCTGTTTGAGGAGAACAGAGAATTTTGCATAGAATTTTTGACTCTTTCTTATAAAAATATAATAGATATTATCAACGAATGAGATGGGAACAAATAATATTCAAGAGGAGTCATTTTTATAAAGAGTCAGAATCATGTTCTTATTGGATTGAGGAACTAATTTTTGTATATATATATATACATATATATATACATATATATACATATATATACGTATATATATACATATATATATACGTATATATATGTATATATATATATATATACACTTTTTTTAGGACAATACAACACTGATGGTATTAAGGGAGCATAACTTAATTCCTCCTTCCAGCCTCAGTCCTGGCACTTATACATAAACAGGTACACATCCCTGTGACCTGGTCAGCTAAGCTAAAATGTGTACATGTGTTTTTACCTACCTTTGATTGACAGTGAAAATAATATCTTCCTTTAGAAATGCAGAACTTACTGACCACATGATACTGTAGTTATAGCTGAGCTTCAGAAATAGCTACGAGTCTGAGTTTTGCATGTTGAATTGAAGATTATACTTCTAACCAGCAGAGGCGAATGCCACTGCTCTAATTTCTGGGTTTTCTAAAACTTTCAACTAAGAATAAAGATGTGTTTTTGGTATACACTGTTCCATAAAGAGGCTGAGCTGAACACTCATATTCTGATATGTAATTCCATAAAATTATTGTTTCTATTTTTTAGTAGAGATTAGTGATATGTCTCATATAAACTAAATGAAATCGTCTGAGTCTCACATAAAGAGAATGAAATCATTCTCAGAAAACTCTGCTATTTTAATTGAGCTGTAACCGTACGATTCTAAGTAAAACAAGCAAGCGTGATACAAAAGCAGCTTCAAGGAGTATGTTCTACCTCTGCCCGGAAACCAAAGTGCTATGCCTAAGTCCTTCCCATAACGAGATTGTGGAACTCCTTCAAGTCCACAATTAAAGAAGAAAGAACAACACAAAACCAACAAGGAGAGGAAAGTATCACGAATCTGCTCTGCTTTTTCCTGTATTTTAGATGAAAATCCTAAGCTAGATATCCTAATCTAGTCTCTCAACACAGAGAGGGAAGACCTCTGAAACATTCCCTACAAAGTGTAGTTCATCATTTGAGATAAATCTCAAAACCATTCAACCTTCGTTTACCAACAACACTTTGAAAAGGACACTTATGAGTGAGCTATTTCTTCCTTCAAATATTAAATTACAGTCACGTTAATAACTGTATTTTAATAACTGTATTTAATAACTCCAATTTCTAGTTAGAGAAACATCAATGAAAAACTTTAAGCAAGGCCATTCTTGGGATGAACATTTGTGAGTAGAAGAGAAAAGCCTTGCCTTTTCCATATGCTGGTTTAGAATCTCCCTCTCAACTTCATCTGACCTACGAAAAACCAGTATTGTCTTGATGCTTAAAAATAAAATAAAGTAAATGCAATGACTTCTGTGGGATAGGCTCATTAGCTCAGGATTTGACAGGTTGCTAAATGGTAACTGAGCATGAAGAGCTACAAACACACTATAATTAATTACCAAAACAGGCACTGCTTGGGCTAAAGCTGGGGCAAGAAAGTGCTGACAGAACAAAATTCGCATTCCACTGCTCTCCCTGCCTCTCCCAATTTACAGGAGAATGGGAAATCATGAACAACTGATACACTCCGTTAGCTGCTATCACAGAGAGTAAGTTTCCATGTAGCCTTAGGGGCATCTTACACAGTTTAACACTGAAAATAAAACATAATGTTCTTGGCAAAGAGCTACGGCGATTAAATTTGGGAGGCTTGAAGCAGCCTTGAATTGTAGTCAATAAAAAAAGGACCAAATAGTAATTTTGAAATTTAACTGTGCTGGTTATGCCCAATGAGTCAGACCCTTGTGAAATAAACCATGTAAATAGAAAAATGGCTTAACTCTTTCAGCTGGCGTACATGGGATTTGACCTCTCCCATGCTTCGTAGGATGGAGACCTCTGATTCACTAAGAATAACGTGAGCACTTAGATGCTACCCATACATCTTTTTAAATAGTTCTTCAGTAAAGGTGTTGACTTCTTCTTTGGGATTCTTCCTAATAAGTTTGCGATTTATTTAGAGATTGGGGAGTTATCAATATTGTGTAATATGATTTATATATCAGCGTAGAGAGAGCCAAAGTCCCAAATCAGCAGGAACCTGAAAGTCTTTTTAAAATCACAAAATTCTTGACCACACAAAAAATCACTCTACAGAGATTTGTGTCAGGGTTTTTGAAGCAATCACTTCACAACAAATAAGAAAGACAACCAGCCAGCAATGATGTGGGGTTGAACACGATTTGCAGTAAGCCATTGAAAAACTCCAAAGCATGTCTAATATTTATCTCAAGTCCTCCTTCTCTTTGTCCCTCCCTTTCTTCTCATGTCCCTCCGTTCGTTTTCTTTCCTTCTCTTTCTCTTTCTTTCTTTTCCCTTTCTCTGTCTCTAACATTTTGCAGCAGAATTATTATTATCTGAATTGACAATTAAGGGATCTGTCAATCAGTGGTTTGACAATCGCAATGCTTAAAATGCCAACTGTTACACACATCTCCTTAGTGCTTGAGTGGCGGTTTTTGACAAATGGATCATCATTATTGCCTCATGGTAGTTTGTGATTGAGATAACCACTTTACTTATTAAATGGAATTTGTAACATCTTGAAGAATACAGGAATATATAAATATTCCTGCACAAGAGGTGGTTTATCACTGTCTTCTCATCTTTAATGAATTCCACGGTGGCCTGAAGGGACAGAATATCACCTGATGGGAAACACTCTTTGATGAACATTCATGAGGGAGCATTTTCCTTTCTTACCAATTTGATATTTCTAGAGGGCAATGATAACCTTTATATCCTGGGTTTAAAGGTCAGTGGCTCAGGTGGTCCTGCTGTCTCCTGAGTGGGATCAGGATTGCTCACCTAAATCCTAGCCTCAAACAGGGACTCCAAGGAGACATAGTCTACTCATCATCCTAGTTACTCAGAATTCAGACGTGGCTTCAAAACAATATGAATTGGGAATAGAACTCCTACATCATCATACTCAACAATAAAACACCTACTAAAAAGATCTGAGCAGATGGAGGCTGCCTTGATGATTCAGATGTTTCTCGTGGCTGGCACAGTATCTGGTTCTCAATACACATTTGAAGAAGGGAAGGAAAGGAAGCAAGGAAGGTAAAGGGAAGGGAAGGTAAAGGGAAGGGAAGGAAAGGGAAGAAAGGGAAGGGAAGGGAAGGGTCTTCATTTCATCTTCACTGAGGTCCATTAACCCAGAGAGACATATACCATGAGCACCATTCCCTAGTTAGAGAATATAAGGGAAGATGGAGGATCAATAGGCCTGTATTAGGCAGGAGTCTTTGGGTACAAATGACAGAGCCCATGAAGTGAATATGTGCATGAGTAAAGAAAGAAGGAAAGAAGGGAGGTAAGGAGGGAGACAAGGAGGGAAGAAAGCAGGGAAGAAAGGAAGGGAGGGAAAGAGGGAGGGAAGGAGGGAGGGAAGGAGGAAGGAAGGGAAGAAGGAAATTTATCACTCAAATCCTCTAAAGGTAGAGGATAAAACTTCCAAGGGCTGCGCAATTAAATGAATCCAATAAATCTAGGAAGTGCAATCAAGGTTTCGATCGCTGAGATAACTCTCCAGAGTTAAAAGATCTTTTTTTTTTTTTTTTGAGATGGAGTCTCACTCTGTTGCCCAGGCTGGAGTGAAGTGGTGCGATCCAGGCTCACTGCAAGCTCCACCTCTCGGGTTCACGCCATTCTCCTGCCTCAGCCTCCCCAGTAGCTGGGACTACAGGCACCTGCCATCGCCCCCAGCTAATTTTTTCTGTATTTTTAGTAGAGACGGGGTTTCACTGTGTTAGCCAGGATGGTCTCGATCTCCTGACCTCATGATCCGCCCGCCTCACCCTCCCAAAGTGCTGGGATTACAGGCGTGAGCCACTGCGCCCGGCCAAGATCTCTTCTTATTTCTGTTTTGTGTGACTACCTGCTGAAAATTTTGCTTGCTTTTTCTTGGCTATCTCAGACCTGTATACTAGAATGCTGACTGCCCTCCTTCCCCCTCTCCCTCCCTCCCTTCCTCATGCATATGTTCACTGCATGCTTATCATTTTGCCAGGTACTATATTGGGTACTGGGGATATCATGCTCACCAGAACACGTATAGCTACACACTCACGGAATTTACAGTATAGTGCTGGAATCTGTCAACTCCCTACATAGCATCCTTCTCTTCTGTTGGGATCATCACTCTCTCCTCTCAGGACCTACTCCTCCCACCCACCTCCCAACAGTGAAACATTGTCCTTAGGTGGCACTGACTCCTTTGCCACCAAAGATTAGTCCAAGCATTAACAAGGGATTCTAATCTCGGTGATCAAAGTTCTCCTCTGTCATATAGAAACCAGAATAAAAAAATTATTCACCTCGGCTGGGCGCGGTGGCTCACGCCTGTAATCCCAGCACTTTGGGAGGCCGAGGCAGGCGGATCACGAGGTCAGGAGATGCAGACCATCCTGGCTAACATGGTGAAACCCCGTCTCTACTAAAAATACAAAAAATTAGCCGGGCGCAATGGCAGGCGCCTGTAGTTCCAGCTACTCGGGAGGCTGACGCAGGAGAACGACTTGAACCCAGGAGGCGGAGCTTGCAGTGAGCCCAGATAGCGCCACTGCACTCCAGCCTGGGCAAAACAGCGAGACTCAGTCTCAAAAAAAAAAAAAAAAAAAAAAAAATTCACCTCTCCTAGTTGGCAGGGAGGTAATGCGTGAGGTTCAGAAGATGTCGTTGGCCAGGCAAAACAGGTAACCTGAGAGAAAGTCCCAACTTCGCTAAACTTCCTATTTCTGGCAGCCCTCAAGGTGTAACATGCCATTGAATTTCCATCAATTTAGCTTCCCAGATCATCCTATATTTATATAAAATATTCCTTAGATAAGCTTTTTAATAATTAACCCCTTAAGCCCTTTCCTCTTCATAGGTTCCATAATTTGTACCCAAAGACTCCTTCCTAATACAGTCATATTGATCCTCCATCTTTCCTTACATTCTCTAACTAGGAAATGGTGCTAATGGTATATGTCCCTCCGTGTTAATGGAACTCAGTGAAGATGAATGCAAGCTCTGTCTAAACCCCAGAAACCGTTATTGAAACTAATAAACGTCAGACACTCATATTTTGAGTTGCTTTTACAATACAGAGCAATGGAGTTTTGTAAAAGAAAACATTATCACACTCAGCTTTAAATAAATAGGATTTCTGGAAGGAACAAAGACTTAACTGCCTGAGGTCTGTCCTTCCTTCTACCTTTCTTTCTTTCTGGCCTGCAGACTAATAGCTCATTACGGAGATGACTGTCTGAAAAAATAAAAGTTACCTAGACATGCAGGCTACTACCCAGGAAGAGCTAATTATTTGCATAAATCATATAGATCCTGGCCCTGGCTATATTAACCATTTACCATACTCATCATTTGTCACCACACTGTAATGTCAGTCATCCGTTGGGGAGGAAATTACCCCTCGGTGGTTTCTTCAAGTGAGGTCAGAGTGCAGCTCCTCTCCACGCACAGTGAGGCGCATTATCCCAATCACATTGTCTACTGGTAAACGAATCCAACCAGGGTGATAAATTGCTACAGGTTCACAAATTAGCCTCCATACAGGCTGAGAGCATTTACTATGGGCCATGCAAATTAATCCCATCAAACTGCTTCATACAGTACAAGGAGGTAGGAATCCGTTTGCTAACCTCCCTCAATCACTCATAACCCAAATTCTGAAAGCATCTACCACTGTCAGAGTCCCAAGCAGACAGGGATTGTCCTCGAGCACCACACTGTAGGCACCATCCTCCATCAGGATGATTTGCCTTTTAAACCAGGAAGCCCAATGGCTGGGGGCAGGCACTATCAGTAACTCTGCGAACTAAAATTCAACGTTATGCAGCCAACCCTTAGGGTATGCTACAATGCACAGAGGTATGCCACCACCACTACCACCACCATCCTCATAGAAACAATATCAAAAACAAGAATATAATAATTACAGCCAACATTTATATGGCACTTACTACAAACCTTATACATACTATCATTAATGCTCACAAAAGCCCTAAGGGTAAACACCAGTATTAGTCTCCTTTTACAAAGGAGGAAACTCAGGCTCAGAGAAGTTAAGCAGCTTTCCCAAGTTCGCACAATCATTAGGTAGTATATATGGAGGGAGGGATAGAACTGTGTGAAGGGTAACACCAGAGGCTGTCTCTGGGTTGCCTGGCAATAAGCCAGCTGGGACCAGCTGTTCCAATTCTGCCAGTGAGATTGTCCATCCATAGGGTGCTGGGCTCACATGGTCTCTTGATGTCATCAACACAGTCCCAGCATCCTCCTTGCATGGACAGCTAGTTCCCAGCATGCACCTTGTGTGGACAGCTAGTTCCCAGCATGCACCTCACCTGGACAGCAGTTCCCAGCATGCACCTCACCTGGAAAGCAGTTTCCAGTATGCATCTCACCTGGACAGCTAGTTCCCAGCATGTACCTCTCCCAGACAGCTAGTTCCCAGCATGCATCTCACCTAGACAGCTAGTTCCCAGCCCACGCCTCGCTGGCACAGCTATTTCCTGGCATGCACCTCACCTAGGCAAGCACCTTACCTGGACAGCTAGTTCCCAGCATGTACCTCTCCCAGACAGCTAGTTCCCAGCATGCATCTCATCTGGACAGCTAGTTTCCAACATGCACCTTTCCTGGACAGCTAGTTGCCACCATGTATCTCGCCAAAGTTAATTTCTGAGACACAAGGAATTGTTCCCTACTTGTAAGACTGTTCTCACACTTACCCTAATAAGCCAGATAATAGCCACTCAGATATCTCAGGTCAAAAATCCCTGAAACTTATAAACTTTGTAAGGAAATAGTTTCCTTGCTGATGTGACTGAACTGATGCTCACAAAATGGGTGATCAACCTGGATTATCCAGAGGGCCCTACACGCAACCTCAAGCATCCTTAAAAGAAAGACGCAGAGGCACACACAGAACGGAAGACAGCAAGAACACAGAGGCAGAGACTGCAGTCATGTAGCCACTACAAGCTAGAAGAATAGACTCCAGAGAAAGCAGAGCCCTATCAAAACCTTGGTTGCAGGCCAGTGACACTGATTTCAGACATCAGATCACCAAAACTGTTAGATAATAAATTTATATCATTTTAAGCCACCACATCTGTGGTAGTTACGTGGTGGCAGGTGCCTGTAGTCTCAGCTACTCAAGAGACTGAGTCAGGAGAATGGCATGAACCCGGGAGATGGAGCTTGCAGTGAGCCGAGATCACACCACTGGACTCCAGCCTGGGCGACGAACCTCCATCTCAAAAAAAGAAAAAAAAAAAAAACCCAATGGAAACTAATACACCGTACTCTCCAACCCCCCAAAAAATACAGCTAAAGGATAGTGGTGTCCCTGTTCTAGAATGCAAGCACACAGGGCATCATCCATGTCTGCGCCTTGATGCCCAGAGGAAGGAGTTAAGGGTCCGGGTGCCACCTGCCAGTCCTTCTGCCTGTGAGTTCCAGTCTTTATCAAATCATGCTCTGAATTTGCCAAAGTCCTTTGCCTGGCATTGAAATTGTTATCTCACCCATGTCTTCTCGACCCTAGAGCCTTGTTCTTTCCCTGACAACAGGAGGCTTGAGAGGAGGCATGTAAAGATAATTAAGACAAGATCTCTTAGGGGAAAGCTCTTACAATTTGGCAGAGGAGAACACAAATATTTAAATAAAAATTTAATATGTAAAATATGTTGTGAATATCTTTCAAACTCTAAGTTGTTATATGAAGGAATTTTAAAAATTAAACTTTTTGAGATAACTGTAGATTCACATGTAATTTAATAAGTAATATACAGAGAGCCCATGACCTCTACTCTTATTGCTCCAGGGGTAACATCTGACAAAACTATAAATATCACAGCCAGGACAAAAAATAGTCCACAGACAAAAAGACGCCTTCTATGACCACACCCTACTGTCACTCCACACCTCTCACTCCTGACCCCGGCAACCACGCATTGATTCTCTATATCTAGAATTTTAAACTCAAGAATGCTACATACACGGTATCATTTTGTATGTAACCTTTAGATACATAAAAATGATTGCTGAGACTGGACAAAATGATTTAGAAATGGGCTTTTTTTCCACTCACCACAAGGGAGTGAAACTCACCCTGGAGTTTCATCCTAGTTGTTGTGTGTCTATCATCAATAATTTGTTCTTTTTTATTGCTACATAGTATTCCACAGTGTGGATTATCACAGTGTAACCATTCATGCACTGAAAACATACGGGCTATTTACAGTCTTTAGCTATTATTACAAATAAAGCTGCAGTGAACATTTGCATACAGGTTGTTTTGTGGATGTGTTTTCATTTTACTGGGATAAATGCCCAAGTGTGCAATTGCTCAATTATATGGGAGGTGCATGCTTAGTTCTACAAGAAAATGAGAGATGATTTTCCAAAGTGATTAAGTCATTTGACATTCCCACCAGCAATATTTGAGTGATCTTTGACAGCATTTGGTATTGTCACTATTCTTTATTTTAGCCAACAAATTGATTTTTTTTCTGCATAGCTATATGTAACGGAAGTTAAAATGAAAGAAGGTAGAAATATTGCAAAAGAATGACATTAGGAGTCATCTGTGGAAGGCATGGGAAGAAGTGCTTTAATTTGTTAAGGCCAGTAGGGATATAATCTTAGCTGTGTGGGTACAGATCTGGCCTTGTTTCTTCCTCCAACTTCCTCTCCCATCTCTTCTCTTATTGTACCTTAGGCAATCAGTCTCCTGATAAGCTCTCAACTCAAACCTCATTTGTCATCCTTTACCCCTCAGCTTGAACATCACCTCCTCAGAGAAGCCCTCCAGGACCAACCTACCTAAGTAGGGTTCTCTCCCAACTACACTCACCTTAATTTTATTTTGTAGAACAACGTAGTTTATTCTTTCATCGTACCTGTCAATATTTGTAAGTATGCAATTATTTATTTACTTTTATTTTTTAAAGCTTCACACTACACTTTACGCCCCAAAAGAGGAATCATTTCTGCTTCATTTGAGGAACAACTGAATTCACTGAATGAAGGACTAAATGATAAAGGGAAAGGAACCCTAGGGTGCAGGAACTTGTAAGTTTACTTTAGAATCCAAGAAGCTAAATACTTAAGAGTCCATGTCAATCGACTCGGTTAAGAAGGTATCTATGCACAAAGGAGTACATGGTGTATTTCTTTGAGAAAAAAGATGTCACTTGTCACTTTTGTTCATCTACCAAAATCAACAGTATTGCAAGATTCAAAGACAAAGTCTCCAGCTTTCTAATCCAAGTCATCTTCCTAGTCAACTGGGAGATATACACACACAAATAATTATAAATCAGGGAGAGTTAAGTGGCAGGGTAGGAAGAAAAATAAGGCACAACGGACAAAGAAAAGAGGGAGAGAGGATTTTCAGTGGGTAGAAATCAAGGTGGCTTCTTGGAGGAGATGGCATTTGTACTGGGTCTTAGGGATATGTGGGATGTAGGCGATGTAGACAGTCATGGCAGATGGACTTTTCAGTTTTTTTTGTTTTATTTTGTTTTGTTTTTTTGAGATGGAGTCTTGCTTTCTTGCCCAGGCTGCAGTACAGTGGTACAATCTCAGCTCACTGAAACCTCCGCCTCCTGCATTCAAGCAATTCTCCTGTCTCAGCCTGTGGAGTAGCTGGGACTACAGGCATGCACCACCATACCCAGCTAATTTTTGTATTGTTTAGTAGAGATAGGGTTTTGCCATATTGGCGAGGCTGGTCTCGAACCCCTGGCCTCAAGTGATCTACCAGCCTCAGCCTCCCAAGTGTTAGTATTACAGGTGTGAGCCACCACACCCAGCCAGGCCTTTCAGTTCTATCTAAAGTATAAGACTATATTTTTTCTACTTTTGTCATAATCTATTTCTCTTAAAAATGAACACGATTTTTGCCAATGAGCAGAATATTGCAGGAGCTAACTTTTAGGTGCCACGGAAAGACTTCCTCAGTATTAAAAGCTCACTACTGTCAACACACTCTCTGATAGGTGGATAATTTTTCCTCTACATTCAAGAGTGTTCAGCAAGTTACTTGGTTCCTTTGTTTCACTCTCTGGGGATGATTATATATAAATCACAAAGGAGAAATGTGGAGCGTCTCATGCACTCTTGAGGACAGCTGTTTACTTTTTCCTAAATCTGCAGGTTCAGGGACACGTAAGCCTGGCCAATGGTGGGACTACCTAAACGTGCTTTGGAATCAGGACAGGCAAGTTGCTAGTTAAGCGTGCATGAAGCAAGGTAGAATTACCCAGGGTGAGACATTCTCTGGTCTTTTTCTTTGCAACACTATCGTTTTCTGTTCCTCTTTGACACCTGAGGAAATACAATCAGTGAATTTGGGTCATTATCCCTGACACTAATCACTGGCCTGCTCCTCCATGAGTGTGAAACTTTCTCTTTAAATGCTGCCTGCTGAGTTTCTTCTACTTGGCAATGTGACTTGTCATATGTTACTGAACGTTAAAGATTATCCATCTATTATCTCTCATTCCATCCATCTGCCCAGCTATCTACCTAGGTTGCTTTTTTCCCTCCCTCCTTTCCTTCCTTCCATCATCTCTCTCTACACACATACACATACATCTTCTCTTTCATTCTTTCTTTGGTTCTATCACCTTTTTTTCTATCTCTTCTTTTCTTTTTCTATATATCCATCTAGCTATTTAGATTTGACCAATAATGTCGAAAATAGCAAATAGTGCCTTCAGTCTAAGGTGGGCTGGCAATCGGGTGCCTGCTGGCCATGTGTGGTCAACAGAAGTGTTTGTTTGGCATGCAAAGCATTTTCATAAAACTTTGTATTAGTGACTAACATTCAAAAACTATAAATTTCACTCATAAAAAATGCAGATGCCAAACTTCTCTGGAGAAATGAGAAAGCCTGGCCATACTATGCCCACCTTCCCACATGGTCACAATCAGCTGCAGCTGTGAAGTGACTCCCTTTGAATGGTCATGGGCCCGAGCTCACCATGGTGTCGCCACTTGCTGTATCACCCCACAAGGAGGCTGTGATCAGCCTCCTTGTGGGGTAACACAGCATTAGACAGTCTTGGATCGGGCACAATGACTCACACCTGCAAATCCCAGCACTTTGTGAGGCCAAGGTGGGTGGATCACTTGAGGTCAGGAGTTGGAGACCAGCCTGGCCAACATGGTAAGACCCCGTGTCTCTATTAAAAATAAAAAAATTAGCCGGGCATGGTGGCAGGTGCCTATAGTCTTAGCTATTTGGGAGGCTGAGGCAGGATAATTGCTTGATACAGAGGTTGCAGTGAGCCAAGATTGTGCCAGTACTCTCCAGCCTGACTGACAGACCAAGACTCCATTTCAACAACAACCACCACCAAAAGGAAGTCTTGGTGGGAATAATTTTTTTCATAGTAAAATTACCAGATTTTATTTAATTTCTAAGCCACACGTGACTGTTTTAAAACAGAATAAAAATGTGTAAGCATTCACAGGTTGATGGGTGCTCTAATCCTGACGATCACTGTCAAATAACCGTATCAGCCTCTTGTAGTTATGCTGTGGTCGACTGAATTACTGGCAGCAATTCTTCCATTCTTCACGTCCCTTGTATTCACTCCCTTTGCCATGCAACTTTTCAGCGACTGACCATGGACCACACTTCCCTACACCTTGACTGTGCCATCAGTTGCGTATCATGCTTTGGCCAATAAAACGTGGGCCACAGTGGTAAGGATTCCAGCCCACCCCCTGTGGCTCCCCATTGCTGTGAAGATGATGACAGAGCACCAAGCAGTCTAGACGGCTGCTTCCCCTAGACCCGGCCCCAGAATGTGCACACATAGGGCAGATTGAAGACCCCCTTGCAGTTGTGAGGACACAGGTCTGGCTGGACCCATAGCATGAAGCAGAGCTGTCCAAATGAGCACAGTCTGGGCCAGCCAAACCCCAGCCAGCCTAGAAAGGCATGAGAGATACATGTTGTATATCATGAAATGTTGTTATGCAGTATTAAATGACCAATATTAAGTCCCTGGAAGTGAGGGCTTGAGTTGCTATGTTTAATGGCCGCAAGACAGGAGTGGATGAACCATCTCTGAGCAGGGTTGACTGAGGCAAGATAAAGTTCTCTGGGAAGGAAAGATGCTTCACTTTACAAGAGAGGCAGAAATGAATCTATTTTGCAGCTGTGGGATTTAACACCTTCCCCTTTTCCCCAACAAGAACACAGAAAGAAGGAAATCACTTTGCCCCCAAAGACATGGTAAAACTGTAGCCATCACCTCTTTTTTTTTTTGTTTCCTAGGGTAATTTAGAGGCAGTCTTTCCCTTTGTAATTTTCTTCCAGGCTTTACTAGAACTTATGAGCATGCCATCCAAGATCCTGTAGGCTTATTAAAGCAGCTGCTTACAAATGAATAAATAAAAAATAAGAAAGTGGCCATCTCCTATCAAAGACAAATGACCTAATTTTGTTAGCAGATCATGTTGAGAGCTCAGCCTTATTCTCCCGGATACTGGCGAACGTTACCATTCATGAAATTTTATTGGTTATTTGACGTCTGTAGATGCTCAACTGTTTTCCCAATACATGATTCATAGGGGCAAAGGTCTTCGTGCGTTTCCACATTTGTAGCTCCAATCTCGCATTGCAGCAGCTCCCCGAACAGCTCCCTTGATTCCTCCCCTGTCTGGTATGTTACACATTTTGTTTCATTTGCTGTGGTCTTATTTTTCTCTCCCTCATTATGACCCAGGTGTCTTCTTATAGAACACAGTGCAGTCTCTTGTTTGTCCTTGTCCATGTTCTTACTGGAAAAGGCCTGCTTTTCAGCAATACAGCTTGCTGTTGGGAAGCCACCCTGCGTTAAGTGAGTCTTGATGTGTCCATGTTGAGTGAGTCTGTGATGTGTCCATGTTTCTTGATGACACGGAATTGGGGATCTTCGGGCCAATTCACGTAATAGGAGGTGAAGCTATCACACAGACTGAAAACATGCACACACCCTTCCCAAGTCCTCAGTCTTCAACAAATATTTATTGGATGGGCCACCGTGTAAGCAGCTCTGGGCTAGGCAACAAGTCTGATATACGAATGAAAAACAAAGACTATACCTATATTTTAGTGGTACAGAAATATGAATGGACACAGATTACAACTGTGATGTGCTTGTTGAGGGACAGAAATATGGCCTGAAGCAGATGCACAGGTTCATTTTACAGAGATGCATTGATGCATTATTTTATCAGTAACACCTAAGGAAGAAGCATCTGCTGTCCATGGCAGGTTGAGATTTGCCTTTTTAAGATAATGACATTTAAAGTGAGATATAAAGAATCAGAAGGAATAGCCATACACAAGTGGGACTGAGATTATCCCAAGAGGGGTAAGGAAGAGGTACAAAGTCTCTAAAATATGAAAGAGCCTTACTTGTTTGAGGATCTGATAAAAGACCAGTGTGAGTTGTGTATGGGGGTCAGGAAGGAGGTACATGGGTCTGTGTCAGAGAAGCAAGGCCTGGAACGTTCTGGTGAGATCTCTGAAATTTTCTCTTTGTAGAATGAGAAACCAATGAAGGGTCGTAAGTGATAGTGTCCTGATAAAATGTATGATTTAAGAAGATTACCTACAAGGCTACAATAACCAAAACAGCATGGCACTGGTGCAAAAACAGACACAACGACCAACGGAACAGAACACAGAACTCAGAAATAAGACTGCACACCCCCATCCATCTGATCTTTGACAAACCTGACAAAAACAAGCAATGGGGAAAGGATTCTCTATTTAATAAATGGTGCTGGGACAACTGTCTGGCCATACACAGAAAATTGAAACTGGACCTCTTCCTTACACAATACACAAAAATTAACTCAAGAAAGATTAAAGAGTTAAATGTAAAACCCAAAACTCTAAAAACACTAGAAAAAAAAAACCTAGGCAATACCATTCAGGACACAGGTACGGGCAAGGATTCATAACGAAAATGCCAAAAGCAATTGCTGCAAAAGCGAAAATTGATAAATGGGATCTAATTAAACTAAAGAGCTTCTGTGCAGAAAAAGAAACTACCAGAGTGAACAGACAACCCACAGAATGGCAGACAATGTTCGCAATCTATCCATCTGACAAAGGTCTAATATCCAGAGTGTACAAGGAACTCAAGCAAATGTGCAAGAAAAACATAACCCCATGAAAAAGTGGGCAAAGGACATAAACAGACAATTCTCAAAAGAAGACATACATGCGGCCAACAAACATAGGAAAAAAGCTTAGTATCACTGATCATTAGAGAAATTCAAATCAAAACCACAATGAGATACCATCTCACACCAGTCAGAATGGTTACTAATAAAAATATTAAAAAACAGGTGCTGGCAAGGTTATGGAGAAAAAGCAACATTTTTACACTGTTGGAGGCAGTGTAAATTAGTTCAACCATTGCAGAAGATGGTCTAACAATTCCTCAAAGACCTAGATGCAGAAATACCATTTGACCCAACAATCCAATTACTGGCTATATACCCAAAGGAACAGAAATCATTCTTTTATAAAGGTATGTGCACATGTAAGTTAATTGCAGCACTATTCACGATAGCAAAGACAAGGACTCAACCTAAATGCCCATCAATGACAAAGACTGGATAAAAAAAAAAGTCGTACATATACACCATGGAATACTATGCAGCCATAAAAAAGAATAAGGTCATATCTTCTGCAGAGACATAGATGGAGTTGGAAGATAACTAACGCAGGAACAGAAAACCAAACACCACATGTTCTTACTTATAAGTAGTAGGTGAATGATGAGAACACATGGGCACATGGGAGAGAACAATGGGCGTGGGGATCTGCTGAGGGGAAGGAAAGAGAGCATCAGAAAGAATACCTAATGAACACCAGATTTAATACCTAGGTGATGGGATGACCTGTGCAGCAAACTGCCATGGTACCTATTTACCTATGTAACAAATCTGTACATCCTGCACATGTACCCCTGAACTTAAAACATGAAGGAAAAAAAAAAAGAAGATTCCTCCAGAAGCTATAAGGGGACTGGCCTGTAGGGGTAATGATGGAGAGAGAGAAAAGCCATGCAGGGAAGATGTGATGGTGGCTTAGAGACAGAGAGGGATTTGGGGGTGGGGAGAGAGAGACAGAGAAAGAGAGAGAGAAAGAAAATGGATTGTTGGGAAAAGGTTCAGACAGAAAATGCCATATCCTTTGTTAATAGTGAATTGTACACATTACGATCCAAGCAAGCCTTGTGATTTCCATGAGACAGTGGAGAATTCTGGTAATTTCCCCCCCATATTCTTAGATACTGAAGGACAATCCAGGGGATATGAAGATATTGAGGGAACAGTCAGTTCAGGAGAACTTCAACCTAAGGGTCAAATCTTGTTTTTGTTATTTCTTTTGGCATGGAACAGAATAGTGAAGGATACGTTCCTAAATCTACTAACTTAATTTATATGTGAAAAGGAACTACCTGTAAAGCTTTTTTATAATTTTACTTATTTATTTTGAGATGGAGTCTCGCTCTGTCACCCAGGCTGGAGTGCGGTGGCGCGATGTCGGCTCACTGCAAGCTCCACCTCCTGGGTTCATGCCATTCTCCTGCCTCAACGTCCTGAGTAGCTGGGACTACAGGTGCCCGCCACCATGCCTAGATAATTTTTTTTTATTTTTAGTACAGACGGGGTTTCACAGTGTTAGCCAGGATGGTCTCGATCTCCTGACCTCGTGATCTGCCCGCCTCAGCCTCCCAAAGTACTGGGATTACAGGTGTAAGCCACCATGTCTGGCCAAAGCTTTATTAACTGAAAATAAGATTGGGCTATACAAAAAGTAAGGAATTTTTTTTTTTCCTCCCTGGAATATGTGTTTTCTCTATTTGCTCCAGAAGACCACCATGGCCACTCTGTGTGACATCCTTCCTTGGCTAACTTGATACTGCTGTCCAACTTTGCAAAAGGTTCACAGAAATAAAGAGATTTTCACCCATTCTTTAAACCCAAGAGACATCCACTCTAATAGAAAACTTTGCTCAGAGAATCATATGCTTAAAATGTGTTATGTTTTGAAAACAACAACAATAAGAAACAACCTATTTACAATAGTAAATCTTGGAACCAACCCAAATGCCCATCAAGGATAAAGAACACGTGGCACATACACACCATGGAATACTAGGCAGCCATAAAAAAGAATGAGATCATATCCTTTGCAAGGACATGGATGAACCTGGAAACCATCGTTCTCAGCAAACTAACACAGGAACAGAAAACCAAACACTGCATGTTCTCACTCATAAGTCGGAGTTGAACAATGAGAACACATGGACACAGGGAGGGGAACATCACACACCGGGGCCTGTCAGGGGGTTGGGGGAACATGGAGGGAGAGCATTAGGACAAATACCTAATGCATGCCGGGCTTAAAACCTAGATGACGGGTTGACAGGTGCAGCAAACCACCATGGCACATGTATACCTATGTAACAAACCTGCACATTCTACACATGTATCCCAGAACTTGAAGTAAAATTAAAAAAAAAAAAAGCAAATAGATTTAAAAAAAACAGTCTAAATGTCTGTCAGCAGGAAACTGGATACATAAATTAAGTATGTCTATACAATGGAACACTGCAGAGCCATTAAAAAGTTGATACAGATATTCATCAAGCTGAAAAGGGCAGGATAAAAATATATGATTCAATTTGGTTTTTCTAAACAAACACACACATTCATATTTGTATATAAATATA
Organism: Homo sapiens; assembly: GCF_000001405.40. NCBI lineage: Eukaryota > Metazoa > Chordata > Mammalia > Primates > Hominidae > Homo > Homo sapiens. The sequence continues at coordinate 6,842,446 of NC_000016.10, read as the reverse complement.
GAGCAAGGTCAGCAAAGTTGCCCAAACAGTGAATAATCTCCAAGTAGTTGGATTAAATAAGGAGAACATTTCTTCTCTATATGTGCACAAAGTATTTGTCTTTCCAAAGATGTGTATGTGTTGTTTCTCTGATCAGAAAAAAATAATTAAGAAAGTTGTTTTTATTTCCTTACAGAAAAATATATGCCACAGAATGATACCATGTCAGAGGTATTATTCAGCTGAGACTACTCAAATAGCTAACACTCAGTTCCAATTTATTTATTTATTTATTTATTTATTTATTTATTTTTTATTTTTTTTTCTGAGACAGTCTTGCTCTGTCACCCAGGCTGGAGTGCAGTGGCGCGATCTCCGCTCACTGCAAGTTCCGCCTCCCGGGTTCACGCCATTCTCCTCCCTCAGCCTCCCGTGTAGCTGGGACTACAGGCGCCCGCCACCACGCCCGGCTAATTTTTTGTATTTTTTTTTTAATAGAGACGGGGTTTCACCGTATTAGCCAGGATGGTCTCGATCTCCTGACCTCGTGATCCACCCGCCTCGACCTCCCAAAGTGCTAGGATTACAGGCGTGAGCCACCGCGCCCGGCCTGTTGGAATTTTTTATGCTAAAAAATTCTACCTGAAGAACATTCACATGAAGACAGTGATGTTCACTGGCTTGAGAATGGAACCCTTAAGCTGCATGGTCCAGGTTTAAGTAGAGGTGGGACCACATCCACTTCTTAGAGGGTTCATGTGCCCTGACAATGCCTCCATCATTTTCCACAGAGGGCTAAAGCACTCTGTTACTACTCAAGAGCCGGCAGGAACCAAAAGCATTCGTGAGAGTTTTGAGAGTAAAATTAGCTCTTCAACTGTGGGTGGACAGCTCGTAGGAGAAAGGGCCTGTGGTAATACTCGCCTCATTAGCGTGAGGTTAGGTTGTTCAGAAAATCATCCAGATCTACCGCATTAATGACTCTCCCCTTCCACTCAGGTTGCATGAGGGTTTTATTGACAAGCAAACAAAAGAAAAAAATTATGGAAAACAGGATGTCAATTAACACTCTGGGCTCTTTAGTGTGAGTGAGGCTATTTCAACTTTATTCCTGTCTAACATTCTTCAATGCATGTTTGCTGTCTAAAACCACAAACATGTAAACAAAATCTAATGTCCTTATCAAACCTCGCAAGGAATTCTCAAAAGAACCTGAGTATAATGGGCAGGATAACTGACCATTATTATAATGTTTATAACTAAATCTTTTCATAATCATTGTCTTAGTCTGTTCAGGCTTCTAGCAAAATGCCATAGGCTAATATCCAGAGTGTACAAGGAACTTAAGCAAATGCACAAGAAAATTGAAAAAAAAAGGTGCTAAAAATTAAAAACAAACAAACAGGTGGCTTGCACAAAACAAGTTTATTTCTCCCAATTCTGGAGGCTAAGCCCAAGGTGCTGGCAGATTCAGTGTCTGGTGAGTGTCCACCTCCTGGTAGATACCCTTAACTCTAACTTCACATGATTAAAGCGGTGAGGGGTCTCTCAAACCTTTTTTCGTTTTTTTTTTTTTTTTTGAGACAGAGTCTCACTTTCGTCGCCCAGGCTAGAGTACAATGGGACGATCTCAGCTCACCACAACCTCCACCTCCCAGGATCAAGCAATTCTCCTGCCTCAGCCTCCCGAGTAGCTGGGACTACAGGTGCACACCACCACACTGATCTAATTTTTGTATTTGTAGTAGAGACGGGGTTTCACCATGTTGGCCAGGATGGTCTCGATCTGTTGACCTCATGATCCACCAGCCTCGGCCTCCCAAAGTGCTGGGGTTATGGGTATGAGCCACTGTGACCAGACTCAAGCCTTTTTATGAAGGCACTAATCCCATTCATGAGGGCTATGCTCTATGGCCCCATCACCTCCCAAAGATCCCATTTTCTAATACTATCACCTTGGGATTAGAATTTCAACACACAAATTTAGGGGGACATGAACATTCAGCCAATAGCAGTTAATTCTACTAATTATAGTTGAAAGAAGACTGTGATCATACTCAACATTTAATGAAGGAATGGAGGAACCAACGCAGGAATCCTGAAATACAGGGACCAATGAATGAACGAATGAATGTTAGAGGCGGCCCTGCAGCCCCTTACACCCTAAAGTTGCCTTTTCATTTTTCGGAAGGTCTTTCAGTGTGTTCCGTGTGACTAAAAGATGGACAAAGCTTTAAAGAAAGAAAGACCTCTTTTTAGTCTAGAATTTCCAGTGATTTATGGTGCTTTTAGGCACCTTAACTGGCAAAACGGTGCCTGATTATCTCCATGAAAAAATAAACTCACCAAGAAGCAAGCAAGTCAATTCAGTAGTACTGATCAGCATTTTAATTTTTAAGTTGAGTAGTAAACTCACGGATTTTTGTTTTATTATCCTTCCCAGGGTCCATAGTTGCTACAGATATTATTTTGTTTATACCAAATATTTCGTTATTTTAAAAAGAAAACAGGAAAACAGGCTCATCATACGTTAAAGCAAATATACATAATAATGCAATTGAAAGTTAAGAAATCGAGAGAATGGGATGGGAGGGGAAAAGATACCCCAAATATCACGTAAGAACAGAGGTATGATTATAGCTATGAGTACACGAAGTGCTATGATTTTAGCTATGACTACAATCCACTTTCTACATCCAAATGTTTCAACTGCTTAATTTTCTCTTCTATAGTTTGCATATTACAAGAAGAATCGTGTGCCTTCTAATATCCCAGTGAACAGCATCTTAATTAAAAATAGGAGAGTTTGCAAAAACACAGGCTGTGTGTCTCACAGCTAATTGAAATACCTACCAAGGTCCCCGAAAGACAAGTTCAATATTGTGGAAATACCAGCAGGGCTGGCATTTCAGTGTTCTCAGATACCCTCCTTGTCTGTCTGATTAAAATTTCACTTGGCCTTTCTGTCCATAATAAAAGAAACCTATTTGTGCCCAGAGCTGTTCAGCAGATAGCAGAAGCATGTTAAATTTCAGGGTGTTTATTGAGTCTGTCGATGTTTCCACAGCAGTGACGCAGCTGACAACCTAACCTCAGCCTTTCTGCCCAGATGGAGTCAGTGGGGTTAATAGTAGAGTGAGGAGTTATCGTTTTCAGACTGAGGCAGCTATGTTGAAAATGATGTGCCGGGCACAGTGGCTCTTGCCTGTAATCCCAGCACTTTGGGGGGCTGAGGCGGGTGGATCACTTGAGGTCAGGAATTCGAGAACAGCCTGGCCAACATGGTGAAACCCTGTCTCTACAAGAAATACAAAAATTAGCTGGGTGTGGTGGTGTGTGCCTGTAATCTCACCTACTTGGGAGGCTGAGGCGGGAGAATCACTTGAACCCAGGAGGCAGAGGTTACAGGGAGCCAAGATCACAGCACTGCACTCCAGCCTCGTCGACAGAGCAAGACTCGGTCACAAAAATAAAGAAAAAAAAGAAAATGATGGATACACTCCTCCCCTTATTTTTTCTTAAAAAAAAAAATCAAAAACCAGTGCACAGTCTTGAATGGTATTTAATAATGAAGAATCCTTTTTCTGTGGGTGAGATTCTCAGTGTGATTTTCCTTCAGAGTATGACGGGGAAGCACCTGAGAAAGCTGAGAATGGAGTATTCTGATATATCCTTTTGAGGCATGTACATTTGTATGACACTAATTGAGACCCCTGGAGGATGCTAAGCAAATGTATTACCGATGCAGGACGGGCAAGCCCCCAGACTGGGGATTAGCATGGGAAGGTTATCGGCTTTGCCCAATAAAGAATTCTAGGACAAACCAGTGGTGTTAGACAGCAACTTTTACTTAAGTGGCAGTGCACAGCAGCAGCAGAGGGGCAGCAGAAGAGGACTACCTCATAGGCAGTGTGTGCAGAGTAGCAGCTCAGAAGCAGTTTTGCAGTTGCATTTATACCCACTTTTAATTGCATGCAAATTAAGGGGCAGGTTATTCAGACATTTCTAGAAAAGGGCTAGTCAACCCAAATGCCCATCAATAATAGACTGGATAAAGAAAATGTGGCACATATGCACCAGGGAATATTATGCAGCCATAAAAAAGAATGAGTTAATGGTCTTTGCAGGGACATGGGTGAAGCTGGAAGCCATCATTCTCAGCAAACCATCACAGGAACAGAAAACCAAACACCACATCTTCTCACTCTTAAGTGGCAGATGAACAATGATAACACATGGACACAGGGAAGGGAACAATACACACTGGGGCCTGTCGGGGGCTAGGGGGCAAGGGGAGGTAGAGCATTAGGACAAATACTTAATGCATGTGGGGCTTTAAACCTAGACAACAGGTTGATAGGTGCAGCAAACCACCACAACACATGTATACCTTTGTAACAAACCTGCATGTTCTGCACATGCATCCCGGAACTTAAAGTAAAATGGAAAAAAAAAAAAAGGGGTGGTAACTTCCCAGTATTGCCATGGAAAGGGGTGGTAACTTCCAGGTGTTGCCATGGAAAGAGGTGGTAACTTCCTGCTGTTGCCATGGTGACAGTAAACTGTCATTGTTGCTGTTGGGCATGCTTTCAGTGCCTCTTCTCAGTTTCCGCCAGTCTTCAATGTGGTCTGAAGTGGAGTCCCAAGTGCTACCTCATTACTACCACTTCTACCAATGATAACAAGATTGTAATAATGACAATTATTTTAAGTATTCATGGACATTTAAAGATAACTAATGTTTATCTGAACTTGCACAATGCCCACAGTGATTAGCACATTATTTAATTAAAACTATTATTATCCTCAATTTTCAATGAGGGAGTGAGGCTTAGAGAGATTGAGCGACTTGCCCAAGATTGCACAAATTGTTCCCAGTAGAGGCTCAAAACCAGTCTGAGCCCAGTACTCACATGCTAAACCATTTTTATTATAGTCTTCCCAATTACCCGGTACTGCATAGGACATGGTTATGTTCATCCATGTCTAGTTCTCATCACCTTCTGAGTGGCTCAAAATACTCTTGCTGTTGGGTGAGGCTGGGTGATCAGCTCTAGCTGGTGGACCGTGATTGGAAGTCACTACCATTGCGGAGAACCCAAGAACTCTGACTCCACTTCCTTATCAGAGTCAGCCAGGTGGCACATCTACAAAATGGAAGCAGCCTGGGTCTTGAGCCACCTCGTGGAACAGACTAGCAGCACGCTCAGATGAGAGAGCAATATGCAAGTGTTAAAACACGGAGATCCACAGTTTGTATGTTACCTAGTACAACCTAACCTGATTTTAGTTATTTAAACTCAGAAAACCAGCTTTCCTGAATAACTTAAAACTGTACTGTTTGCAAACAAGGGAACTCTCAGTACTGCTCTGGCTATTGTTAACCAATATATATCATTTCCAACTCATCCTTACCCTGTCCTGGGCTTACTGTAAAAGCCGAGTAAATAGGTGTGTTCATCCGTGAGAAGCTATGTGAGTCATTCATCCATCCACCCATCCAGCCATCCTTCCACCCTTCTACTGATATGGAAGTAATGTGTGTCACACTCTTTGCTTGGCAACGCTGATTCAATGATTAACCATACAGGCCCTGTGGTTCAGCAGTAAGTATTCTGCATCATGGACTCACACATAATATTTACTTGATTTTTTAAAAAACATCTGTACTTTCTAATTACAGAAATTAGAAATTTCTGTAATGAACTGGTGTTATACTTTAAGAAAATAAATGCAAAGAACTATGTTATTGTAGCAAGGGAGCTATCATAGTCCACACAGGATAAATTAGGGGCATAAGAAAGGAACTGTCACCCCCGAAGCGGGGTGAAAGTCCGTAAGACCTTCACAGAAGATACACCCCTTGAGCCAAGTCTTGAAAGATGATTTGATTTCTCTAGGCACAAAAGGTTCCCATTTGAAGGTGTCATTCGTGGTCATACCCTAAGGCTAACTCACGTAGAAGGAAGGTTTGAAGTGATACAGAAAGCAAGATACCTCTGCACAGAGCTAAGCAGAATCCCCAAACAAATAAGGAGTTTGTTGAGAAATATGACAAAACAAGGTTAAAACCCTATGGGGTTTCTGGTTGCTTCTGTTGCTGTGTGTTTCAGTTTCTAACTTCAAAAGCAGTTTTCTTTCTTTGGAGTAATTCAACCACAGAGCTGAAAATCCTTAACTATCTCATTGCTTGTAAAACAGATTTTAAGAAGCCAGATGGGAAGTTAGGACTGTTAGACAACTTCTTTTTCAAGAAACGATGAGAAAAGAAAATGACTAACATATTCAATAATGCGTTACCCGGTGACGTATTAATGGTTCACCCATGAAATACCATAAATTGTAGAAAAGGAATGCATGATTGTCTCCCATTTCTATAGCAGGCGTTTTGTAGCAGAGCTGAGCTAGCTATTGAACAGTAGGTTTCTTTTCTCCTCCAAGGACAGAGACTGTATTTCTGAGCTTCTTCTGCAGTTAGATGTGACCAGATGACACTTTTGGCAGATGGAATGGGAATGGAGGTGCTGCTCTTTATCATTTTAGGCTCAGCACATATGATCCTCTCTTTCTTTGGCAACCATAAAGGTGGAGCCACCTAGGGAAGGAGCCTGGGTCCCTGTATCACATTATGGAGTAGAACTGTCCATCCATCAGGACACCGATTTAGAGCTACACATGATACAAACTTTTTTTTTTTTTTTTTTTTTTTTTTTTTAAGCAGAGTCTTACTCTATCACCCAGGCTGGAGTGCAATGACTCAATCTTGGTTCACTGCAACCTCTACCTCTGAGGTTCAAGCTATTCTCATGCCTCAGCCTCTCCCAGTAGCTGGGACTACAGTCGTGCACCACCATGCCCAGCTACTTTTTTTTATTTTTGGTAGAGATGGGGTTTTACCATGTTGACCAGGCTGGTCTCAAACTCCTGGCCTCAAGTGATCTTCCCACCTTGGACTCCCAAAGTGCTGGGATTGCAGGCGTGACCACCACACCCGGCCAAGAAGATAGAAACTTAAATTGTGTTAAGGCACTGAGATTTGGAAGTTAATGTGATTCTGAATCTTGTGTCCCTTTAATACAGGTCCTATATCTTTTCCTGTCCTGATTATGCAGAGTAAAATATCAAGGAGTCTATGCCTATATGAGGGCTAGCTTAGGACACTGAAACTCACAAAGATGCAGAAAGGGAACCCGCATAGCAGCTGTGTTTGTGGATCTTAGTCCACAGCGCTCACTAACGGAGCCATCTTCACAAGAGAAGTCAGGCCGGTCGGGCGTGGTGGCTCACGCCTGTGATCCCAACACTGTGGGAGGCCGAGGTGGGCAGATCACAGGGTCAGGAGATTGAGACCATCCTGGCTAACACTAACATCCTGGCTAACCCGTCTCTACTAAAAAATATAAAAAATTAGCCGGGGCATGGTGTTGGGCGCCTACAGTCCCAGCTACTCAGGAGGCTGAGGCAGGAGAATGGCGTGAACCTGGGAGATGAAGCTTACAGTGAACCAAGATCGCGCCACTGCACTCCAGCCTGGGCAACAGAGCGAGACACCATCTCAAAAAAAAAAAAAAAAAAATAGAGAAGTCAGGCCTTTGAAGTTAATTGGCCAAAATGAACTTGACTTCCAGATGGACAAAGTCACAAACACATTGGGGAGAAAAAGAAAACATTTAAGAATGACTCTGAGAGCCACAGTTACCTGAGTAAATGCAACTGTCTCACGAGCAGTCGCAGGTCAGAGAGGACGCTTAACTCCAGATATCACTTAGCATGACAACAATATTATTCTAAATTTTATAATTCTTATTTTGACATTTATGAGTAACAACAATCTGTCTACCCTTGCTTAGTCATCCCAAACAAACACCTTCAAGTTTCTGCAAGGTTTCTTTTTAAGAACAAATCACTTACTGATATCTCCTGTTAATTAATTAACTGATTCATTCATTCATTCATTCATTCATCAATAAACAGTTACTGAGTACTTTCTCTGTACCAGGCAAGGCTATAGGCATCCATTGACGCTTCCCCTCCCAAACAAGTGTTCTCCCAATAGCCCAAGAGATCTTATTAAAATATTTTTTGGATCAGGGCCAGGCGTGGTGCCTCATGCCTGCAATCCCAGCAAATTTGGGAGGCCGAGGTGGGTGGATCACTTAAGGTTGGGAGTTTGAGACCAGCCTGGCCAACGTGGTGAAACCCCCATCTCTACTAAAAAATATAAAAACTAATGGGGCGTGCTAGCGGGCACCTGTAATCCCAGCTACCTGGGAGGCTGAGGCAGGACAATCACTTGAACTGGGGAGGCGGAGGTTGTGGTGAGCCGAGTGGGATGAGATCACACCACTGCACACCAGCCCGGGCGAAAGAGGGAGACTCCGCCTCAAAAAAATAAAAATAGAAAAAAAAATATTTATTGGATCAGGTACCCCCAACCTTTAAATTCCTCCAATGGCTTCCCAGTGTACTCACAACCCAGTCCAAACCCTACTGTGCCTCCAAGGCTGATGTCTCTAGCCCCTTGTCACATCACTCTGGACACACTCATCTGTGGATTGATCAACCTTGCCAGGTTCCTCTCCTCCTCAAGCTGTGCCCACGCTGTCTCCTCAGTCTGCACCACTCCTTTCCATCTCTCTTCCTATCTAATTCCTACCTACCCATCAACCTCAATGCTAGTCCTTCACAGAGACCTTCAATGAACCTTCCCATCCAAATTAATTCTTTTTGTTTTAATATTCCATAGCATCTAGAGTCTTTCTCTGGTCACAACAAATGTCTATTTGGCATCCAGTCAATTCTAGGTGCCAATGGGAAGACATGAGGAAGACAAAATCTCTGCCCTGTGACATGTAACTTTAACAACATACTAACAGGTGTATAAGTGCAGTGGAGGAAATGATCGGTCAGACTGTCAGAGAGTAGCTGGCCAGGCTGGCATTCCAGTCTGGGAAGTCAAGGAGGGTCTCCCTGAGAAGGTGGGAGCTAAAATAAAGCTTGAGGCTGGGAGCAGTGGTTCACACCTGTAACCCCAACACTTTGGGAAGCCGAGGCAGGTTGATCACCTGAGGTCAGGAGTTTGAGAACAGCGGAACCAACATGGTGAAACCCTGTCTCTACTAAAAATACAAAAAATTAGCCAGGCATGGTGTTGGGAGCCTATAGTCGCAGGTACTCAGGAGGCTGAGGCAGGAGAATCTCTTCAATCTGGGAGGCGGAGGTTGTAATGAGCCGAGATTTTACCACTGCACTCCACCCTGGGTGACAGAAAAAGACCCCGTCTCAGTAAATAAATAAATAAAAATAAAATAAAATAAAATAAAATACAAGACTTGAAAAAAAAGGAAAGTGCCACAGAAAAAGCCTTCCAGAAAGAGGAGTGAGTTCAAAGACCATGAGGTGGAAAAGAGCCTGAAATATTTGAATAAGAGAAAAGAGGCCTGTAGGACTAGTGCTGAGTTAGAACATTAGTGGTAAATGAGGAGCAGGAGTTACATATCAATTTGTGTGACTGTATTTTTAATATCTGTCTCCCCAGAGATTGAAAGCTGCAGAAATGCAGATACACTAGTTCGCCTGTCAATCCAGAACCAAGGTCTAGCACAGGCTTTGATACGTAGTTGGGATTCTTAACTATTTAATCAATAAATGAATGAAAACAGTAGCTGGGCTGCTCACCTAGGAGCACAAGCCTGGCAGCTCAAACAGGTAGGGACAGTTACAGAGAGCTGCAAAGATAGACCCTTCCCAGTAATGGAAAAAGGGCAAGTGGAGAAACTTATTTTGAGTGGGTAAAGTAATTACTGAAGTGCACAGGCATGGCAGCAAGGAGGCAGGAAGCAACAAAAAGGTAAATAACTTAGAAACCTTCACTTTCCGTCTGCGGCTGCTGCAAGCACCCAGCCCCTGAGACCCCAAGACATTCATACTAAGCAAGAGGCATACAATTAGGCAGCATCTCAAGATAATACCCAATAGGTGTTACATTTCATTTCAGTCAACCACTGCTGGGTTTTGGCACCATTTTCATCGCAAATATGAGTAATGCAGACCCCTCAGTCACTATTAAGTAGCAATCTGGGGAAATCATCCACTACCAATAATCCATTTCTCTAATTTAGAACACTCTGTAACCACATAATGAGTAACACTGTCTCCAACTCTCTGGTAATGACATGTGACATATGTCAGCAATTGCTCTTTTCAAGATAAATCCCACTGTGTTGTTCCCTTCAGAAACTCCTGCTTATTTATTCACTTGGGCTCCTCACATACAAATACAGTGTATTCATTTCTGAAGATGAATTTAGGAACAAAGTTGAATCGCAGGCTTTGAAATATCAGGAAAAAGTTTTATCCTAACATAATAAATAGCATTCAGTTTTGTCTACAAATGGTTGATTAATATGCAATTATATTCTTAAGTGCAGGCTGTCAATGAATTCCAAAGTACTTTATTTAATTAGTGATACCATTCGGTATATTCCCATTAGCAACATCTTCCCGTTTTTGCAATAGCAATTTTATTCCACCCCTTTAGAGAGAACTGTAAGTTCTTCGTCAGAAGTAAGACATTGCTTTTCCTACTTCTTTCACTGCATAAATGATGCTCCCTAGCATTCACAGCTGGAGATAATCATAAAAATTCCCCAAGTGCTGGGTCTTGTTCTTCCCACTGTCCCTCCTTCCCAAAGATGTGGAAATGGAATAAATAATTGCCCAAAGATCCAGCTCTTCTCAAACCCAAGAGATGGAGGAAGGGGCAAAGAGTTAAAAATAATAGAACTGGTTGCAAGTTATCATCTTTGTATTAAAAAAAATGCTTAAAACCCTTCCATTTGAGGACACTTCCCACAGCCCTGGCTCTTGTTGAAAATATTTTTGAGTTACTCAAATAATTAAACAGTTGCCCATCTTTAGATGTAATGTTCAGAGGTGAAATCTCTTATATTCAAAAAGGGAAATATATTAGGCTAAGTAAATGATATATAATGGGCATTTGGTTGGAGGGTTTGCTGAGGTATAATTATGTGGTTAAATATGTTTCAGAGTATTCCTGTTTTTTGCATAGGTAACACAACTAAAATATGTTAACTCAGTAAAATCTAGAAAATACGTATCATCTAATAAGACATTGGAAAAAACAGGAGAGTCCAAGAAGTTGTTTCTGTAAATTTACATCTTGGACTATAAGACCTGGGTGAGCCAAGAATAGAGTTAAAATTCGACCAAGTCAAGCCAAGGTTTAAGGTAAGACTAAGCTGTGTTGTCTCCTCTCTCATTCCCCACCTCCAAATATGCTAATGAAATTATAATGAGCAAAACCGCTTGCAAATAAAATGAACCTTAGTGATAATGGAGTAGTATGAATCTATCCAGCTTTACTTTAGATGGAGGTTGAGGTACATTTGATTAGAGCAAAAAGAGTGAGATCAATTGGGAAAAGGCTTAGATGGTAAATCCGAAGGTTCTATGGCATCCACATTTGGAGAACTTTACATATCGCAATTAAATAAAATATCCATGGATTCACAACAGGCTATATGACCAATTCTACCTGGTTGCTGAAATGTCAACCTGACCAGGAGGTGGGAGAGTTACTATCTTGAATAATTTTATGAGTGATTCAGATATTGTAAAGTCAACACCGATTTTATCTGGATGACTCTCTCGACCCCTTACCATCTCAACAGAGGACGTCATCCTCCTAAAATTACCAGAATGCAAAGAGTAGAGAACCATATTTTAACCATGATAGAGCAACGTTTCTTAACCAAGACACTGTTGCTATTTTGGCTTGGGGAAGTCTTTGTGTAAGAGCTGTTCTATATACTGTGGTATGTTTAGCAGAACCCTTGGCCTCTACCAACTAGATGTCAACATCAATTTCCCCACCCCATTCTGACAAACCAGAATGCCTCCAGATATTGCCAGCTGTCCCCTGGGGGAACAAAACAGTCTCAGTTGAGAACTCCTGGCATAGAGGATGCTTTTATCCTGCTTATTTTTCTAAGGTCTTCCTCTTACGGTCCCTGTGACATTTTTCTTCATTGATCTATTATTACTTCCCGTTAGTAAAATTCAAAGATAAACTGGAAAAAAAAAGTGGAATATTTTCTTATGAAACAATGTTAGGAACTAACCAGGAATAATAGTTCTGTATTATTTTAGACTTTCCCTGTTGTGTATATCAGAATGCACAATCTTTTCTTAGATACTGATGTCTTCACACACATTAAGAAAATACATTCAGCCAGGCATGGTGGCTCACACCTGTAATCCCAGCACTTTGGGAGGCTTAGGTGGGCAGATCACCTGAGGTCAGGAATTCAAGACCAGCCTGGCCAACATGGTAAAACCTTGTCTCCATTAAAAATACAAAAATTAGCCAGGCTTGGTGGTGTGTGCCTGTAATCCTAGTTACTTGGGAGGCTGAGGCATGAGAATCACTTGAACCCAGAAGGCGGAGGTGGCAGAGAGCTGAGACTGCACCACTGCACTCCAGCCTGGGCAACAAGAGCAAAACTCCATCTCAAAAAAATAAAAAAAATAAAATAAAAATAAAGGGCTGGGCATGGTGGTTTACACCTGTAATCCCAGCACTTTGGGAGGCCAAGGCAGGCAGATCTCCTAAGGTCAAGAATTCGATACCAGCCTGGCCAACGTGGCGAAATCCTATTTCTACTACAAATGCAAAAATTAGCTGGGTGTTGTGGCAGGTGCCTGTAATTCCAGCTACTCAGGAGGCTGAGACAGAAGAATCTCTTGAACCCAGGAGACGGAGGTTGTAGTGAGCCAAGATCACGCCCCTGCACTGCCGTATGGGTGACAGAGCGAGACTCCGTCTTAAAAAAACAAAAGAAAAAAGAAAATACATTCATATTACTCACATGATTATGCAAATACCTGTTTTTGTTTAACTAATGGTACTTATTTTGTCATACTAAGTACCTATAAGTTAACGTTTTTTTGTTTTTTTTTTTTTTAATGGTTGAGTGGTATTTCATTGCATGGACAGACCCAAAACTTACCCAAGAAATCTACAAATAGCCTTTTACAATCGTTCTATATATCTATGTGTGTCTGTGTATGTATGTGTGTGTACACATTGAATTTACTTCCTCACATATTCTTGCCTCCTTATATATGTATTTATGTAGATTAAATTCCTAAAAGTAGAACTTCTCAGATTTCTCCTTTTATGCTATTTTTTTTTTTTTTCTGACTGCATTTCATTAACTTCCTTTAAAATGCTTTTCTTTTGGGTCAAATGACACATCTGACATTTCTTTGGTTTCTTGAAACTTCTACACCCACCTTCCACTTATTAGACAATTACCTATAGGGACTCTACTGATACTAGTGGGCTTGGGGAGGTCCCCAAATGCTGGTGGGACCCTGATCCCGGCAGGTGTCCAGGCTCTTGACACCGTCTCAAGAAGGAATTCAAGGATGAGTCAGGCAACAGTGGAAGTACAGAGATTTATAACAACGGGAAAAGTACACACTCAAGAAAGGGGGAGTGTAGGCGGACTCAAGAGAGCACCATGCCTAAGGGGATTTGGGGCTGCTACCTTTATGTGTTTCTTTAGCCAAGGGGTGGAATACTTATGAAAATTCCTGGGAAAGGGTGGAAATTTCTTAGAATTGTGATGCCATCCATTTTTACACCAAACGTAGGTATTCTCGGAATTCATGGTGCTGGTCACCTAGGACCTCGTGATATGCTCATTAACATGGTAAGTCACTCATTAACATCCCAAGTCACAGTGACTTAGGATGTTAACAAACACATCATGAGGTCCTAGGTGAATCCTAGGTCAAATTCAGCACCATGTTGGGTCCACTTGGTCTTAGCCAGCTTGGTCCATGCCCGGTTTTTCAGGATCTGATCAGCCCACAGCCTCTAGTCATATGAAACTGCTATCTGATTTTTTTTTTTTTTAAAGACACGTCTCGCTCTGTTGCCAGGCTGGAGTGCAATGGCGTGATGTCGACTGACTGCAACCTCTTCCTCCTGGGTTCAAGTGATTCTCCTGCCTCAGTCTCCTGAGTAGCTGGGTCTAAAGGCCTGTGTCACCATGCCCAGTTAATTTTTGTATTTTGAGTAGAGATGGGGTTTCATCATGTTGGCCACGATGCTCCTGATCTCTTCACCTTGTGACCCACCCACATCAGCCTCCCAAAGTGCTGGGATTACAGCTGTGAGCCACTGTGCCTGGCCTGAAATTTTTACTATGCTGTGACTACCTGTATTGTTTCTCACTTCTACGGGCAAGGGAAGTGCTGAGACTCCATCTGTGAGTCACTGGCCTTCCTCCTTAAGCCAAATTGCTTCCTGACTGCTGTCCCATGCCACCTGTACCTTCTGTTGGTTCTTCATAACTGCATGCATCTTAGAGGCTTTTAATCATTTTCTCAAGGGTTTACCAGTGCCAGTATTGAGCTCTGTGCTGGGGAAAAATTGATGAGCAAAAAGCAGACAAGATTTGTCCCCTACAGAGCATAGAGTCTAGTGGAAACAACAGGCATTAATCAAAACTGCTTACAAATGTATGCAAATTACTACTGGAATTACTGCCTCCCAGGAGAATAGCCCAGTGCTCTAAGAGGGGGAACAGAAGGACCTGAGGTTTCAAGGCAGGCATTCCTGCAGAAGCGAAGCTGACCTGGGATAAAGGCCAGGGAAAGACTAACCAGGTAAGAGTGATGGAGGTGACCGGAGATCCATGTAGGGGATCAGCATGGGCAAACAACCATGGGACGGAGAGAAGCTGGCCCCTGAAGGATCAGAAGAGACCTCAAAAGGGTGAGGAGGGGGAAGGAGGTGACTGCTGAGCAGTGAAGGATGGGGCTGGCAGGGGATACTCTGAGACTGGCCCTCTGAGACGGATTTCAGTTTTATTTTGAAAGCGCTGGAGAACAGAGGAGTGACATGGTCACACTCAGGCTTTGAAAACATCACCCTGCTGAAGTGTGATGAATAACCCTCAGGAAGTCACCAGCTGTCATCATACTGAGACTGCATCAATTGACCAAACTTCTCTTCCTTCCCTATAAGCACTTCCCCTCCAGCGATAATGCTGGGTCAGATAAGGCACACAACACATCTTCCCATTTCTTCTTTAATGGATTTACTTGCTTTATCTGTAACCACTTTCTTACGCCTGGTTTGGAGGACAGCACTTTCAACCCTTTGCAGATCATATTGAAGAGAAGAACTTTAGGAGAAAATGAGATTAAAGTAGTTGAAGAAAAAAAAAAACACACCTCTAATACAATGGATTTATTTTTAAAAATGTAAAAAATAGTGTCCTCTTTAGGATGGTATATCTTATAT
This sequence comes from Homo sapiens, assembly GCF_000001405.40. Taxonomy (NCBI): domain Eukaryota; kingdom Metazoa; phylum Chordata; class Mammalia; order Primates; family Hominidae; genus Homo; species Homo sapiens. The sequence continues at coordinate 6,827,127 of NC_000016.10, read as the reverse complement.
TCACTGGTGTTAGATTAAAGGACACTAAGAGACTCGGTAAGTATGTGCAAAGAAATCTTCACTTTTTATCCACCAAAGCCTGCCCCCAAACTGCTTTCTCCCCAGACTAAAAAGTTAGTTTACAGCATGGCCTATCTATTGCAGTGCAATCATATTTTAACCTTGTCAAATATCCTCACCTATTTCTTCCATTTGCACAAAAAATGGAACATCAGAGATTCAGATTTTATTCGGAAAATTTCTTATTCATCATACGGAAACACATCCAACTGCGTTTGAGGATTTCAATTTAAAATTAATTTATCTTACATTAATGTTTAAATTCATGAGATTTCACATAAAGTCATTCTTGTAGTATAATAAATTCAGAGTCAATATGATAATTATTAAAGAGAAATGAGCGTGAGAAAAATAAATCACCTGGTCTTAGGGTTAGTCCTCTCTCCTGAGCTCTTAGGCTGGTAGCAAACAAAGAAAAAAAGGAAGGTTTTTAAAAAAAAGAAAGGAAAATGTCAAGAGGGAGAGGGACCAAAGAGAGGAGGAATAGAGCACGTGAGAGCACGCATGCCCGCAAGCACGTATGCCCGGAAGACTGTGCCCACACTGCCACTTATGGAACGCTTATTGTATACCAGGCACTGTTCTAGGTTATTTTCTCATCTCTAAGCCTCTTAACAACCCATGGGAATTACTTGAGTGCTAATGATCCCAGCGAGCAACTCTGGAGTATTTACTATGTACCAGGCAGTGTTCTAAGCACCCCTCCCTTTTTCTGTAAATAAGAAGGGGGTCTCCCCATGTTGCCTAGGCTGGTCTTGAACTCCTGGACTCAAACGATTTTCTCGCTTCGGCCTCCCCAAAGTGCTGGGATTACAGGTACAAGGCACCACACTCAGTCTGTTCTAAGCTCTTACATGCGTCGACTGACTCAATACATACAACCTACGTGGCGACGATGAGTCCTGTCTTCTCCAGATGAGAAAACTGGGGTAGGGAGAAGTGAGACGGCATGACCAAGATGAAATAAACAGCTAGCGGGAGACCTGGGCAATGAACGTGGGGGACCTGGGCAATGAACGTGGACCACCTCTGCACATCACCACGATGTGGTCGGCCTACCCAAAATGTAAAGAAGGTTCAACATTTTTGCAGACATGGAAACTCGTATCGTTAAAGGATGAGCACCCTGCGGTACAACCAGGATTTGAATTTAAAGTCACACGATTCCTAAAGTCTTGCTGCCACCTACATCAGAAGGCTCCCCAAGGATATTCATTCCTCCTTCCGGATGGAAGATGCAAGTTCCTGTGCAGGATCGCTGCCTCTGTCTCCACCCTTACCTTTCATTAGCTGCGTGTCTTCAGGACCCCGTTACACGTGTCCCTGGCATCGACTGCCCTGCCTCCCTCCCTTTCCTCTTCATCTGCTACTAGGTTCTTTCCTTGTGTTACCTATCCAAGACTCCTGCTTTCTGCAGTGAAGCGGTGAATAAATACCCACTCCCAGGGAGAGGATGTTGCAGTTTCTAAAAGGAAGAGAAAATGGAACTCAAAAATGCTTCACACGTGCGTAGGTACCTGGACCTTCAATATCAAAAGACTGTTCAAAAAGTGAGATTCATTTTGTGTTCTCAGCTTGTTTGTTCTAAACACACAACTCCCTTTTCCTGTCGTTATTTTTCCTTTCCCTTTTCAAATCATCCCTGCCTTGCTGAATAATCTCTGGCTTTTCCGTTAATTCGTGAATTTTAAGTGTGTATTTAAAAATATCTAGAAGACTGATTCTCAACACCAGCCATTTTTGTCCCCAGGGGAACATGGGCAATATCTACAGACATTTTTGGCATCTAGAGTAGGGAAGGGGTGTGGCATTGGTATCTAGTAGCTAGAGGGCAGTGAGGTTAATTGCTAAGCAGCCTCCCAAAACACGTCAGCCCCCCCACAAGAAAGGATCATCTGACCAGCAACGCCAAGGGTGCTGAGTGAGGTTGTTAATCCTAGCTACTTGGGAGGCTGAGGCAGGAGAATTGTTTGAACCAGGGTGACAGGGGTTGCAGTGAGCAAAGATCATGCCACTGCATTCCAGCCTGGGTGACAGAGCCAGACGCCGTCTCAAAAAAAAAAAAAAAAAAAAAAAAAAAAAAACCAAGAAAGAAAGAAAAAAGAAATCCTCAGTGTAGAAGGATGCACTTAATCATGTACCAATGGTTGCCTCTAGGGAAGATGGCAGGAACCCAACAATACCACTTTCAATTATTTCACTTTTGAAATGTTAATAGTGTTTCTTTCCAATCCACATGTATTATCTTTGACATGTTATTACAAATTTAAAAATATATTTAATTCCTTTTAAATGTTTTCTTCCAGAAAAGTTTTTAAAGAAAGCTTTTGGACTTTTTCAAAGAAAAGTAAAACAGAGAGTATATACAAGAAAAACATTATTATTTCAAGGTAGTGAGTGATGAATCCAAGAACCTCTTTTGATAAGGAATGGATTTTCTCTTCAGAGTAATCTGTTGACAAAACAGCACACCTTTAACTTACAGACTTGTATTAGTATTTATTATGATTATTATTAAGAAAAATAGGAGATATACTCAACATGTTAATTTTTAAAAAATGAAATATAGAATTTACTACAAAACACCACTACCATTTTCTATTTAAAGCAATAGAACATCTTGAGTTGCCTTGACAGTAAGATAACTGTTTACAGTCTTTGACATGGAATCTCGCTCTGTTGCCCAGATTGGAGCATGCTGTAGCATGATCTCAGCTCAATGCAACCTGTGCCTCTCTGGTTCAAGTGACTCTCCTACCGCAGCCTCCATGAGTAGCCGGGATTACAGGTACCAACCACCACATCTGGCTAATTTTTGTATTTTTAGTGGAGATGGAGTTTCGCCATGTTGGCCAGACTGGTCTCGAACTCCTGACCTCAGGTGATCCACCCGCCCTGGCCTCCCAAAGTGCTGGGATTACAGGCGCCAGCAACAGCGCCTAGCCAAATAACTATTTACATTCTGGAAACTCCTCTTCACCATTCCATTACTACAAAATACAAGGTGTAGACAAAGATATGGAAATCCAGATAATGGAGAACTCTACACTTTCTCCACACTTTCATTCATGGGGCCAGCTCATACCCATCCTTCAAGATTTGGACCAGATGCCACCTCTTCCAGGACACCGTTTCTTACACTGATTTCTTACGTGTAACTCCAGCATGCTCCTTTTTGCAGCAATCTGTAATCCCCTCAACCCCAGCCCACAGCACAGAGCCCTCTATTTCTCTGATTACCTGGCTAGGTCCCCAGAGGTAGGAATCTCCTATTATTAGTTTTCCTATCTGCAACAACTAGAACAGTGGCTGATATTTAACATTCAAAATTTCAATTGGTGGTAAATATTGAATGAATGAATGAACAAATGAATGAAAAAGGGAAGAAGAATGATTTCCACTGACCCTAAGAAATCAAGAATAGGGAGATTCAAAATCAAGGGAGGAAAACTGGTGGAATATTCAAGGAAGGAAGAAGATAATATACTCCCTTATAAGAATTTCATGTGGTGGCCAGACACAGTGGCTCCCTCCTGTAATACCAGCACTTTGGGAGACTGAGGCATACAGATGACCTGAGACCAGTAGTTTGAGACTAGCGTGGCCAACATGGCAAAACCCCATCTCTATTAAAAATACAAAAATTAGCCAGGTGTGGTGGCGCACATATATAATACTAGCTACTTGGGAGGCTGAGGCAGGAGAATCACTTGAATCCAAGAGGTGGAGGTTGCAGTGAGTCAAGATCATGCCATTGCACTCCAGCCACGGTGACAGAGCAAGACTCTTTCTGGGGAAAAAAAAGAAAAAAAAAAAAGAAAACAAAACAATTTCAGATGGGCCAAGAGGTCAGTGAAGTAGAATGCTTAATGCTTAAGAAGGAACACAGGCTCCCTAATCACTTTGGGGCTGAGATGGTCCTGGCTTCTATCAAATACAGGCTTCATAAAATGGCTATGACCCTCTGATGCTCAGTCTCCCATCTGTAAAATGGAAATAATTGTATTCAACACACATGCCAATAACAAACATGACATCAGAATAATGCACATACAGTACTAAGCAAAGTATCTACACGTTGAGAAGCTGTTAGGGATCATCGTTTTTTGTCCATGAACTCTAATGGTTATCAGAACTATCCTCTGCTGCAGCAGCACGCACTTGTTAATATTAATGCATGCCCTTTATGTGAATCACTGTTCCAGGCATTTTAAGGCACAAAGAGATCTAAGATTCAGCTATTGCTCTCAAAAGGCTTAACCTGGTTGGAGAGTCAGACCATACTCGCGCTTGTCCCATAGGTTCTTCTGGGTTCTTTTCCACCCCTCTCCCTTCCTTCAAGCCTGAGTTGCTGAAGAAAGCAGAGCTTGGATCTTTAAAAACACACCATAGCGTGTAAAAGTGAATTAGCATGGGGTTGTCTAACCTCATACCTTATGAGCAGCTTCATCTGCCATAACTTAGATTGTGATGGGAAATAAAATGCAAGCACGGCGAAGAGCTCACTGTGCACGGCAAGACATGTTTTATCTCTAGCCACGAAGTGGAATTGCATTCCTGTTGTGAAACTCAGATTGATGCATGTGTTTTATTTATAACCCTTTCTCTGAAAGTTCCTCCAAGTTACAAGTTAGCAATGAAAGTTTGCAGTGGCTTTTAAAAGACTTGCTGGCATCTCCCCTGACAGCCAAATTCTTGCAAGTGACAGTAACAGACCACAGAATGGCTGAGAGTCAACAGGCATTGAAGAATGTGCATGTCCAACAAAGAATAATGGTGATAGAATGGAAAAGGCAGAAAGTGGGACTACTGAGCATTGATACTCAAGGGAAATCTGCCATACCAGCATTTCAAACTGACTGTCATCCAACCATCCATCATTCTCCCCTCTTACAATGCCTCGACTTGGCACACGAGCTCCCGTTTTGCTTCCCTGTATCCTTTCTCAGTCTGTCTCCCCCAGTAGCTGCAGAAAAATCACACGCAACCATTTCACTGGCAGTAGTCTCAGTATGATGATCACTTGTCAAGTCTATACAACCATGCTCCCTATTTGGTCATGTAGAAGGTATGTCAGCGAAGTATCATCCATCCCCAAACAGTAGAGGCAATCACATCAGAAACTAGAGCTGTGAAAAACAGAGTTTCCTCAAAGGGTTAAACCATATGACCTAGCAATTTCATGCCTAGGTATATACCCACAAAAATTGAAAACAGACAAGTGCCTGCACCTTCATGTTCATAACAGCATCATTCACAACAGCTAGAAAATGGAAACAACCCAAATGTCTATCAATGAAAAAATTGGTTCATTTCTACAGTGGAATATTATTCAGCCATAAAAATTGATGAAGCACTGATACAGGCTATCATGTGAATTAATCTTGCAAACATTATGCTGAAAGAAGTCAGATGAAAAAGGCCACGTGTTGTACGATTTATGTAAGATATCATAAACGGACACATCCATTGTGACAGACCGACCAGTGGTTACCAGCGGTTGGGGGGAGAGAGAAATGAAAAGCATCTGATTAATAGGCATGGGATTTCTTTTTGGGATAATGAAAATGTTTTGGAACTAGATAAAGGTGGTAGTTGCACAACATTAATGCACTATGTGCCACTGAATTGTTCACTTAAAAATAATTGATATCAGTTATGTGGAATACACCTCAATGAAATTTTTTAAAATAAAACAGTATCAAAGACTAGACTAGTTTTCCAATTTGGGGACAAAACATGTCAGGTAGCAAAACTTAGTAATAGGGAAGAGAGGAAAGCACCACAGACCCAGGTGATAGCCCTGGTTAGATGTAAAGAGACACCATATTTAAAACAGCTACAAGGGTAGAGGCCATGACTGGACTTCTAGCCAAATCCAGGAGTGCCTTCCAGCAAAGAGATCATGAACATGGGCAGATAAACCTGGCACTGAATCTCATCACTATTGTTTTTTAATGGTGTAGTGGCTTGATACTTTAACATTTCTGAGATGTGTTTCTCACACTGGAAATATATAGGAATCTGTTTTGTAGGGTTAAGAATTAAGTGATAATAACCCTAAGACTCCCTTACAAGTAACTGTATATAACACATAATACAAATTCAATAACTGGTAGCTTTAATTATCATTCAACCATTGTGCATGAAATGTATGGTCCAAACTGCTAAGGATGACAAAGGATGAAAAACAGCAACACTATGGGTCAAAAATAATTAACTTCTACATGGCTTCTTTGGAAGTACCAATGGTCCATTTATCTGTGCTCATTCACAGGCCTTTTGCAGTAATAAGTCTCTGACTTAGCATCGATTTGAGGCCTATAGAGGCTCTTAAAAAATCTTCTAAGAATGAGAATGCACTGCAGTTTTCGGTTTTTGTTTGTTTGTTTTGCTTGTTTTTTTTTTGGAGACAGGGTCTTGCTCTGTCACTCAGGCTGGACTGTAGTAGTGTGATCATGGCTTGCAGCAGCCTCTAACTCCCGGGCTCAAAAAATCTTCCTGCCTCACCATCCCAAGTAGCTGAGACTATAGGTGCACGCCACCATACCCAGTTACTTTTTAAAAACTTTTTCTGTAGAGACGGTTTTTCTATCTTTCCCATGCTGGTGTCGAACTCCTGGCCTCAACTGATTTTTCCTCCCCAGCCTCCCAAAATGCTGGGATTATAGGAGCCACTGTGTTGGGCCTATCACAGTTACCTGAACAATCCTATCTATCCATTAGGGAATCAAAAGATTATTTGATGATTAAGAGGACGTATTAGTCTATTTTCATAATGCTATGAAGAAATACCTGAGACTGGACAATTTATAAAGAAGAAAAGGTTTAATCGACTCACAGTTGCACATGGCTGGGGAGGCCTCACAATCACGATGGAAGGTGAAGGAGAAGCAAAGGTATGTCTTATATGGCGGCAGGCAAGAGACAGTGTGTCCTTTATAAAACCATCAGATTTCATGAGACTTACTCACTATTATGAGAAAAGGAAAGGAAAAATCAAGCCCCACGATTCAATTTTACTTCCTATTGGGTGCCTCCCATGACATATGGGGATTATGGGAACTACAATTCAAGATGTGATTTGGGTGGGGACACAGCCAGAGGATGAGTGAAAATACCAGATGACATCACCTCTGCAGGAACAGTCTCCCTGATGTGCAGAGCTCTGTAAGGTATGCTTGAGGAAAGCACTTACATTGTAGGTTACACTGGAATCAGAGGGCTGGATTCAAATGCTTGCTCTTCTGTAAATTACCAGTGTCGTAATCAACAAGTTCCTTTCTTTGAAATAGATTTTAATACCTGTTATACTATATACCTTTTGGTGTTGTTATTTTTTTTTTTTTTTTTTTTTTTTTTGAGTCAGAGTTTCACTCTTGTTGCCCAGGCTGGAATGCAATGCCTTGATCCTGGCTCACTGCAACCTCCGCTTCCCAGGTTCAAGCAATTCTCCTGCCTCAGCCTCCCGAGTAGCTGGGATTACAGGCATACACGCCAACAGGCCCGGCTAATTTTGTATTTTTAGTAGAGATGGGTTTTCTCCATGCTGGTCAGGCTGGTCTCAAACTCCCGACCTCAGGTGATCCGCCCGCCTGGGCCTCCCTAAGTACTGGCCTCAGCCACCATGCCCGGCCTACCTTTTGGTTTCTGAAGATGACCTTTTGCAACTTAAACTCTACAGCCATGTTAAAGGATGTGTGTGTGTGTTCACTGTAGACCAATATTATTTATTCATCTAAGCAATAATTCAAACCTAAGTGAGCACCTGCTATGTACAAGGGACTATGCCATTTCCACTGGGAGACACAAAGTTAAATGATGCAGGATTGCCAACCACAGGAATGAAGACGATTTCTATACGGAAATAAACAGAATGTTAGGACACTCCAGTGTACAAGGCTCACAGGGGTCAAATATATGATACAAACTGCCATAGCCCACATGGAAATTGTTGGATCCTGAAACCGGAAGTCTGTGGTGTTTGGATTCAGACAGAACTCATTCAAGTCGCTTATACAATGCCGTTGATAGTCCATCTCTGTTACTTACCTTTATTTTCCTCTGTGTCAAGTTTGATTCTCAGACAGGTGCCTTTCAACCCATGGAGAGGTGGCTACCAAAATTTCGACTTCATTCTATCAGTTCAGCATGCCCAGAGGAAATCGAGTCTCTTTCCAAAGAATTCCATGTAAATTCCTGAGATTTAATCTCATTGGACTGAGTTGGGCGATATGCCCAGGCACGGACCAGTCAGGGAGGCCAGGAGGATGAAATGGCATCAGTGGCCAGGCCTCGATCACACTCCCCCTTGTGAAGCTTGGGGCTTTTTCTATCTGATGACACAGACTGAGGGTGGAAGAGAGGACTTCTCTAGAGAAACACTAAGGGGCTTTACCAGAAGAAGGGGGGAAAAATGAATAATAGCAGCTATTCATCACAGGTGCTGAGTGATACATGCCCTACTAGAGGTTAAATGAGAGTGCCATAGCAACTTTAGAAGAAAAAAGGGAACTAGAGTTTAAATCTTACAACAGCTTGTATTATTGCCACTTTAGTAACTACATAACAAACCTCACTGGCATTTACTCACTCATAAAACTCTCACTGGCATTCAATAATATTTTTTTTTTCTTTTTGGCCACTCATGGATCTGTACGTCAGATGAAGTTCATTTCTTCTAAACTTGGTTTAAGTCCCACTTGTGGGATGGGTGAGGTGAGCTCCGTATGTCACACCCATTTAGAAACCATGATTCTCATAGTAATGAAAGACGCACACACAGGTGAATCCAGCTACACAAGCACCTACTTCTAAAGCCTCTGCTTGTATCATGTCTGCTAACATTTCGTTGGCCAAACTGTCACAGGACCAACAGCAGGATCCCTGTGGCAGGAAGCCATATGCCTGGTACTCTACCAGAGGAACCTAGAAAAGGGCTTCCATAGAGGGAGGGGTGGAAAATCTGAAACAATAATGCAATTACATCATGACATCTAAGATAGTTTTATGCCCATGTGAGATATAGGAGAGCAGACACAAAAAGTTTAGCCACTAACCCATGCTCATTTAGCTTGAGGATGGCAGGCCTGCGTTTAAAACCAGATCATCTCATTCTGAAGCCCAACAGAGAGACACAGTAGATTTTTGGGCAATGGCCCAGGAACAGGGTATGAGGCAAGCCTTCATGAAGGGCTTGGGATCTCCTGTCTGATATGAGTCACATTCACAGGGGACTTCATGAATTCTTGAGTTATAGTTAATAAGGTTTTTGTCAGAAACTTAGAAGTTTAACAGATGTACTTAACACACACAACCTTCATGTAGACTGTTGGTAGTTTTTTTTGTTTGTTTTTTTTTTCTTTGAGACAGAGTTTGGCTCTGTCGCCCAGGCTGGAGTGCAGTGGTGCAATCTCAGCTCACTGCAACCTCCTCCTGGGTTCAAGTGATTCTCTTGCCTCAGCCTCCCGAGTAGCTGCAATTACACGCATGCGCCACCAAATCCAGTTAAATTTTTTTTTTTTTTTTTTTTTTTAAGCAAAGAAAGGGTTTCACCATGCTGGCCAGGCTGGTCTCGAACTCTTGACCTCAACCAATCTGCCTGCCTCTGCCTCACAAAGCGTTGGGATTACAGGCATGAGCCACTGCGTCCAGCTAAAAGTTAATTTTAAAACTGAATTATTTCTACCATGAGACACTAAAGAAGGGTGACACACGCAGCTAACAGGTAAGCAGGGTCCTCGTACATGGGAGAGGGGCTTTGGTTAAATGTGTTTGAAGCTATGACACATTAAGGTGGTCAGAAGTATGTTACCTGGGTGTCTGATTCCACTTTAAAATCTCTGCAACAAAGTTCCTTGCACCTAATCAAGTGGACAGTGATGTATAACAGGTCCAGTCAAGGGATCAGCCTTTACTCAGCAGGTTGCAGCCATGTCAAAGGTTAATACATCAGTTCTGTATCCACAGTCACCTAGATGTCAAGTCCAATTCATTGATTTGCAAAAATTATGTCAAAGAGGCTGAGCATGGTGACTCGCACCTGCCATCTCAGCACTTTGGGAGGCAGAGGCAGTGGGATCGCTTGAGCACAGGAGTATGAGACCACCCTGGGCAACTCAGTTAAGACCCCATCTCTCCAAAAAATACAAAAAAAACAGCTAGGCATGGTGGTATTTACCTTTAGTCCCAACTACTTGGGAGGGTGAAGTGGGAGGACTGTTTGAGCCCAGGAGTTTGAGACTGCAGTGAGATATGATTGCATCACTGCAGTCCAACCTGGGTAACAGAACAACACCCTGTTTCTTTTCTTCCTTTTTTTTTTTTTTTTGAGACAGTCTTGCTCTGTCACCCAGGCTGGAGTGCAGTGGTGCAGTCTCAGCTCACTGCAAGCTCCACCTCCCGGGTTCACGCCATTCTCCTGCCTCAGCCTCCCAAGCAGCTGGGACTACAGGTGCCCGCCACCACGCCTGGCTAATTTTTGTATTTTTAGTAGAGACGGGGTTTCACTGTGTTAGCCAGGATGGTCTTCATCTCCTGATCCTGTGATCTGTCCGCCTTGGCTTCCCAAAGTACTGAGATTACAGGCATAAGCCACCACACCCGGCCAACAAGACCCTGTTTCTTTAAAAAAAAAAAAAAAAAATTACATGAAGGGGCCAGTCTGGCAACAACAAAACCGAAGATTGACTTTCATCTAAAAGGCTTTTTCAACAGGCAGGCAGACATGACACAATGATTGTTGACTGAATGATTGATTGCAACAAGGTCTTACCCTGTGGCTCAAGTGCGAGTGCAATAGTGTGATCATAGCTTACTACGGTCTTGAACTCCAGTACTGAAGCAATCCTCACCTCAGTCTCCAAAGGAGCTGGGATTACAAGTGAGCATCACCACACCTACCTAATTAAAAATAAAAATTTTGTAGAGACGGGGTCTCCTCATGTTGCACAGGCTGGTCTCGAACTCCTCAGCTCAAGCAATCCTCCTGCCTCAGCCTCCAAAAGTGCTGGGACACGCATGAGCCATTGCTCCTGGCCGATTATTTTTAAATGGTACAATAGGCAGAAAGAAACTCTTCTCAAAGGATTTGCCAACCTTAATATTAATACTCTTAAAGATCTTCAAGTTTCTTACTTCTCAAGACAGTCCTTTCTTTCCTTCAGTGGAAGTAAATTATTTTTTAAATTATACCCATTCAAACAGACTGAGTGTTGACAAATGTTGTGAGAATTAAGCTTTTCCTCTTAAAGTAACTATTAAGAGCAAACTATTAGGTAGTTGGAATTAGAGAATGAGGTTTGGCTGCAAACTATAGACTTTTTGCTGGGGACCAGAGAGAAGAGTGGGTAATGGTTAAGTGTGTGTTCTGTCGCTGAACAAGTCTAGGTTTGAATCCTGGCCCTGGTAAGGCGTAAGTAGGTAGCCTTGAGAAAGTCACTCATTTGCTTCAAGTTTACTCATTGGTAAAATGAGATTAATGACGGGAGGATTAAATGAGATACTGTATGGATAGAGACTGGCATAATGTCTGGCGTAGGGGATGCTGGAGTGACAATTTAGAAATATAATCATATCTCCTTAACATCTTTTAATGGATTCCACTGCGAATGTCAGAGGTGTTTGAACCAGAGTGACTCCATCTTGAAAAGGGGTTAGGTAAAGTAAGGCTGAGATCTACTGGGCTGCATTCCCAGAAGGTTAGGCAATCTTAGTCACAGGATGAGACAGGAGTTCAGCACACAATACGGGGCACAAAGACCTAGAAAATAAAATAGCAAGTGGCAAAGAAGTCGGCCAAAACCCACCAAAACCAAGATGGCAATGAGAGTGATCTCTGGTCATCCTCACTCTTCACTATATGCTAATTATAAAGCACTTGCATGCTCAACAGCACTCTCACCAGCGCCATGACAGTTTACAAATGCTGTAGCAACACCCGGAAGTTACGCTATATGGTCGGAAATGGGGAGAAACCCTCAGTTCTAGTCATTGCCTACCGCTTTCCGGGAAAAACTATGAATAATCCATCCCTTGTTTAGCATATAATCAAGAAGTAATGATAAGGATGAGCAGCTGGGCGGCCCATACCACTGCTCTGCCTGTAGAACAGCCATTCTTTTATTCCTGTATTTTCTTAAAAAACTTGCTTTCATTTTACTCTATGGACTCGCCCCAAATTCTTTTCTGTGCAAGGTCCAAGAACCCTCTCTTGGCGTCTGGATCAGGACCCCTTTCCAGAAACACTCACAGGACATAAACCCAAACCCCTTGATGTGCTGCTTCTATCCAACCTCAACTCTAGCCCCACCTCTCCCCCAGGGTTCCAGACTGAAGGACTTTTCACTTCACTTCCTCAGGTTTCCAAGACCTTCCACATGCTGCTCCCTGTGCTTGGAGGAGCCCTTCCCCCTTAGCCTCTTTGTCCCCTACCTGTCATTCAGCTCTGTCCTTAACTGCCATTTACTTGAGAATCTCTGTGATTCGCATCTATCATGCTCATCAGTGTAACTTCCCTTCACAGCACATACTAAGGATTGTCATTATTAATTTGATCAATGCCTGTCTCCCACTAGACTCTAAGCCCCATGAAGCTAGAAGCCACATCTACCTTGTTCACCCACCTGCTTCTACCACCCAATGTCAGGCTTGACACACAGAGATTATTTACCGTAAGAATGGATGGAAAACAATGTCAGAAAGAAATGGAAACACTTAGGACATGATCAGGAGCTATGTCTTAATCAACTTTCTTGCTTTCAGTTTGAAGATCAGAAAAGGACATTTCTGACTCTCTTAGACCTCCTCCCTCCCCCCCACCACAATTTTCTCTCTGTGTTATTACATGAAAGAAGAAAACAGTTATTATCATCATGTTGATCATGCAATGAGATCTCAGAATATTGGCTTGTTTGGTGTGTTGTTGTTCTAGGAGTTTTAAATAAGCTCCCTATGTGGGCTATTAAATAAAGTAGGGACAAATGAGAGAAATTATACATCTGCTTTTCACTCCAGGACAAGTTGTTATGTTTGAATCTAATTTCCCTTTGTGCAGATCACTGAACCGGTCCTCAGATATTGCCAGTGCCATGATGAGAGTGTTAGTAGCAAGGACTGGTTAATAGTTTGCTGGGTAACTTGAGGAAGGAAATGTAACCAGTCTGGACCATTATCTCCCTTCATTACCTAACAAGGGGCTGGCTGAGCTCAGATGGAAGCCAGAGGGGTTGGGGGTATCAACAGCGCCTCCTCCCTTCACTCATTCTTCAGGAATCCTCCGCATCTCTGCAGGTGCCTGCTGCCATTGGCATGCCCAGGAGGTTTGATTTTATAACTAGGGACAGAGGGAGAAGATTTTGATAGGGTGAGAGAGTATGGGACTTGGAAAGGTGATAAAGAAATTCAAAATGAAAAGGAATTGCATCCACCCCCTACTCAGTTCTTCAGATTGATTTTGAGCCACCTGTGGAGAGAGAGGTTTGGATGCAGAAGATGAAAGAGACACTTAGTGAGATTCAGCACAAGCAAAGCTACTTTAGGGACCAGGTGACAGATCATAGCATAGGGCTGGGGAAAGAGCCATTGGCCCTGTCTCTGAAGAAAACCTAAGAAGGAGCTGGGGTCCCCAAACTAGAGCCATGAGAACATTCAGAGGTGACACCTGGGAACCCATACGAGCATTCTCAAGATGGGAATTGCAACAAGCAGCAGCTTCTGAAGGCAGTTACATGAATGTGGTCAACTGGAGGCTAGAAACGAAGAGGGTTGTTTCATGGAATATGGCTGTTTTGAGGACTGCCAGAAAGAACTGGAATACTATCTGGGGAACCGGAGAAGTGTAAATTTCAGTAATTAGCCAATCATCCTTGCTATAATCACAATTTTGTTATAGGAAGTCATTGTGGCCTGATATTTAACCATACAAAGGTGAGGCCTGAAAACTTAGGTTGCACTTTTTTTTTTTAATGGGAGTGAAAATATATTCATGGTTTTCTTCATATACATCAGCATTGTTTGACTGGTTGCCATGACAATAGGTCTTTTGTGAAATAAAGTTTTATTTAAAAATCTAACAAAAAAGAGAGAAGTAGGGAATTTAAACATCTTCCTTTACTTCCCTATTCTCCCAGTCTCCAAAGAAAGACAGCAATGACCTCTAGAAACATCGTCACTCTGACATGATGGACAAAGGACTCAGGGGCTTCCCACCATTTCTAAGTGCTCCATCTTCTATGGTACTGCTGTATGCAAAACCTAATGGAGTAAAACAGGAGGTCCACAAGGAAAATGCCGCTTATGAGCACAAATGAGGCCTCCAACAATCCATGTTGCATGAGGCCACACTTGTCCTAAAAGATTTAGACCACATTTAGGCATTAAAAACTGAACCAAGGCCAGGCGTGGTAGCTCACGCCTGTAATCCCAGCACTGTGGTAGGCTGAGGCGGGTGGATCAATTGAGGTCAGGAGTTTGAGACCAGTCTGGCCAACACGCTGAAACCCTGTCTCTAATAAAAATACAAAAAAAATTAGCTGGGCGTGGTGTCATGTGCCTGTAATCCCAGCTACTCAGTAGGCTATGGCAAGAGAATCACTTGAACCCTAGAGGTGGAGGTTGCAATGAGCCGAGATCGGGCCACTGCACTCCAGCCTGGGTGACAAGACCCAGACTCCGTCTCAAAAAAAATAAAAAATAAGAAACTGAACCAAAACTTTGCAGTGCTAATTGGCACTTTGCATTGTGTTTCCTTTCTAAGGTTCTGTTAGTAGACCGTCCTAGCTTGGTCTAAAGGGAGATACTTTCATTTTGAACAAATTTCTTAACAAAACAGGAAATGTGAGGAGCTTAATATTCACAGATATTCATTCTAACAGGAGGACAAATAAAAAATCCTATGGGGCCTTTACTTGAAAATCATTCATTAATTTAAAACGATTTTGCTTTGGTAGTGAGTTTCTCGTGAAGGCTTCTTCATCATATGGAGTCTGATAATACAACTTTATATGGTGATACATGAAACCAACCAACACTCTTGTACTGCACTATTTATCTGGAGAAATGGCATGGCCACCTCTGTTCATGCTGAGGAGAAACAACATCTGTAAGAAATTCCAGTCTGCAACTTATTTCAGTATTTTTTTCTGTGCCTTATATTTTGTATTTTATTTATTTATATTTTGAGATGGAGTTTCACTCGTGTTGCCCAGGCTCGAGTGCAATGGCACAATCTCGGCTCACTGTAACCTCTGCCTCCCAGGTTCAAGCGATTCTCCTGCCTCAGCCTCCCCAGTAGTTGGGATTACAGGCGTGCACTACCACGCCCAGCTAATTTCTGTATTTTTGAAGAGATGGGATTTCACCATATTGGCCAGGCTAGTCTTAAACTCCTGACTTCAGATGATCTACCCGCCTTAGCCTCCCAAAGTGCTAGGATTACAGACCTGAGGCACCGTAACTGGCCTCCTGTGCCTTTTCCATGCTAGCACCCAGGTTGCTAATCTTCCCAACGCCAGAAAACAAAACAAAAGTACCTTTTTAACTGTGGTCTGAGGACTAGCTACATAATCACTTAAACATCCCTGACTCCTAAATCAAACAGGAATTTTACAATATTCATAGAGGAAAAAAATATATTGTATAATAGCCAATGAAACATTAAAATATTCAATGTTATCTAGCTAAAAGCTAATCACATTTAATAGAAGTGATCCTACCCCATAATATTTTTAAATCTTATCCAGTATTACTGGGTTCAATTCTATTTTACAAAGTTGAGAGGTAATTCTATTTCTCTTCTTTTGTTCTCTTTTACTCAATTTTGTGGCATTCTTGATTTTTCCTGCCTATATTATTTCCTGCAAAGGCAGGTCTCTTCAATTATTTTCCAAACTCTCATATCACTTAATTCTTCCTTCAGAATTGGAGGCCTTAGAAGTTACTCAGCAAAATCGGCTTTTCTATCAAGGTATCTCAGCCACAACATCCCAGAAAGAAATACCCAGGTGTGTTTTTCGGGGTATCTTATCATCATCAGTTTTTCTGTGTGTGTTCTGTAACTATTTCCAAAAATTGTGTAAATCCGTTCTGGAATAGCATTTAGTGAAATATCTGTTACGTGTATGGTTGGAAGCAACCGAACCTTGATATGATTTGGCTCCGTCTCCACCCAAATCAGCTCTTGAACCGTAATCCCCACATGTTGAGGGAGGCTTGTGATTGGATCATGGCGACCTTTCCCGGCACACTGTTCTCCTGATAGTGAGTGACTTCTGGCGAGATCTGATGGTTTTATGACGCAGTTCTCTCTGCTCTTGCTCCGTTCTCTTGCTGCCCTGTGAAGAAGGTATTTGCTTCCCTTTTGCCTTCCACCGTGATTGTACGTTTCCAGAGGACTTCCCAGCCATGTGGAACTGCGTCAATTAAACCTCTTTCCTTTATAAAATACCCAGTCTCCAGGAAGTTCTTTATAGCTCTTTATAGCACTATGAAACTCATAATACAAACCTATAACTGGCTAACTTAAGGAAAAAAAAAGAGGTTTTTGGAGGGGCATATGGGGACATTCACAGAATCAAGACTCATGAACGGTGCCATGAACGGAAAATTAGATACCTTTGTGTCGCCATCTTTTTAGTCATCCTTCTCCCAGGAAAAAGTACCATTGTCCACGCTTAGTTTATGTGCCTACCTCTTCACCACTTGGACAAGGAGAGGAAAAAATGCACGGAAGCCTCCTGTACGGCCCTCATGGGTCTCATTTAACCTTTCAGAATAATTTCAGTGACAGACCAATTTGAATCACAAAATGTGGTAAAAAGTGAATTTCTCCAAGAAAAAGAGGGATGGACATTTTCTGGATAGCTAACAATCCACTCCAAGTTGCACACATAAGACAATGAGAGTGATCCGTAATCCCTATCCCTGTCCATAAGAGGCATATTTGTTGGTAAATGTTGACAAGAAAAGATAGATACCAGTTTCCTTCCTGAGACCCCATCAGACCAGAGCATTGTCTACTTATTAACAGAAAAAAAAAAAAAAGGTGAGAGAGAAGAGAATTTTTTCAGAGAGACACCCAGGAGAACAAGCTCTAGATGTCTGATCATATCAATCTCAACTCAGGACAAGCGGGTAGGCTCATCTTGGTGGTGTTTATTCATTTGTACAAAAGCAACTCTCTCCAATTTCATAACTTCCAGAAAGGCACCGGACTGGTGAATTACACTTGGTACGACAGCACTCTTCCAGAGAATTGGAATAAGATTTTTGGCAGCTGAAGTGTTTTTTAAAAGCCACTGCTTTCTATGATTGCCCCATCTCATAAATAACTCTGTCGCTGAGAAAGACCAATTCAGAGACAATGAAAAACTCCTCTTCTGCAGCTCTACGTATCTCACCTGAACTTCTCAGACTTCAGTTTGTTCTATGCTGTGTTCCTATGGACTTCGGATGGGGTAGCAATTCTGTACCAAGGTTATGGCACTTTTGGTTGAAGGCTTCATATACAATAGGATATAGTCTCAGGTGCACAGAAACTTATTCCACACTGCCTCCTGGGGTGAATGACAGCTCTTCAATGTAGATGAGGAAGATAATATTTTTGTATCTCAGGTACCCCATAAATCAATACATCTATGTGTATATCCACAAAAATTTTAAAAAATAATTCTTTAAAAATGCACCTTTAGAAAGTGTCTGGCACAGTGGCTGGCACTTAGAGGCAATCTACATTAGTTTATTTCTTCCCTCTGGTTAAAGAAAAACTTCAGCCAAATTAAATTTAAAGAAGTTTAATTGAGCAATGAACGATTCAGAAGGCAGCCCCCAGAATCACATGAGATTCAGAGACTCCAGCGTAGCCAAGGTGGTGAAAGAAAATTCATAGACAGAAAAAGGGAAATGACTTACAGAAATCAGCAGTGAGGTACACAAACAGCTGAACTGGTGACAGGTTGGTGTTTGCCTTTTTTGAACACTTAGCAGTCTATGGGTGGTTGAAGTATGGCGGCTGGGATTGGCCAAGACTCAACTATTGTTACAGGTGCATACTCCTAAGTCAGGTTTTCAGTCTTGTCTATTAAGCTAGGTTACAGTTCATCCACAAGGACTCAAATATAGAAGTACAGAGTCCTTCTCAGGACATATTTAGTTTGCGTTAACATCTTGCTTTGGGATTATCCGATATTGTTCCCTGCTAAAGGTGTTACAGGAAGTATTCCCTTGGTAAGAGGTAGTGATTTTCTATGAATTAGAGATATTGTATGTTATGACTGGGAGAAGACACAGATACAGTTAATACCCAGACCCAGAGATAACCAGGTATTTGTCTGTGGAGAAAAGAACAGTATTACCTGGGGGCAGAGGTTGGAGGAAGCATTACTCTTCACTGTATACCATTTTTCTGCCTGGTAAAATAAGATTCATATTAATCTATTATCTATTCAAAATTTACATTAAAATAACAACTACCAACACCCTGAGATGATAAATTTGGCAGTTATTCCCCATCAGACAATGTTTGTTGAGTATGCAAACCTGTCCCTCTTAATCTCAGAGAGTAATGGTGCTGTTTTATTTTCCATCTGAGAGCTATTCACTGGGGAAGCAAGGGGTGAGATCCTTGGGATGTAGTTTATTCACTGCAAGAAAAGGAACTCTGCTTCCATAGCACTTAAGAAAGCAATACTTTAGGCATTGAAGGGAGTGACAAGGGTGCTTCAGTGAAGTAGGCATAATCAGATGGGAATCAGTGGTGGGGTGATATTAGAAAGGCAGGAGAGAAAAAGATAAGAGGTAATTCCAAAGTGATGGGGCATCAGTAGAATATAAAGGCTACATGCTGGAAGCTAGTGCATACTTCAATAGAACTATATATATATATATATATATACACACACACACACACACATATATAAGGTATAATATGCATATTATATATAGTTCTATGCATATTGCTACATCCTATATATATCTAGTTCTATTGAGTATGATTATATATATATAGTTCTATTGTATAGGATAGTATATATACATATACACAAGGTATAATTTGCATATTATATATAGTTCTATGCATATATATATACAGGGTACAATACGCATATTATATATAATGCATATATTACATATGCATATTATACCCTATATATATATACACACACACACACACACAATAATATATATTCAACAGAACTAGATATATATACTAACATACATATTCAATAGAACTATATATATAATAAGCATCTTTTTTTGAGATGGAGTCTCGCTCTGTCACCAGGCTGGAGTACAGTGACACAATCTTAGCTCACTACAACCTCCATCTCCTGGATTCAAGTGATTCTTCTGCCTTAGCCTCCCGAGTAGCTCCGATTACAGGCGTCTGCCACCATGCCCAGCCAAATTTTTTATTTTTAGTGGAGATGGGCTTTCACCATGCTCGCCAGGCTGGTCTCAATCTCGTGACCTTGTGATCTGCCTGCCTCAGGCTCCCAAAGTGCTGGGATTACAGGTGTGAGCCACCACACTCCGCCATAGTATGCATCTTAATATCATAGGACAAGCAAAGTCCCATTAGTGAGTGCAGAACTCAGGACCCCAGCCCTGTGTGCTACTCCAACATTCCTCCAGCATTTCCCATCCAGGTGAATGGCACCACCATTCAGTCAACCAACCCTAAATGCAGAAATCAACTTGGACTCACTCATCCTTGTCTCAAAATTCCCATTATCAATTTATTGCCAAGTTCTCTTCATTGTATGCCCTAGAACTCTTGAATCTGCTGTTTAGTTCCCATCATCTCCCTCAATACCTTAGTTTAAGAGGGCATCAGCTGTCACTTGAACTACTGGAACAGACTCCTAACTGGTCTCCCTGTCCAATCTCCAATCTGTTTCTCACATTGTAACCAGTGTTTTATTAAAAGGAAAAAAAGAGGCTGGGCACGGTGGCTTACACCTGTAATCCCAGCACTTTGGGAGGCTGAAGCAGGCATACTACTTGAGGTCAGGAGTTCAAGACCAGCCTGGCAATCATGCTGAAACCCCATCTCTGCTAAAAATACAAAAATCAGCTGGACGTGGTGAGACGTGCCTGCAATCTCAGCTACTTAGGAGGCTGAGGCAGGAGAATCACTTGAACCCAGGAGGTGGAGTTTGCAGTGAGCTGAGATCATGCTATTGCACTCCAGCCTGGGTAACAGAGCAAGACTTTCTCTCAAAAAAAAAAAAAAATATATATATATATATATATTTATATATTTATTTATATATATAAATGAAAAGGAAAGAGAAAAAGAAACAAAGAAAAAATAGAAAAAGAAAGGGAGAAAAAACAGAAAGATGCTCCCCTGGTAATACATGTAAGACAATATCACCTCATTAATATCAATATTATCATTTTAGCGCATATAATACAAATCTGTTACCGCGTGTAGGTAAAAGACATGTTTTAAAAAACCAATGATGTGATCAAATTTGCTGGGAACTAGTTCAGGCTCTTTAAAATCCATTTCTTCTCCACAGACTATCCATGTAAGATGGTGAACTCATTCAAATGCTTTTATTTACTGGTCAGAATAGGCCCAGCAAAGATACTTTCTGAAATTATTTAACATTTGTTAGCTCTAGTTAGCATATGAATTTGAAAAAGATGCAAATGTATTACAGTCTTTCTGGTTTTTCCTTATTACAGACCAGTTTCTCATTCCATCTTTCAAAACTCTATAGTTTTTTGGATGACATTAAAGTAAATATTCAACATTATCAGGTTACTACAAAGCTTTATAATGACTTTCAGGAAGGAAAAGTACTTCATAAAAATCTCTAAAACAAATACTGGCTATAGAACAACATCCAATTAATTAATTTGCTAATTTTTCTCTTATATTGTGACCTGTGGCAATTCTATACTCATTTCTATTCTAACTAATTCCACTCTAAATCATCTAAATATTCAAACTGGTTCTTGGATGAATCATCTTTGTGAACCATATACTTCTCCAAGCTGCTGGATGACTTCTTATAGAGCTGCAACTAGCAAATATTTTGAGTATGAATACCCACAGTTTTTCCCCTTCTCACCTCACAAAAGGTAACTCCTCCTTTTCCAGCTTGGCTTTTGGAATTCTATGGTTTAGAACTAAAGCAATGAGTAAAGAAGATACAACAGGGAAAGTAAAGGCTAGTGATTCGTGTTGGAAAGAGCCAAGTGTGACTGTAAGGAGAAAGGCGGAGATAGATGCTGAGGACAACAGGGCAGCGAAGATGTGAAAATCTCCACATGGCTTGGGTGTTACACTTCAGACTTTACAGTGGAGGGAAAAACCTTGAAGAAAGGAGGGTACATTGTGAGGCATGCAGAATGGACAAGATGGTAAGGATAATTTCACATGTTTTCAGCATTCATTAACAGACTTCCCTCCTTGTAAACATCCTCGAAGAGATACCAGGAATAATTTGATTTGCTCTTCATTGTCTGATGATCTGTATTCCTTTCAATGTGATAACTGAAGTGAGAATTTTTTTAACTTTTATTTTAGGCTCAGAGGTACATGTACAGGTTCATTACATAGGTAAACTCATGTTATGGGGATGGTACAGATTATTTCACCACCCAGGTACTAAGCCAAGTACCCAAGTTATTTTTTTCTGCTCTTCTCCCTCCTCCTACCCTCTATCCTCCAGGAGACCCCAAAGTCTGCTGTTCCCCTCTGTGTGTCCATGTGTTCAAATCACTGAATTCCCACTTGTAAGTGAGAACATGCAATATTTGTTTTTTTGTTCCTGTCATAGTTTGCTAAGGAAAATGGCCTCAAGCTCCATCCATGTTCCTGCAAAAGACAGGATCTCATTTTTTATGGCTGCATAGTATTCCATGGTGTAGATGTACCACATTTTCTTTAGCCAATCTGTTATTGCTGGGCCTTTAGGTTGATTCCATATCTTTGCTATTGTGAGTAATGCTGCAGTGAACATTCACGTGCATGGGTCTTTATGGTAGAATAATTTATATTCCTCTGCATATAAACCCAGTAATGGGACTGGTAGGTCAAATGGTATTCAGTTTTCAGATCTTTGATGAATTGCCTTTCACAGTGCTTTTCACAATGAACTAATTTACACTCCGACCAACAGCATATGAGAAGTCTTTGAATCTCGCTTTTTGTTTTTCAGTTAATGTTTGGGACACATGGCCTTTTTAAGAATGAAATTGACTATGGAGGACATAACTGCCAATACTTTACCTATAAGAAGTCAGAGTGGCAAATGCACATACTTGGCAATAGAGTAGGGAACGGCCCCCAATCCACTGCGTCCCATTCTAGGGCTCTCATGAAGTAAACAGTACCCTGTTCTGCCCCAGTCATGTGTGAGGTCAGCACTCTTATTCTTTAGAAAGTTGGCTGTTCTAATGAATAGTTCATTCTCATTACTGACATCCTAATGAAAGAACACATTGTGAAACTTGATATTAATCCAATCAATCTTCCTAGCTTCCACAGTAGCCACATACAATATTTAGAGTCCAATTTAGAATTCTTTATTTGTAGGATGAAGATTATTTATGCACCTAGAGCTGTTGAGCCTGTTAGTTCCATTGGAGGGCGTGTACCATCCAGTCAAATCTTCAGTCAGCAAAGAGTTATTGTTGACCTGAAATACTGCAGGGCTAGATGGGGCATTAGGGATCCTATTAGAATTTAACTTCCATGAAGGAAGAAGTCTTATCAATTTACCCTGGAGTTAAAATTTGTATGTATTGGCAGGGCTGGGTGGCTCATGCCTGTAATCCCAGGACTTTGGGAGGCTGAGGTGGGCGGATCAAGAGGTCAGGAGTTTGAGTCCAGCCTGGCCAACAAAGTGAAACCCCATCTCTACTAAAAATACAAACAAGTTAGCTGGGCATGGTGGCGGGCACCTGTAATCCCAGCTACTTGGATGCCTGAGGCAAGGAGAATCACTTGAACCCAGGAGGCAGAGGTTGCAGCGAGCTGAGATCATGTCATTGCACTCTAGCCAGGGTGACAGTGCAAGACTCCATCTCGAAAAAAAAAAAATTGTATGAGTTTTATGTACTATACAGTTTAGCTTCATATGTTATAACGTGCAAATATTAGGAAACTATGGGTTCTAAACAAGATGCCAGATCTACAACAATGGTAAAAGCTTACATTTCAGCAACACTCTGCAGCTTACAGCATGGTTTTTTATTGTAAAAGGAGTTCTTTAGGAAAAAATTAGAAATGTAGCCTGTGAATCTCCCAGTACAACTCTCTAACGAACATTCCTTATGAATCTTATTCTCTCACAAGTAATAGATTCTCAGAATTACTCTTAAGCAAGATAAGCCAAAACAAAGTCTCTATTCTCTGTCTGGTAAAATATCTGCATATTTGTTCAGGGAGAAATTATTAATGGTGAAAGATTCTTTTGCTAAAGTCCATTCGGTTTAGGAATCCTGTTTCCTTCTCAGTTACTTTATTTTACCACCATACATAATTTAAGAAGGCTGATTTTTGTTTATCTGTTTTCCATTTAGGAAATCTGGAAATCTAGATTATACACAGATTGCACTGGGGAGCTAAAAATTTCAGTCCCTAGGAAAGTAATAACAAATGTTTGTTTTTCCAAGGCCAGAACGCCACTCTCACTTTCTCCCTTCACTGGGAAAGGTTTCCAGATTGTGCCTGCAGATTGTTCTTCTCTGTACGGCTGGAGGCAACACTTCTGCTGTAGTTTTCTGCTTCCAATGACTAAGGAAACAATGCCAGTTCTGGGATGTGGGCCTTCCTGAAAATTGAAGTTTGCACTTTCATGCAGAAAGCTAACAGCAATGTCATAGGCAATGAGGGTCAAGTGAACATTTTCGACTATTTTCAATCATTTGGTGTCCTTAAATGTCTAACTCATGGCATTTAAAAGAAAAAAAAAATCAAGGCATGGTCTAGCTCAGAGGTTTTGAGTCTGCAGAGTGGGTGATGGGGAAATTAAACACACACACAAAGTAACATTTTGAGTTCAATGGAAATGAGTAAGTCCCTTTTCCTAGTAGCAAGGCAGCTAAAAGACTTTTAGAACAGATTAGAAAAGGAGAAAATAAAAATTGTTGTGGAAGAAGCCATCTTCCCTCTTCAATAAATATTTAACCCTAAGGGAAACTAAAATAACTTCTTTGCACAATTCCACTATGTCAGCTCCTTAAAAGAAAGGCAACTTAAGTTAGTTTATAAAATTCTTCATAGCCAAGTCTCCGAAAAATATTTTGGGTCAGCCTACTTCAAGAGTATCATCTAACAATCAGATTCTTACAACAACGTGGGGGAATGGCTTTTGCCGAAATGAATAAAGGAATATAAAAACCATCAAATAACATGCACTTTTTTTGTTTTTAATTGAGACGGAGTCTCACTGCCACCCAGGCTGGAGTACAGTAGCACAATCTCAACTCACTGCAATCTCGGCCACCCAGGTTCAAGCGATTCTCCTGCCTCACCCTCCCAAGTATCTGGGATTACAGGTGTGCACCACCATGCCCGAGTAACTTTTGTATTTTAAGTAGAGACAGGGTTTTGCCAAATTGGTCAGGCTGGTCTCAAACTCCTGACCTCAGGTGATGTGCCCACCTCGGCCTCCCAAAGTGCTGGAATTATAGGCATGAGCCACTGCGCCAGGCCATAACATGGACTTTCTAACATTAACTGTTAAAAGGGAAATGTCAAATAACATCCAAGCAATGAAATTCCCAGAGAAGCACAACAGGACCCTGTGTGGCAAATCAGGTCTCACTAACACAGGCCTCCACAACTACTGTTTCGGCACTGACTGAGTGGTTAAGTTAAATAATAAAAGCTGAGGCAGCCAGAGCCCATCTACAAAGGCTGGGATGCAACCAAAGCCCACCCAGAATTGTGCCCAGGCCTTTCCTGGGGCTTAAATCCTGACAAGATACTGAAGGATTTCTTAACAGGACTTGTTTAGGATTAAACAAGTTTTACTGGGATCTGAAGAAACTCCCCAGGCCTCCACAAACAAGTTTATTGCGGGGTCTAAAAGAACTCCCCCAACCTCCATGATTAGCACGAGACAAGATAAGGGTAATCACCCCAGCACCTAGACCCATTTAGATTAAATTTACTGAAGGTCCAGATGAAGGTCCTCAGGACTCAGATCTTAGGTACAGATGACAATAAATGAACCACTTAGGTCTTCAGATGAATGCACACTTACATGTAGACATACAACTTAGAAGGTATATAATCTTTGGAAAACTTTGTAATTTTGAGTCGGTCTGGCAATATTTTCCAGACCTTCTCCCTGTAACTGGTTACAGAAATAAAAACTCTCTTCCTCCCCAGTTCATCTGCACCTCATTATTAGACCACGAGAAATAGCAGTGTGACCCTCAGTTTGGTCCAGAAACACCTTTCCTGCCCAATTAGCTGTCTCCTGATGGACACATGAGTCTCCTGGCCATCTCCCCAACCTCCACCCCAATTATGGGCTTCCTTTTGCTGCACCCTAAATTTCAAGGGCCCTGACTTTTGCTTACCCATGACAAGCAGAATTTTATTGAGTCACTATAAACTGGCTCAATAATCTTTATATTTGCTATTAGGCTACACATGTGCCCGTTTTGCTTATTTATCTTCAGCTGAGCAGTTCCCAAGGGAAAGGAACTAGTATAAAGATAGATGCAATTACACCTTAAATACATAAGCCTGACCATTACCAAGAGCCTTGTATGGTTCTCTCTCAACTGTAGATCCCATTTATATGTTCTAAAGGACAAAATCATCATCACACTTCCCAGCATTTTAATTGCATGGCAAAATACATGATATGTAACGTTACTTTTTTTTTTTTTTTTTTGCATGTTCAATCTTGATTCTTGCCATTCACAGTGTGTTCCAAGACATCAACATCACCTAGGAGCATATCAGAAATGCTTAATAGGTCAATCCCCAGATCTACTGAATGGCAATCCGCACTTTTAACAAGTCCTCCGTCTGATTTTTGTGCATGTTCAAGTTTAAGTATCATTGAATTAAATGATTCTCACTTTTTCATTTATTGAACAAACATTTATTGATTTCCCACACTGTTGTCAGATACCCTTGAGAGATACTCAAACAGGGGCAAGACGGATAGCAAACTAGTTTCCAGATTTCCACTTGAAGTGAATTAACTTCCAACTACATAGAAAAACAACCAGAAGAAAATGAAAAATCCTTCCATTTTGTATGCTATTTATACAGTCACTCACATGAGATTTTAGTTTCAAAAGCTACTTTGTCATCTACTGCTTTCTAGAGACCCTTACTTTGTACTTTATCTAAAAGATAAAAGGAGTCTTTTTAGGAAAAACTGAACGTCCACGGGCCTACTCCAGTGATTTAAAAGGCAAAAATTTTAGGGAGAGAAAAAAGTAATTGCAAAGAATTAAAAAATGTTGGTATCCTGAATTTGCTCTTTAACCATCCGGCCAGGTGATTACCGGGCCCTCTAGAAGCTTGTTACTTAAAGTGTAGCGTGCACGGAAGGGCGGCTTTTGAATCACCTGGAAGCCTATTAGAAATGCAGATGCTCCGACCCCACCCGAGACTTATTGAACCAAAATTTGCATTTAGCAAGATCCCCAGGCAATGCCTATCACTGTTAAAGAGTGAGAAGCACTATCCTAGAGTAGGAAACCACTTCCTTAACTTATTGCATGAAAAACAAAAATAGGTAGCCCTGACTTTTGGTACTACCAGCCCGTCTGGTTGGCCCAGGACTAAGGTGTTTCCAGGGTGCTGGGTTTTCAATGCTGAGTGCTAAAACTGGGACAGTCTTGGGCAAACAGACATGGTTATGAGGCAGGAAAACAGCAAGACTTGTTTTCAATACCCTGTTGATCAAAACTGGATGTCGCAAAGAAATTGGCCCAAACCAGTAGGACTAGGAACGATAATACATCTGCATAAGACAATCCTACCAGCACCATGACAGTTTACTGACACCATGACAATGCCCAGAAGTTATCTTAGATGGTGTATTAGGGTTCTCCAGAGGGACAGAACTAATAGGATATATGTGTTTAATATATATGAAAGGAAGTTTATTAAGGAGAATTGACTCACATCATCACAAGACGAAGTCTCACTATAAGCCATCTGCAAACTGAAGAGCAAGGAAGCCAGTAATGACTCACTCCGAGTCCCGAAACCTTAAAAGCAGGGAAGCTGACAGCGCAGCCTTCAGTCTGTGGCTAAAGTCCCAAGAGCCTCTAGCAAACCACTGGTGTTAAGTCCAGCGGTCCAAAGGCTAAAGAACCTGGAGGCTGATGGTCAAGGGCAAGAAGTATCCAGCACAGGAGAAAGACGAAAGGTGGAAGACTCAGCAAACTAGCTCATCCCACCTTCTTCCACCTGCTTTATACGAGCTGTACTGGCAGCTGATTGGATGGTGCCAACACAGATTGAGGGTGGGTCTTTCTCTCCCAGGCCGCTCCCTCAGGTGTTTATCTCCTCTGACAACACCTTCACACACATACCCAGAAACAATAGTTCACCAGCTCTCTAGGCATCCTTCAATCCAATCAAGTTAACACCTAATATTAACCATCATGAATGGCTCTGGGAACTCCCTCTTTTCCAGAAAGTTTGCGAATAACTCACGCCTTATTAGGTTAATGCAAAAGTCAATGCAGTTTTTACCTTTTTTTAACTACAAAGACTGCCATTACTTTTGCACCAACCTAATAGCATATAATGATAAGTAGCTAGAAATACAGCTAGCCAACAATCCAGGAGTGCTACTCGGCCTGTGGGGTGGCCCTGCTGTGTCTATGGAGCAGCCATATTGCTGTGCACGGTTTCCCCTAGTAAACTGGCTCTCCTCCATCAGCACACTTTTGAATTCTTTCCTGAGCAAAGCTAAGAACTCTTCGAAGCTGAGCCCCAGTTCTGGGATTCACCTGCATCAGCTAGTCACCGTACCCCATCTTCACACATCCTAGATTATAAGCTACCAAATATAGCCTAATTTTCTGCCCAGTCTCCCTCCTGGATGGCAACAAAATATACCCATTCTTCTTTTTCCTAAAAGACTCCCCTCCTACCCCAAGATGTAACAAGTAGCCATTTGAAGAGAAACTTGAGATATTAAAAACAAGAATTCATTTTTTTTCTCTAAACCTCTACAGAAAGGAAGAGTCATCAGTTCAAACTGCAGATTGAATTACACTCCCCGAAGCATCCTAGGGAACACAATCTAATCACAGATGCTCAATAAACTATGGTGCCACTAAATCTACTTTACTTTTACTCCATTTGTTCCATTTATCATGGGTTATTTTCATTATCTTGGGTGTATAAATATTTTAGTTCATATAAACAACTTAATTAGTGAAAAGCACAAAATTAAAGCCAAAAAAGCACATTTGCTTTGGCCAGAGAAACGAAAGGCACTAGTCAACAAAGCACAGATATATGTGTCTTTGAATACAGACAGCTGTTATCTTAGTTAGCATGGCTGCAGTTAGAATTGGGGGTGTTATCTGGGCTTCCTATTTAAGCATCAGGGGTCTGGTTCAGAATTAGGCAATGTTTCAGCTCCCTGCCATTCTGAATTAAACAACATAGCAGCTCTCTGTCTCTCCCTATCTATTAAGCAGGACCACCTGGTGATAGCCTCTACTTCTTCTGTCTCAGAATGGCTTTCACGTTTGCCCAAATCCATCAATTCTCAAAATTTAACCTTTTTCAGAGTTTATCAAAAATGCAAGTTTCTAGATACAATCTATGCAGATTCAGGAAGCATGTAACAGGATCCAGGAACTCTTCTCTGGGACTAGTATCCCCAGTGATTCTTAGGCACCTCCAGTTTCTCTTAGGGACACGACCAGAGAAGAGACTAGAAACGCCCTGCTTTCATTTGTTCTGCTAATCACAATGAGACCTATTTATTAAATGCGTGCTAGATGCTGTTTAAGGGTGTGGCATATATTTATAGTCTTTCTAACATGCCTATGTGTTGGGTTTTATCACTATCAACTTCATCATCACCATCATCATCATCATCATCCCTATTCCCATCATCACCATCACCGCTATCACCATCACCGTGATCACCATCATCATCATCTCCATTTCAAAGACAAGAAAATACTGACACAGAAAGTTTAAGTACCTTTCCAAAAGTCAGCTAGCTACCAGTTAGTAGAAATGGGATAGCAACTCAAGTCGAGTGGTTCTAGAGCTCATGATTGCAGACATAATGTTGTGTTACTTCTTACCAAATGATATTGGATTTTTAAACATCATAAAACCAGGTATAATGGACCCCAAGAGCCAACGTGGTTTGGAAACACCAGAACTTTAATGCCTATAGTTGGAATGGTCCAATTTACTCATAAATCTCTAGGACCTTTCCAGAACCAAGGAGAACAGATACAGTGCCCAGTATGCTATTGTTAATGCTGGTGCTGTTTCATTTCTTCTGTCATGAAAATGGAAAGTGCTTCTTTTACCCCCATTGTAATATAATAGGTGCAGTAAATGAATGATGTCACAGGAACCTGAAATCAGCAACATTAGGCTTGTACTGGGGGAAACAGGATATATGTGTTTAACTGTTTTATCTTCATGTTATTGCGCAACAAAGCAACTCTATCTCTCTCCCCCTTTCTCTCGCTCTCTCTTTCGACCACCTGTTAATAATCTCCACTCTCTGCTTCATAATGATTTTCACCTTTGCCCACATTCATTGCTCTGAAACGGTAACTTTGTATAGAGATTTCTGAGATTTACCAGGATCCTAAGGACAGCGTTATGGGGGAATAACAATATCCATCAAAGGCACGGCCAATTTGGACAGATTCCTTA
This sequence comes from Homo sapiens, assembly GCF_000001405.40. Lineage (NCBI taxonomy): Eukaryota > Metazoa > Chordata > Mammalia > Primates > Hominidae > Homo > Homo sapiens. The sequence continues at coordinate 6,797,204 of NC_000016.10, read as the reverse complement.
GTAAACATAGGCGACTCAGACTGATCCTTGCTAACAAATTCTGCTGCTGCTGCTGCCTATCTGCAGAGTAGTAAAACAACGAACAGCAGAGCCTTCTACCTGTGGGAGGATCGATGTGTTACTCTATTTATTTGCTTCACTAGAGCAACCCAGAGAGTGGAAACCTTTTAGACCAGCAGTCCAAATCTTGACATTTAGACTGCCCGTGGCATCTTATGTTTTCCCACTAAGGAATGCCCTGTTTCCTCTCTCTCCTAGTACTCAATGATTTCCAATTTGAGATGTGGAAGAAAGGGGGTGGAGACATAGGTACATTTAACAAAGAACAAGACAAGCAGTCATCATGCAACTTATTGTCTTCTATCATTCCCAAAATTTATCAAAGAAACAATGTAGATATTTATGACTGAGGGACATAGAAGAAGTTGGAAGGCAGATGTAGGCCCATCTTCATGGGGCGTTTAGGATCATAAATGTGTACCCAGGAGAGAAAGTTCATCAAAAAAGAATCTCTTACCAATTGGTAACATCTGTACATATTTAAGAATTACAAGAGAAAATTTTTAACAAGAGACAGAGAGAAAGTTCCTTTGAAAAGTGTTTAGGATAGGTATGAATAAGGGTAGAAGGAAGTAGATAAATGAAATATTAAGCAGTGAATTCATAGACAACATCTATTCTGTTATTTACAGTGGATGAAAGAGTTATTTATTGAAAATGGAAAATGATATAGTGGAAGAGTGTTGATTTGGCAGTGGGGGGTTAGGGTGCTTTATCTGTTTTAAGGAATCGGGCTCAAGTTTGCTATTTCTTGGTTTTGCCAAAAAATGACTATAGTAACTGATATGGTTTGGCTGTGTACCCACTCACATGTCGTCTTGAATTGTAACTGCCACAATTCCCAAGTGTCATGGGAGGAACCCAGTGAGAGTTGACTGAATTACGGGGGTGGGTCTTTCCTTCACTGTTCTCTTCATAGTGAATAAGTCTCTTCAGATATGATGGTTTAAAAAATGGGAGTTTCCCTGCACAAGCTCTCTTCTCTTGTCCGCCACCATGTGAGACATACCTTTCACCTTCCGCCATGACTGTGAGGCCTCCCCAGCCACGTGGAAATGTAAGCCTAATAAACCTCTTTCTTTTGTAAATTGCCCAATCTCAGGTATGTCTTTGTCAGCAGCATGAAAATGGACTAATACAGTAACCATGATATTTTAAAACTTTGGTTTCCTAGAAAATAACATTCCCTTATCCCAATGTTTCTCAATGTTTGGATTCACTGACAGGTAAACACAATAAAAACATAAGAACATAAAAGGAAAGGGAAGGCAGGGGGTGATTTTGTGGAAAGCTGACATACATGTGTCATTTCTTGTTTTCTCATGAAAATAAAAGAAAGCAACGATGACTATCTTTTTTTTTTTTTCATTTTTTATTTTTAGATGGAGTTTCACTCTGTCACCCAGGCTAGAGTGCAGTGGTGCAACATTGGCTAACTGCAACCTCTGCCTTCTGGTTTCAAGCGATTCTCCTGCCTCAGCCTCCCAAGTAGCTGGGATTACAGGCACCCCCAACCATGCCAGGCTAATTTTTGTATTTTTAGTAGAGACAGGGTTTCACCACATTGGCCAGGCTGGTCTTGAACTTGTGACCTCGTGATTCACCCACCTCGGCCTCCCAAAGTGCTGGGATTACAGACGTGAGCCAACGTGCGCAGCCAACAATGTCTCTCTTTAAGCATCAACATTTGATAAAGACGTAACTTAAAAAAAATGGGAATTAATTTAACTTGAGGACAAAACTCCCCAGAGCTGATTTTTTTTCTTCTTATTTTGTTGTGGACTCGGGTGAAATGCAATAGCACATCAGCAGCCCTGAAACCAGTGTTGGAAAAATCACTGAATTAGATGAGCTCTCAAGGCCCCTTCTATCAAGGTGACTTGACTGTGTACAATTAAAAAATTTAGGTGGTTTGTGGACACAAGTGGGTAACCTAGAAGTCACAAATTATACCCAGCTTGGAATTAGCACTATGAAATATCTGGTCCTTACTATGAATCAACAGAACTTGGCTTTCTGAGGAGGAAAGTAGATAAAATATACCCAGAAATGGAAACTCATTTTTTTAAAGTGACATATATCACATCAACTATCAAGAGAAAATGTGCAGTATGACGAAAAGAGAATTAAGCTGACTGTCAGGAGATGTGAATTTTAGCCCTCACTCTGTTTAAAAACTGGTGATTTAGGGAAAATTACTCAATATTTGAGGTCTCAGTTTGCTCATCTGTGAAATGAATGGGTTGATCCAGAGGCCTTCCCTCCATTTTTTTCATAGGGGGAAAAAAGCCCTTGACAATTACCTTGGAAAGCAGTGCCTGCATCAAATAAAAATCCATGTACCATCTGCTACTGAAAGAAAACATTAAACATGTTTCCCTACATCAACCACACATTTGTATGAAGAATACTGGATCCAAGCTGCTATTATGATTTACATTAAACATTCTGGGATGCATACATTGGAACCATAAGTGATGGGGGGAAGGGTTTGGTTTCTCTCACCCGCTTTACATGCCTAGAAACTATTCCATGATTTATATGTAGGTCACTGAATGAGTTTTCTGCTAAACAGCCTATGCAAATGACCATGCACCAATCACTTAAAATAATTAGGAACTTATAAAATGACCATATGTAGTCATTATGAATAATTACATTAAATCACAAAGGAAACTTCTCTCCCATCCCTCCCCCTGCATCCTGAAGGGAATCTGAGCAATAGAAAAGCAGCAGGTAATTAAACCCCATTTTTTTTCAAAGAGTGTAGTTAAGGAAAGCAATTTCCTGTAGTTTGAGAATGCCTCATGTTTGTATTAGCCCGATTGGAATGCCTTCATTGTAAAAAAAAAAAAAAAAAAAAATCACGAACAAGAAAACAACACACAACATGGAGCAAAGTGAAGAGCTCTGAGAGGACCTAAAAGTCACAAGCCTTCTCCCAGTAATCCCGCATCAACTTCTCCAGGTAGTGATGGGAAGAACTTAGGGAACACTTTCCAGCATAGGAGCGATTTAACAGTACACCTCATCCCATGCTCCCTAAACTTATAGTTCAGTCATTTCAGATGTTATTGGGCAGTATGTTGACTCCTGTTTGATAGAAATTCCCTAGCGTGCTTCATTACCTAACCAATAAAGCAATCCGGTGGAGTTACTGAATCATACACCACTTGCTGTATTACCACCCTCTTGTTTTCATCTCAGTATGTGATCACTCCCCTGGACTACTGCTCAAGAGGGAGATAGATGTTTCATAACCTTTTTAAAAAAACTCATTTCCATCAGCTATACCAGACCTCCACTTTAATACATCACCTTCTACTAACCAAAGAAACAACCAACCAAATCCACACACCAACATAAATCTAAAATGAATCATGGAAACTAATGTTTCTTGCTGTGTTATTTTAATTTAATATACTCTAACAACAGGGTGAAAAGATGGCCAATGCACTGTTTTCATTTCCTACAGAGCAAGTTATAATACTTTGGCTCAAGATTTCTTTTTTTGCTTAACAGTAAAGCTTTCAGTTTGCTCTTGTGAAGAATGAGTCATTTCAAAACAGAGGGAAGGGCCAAGAATTGAAATGTAGGCAGGTCAATAACAAAGACCTAGAAATGTTTGGAAATGGCCAAAATGTCAAAACACTCAGGAATACCAACAATGTCCACTGAGACACTGAGATGAAGGGATATTTCTCTCAGAGAATTCTGTATTACGAACAGGTAAGAATGTCCCACCCTCCTGCAGTGAACCTATAGAGTCCAATCAATCTCAATGGAAGAAAATCATATTTTGGAAAAAAAACTCAACTTCTCCAATCAAATTTCACTTTAAAAATTTTATGTAAAATCTAAGCCTAACAGGGGGACCACATTTCTCCTCCAATCGGTCTACTGGAATGTTCTTAAAATTAACAAACAGTACCTTTTTAAAAATTATACTGTTTGATCAACAGGATCATATTATCTGTTTTAATTTCTGGGTTCTTAAAAAATAATACCCAAATCTGGTGACAGCAGGCGTACCATGAACTTTTGTGCAATCTGGCAGAGAGCATCCAAGTGGCTAACAGATGTACAGCATTATCGCTTCTATTTTTTTTTTTTTTTCAGATGGAGTCTCACTCTGTCGCCCAGCCTGCAGTGCAGTGATGCAGTCTCAGCTCACTGCAACCTCTGCCTCACGGGTTCAAGCAATTCTCTGCCTCAGCCTCCCTAGTAGCTTGGATTACAGGTGCCCGCCATCACACCCAGCTAATTTTTTGTATTTTTAGTAGAGACAGGGTTTCACCATCTTGTCCAGGCTGGTCTTGAACTCCTGACGTCATGATCCATCTGCCTCGGCCTCCCAGAGTGCTGGGATTACAGGCGTGAGCCACCATGCCGGCCCATCACTTCTATTTATATCCCCTTCAAGAACAATCTATTTTGAATTCTTTAGAATGTCAGATACAACAGACATGAAAACCAGAAATGAAAAAGACATGACATCAAGTTACCATAGACAGCAATGTTACATGAAGGCTTTTTGCAACCCTGACTTCGTAGTAGGAGGCACAGTACTACATGGCGTTGAGTGTACATGGGGACATCTCAATTTTTAACCTTTATATGAAATTGAAATAAAATTTGTGGTGGTAGATGACACAAAAATATGGAATTCATCTCACCCCAGTCTTTCTGGAAGGTATGAACAGGTTGACCTTTAATTATATATTTAAATCTACCTATTTGCTAAATCAAAAAATGCATAATTCTGCATAAAGATATGCAATTATAGAATCCTAAAATGCTGAAAGGACTTGAAAGCGTCCTTAGGGATCATCCTGAGCAACGTTTTCCAAACTTTAGATGTATTTATGTAATCTTCACAATTCTTACAAAATCTAAATATCACCTATAATTCTCCAATAGTGCTTTAAAATTGACCTTGTTTTGTTATTACTCACCTTAACTACCTGCTAAGAAAAAATATACAGAAAAAGCATAGTTTATGTGTTTCAATTTTTTTCTATTTATGTGATATAATTAATACCACTATTAAAATGTATTTAGGTATTATCAGTAATATATGTGATAGTTCGTGAAACGCAATTCAGGGTAAAATCTTTCATTTTTCAAGTAGGAAAACAGAACTCCAGAGTTCAAAGTCAGACTATAAATCCAAGACACATTTGGGAATAGAATTCGGCTCTCCTAAGTTCCAGTCTCTAGTTCTCTCTCTCTCTGTGTTAGATAACTTAACACATATAAAGTTATTAAACAAGAGTTACTTAATATATAAAAGTATTGAACCAGTACCACCTTCCTGGAGGTATGACTGTGTACACACAGGGATGCCACTCAAAGGGTCCTGCACCTGGTTTGATGCTTTTTTTGAGACAGACTCTCACTCTTTCCCCCAGGCTGCAGTGCAGTGTGGCACGATCTCTGCTCACTGCAACCTCTGCCTCCCAGGTTCAAGCAATTCTCCTGCCTCAGCCTCCCGAGTAGCTGGGACTACAAGCACGCACCACTACACCTGGCTGATTTTTGTATTTTTAGTAGAGATGGGGTTTCACCATGTTGGCCAGGTTGGTTTCGAACTCCTGACCTCAAGAGATCCACCCACCTCGGCCTCCCGAAGTGCTGGGATTACAGGTGTGAGCCAATGTGACTGGCGTGATGCTCTACTTTCGCCATCTTGAAGTTCTTTACAATTTTTTAGGAAGGGGCCCTGAACTTTCATTTTCACAGGGCTGCACCTATTAGACAGCCAGTCCTGCCTGGAAAGAGAAATAATTTGATGCAAAGTATTTTAAAATGAATAATCAATAACTAATCATATATAATGAATGTATTAAAAAAGAAAAGCAATTTCCATGCAGCTGAGTCAATGGCAGCTGGAATCTCCTAGCATCTTCTGCCAACTCTATAAAGATAGACAAGAACAGGCCGGGTGTGGTGGCTCACACCAGTAACCCCAGCACTTTGGGAGGCTGAGGCGGGAGGATCTCTTGAGGTCAGGAGTTTGAGATCAGCCTAGCCAAGATGGCAAAACCCCATCCCTACAAAAAATGCAAAAATTAGTCAGGTATTGTGGTGGCATGCCTGTGGTCCCATCTGCTCAGAAGGCTGAAGTGGAAGGATTACCTGAACCTGAGAGCCAGAAGACGCAGTGAGTCAAGATCATACCAATGCACTCCAACCTGGGTGACACAGTCAGACCCCATTGCAAAAAAAAAAAGATAAACAGGAAAAAATAAACCACACAAATACCATCCTTTACCATAATTTGGTGACACACACAAAACTATAAAGTTAAATAACTGTGATTTGAAAATAAATACCACCCTCTAGCAGAACTATTTTCCTATTTCCCATCCTGAGCTTTTGACAAGAATAAGGAGGGTCTAGAGACACAGGAGAAGAAGAAGAGGAGGGATGGAGAGCCAAGACTGAACTGAAATCACATCCACCATACAAGTGAAAATAATGACAGACAGAACAGGAAGCTCAGAGTCCTAACTACAGTAAAGAGACTTAAAAACATGTGCTGAATTGGAGAAGGCAGTGTTGGGAAAACAATGGTTTGGGGGAATAGAGGCTAAATAGGAAAGGAGAACCACACTTTGCAAACTATGATGCAAACAAAACAAAAAGAACGATGGAGGGCGCCATGCCCAGTGCCTCACGCCTGTATTCCCAGCACTTTGGGAGGCCGAGGTGGGTAGATCACCTGAGGTCAGGAGTTCAAGACCAGCCAGGCAAACATGGTGAAACCCCATCTCTACTAAAAATACAAAAATTAGCCAGGCATGGTGGCGGGTGCCTGTAATACCAGCTACTCGGTAAGCTGAGGCAGGAGAATGGCTGGAACCCTGGAGGCAGAGGTTGCACTAAGCTAAAATTGTACCACTGCATTCCAGCCTGGCTGACAGAGCGAGAGTCTGTCATAAAATAATAATAATAATAATAATAATAATAATAGAATAAAATAAAATCCAGAATCTAAGAGTCACATTTAAATCAGAACCAGAAGAAAATTCACAGCATGAAAAATTTCAATATAATAGAAAAATATAAATAAGTTTATTAAATCTCCATCTCAAAAATTTAGAAAAATAACAGTAAATTCAAACAAACAAAAAAGCTTAAGAAAGGATTCATAAACGTAAGAAACCAGTAAGTTACGGAAGACCAGAAATCAATAAGTTAGGGAAGAGAATAATTATAGATCTAATTAATAAACCAAATCATATGTTTTAAGGGTATTTTTTGAAAATAAGAAAAAAAGTAGCTAACCACTTAATGAAGAAAAAGGTGGGAGAAAGCACAAAGACAGAAAATGAGAAATTACAAGAGGATCACCATTCAAACAGAAGATTTTTTAAAAAACTAAGAGACTACTATGCAGACTTCTGTGTAAATTACTGTGAAAATTCGAAGACATGGAGAAAATGAAACAAGAAAAGGATGAAAATGGGCAAAAGAAACAGACAACTCACACCAATGCACACAAATGTAAAAATGCCTTTTATGCAAAGATGGGCACAGCACTGAGTCAAACAGTCCCCACTGTCTATGGATACAGAAAATGGCGCCTATTGAGTGCAATAATTTGCTTAAATTTGCACAACCAGCATAGGTAATAACTGAGAATGAAATGACTGCTTCTCTCTAAAATACCAACTTGACACCATTAGTGTTTCTCTCGCCTTCCACACGCTTCACTTTCTTTGTCTTAAAAATTATAAAATTGATATTAACACCTAGGACCCCTTAACATTGTAACATTCTGGAATACATCTCAAAGCGGAAACTCACCACCTTGAAGACAAGGTCTTATACCACTGGCTATAAATATCAACTGCTGTATTTAAGTTCTGGTGAACCATGGGGATCGCGGCTTGGGAAATGATACAATGACATTCATCTTGTCACGTGCATTTCATGACTTACAGTCTTTAAACCTTAATGTTTCTTCTGAAGAACACTCTACCCACAAGCAGTGGGCAGGCGGTAATTTTTCACTAAAATCCTAATCTGGTAAATTCAGGGAGGCTGTTTAATAGCTTCCCTGTTTAATAGGCAATTTCGCGACATCCATGTTTCTATACAGCAGGAGAACCATCTTCAGACTGGGTCCATCCAGAAGTGACTTTTCAGGGAATAAAACCACATGTCCCATTGTGCGGCGGAAAGAATAGAGAATGCTAGGAGGAACTCGGGAAGTTGGCTTGGGGACGCTGAGTTCTTAGAGCAGAGAGTTAGCTACAGAGTGACAGTATTTCTCAGAAGTGAGGCGATGCCATTTTAGGACATAAGATGGAAATTGGCACATCGTATGACATCACAGAGGCATCCTCAGAAAAATCAGTGGGGGGCCGGGCACGGTCGCTCACACCTGTAATCCCAGCACTCTGGGAGGCCGAGGCGGGCGGATCACGAGATCAGGAGATAGAGACCATCCTGGCTAACACGGTGAAACCCCGTCTCTACTAAAAATACAAACAATCAGCTGGGCATGGTCGTAGGCACCTGTAGTTCCAGCTACTCGGGAGGCTGAGGCAGGAGAATGGCGTGAACCCAGAAGGCAGAGCTTGCAGTGAGCCGAGATCACGCCACTGCACTCCAGCGTGGGCGACAGAGCAAGAGACTCTGTCTCAAAAAAATAAAAAATAAAAAATAAATAAATAATAATAAAAAAAAAATCAGTGCAGCACCTGTGTCCAAAGCAGGCTGACTATTTTCAGAGAGACGATAATAATTATTATGAAACTAGTTACAAGGTAGTTACATGCCTCACCAGCTTGTGTTGAACCTGAATAAAATACTCTGCAGATGCTGGGGAATTTTGGAAAAGGGACATCCTATTCAAATCAGAACAGGTATGATGCAGCAGACCTCATTGGCTTATTTTATTATTATTATTATTTTAGATGGAGTTTCACTTTTGTTGCAGGCTGGAGTGCACTGGCACGATCTCAGCTCACTCCAACATCCGCCTCCCAGGTTCAAGCGGTTCTCCTGCCTCAGCCTTCCCAGTAGCTAGGATTACAGGCATGCGCCACCACACCTGCCAAATTTTGTATTTTTAGTAGAGATGGGGTTTCACCATGTTGGTCTGGCTGGTCTCGAACTCCTGACCTCAAGCGGTCCCCCCACCTCGGACTCCCAAAGTGCTGGGATTACAGACATGAGCCACCGTGCCCGGCCTCATTGGCCTTTCACCAGCTGTTTAGTAATGACAGATTGGCTATTAATATTAAAACTTCTCTCTATAGTATCGAGTTACGCTTATGTTAACTTTATAGAATATAAATATACTTCTATTTCAGTAGACGTGGATTAAGTTGTATTATGGAGGAAGACTAAGTCCTTTACAACTCCAGGTTTTGGGGATTAAGCCAGCAGAAGCTCTGTGCTCATTTGCAGCTTGGTTTAGAGTAATCAATGGAATGCTACGATCATGAATCACTCAGGGATGCAATCTCTTTCATCTTGTAATAACGTGTCTTCAAAACCTGGCCTCCAAGGTCACAGTGGATGGAGAACAGAGACTGTGAAGGGTGTCACAGGTGATTTACGGCTAAATCTGGAATTGGCACAAATTAATACAGTTTACACCCAATTTCTATTGCCCAGCATACAGTCACACAACTTCAACTTAACCACAGGGAGACTCCAATTCACACTCTAACTGTATAACCAGGAGAAAAATAAAATAATTTTGGAAATCACACGGCATTGTTGCTATTTCTGATGTTAATCATTTCACCGTTTCTGCATAAAATCCTAAGTTGAAAGAACTTCTTTATGTGCTGTTATTGATGAATACACGAACATGGCAGGACCAACCTGGCTTTTGCTCTTAAGATTATGCTGCCTAGAACGGGCCGATCAGTTAGGGAACTGCATAGAGAATGCTGCCTGCTTTATCCAGCTTATTTCTGTCCAAGCGTGCCACATACGACCTTCACTCCACACATCTGATAAATGTTTCATCAACGTTTCTTGGAGAGCACTCAATTGGGGCAGGAAATCATTGCATTTCGGTGAAGGTACAATCTATGAGGGATGCTTTCTTTTCACGTATTCAAAATTCAAATCAACTAATGTATTTCTGACATTCCAACCTGAACCCCAAAGCAGGAAGTTTTTAGTGAGATGGGTGACCTGTGCAGAGGGAGACATGGTCATGACACTTTCAGATAAGGTCCCTAAGAGTCAATAAGCCTTTTTTTTTTTAAAAGTAAAAAAGCCTGCCGGCTAAGCAATTCTCTTCCTTCTGGTCTGAAATATGCTATCCTCAAATCAATTCCCTACCCTTTTAGTCAATTGTGACCATGACCCTCGATGTGACCTCATGTCCACTTCCATTGGGTGGAGTTTCTTTAAGTATCTCATTTCCAACTGTTTAAGGAAAGAGCTAGATGGGAGCACCGTAGTGCTAGGGTCCCCATTCAGGGAAAACAGAACTTTGTTGACCTACTTGACCTCTAAATGCGCACAGAGCACCATCCATTCTCCTCATCCCCTTCATAAGGATCAGGGGAACCAGCTTTGTCCTTATTATTAATTTTTGGAGAGGTTTTTTGGCTTACTGTTTCCTTTCCAGGATCTCTGAACTCTGTCTGAAATGTTCACAGCTACAGTCTTTTAAGGGGCTACACAGCTCTTTGTTGTTATTTTTCTGCTTTTTCCCTGTAAAAATGTTTCTTCCACTTGATCTACCTCCTGAAAAATGATGCATGAAGCCCAAAGGTACAAGAAGAATAATGCTGTCTGGGACAACAGGGACTCTCCTCATTGTGGGGGTACATTGTGGGCCTTTGTAATGTGGGAAGAATTATAACAAGTGGTTAAGAGATCTCAGAGCCAAAAAGCCCCGTCTCCTGGCCAGGCCCATACTTGTGAGGGTCCAGTTCTGACCCTCTTCTGACATACCCCTCCCCAAGGAATGAGGAGTCAACAGGGTCATGGGAATCTTCGCCTGGCCCCCGAACTCCATTCATTTAGGGGGACCCAAAGTCATGCAGACTTTTGCCAAAGTGACAAAGCCCACTCCAGGCCCTGAACAGGCTTCTGCCCCAGGTACATCCTCCCCAGTGCAGACACTACCATTTGTGTGTGTCTCTAAGCTCAAGATGGGGTGTTTAAGGAGCAGCTATTTGGAAGGATGGTCTGTTGGTAAGTGCCACCTGGGAAGTCACATGCATGTACACAAGGTTCCTCAGTCACAGTGCCATTTTTTGTAAATGCTAAGCGGAGCCTGAGGAGCAGCATCAGTTTTAGAGTCTAATGGACTTTGAGTCTAATTCTAGCTCTGTATTCTAAAGTAAGTTCTCATCATGCTCTCATTGTTTCCTGCATTTGTTTGGTATCCTCATCTGGAAAATGATGATAACAATAGTGGAATTGGTATTTCATATTCATATGATATTAAACTGGACAGTGGCTGTAACATGCTCACATGGAACATGGTACATGGAACGTGGAAATAAATATTAGGTAAGTGTTTCTGATGGTTATTGTGCAGTTGAAAACAAAGGAAAAATAGCTTATTTAATGGAAAACTTGTCCCCACATGTTGAAGTTTTTATTTAAGTGGTAAGAGGAACTACTGCTGAGTGTGCTTTGGGGAAGGTAGGATGGAAAGGTGTTGCCCAGATGCAAATGGCTTTTATTGCCAATTGTCTAGTCTAGATTCTTCCTAAGGATCAATGCAGTTTTGCCCAGCCTAAAAACAGTGACCTCTCCTTAGCAACAATAACTCCACTCCCTAAAAGCTCTATACACAGGGCAACTGGGAAATTTGCTGAACCACAGAGATGTCTGGATAAATGAGATGGCTTATGGCCCACCATCCATGGTGTTTAGAATAATTCTTGTTTTGCATAAACTCTTATGTTAGTTACGAACGGACTGGGAGATTCCCTCAAATTCTCTCCTTTGTCATTTTTTTTCTCCAGAGCAGACCAGATCTCGTAGATCTCTTTGTTCAGAAATGAAATATAACACTATATTTAATAATGAATATTTTTGGAAGGAACCATGACCACTTTCTAAAGTCACATCCAGTATTTCCTAAGAGTAATCTCTTTTATGTTAAATGCCTATTTTTTTTCACTCAGAAGTGCAACAAATCAATGTCAATGCCAACCATGAGTTTACCCAAGGAAGAAAGATCCCCTATATGAGCAGTTAAGAAACACTGCTTGTGCTATTTTTCAAGCAACTTAGAAGAGTGCTTGGTGACAATAACTCCAGCCGACCTTCACTTAGCTCTTATACAACTCTTTCAACTTCTACTCATTTTTCTTAAAACAATGAAATATATGAGGTGGAACAAGATGGCTAAATAGAAAATTCCAGGGATTTACTTCCCCACAACCCCCGACCACAGGAACACCAAATTGAACAACTATCCACACAATAAAGCACCTTTATAAAAAAAAAAAATCAGACATTAACAAATGCCCTCATGCAAGGAGAACATCTAGGAAAACACGACCTCACCAAATGGACTAAATAAAGTATCAGTGATCAATCCTAGAGATACAGAGATATGTGACCTCTCAGACAGGCAATTCAAAATGGTTGTCTTGAGAAAACTCAACAAACTTGGAGATAACATAGAAGAGGAATTTGGAATTCTATCAGATAAATCTAGCAAAGAGATTATAATAACAAAAAAATCAAACAGAAATTGCAGAGCTGAAGAATGCAATCAACAACACAAAAATGCATCAGAGTGTCTCAACAGCAAAATTGGTGAAGCAGAAGAAAGAATCAGTGAGCTCAAAGAGAGGCTATTTGAAAATACAGTCTGTAGAGAAAAAAAGAAGCTAAAAAAGAACAAAAGATGCCTGTAATATTTAGAAAATAACCTAAAAACGGCAAATCTAAGAGTCACTGGCCTTGAAGAAGAAGTAGAGAAAGAGATTGGGATAGAAAGTTTATTCAAAAAAATAACAGACAACTTTTCAAACCCAGTGAATATCCAGGTACAAGAAAGTCAAGCAACACCAAGCAGATGAAACCCAGAGGTATACAATAATCAAATTCTCAAAGGTTAAGGACAAAAAGAGGACCCTAAGAGTAGCAGGAGAAAATAAGCAAAGAAAATATAAAGAAGTCCAAATGTTTGTCAGCAGACTTCTCAGCAGAAACCTTATAGGCCATGAGGGAGTGGGATGACATATTTAAAGTGCTGAACAAAAAGACTTTCAAAGCTAGAACATTATATTCAGCATAGTTATGCTTCAAACGTGGAGAAGTAAAGACTTTCTCAGACAAACAAAACCTGAGGTAATTCATCAACACTAGATCTGTCTTATAAGGAATGCTGAAGGGAGTTCTTCAATATGAAAGACAGGGGTACAAATGTGCAGCAAGAAATTACCTGAAGGTCTAAAGCTCCTTGGTAAAAGCAAGCACACAAATAAATACAGAATATTCTAATATTATAATTGTATGTAAAGCCCTCATATCTTTAGTACGAAGACTAAAAGACAAACCTATGAAAAATAATAATAACTACAACAATTTGTTGAAAGACAGTAAAAAAGACAGAGATAGCAAAAAGTCAGACTGCAGGAGATGGAGATAAAGCGTAGAATTTAGTTTTCTCCTTTTTAATGTTTTTTCTTTGTGACCAGAGTTAAGCTTTAATCAATTTAAAATAATTGGTTATAAGATTTTTTTTTTTTTTTGCAAGCTTCATGGTAACTACAAAGCAAAAACCTTTAACAGGGACACAAAAAAATTAAAAGACAGAAATTAAAACATTACCAGAAAATTGCTTATATAGAAAGGAAGACAAGAAGAAAAAAAAAAAGGAAGAGAGAACTAACAAAATGACAACAACAACAAAAAACAACTAAATGGCGGTAGTAAGTCCTCACCTATCAATAATAACAATGAGTGTAAACGGACTTCATTCTCCAAATAAAAGGCAGACTAGCTGAATAAATTTTTTTTTAAAAAGACCCAACTATATGCTGCCTATAAGGAACTCATTTTTACCTACGAAAACACACAGACTGAAAATGAAAGAACAGAAAAAGATATGCCATGCAAATGAAAACCAAAAAAGAACATAAAGAGCTGTACTTATACCAGATAAAATATATTTCAAGACAAAATCTGTAAAAAGAGACAAAGAAGGTCATTATATAATGATAAAGAAGTCAACTCAGCAACAGGATATAAGAACTGTAAATATATATAAACCTAATGCTGGATCACTCAGATATATAAAGCAAATATTATTAGAGATAAAGAGAGAAACAGACCCCAGCACAATGATAGTTGGGAATGCTAAGTTAACATACCACTTTCAGCATTGGACAAAAAACCTAGAAAGAAAATTAACAAAGACACATCTGACTTAATGTGCGCTACAGAACAAATTGATCAATAGACATTTACAAAACATTTCATTCGATAGCTGAATAATACACATTCTTCTCATGGGCACATAAAATATTCTCCAGGGTAGACCATATGTTAGGCCGAAACACAAGTCTCAGAAATTCAGAAAAATCCAAATCATAGCAGGTATCTTTTCTGACCACAATGGAATGAAACTAGAAATCAATAAGCATTTATTGGACATAAAAATCCCGGGACATAAAATTCCTACCAAGATTGAACCATGAAAAAATAGAAAACATGAAGAGATCAATAAGAGGAACTCTGGAAACTATATAAATACATGGAAATTAAATAACATGCTCCTGAATAACTACTGGATGAATTAAATAATTTAAGAAGGAAATTTAGTAGAAACACAGCATACTGAAACCTATGGGATACAGCAAAAGCAGTACTAAGATGGTAGTTTATAACAATAAATGCCTGTATCAAAAAAGGAAAACAAAACACTTTGGGAGCCCGAGGTGGGCAGACCACGAGGTCAAGAGACAGAGATCACCCTGGCCAACATGGCGAAACCCTGTATCTACTGAAAATACAACAATTAGCTGGGTGTGGTGGTGCATGCCCGTAGTCCCAGCTACTCGGGAGGCTGAGGCAGGAGAATCACGTGAACCCAGGAGGCGGAGGTTGCAGTGAGCCAAGAACATACCACTGCACTCCAGCCCAGTGACAGAGCAAGGCTCCGTATAAAAAACAACAATAACAACAACAGCAGCAACAAAAAACCTAAAACTGCATCTTAAAGAACTAGAAAAGTAAGAGCAGGCTAAACCCAAAACTAGTCAAAGAAAAGAAACACTAAAGATCAGAGCAGAAATAAATGAAATTGAGAGAAAA
Source organism: Homo sapiens (assembly GCF_000001405.40). Classification (NCBI taxonomy): domain Eukaryota; kingdom Metazoa; phylum Chordata; class Mammalia; order Primates; family Hominidae; genus Homo; species Homo sapiens. Next base: position 6,781,877 of record NC_000016.10, on the reverse strand, counting down.
TACAAAATAAAAACTTGTTTTTGGAAAATAAAAACGAAATCAACAAACCTTTAGCCACGCTAAGAAAAAAGAGAGAATGTCCAAATATATGAAATCAGAGCTAAGAAAATATTAAAACAGATACCACAGAAATTCAAAGGTAAATTAGAGAGTATTTTTATCAACTATAGGCCAACGATTTGGAAAATCTGGAAGAAATGGATAAATTCCTGGACATAAAAAACTACAAAGATTGAAACATGAAATAATAGTAAACATGGATAAATCAATAAGTAATGCTATAAAAGAAGTAATAAAAAGATTCTCACCAGAGAAAAGGCCAGGACTTGATGGCTTCACTGTTGAATTCTACCAAATATTTAAGGAAGACTTAATACCAATTCTATTCAAACTATTCTAAAAAATCAAGGAGTAGACAATACTTCCAAACTCATTCTACAGGATCAGGATTATCCTAATGCCAAAACTAGACAAATACACAACGAAAAAAGAAAACTTCAGACTAATATATCTGATGAACATGAATGCAAAAATCCTCAACAAAATACTACCGAATCAAATTCAACATATTAAAAAGATCATTCATCATGATCAAATGGGAATCATTCCTGCGATAAAAGGATGGTTCAACAAAGACAAATCAATAAATGTGACATATCATATCAACATAATGAAGACCAAACACTATGTCCCTATTCCTCACCATCTACAAAAATCAAATCAAAACGGATTAAAGAATTTAATGTAAGACCTGGACCAATGAAGCTATTACAAGAAAACACTGTGGAAATGCTTCCAGACATGGGTGTGGGTAAATACTTTTTGAGTAAGCCACCAAATGCACAGGTAACCAAAGCAAAAATGGTCAAATGGGATCACATCAAGCTAAAAAGTGTCTGCACAGCAAAGGCAACCACAAACAAGTGATAAGACAACCTACAAAATGGAAGAAAACATTTGCCAACTACCCACCTGACAAGAGAATAACTGCCAGAACATGTGAGGAGCTCAAACAACTTGGTACAAAACCCCAACCCAAATAATCCAAATAAAAATGAGCAAACATCTGAATAGACAATTCTCAAGAAGACATACAAATGACCAAAAGGTATGCGGAAAAATGCTCAACGTCACTAATCATTAGAGAAATGCAAATCAAAATTGTAATGAAATATCTCACCCCAGTTAAAATAGCTCTCTGAAAAAACAGGCAATATAGATATATACATATATAAAAGAAAGAAAAGAAACCAACAACTAAAAAACAAAAAACAAAAAAGAAATATATATATAAATATATATATAAATATATATAAATATGTAAATATATATGTAAATGTATATATAAATATATATAAATGTATATATAAATATATAAAAATGTATATAAATATATATAAAAATGTATATAAATATATATAAAAATGTATATATAAATATATCTATAAATATATATAAATATATATAAATATATATAAAAATATATATAATATGTATAAATATATCTATAAATATGTATATAAATATGTATATAAATATGTATAAATATATATAAATATGAATAAATATATATATGTATAAATATATATATGTATAAATATATATATGTATAAATATATATATAAATATATATGTAAATATATATAAATATATATATAAATATATATAAATATATAAAAATATATAAATATATATATAAATATATAAAAATATATAAATATATATATAAATATATATAAATATATAAATATATATATAAATATATATAAATATATAAAAATATATAAATATATATAAATATGTAAATATATATAAATATATATAAATATGTAAATATATATAAATATATATAAATATATAAATATATATAAATATATATAAATATATAAATATATAAATATATAAATATATATAAATATATAAATATATAAATATATATAAATATATATAAATATATATAAATATATAAATATATATAAATATATATAAATATATATAAATATATATAAATATATAAATATATATAAATATATATATAAATATATAAAAATATATATAAATATATATATAAATATATAAAAGTATATATAAAAATATATATAAATATATATATAAATATATAAAAGTATATATAAAAATATATAAAAATATATAAATATATATATAAATATATATATAAATAAATAAAGATAGGCAATAATGAATGCTGGTAAGGATATGGAGAAGAGGGAACCCTTGTATACTATTGGTGGGAACGTAAGTTAGTACAGCCACTCTGGAGAATAGTATGGAGGTTCTTCAAAAAACTAAAACTAACACTAACATAATTTAGCAGTCTCACTGTTGGGTATATATTCAAATGAAAGAAAGTTAGTGTATAGAAGAGATATGTGCACTGCCATGTTTATTGTAGTACTCTTCACAACAGCCAAGTTATGAAATCAACCTGAGTGTCCACCAATGTATGAACCGAATGAAAAAATGTGGTACATACATACAATGGAATATTATTCAACCACAAAAAAGCATGACATCCTGTCATTTCAAACAGCATAGACACAACTGGAGGACATGATGCCAACTAAAATAAGCCAGGCACAGAAAGACAAATATTGCATGTGCTCATACAAATGCGGGAGCTAAAAAAATTGATCTCATGGAGATACAGAGTAGAATAATGTTTACCAAATGCAAGGAAGGGGAGTTGAGAGCAAGGGGGAGTTAGAAGTAGGTAAATTCATAGGTACAAAAATACAATTAGATAAAAGACATAAGATCCAGTATTCACTAGCACAATAGGACAACTATAGTTAACAATAATGCATTGTATATTTCAAAATAACTAGAGTAGTAGTTTTGGAATGTTTGCAAAACAACAAAATGATAAATATTTAAAGTTAGGCTACTTCAATTACCTTGATTTGATCATTACACATTGTATGCTTTTATAAAAATGTCCCCATAAATATGTACAACTCTTCCATAACCATAAAAATTAAAAATAAAAAAAAAACTAGAGTGTGTGGTGTATGTGTATTCAATTAAATTGTTTTGATAGGTTTTATTGGTTCAATCAATAATTTATAAGGTGGATTTATTGTGTGCGATAAACAAGAAAATTCACAATCATATTTTTCACAAAAGACTCAGGAAGACAATCTAGTTTCTTTAATTTAAGAATTCTAAGAAAAAAGAGAGTAAAATATGAATGGAAAGTTCTTTACTCTTTATAGACTAAGGAACTCTAGCCATATTAACTAATTGCATTCTATAGTCCTCGTTTGGATTTCAGTTCAAGGAAACTTTATAAATATGTAAGATAACTGGGAAAATCTGAACAGCGATCAGATATTAATCATCTTAGGGAATCAATGTTAATGTTGAAGGATTGGGTGTAATTATATTTAGAGATACATACTGAAACATTTATGGATAAAATGTGTGATGTCTGGCCTTGGCTTTAAAACAATTCAGGAATGTGGAGAAAACAAGTGGGGATATAGATTAAACATGATTGGCTATGAGTTTTAATTATCGAATCTGGGGATGGGTACATGAGGAATCATGTTACTATTCTCTACTTTTGCATGTGTTTGTTACTTTGTACAATAAAAAACACTGAAAAACATTCTTGGGATGAAATTAATGTTTTAATTTACTGACAAAAATGACCAGGGAGACTGAATTGTTTTAATCGATTGTGTGATCTTTGAAATTCGATTCTCATGAAGCCATCACTGTTTAATCGCACTGCGCATCCAGATCATGTATTCGCAACAGTGCATCCCACTTTCAATCTATTTGTTATTCCGTTTATGTTGAAATGACAAGATTTATCCCACACCTTATGAGTTCACACATGGAGCATAAATGTATATTTATATGAGTTTTAAACTGCTATTTATTCTGCTGCTCACATTCAGATATTACCACCTGCACTGAAATTGGAATTTTGGAAAGCTCAGAAAAAGTCATTTCAATATGGATGGAAGTCAGCTTTGGGCAGCTCTGACACCTCTGAGGAATACTCTTAGTGCAAAAAGTGAAAATGAAACTGGAAAGCTTGATGACAAGGTGCAAAACACAAACCTCCCCTTGTGTTTTCTCATCATATTCAACTTCCTGATTAAAAATTTACCAAGCCCACCAGTTATGAATATCAAGCTCCATCAGAATGCATAAGATTAAAACATCAAGGTCTACAGATTTAAGAAACTGTCAGGCTAAGAAACTGGATTTTTAAAACACTGAATAACGTGTGAAATTTCCATCATTCTGTTCTCTTTCTTTCCCCCCTAATCTGACAGGAATTGCAAACAGGCCTGCAAGGTCTAAAGTTCCCTCAGGGAAATGCATTACAAAATAGAATGTAGAAAGCTTCCTAATAAAATCATTAAAAAATAAGTTGAGTTTACATGCAGCTGAAAACTGATACCTAGTGTTATTTGGTTGGTTTCTTTGTCCCTGTTCCATTCCCCGAGCGCCTGCCTCGGTTCTCTTTCTCAGGGACACACAAATAGAGTTAACTTAAACATCATCCACTAGGTATAGGAGCAAAATACCTTGCTAAAATGCAGTAGTACTAATCAATTACTCCATTACAAAACTAAAAAAGCAATGCCAGATAATGTGATAGAATCCTCTTTTCTTAGCACATAATTACCTACAGTACTAGATCATATTATCACTTTTCTAAAGCTCAGAAAATACCCTAGAAATATCTGGAAAATGTGTAGCACATCGCATACAAGACCACTAATCCCAAGACTCGTATTTTACTAAATTGAGTATACAACACGGTTAACACAGAATCCCTGCCCTCAGGTAGCTTTCAGATTAATGTGCCTTCAATTACAGAAGGCTATTAGTTTCTTCACTTTAATTACAACTGCATCAAAATCACGTAAATAAATTTCAACCTCTCAGATAATTTATGAACAATACAAAGCCAGGTGTACATTTCCCATTAAAAATTAATATTTGCTGTAATTAAAATGTGCCACATGCCATGTTCATTTCACAATGCTACGAAGAAAAAATAAAACAGCAAAGCATTTCTGTTCCCAGGTGGTAACTTGTTACAGTATCAGATTTAACTTCTAATTTGATTGCATTAGTGCAGAAAAGTTTAGCACCTAGTGTGGCTCAGTCACAGCAAAGCAGTGCATCCTGGCAGGCATGGGGGAGCTTATAACCTTGTTACCTTTATAATAATTCAGGTATGTAGAGATGGCATACCGATTTGAAAGGGATAAAGAAAACTCTCCCCACATAGAGAGGCTCCAAATGTCCAAATCATCCAACAAACAGTGTCAACCATGGATGAGACTTGATCAAGCTCTGTAATTCTAGCCAAGGTTCCTCTTCTATGTGTTTTAATTGTATGCACTTTAAAGAATTGCACTGTGTTGCTTCTCCTTGATGTTTTTTTGTTTGTTTGTTTGTTTTTTGTTTTTTGTTTTTTTCCGAGGTGGAGTCTCACTCTGTCACCCAGGCTGGAGTGCAGTGGCATGACCTCGGCTCACTGCAAGCTCTCCCTCCTGGGTTCACACCATTCTCCTGCCTCAGCCCCCCGAGTAGCTGGGACTACAGGCACCCGCCACCACGCCCGGCTAATTTTTTGTATTTTTAGTAGAGACTGGGTTTCACCGTGTTAGCCAGGATGGTCTCGATCTCCCGACCTAGTGATCTGTCTGCACTGGCCTCCCAAAGTGCTGGGATTACAGGCATGAGCCACCACGCCCAGCCCAGTGTATTCTTTCTTGTACTTCTTTTTTCTTCCTCTCTCCCTTTCTTTATTTCCTCAGTACTAATGTTTAAAAACATATGATCCAAGAAAGTAAAGTGTTGATTTCTTCTTACTAACCTGGGAAAGAAATTTGTGGCTGTGATCAGACTTGGAATCGATATGCCTGTGAACACAATCCCTGGTTAGCCATTCCCCGTCACCCACAGGAGACTTGGAAAGAAGCACTCACAGCCGTGCACCAGCCAAGCGAGGATCGTGGAAGCTTTGCAAATGGCTTTCAACAATAACTGATTTTCATAAGACACATGGATTTCCATTCAGAGACTGACTGTGGTTCACGCATTTGTTCACATGCTTGTTCCTTCCTCTCACTGTCACCCGTTTGCTGGTTCACACCTTTGAAAGCCACCAAAATGATGACATTAGGCACTAATTTGACGAAAGACAAGGGATGTTTGACCGAAGCTCCCAAATTCACTTTCTCTGTAAGGGGACAGAGAGAGGGAGAGGGCTGTCTCGATTAGAGAGATAACTGTCAGAACCCTCCATCTTTTTTCCTTTAATTTTAATTCAAAGAGATGGACTGACATAACTGGTTCCATGATATAATTGGTTGCATCTGATTTATTTGATTCATTTTTAATCTTATCACCTATTTTTTTTTCTTTTTGGGATTAGGCAAGACAAGATGTTAAAATCCTTTCTTCATACCTTTCTAATCCCAACCTGAGAGGTCTTAACAGTTGGGTGTGTCTGTTTGTAGGCTTTTTGTCTACTTTTTTTTTTTTTTTTTTTTTTTGAGACAGAGTCTCGCTGTATCGCCCAGGCTGGAGTGCGGTGGCGCGATCTCAGCTCACTGCAAGCTCGGCCTCCCGGTTTCACGCCTTTCTCCTGCCTCCCGAGTAGCTGGGACTACAGGCGTCCGAACCACACCAGGCTAACTTTTTTTTTTTTTTTTTGTACTTTTAGTAGAGACGGGGTTTCACCATGTTCGCCAGGATGGTCTGGATCTCCTGACCTCGTGATCCGCCAGACCTGGCCTCCCAAAGTGCTGGGATTACAGGCGTGAGCCACTGCGCCCTGCCTTGTCTACATTTTTAGGTATGTTATATAAGATATGAACACAGATTATTAATAAAGATACATATTCATTCTTTTTAAAGAGGAGATGAGATTAGGGCCTATAGACGTATACTGTCCAATATGGTAGCCACTACTCAATGGGGTTAAGTTTATATTAACTAAAATTATTTTAAAAGCCCCTCAGTTGCACTAATCACATTTCAAATGCTCAGTAGGCCCATACGGCTCATGGCTACTATATTGGAAAGCTCAGGTATAAAACACTCCCACCATTGCAGAAAGTTCAACTCAACAGTTGAACTAATTAACTAATAGTTATAATTAGTATTATAAAATTATAATACTAATCGTTTTAATGCTAATGCTAATTTACTGTCAAGAATACTCTATATATTCCTGACATATATAGCTCATACAATTAATTCCTATAGATGACTCTATATAGCTGACATGTAGATTGTTTGTAACAATCAGTAAATTATCATTAGCTGCTTCTTCCCTTAAATATAATTCTCTGAACATAGAGAAGTAAGACAATGACTATCAGAATTCATGCTTGGTAGCAGAGACAAAAGGTAATTGGGTTGTTGATATTTAATTTGCTTCTGGAACCTATTATTTAGAGTCCCAGTTTTAGAAATTGTGATCATAACCACAATTGCTCAATTTGTTATGCCTGTGTAGACTTGGCCAGTTAGAAATGTCCAGCCCTAATGGCTGCATTCTGATACTTTCCTGGAGGGGCACCATCTCACCTGGGAGGGAATAGAGTAGACATGCTCCATGAATTCCTCAAAAGCTTCCTTTCAAATGTAGACAAAACCAAACAGACAGAGAAACCTACTAATAACAGGCAATCTCAGTTACAGAGACACTGGAATTTTTCATTTGCCTTCCCAGAGTGCCGGTCTTTGTTCCGATAACTTGGTATTTTACAAAAAGTCCAATTCTTGGTAATTTAAAGCTAGGAAATTAATGGGAAATCAGAAAGCCAATGAGCATTTACAGGTAGAAAAAGCAAACTGTGATTACCTGGTCTCTGAGGAGCTAATTACAGGTTCAGTTGAAAACGGGAGGACCATGAGAACCATGTGCGTGTGCACACACACAAACACACTCCACACCCCCGCAACGCAAATGCACTCCATGCCCACACAAATACACACAGACAAACGCACCCTACATCCACACATATATACACACAAATGCACCCCATGCCCCCACAACACAAATGCACCAAACTCCCACACATACACATAGATACACACAAATGCACCCCACGCCCACACATACACACACACAGAAATGCACCCCACACCCACACATACACACACACAAATGCACCCCATGCCCACACATACACATACACATACACACACACACAAATAGACCCCACACCCACACATACACACACAAATGCACCCCATGCCCACACATGCACATACACACACACACACACAAATGCACCCCACACCCACACATACACACACAAATGCACCCTATGCCCCCCAACACAAATGCAACCAACTCCTACACATACACATAGACACACACAAATATACCCCACACCCACACATACACACACAATTGCACCCTATGCCCCCCAAGACAAATGCACCCAACTCCCACACATACACATAGATACACACAAATATACCCCACGCCCACACACACACACACAAATGCACCCCATATCCACACATACACATGCACAGAAATGCACCCCATACCCAAACACACAAATGCACCCCACACCCACACATACACTTACACACACACAAATGCACCCCATGCCCACACACACACACAAATGCACCCCACACCCACACATACACTCACACACAAATGCACCCCATGCCCACACACACACACACAAATGCACCCCACACCCATACACAAACACAAATGCACCCCACACCCCAATATACACATACACGCACAAATGCACCCCACGCCCACACATACATATACACACACAAATGCACCCCAAGCCCAATACAAATGCACCCCATGCCCACAAATACAATCACACACACACACACATATGCACCCCACACCCACACACACGCACACAAATGCACCCCACACCCAAATATATAGATACACACACACACACAAATGTACTCCAAGCCCACACTTACACACACACACAAATGCACCCCACGCCCACACAGACACACACACACAAATGCATCCCATGCCCACACATACACTCACATACACACAAATGCACCCCAGGCCCACACATACGCACACAAATGCACCCCACATCCCAACATATGCACACACACACAAATGCACTCCAAACCCACACATACACAATCACACACATACAAATGCATCCCACACCCACATATACACACACAAATGCACTCAAAGTCCACATACACACACACACACACAAATGCACCCCACACTCACACATACACATACACTCACAAATGCACCCCATACCCACCCATATACATACACACACAAATGCACCCCACACATACACATACACTCACAAATGCGCCCCATACCCACCCATATACATACAAACACAAACGCACCCCATACCCACACATACACATACAAATGCACCCCATGCCCACACATACATACACACACACACACACACGCACGTGCGCACACACAAAACCCTTCCAGCCTGTGCCCACCTCCAAAGAAGCAGACAGCTGCATTGCTGCATAAATAAATTATTTGGATAGCTCACTGTTTGAGCACAATCGATCCTTCCTCTGTACTAGGGTCAGGCACTGTATATCCATAGCCTGGCCTGACCTGCAGTTGTATATAAAATATGATATTAAAAAAACTCCCCACTAGCCCACTTCTACTTGGGAGGCTCACAGTCCATCAATCATTCATTCCTCTTTGCCCACACCGGAACCACCAACAGACCACAAACTTGGGGGAAGTTAACAGCATTGAAAGGAAGACTGTTCCTCAGGAAAGCCACAGTTCCTGTCACAGAAATCATACAGCACCTCATAGTTTTCCTAGAGCATACTTAGCAGGAATTTACTGGAATGGCAGAAAGAGCCGAAGGGAGTCTTTCCGTTTCAATTATTTTGAGGATCTTATATAGCTATTCTACACAATGCCCAGAGTAGGAGATAACCTCTTCCGGCCCCTTCAAAGAACACCAAAGGTCTAATGGGGAGAAGGGAAAAGACACAGCCTGACAGTAATGCATCTTCTGCCCCATCAGGAACTCTCAGTCTTGGTACAATTGCCACTTTAGGCTGGGTAACTTATTGTCATAGGGGGCTGTCCTGTGCATTGTGAGATGTTAAACAGCATCCCTGGCCTCCACCCGCTAGACGCCAGTAGCATTATAGTGCCTTGCTCCACTAATTATGACAATCAAAAATGCCTCCTGACATTGCCAAATGTCTCCTGAGGAGCAAAATTGTCCACAGTTGAGAACTGCTGAGTTAGGCATCAGAAAGCTCTCTATACTATCTGCATCATATCTGAGAAGACACCAAGGTAGACTTGAGCAGAAGTGTGTTGGCTTCAGCTTGCTAGGGTTTGCTAGGACTGCTGACTTAGGCATCAGAAAGTCTCTCTGCTATCTGGATCATATCTAAGAAGACACCAATGCAGACAGGAGCAGAAGTGTATTAGCTTGCCAGGGCTGCTGACTTAGGCGTCAGAAAGATCTGTGTACTATCTGCATCATATCTAAGAAGATACCAACATAGACTTGAGCAGAAGTGTGTCAGCTTGCCAGGGCTGCCGTAACAAAGCACCGTAGACTGTGTGGCTTAAACAACAGAAATTTATTTTCTCACAATTCTGGAGGGTAGAAGTTCAAGACTAAGGTGTTTGCAGTGTTGGTTTCTTCTGAAGCCTCTTTCCTTGGCTTGCAGACGACCATCTTCCCCCTCTGTGTTGTTTATATGGTATTCTCTCTGTGTGTCTGGGTTCTGATTTTTTCTTCTTATAAGGACACCAAACACACTGGATTCGGGCCCAACCTAATAACCTCATGAAACCCGAATTAACTTCCTAAGGATCCTGTCTCCAAACAGACTCACATTCTGAGGTCCTGTGGGTGAGAATTTGAGCATTTGAATCGGGGGTAGTGGAGACACAATTCGGCCTCCAAATAAGAGGTAATTCTCAGACCCAAGCACATCATTTTGTGTCACTGACAACTGTGTTGCATTATCCATGGGAGACTTCAGCCCTACTATTTAGAAATGGGCTCTCTCCATTGCTCATTTCCTCCCTGTCATATAAAGAGTAACTTCCTTAACTTCCCAACTGGGGAGACAAGAAGAATGAATCCAGCAGGTACAGCTCAGCCTATGCCACTTCCTCTCATCTGCATCTGCCTCCCAGGCAGACGGAGAACTTTGTGGACTCTTCTCTCCTCCCAGGAAGGCTCTGCAGCCTCTGAGTAGAGATTGATTTCTTTTCTCACATTAAAAAAAAAAATTGAACAGGGAACACCTTGAAATTGTGAGATTCCCTAGGTTGACGAACATCTTCCGTAAAGGGGCAGAAAGAAAATATTTTCGACTTGCAGGGCTATCCTAATATTGAGCTCTGCCGTGGTACCCAAAAGCTGCCGCAGAAATATATGCTTGCATAGGTGCAGCTGGGTATACATAATACAACTTTATTACAGAAATAATAATAATCCAAGTGGAGTAAATGTGGCCCACAGGCTGCAGTTTTCCAACCCCTGCCCTGTTGCATTAAATACATTATTTGATTTGTACAGTTTCAATTGCTACTGGATTTGGTCAAGTTTAAGTAAAATGAGGAGCCTGTGGAGATGTGGTAAGTACTTTCCTATGATGATAACCCAAAAAATTCTGTAGTTCTCACCCATGACTGCTAATGGATATATACAAGAATATTTACAATAACAGACACTTGAAAGGGTATACTAAGCTGCCTTTCTGCTTAATACAAGTTCCTTGTTTTTCTTTCCTTTCTGCTGACCACTTTGCCTCCAGCTCTGATTTCTAATTTCTTTCCTCATTAAAAGTCCTGTCAACCATCCTGAGAATAGAGGTGTTCCTTTAAAAATAGCCATCTCATAAAGGACCTGTAGCCTGCAGGCATAAGGCACATAGATAGGAACAGTTCACGAAATCCCCCTCTAAACAACAGACTTATGAGAAATAAATCTGAACTTTGATTTCAAATCGCTCCAAACAAATCATCTTCAAACTCGTGGTGAGTTGTCCTCAGAATGTGTTTTGTGGCATCATTGCTGCAAAAAAAACCCTGACTTTTCTAGAGGTAAGTTTAGAACACATCTCATGCCTTTGTTAGATTTGTACCCAAATTATCAGCCAAGATCAAGCCACAGAAGCTTATCCTACATCAGCAGGGAACATTAGCAGAGAGGGATATGGAAGATACACTCGTATTATACATTAGAGCCAACAGTCATCATTTGGAGATGCCATAGAGAAGTCTTGCTTATGCGCAATGAAGCTGTTTCAGCATTGTCACGAATAGGCAAAAACAGGAAACAGCCTGATGTTTATTAAAAGGCGGGTGATAAACCATTAAGGATATACATACAAACTACAGAATGCTGCACTGTTGCTAAAAAGAATGTTGCAGTGGAGATGTAGCTCATGGAAAATATTCCTGATGTACTGCTGTATTCTTAGTCTGTTTTCATGCTGCTGATAAAGACATACTCAAGCCTAGGCAACTTACGGGAGAAAGACCTTTAATAGACTTACAGTTCCACATGGCTATGGAGGCCACACAGTCATGGTGGAAGGCAAGGAGGAGCAAGTCTCATCTTACATCGATGGCAGCAGGCAAAGAAAGAACTTGTGCAGGGAAATTCCCCTTTATAAAACCATCGGATCTCATGAGGCTTATGCACTATCATGAGAACAGCGTGGGAATGACCTGCCTCCATTATTCAATTAACTCCCACCCAGTCCCTCACACAACACGTGGGAATTCAAGATGAGATTTGGGTGGGGACACAGCCAAACAATATCAACTGTTAAACAGAAAAAGAAGTAATATTGGCTGGGCGCAGTGGCTCACGCCAGTAACCTCAACACTTTGGGAGCCCGAGGCAGGCAGATCACGAGGTCAGGAGTTTGAGACCAGCCTGGCCAACATGGTGAAACCCCATCTCTCCTAAAAATACAAAAATTAGCCGAGCATGACGGTGGGTGCCTATAGTCCCAGCTACTCGGGAGGCTGAGGCAGAAGAATCGCTTGAAACCTGCAGACAGAGGTTGCAGTGAGCTGAGTTCGCCCCATTGCACTCCAACCTGGCGACAAAGCAAGTCTCAAAAAAAAAAAAAGAAAAATAATATCATCATAATATCATATATACATATATATATATAGGTACATATATATTTTACATATATATGCCTGTACATACGCATACTAATGAATATATACAGGTAGGCGATATTTAAACCAAATCATATATGTTTGTAGATGTGTATTTATTGATCCATCTTTTTCTCTCATACATACCCACTATCTCTAAATATTTTTGTCAATGTATAGAAAATAGATACTATTCATAGTAGTTTTCTCTGGGAAGGGAAGTACATTTAGAAGGCTTGTGTGGGCTGGGGGGGAATTTTCCCTCTCTCTCTGCACTCTTATATGTTTGATTTGCTTGGAGCAATTATATTTGTATTTTCAAAGAATAAGAAAACTACACCATCTACCCTAGAAGAAAAAAAATTTTTGAAATACTTTTTAATAAGACTCTTTATTGTCATATAAATTACAAACATTTATTGTTTAAAAAAGCAAAAACAGGAAAAAAAAGTATATGGAGTAAAAAGTGAGGTCCTTGTTTCTTTTGTTTTCGGTCTTGTTTTGTTTTTTGAGATGGAGTCTAGCTCTATTGCCCAGGCTGAAGTGCAGTGTTACAATCTCTGCTCACTGCAACCTCTGCCTCGGGGGCCAAGCAAATCCACCTTTATCAGTGGATTCATATTTCCAGCTAAATAACTAAGGGAGAAAATTCACTAGCTCCTTCACAATGTGATTTTCCACTTCTGTACTCCCAGTTTTGTCCAGTTTTCTCCATAATTTCTTCTTCTTCTTCTTCTTCTTCTTCTTCTTCTTCTTCTTATTATTATTATTATTATTATTATTATTATTATTGAGATAGAGTCCTTACTCTGTTGCCCAGGCTGGAGTGCAATGGCGCGATCTCGGCTCACTGCAACCTCCACCTCCCGGGTTCAAGCGATTCTCCTGCCTGAGCCTCCTGAGTAGCTGGGATTACAGGCACCCGTCACCATGCCTGGCTAATTTTTGTATTTTTAGTAGAGATGGGGTTTCACCATATTGGCCAGGCTGCTCTCGAACTCCTGATCTCGTGATCTGCCCACCTTGGCCTCCCAAAGTGTTGGGATTACAGGCATAAGCCACCACACCTAGCCTCTCCATAATTTCTTAGGGATGAGTTCTTTGGGATTTGAAAGATTTATACTGTCACAAATGCTATATTTGACATTATTGTATTCATCAGAATTTTTTTGGGGGTGAGGTTTTAAATTAAAACACTGGCTCAAATTGGCTTAAGCAAAAAAAGAAATGTATTCGTTCACATAAGTGAAAAACCTCAGGATAATTATAGATTGCAGCAGGGCTACATTCAGAGAATTGGAACTCAGTCCTAGCCCTGTGGTCTTTCTAGGAGGTTGGCCACATTCTCAGGGGGGCAGAGAAATGGCCATCAATTTCAGGCTCAATGTGTTCAGTCTCTAACAGCTTTAACAAGTGTTCTGAGACTGAGTCTCCTTGGAGAGACTTGAGCCACTTGGTCATCTAGGAGCCAGTCCCTGTGGCTGGGAATTGGAGTTATGCCAGCTGGCTAGGTTTAGGTTCCATACCCAACTCTAGAGCTCGGTAAGGAGCCAGCTCTCTGGAAGTATGGAGGAAAAATGCAAGAGAGGTGGTCCCCTAAGAAAAATGCAATTATAGGACCACAGGATGAGGAAATGGATACTGAATAGATGAAAACAATGATTATTTTGTGAAAAAGACCTCGCCATGACCAGAAATGACCTGGAATTGAGCTGGAAGGTTGTTCCTTCAGCCTTCAGCCTCCCCCGACTTACCAAGGGCTAGTACCACGGGCTGCATTCAGAGCTTCATGCCAGGTCAAGTGTCCTCAGACTGAGTATCTTTTTACTTGCTGTTCCATCAGCTTAGAACATGCTTCCCCAGATCCCCTCCCATCCTTTAGGTCTCGCCTGAAACTTCACCAAAGTCACTAACGGAAGCCCATATGAAGACCATCACTGGTGTAAATTCCAGTTGTGAATTTCAGTGAATTCACTGGCATAACATTCAGAAGAGGCTCTAGAGTTGTGTTGTCCAAGATGACAGCTGTTGGCCACATGTGGCTAATTAGATAGAATTTAAAATTCAGCTCCTTGGTAGCACTAGCTTGACTGTGAGTGCTCACAAGTCCCATGTGACTAGTAGGTACCTCATTAGACACTGATGATAAAGAACATGGGTGTCATTGCAGAAAGTTCTATTGGACAGTGCTATTCCGGAATATTTTCTCATTCCCCTCTCCCCCTCAAAGATTTAAAAATGAAGAAGGGCATGTGACTGTACTAGAAAAGGCCAAGTGACCTTTGAAAGGCCTCCCAGGCTACAGGGACAATAATAATATTTACAATGAAAAAACAGACAAATGCTCAAGTAGGAAAAGTTATGTCTTTTCCACTCTGAACATTAAAAAACTAAATAAAAAAGGAAAAATTCTTTACTTTTTCTGTTGGAAAGAGATAAAGAGCTGTATAAAAACAATGACAAGGAGAGGAAAGTGAAATCAAATTCTGGTTGGACTGAAGGGCTCTTATTCATGTCTTTTTTTTTCTCCATATCTAAAATTTTGCTTTTTTTTCTTTTTAAATATTTTTTGAAAAATTTCAATAGCTTTAGGGTTACAGGTTAGTTTTGGTTACATGGATGAATTGCATAGTGTTGAAATCTAGGATTTTAGTGCACCTGCCACCCGAGTAGTGTACGTTGTACTAAATAGGTAGTTTTTTGCTCCTCATCCCCCTTCTACCCTCCCATCTTCTGAGTCTCCAATGTCCATCATACTGTATACCTTTGCATCCTCATACCTTAGTTCCCACTTACAAGTGAAGAAATGCAGTATTTGCTTTTTGATTTCAGAGTTACTTCACTTAGAAGAAACCTCCAGTTTCATCCAAGTTGCTGCAAAAGACATTATTTCATTCTTTTTTATGGCTGAGTAGTATTTCAAGGTGAATATACCATATTTTCCTTATCTACTTATTGGTTGCTGGGCACTAAGGCTGATTCTGTATCTTTGCAATTGTGAATTGTGTTATGATAAATATATGCAAGCAGGCATCTTTCCTCTGGGTAGAGACCCAGTATTGGGTAGAGTGATTGCTGTACCGAATGGTAGACCTACTTTTACTTCTTTGAAAAATCTCTGTACTGTTTTCCATAGAGGTTGTACTCATTTACATTCCCACCAGCATTCTTTTTTTCTTAAACTTTAAGTTGAGGTGTACATGTGCAGGTTTGTTATATAAACTTGAGTTATAGGGGTATGTTCCACAGATTATTTCATTGCCCAGGTATTCAGTCTAATACTCAACAGTTATTTTTCCTGATCCTCTCAGCAATAATAAGAGATAAGTTACACACGGACTTTCCAACAAGCCGTATTTGCTATTATTTCCAGTGGTAGACAGAATGGATTTTGTTGAGTACAAAGTAAACTTGAGCTATATATTGTGTTTGCAATCAAACCCAGATCTTGGCCTGCAGGAGCCTGTGTGTTCTGGCCTCATTCTGTTCCTCCAGCCTTTAGTCCACCCCCTCCCTTACCACGTGCTGCATTCAGAGCCTCATGCAAGGTAAACTGTTCACAGATTCCCTGTCGTTTTACTTGCTGTTCCATCAGCCTAGAGCACGCTTCCCCAGATTCCCTCGCATTCTTTAGGACTTTAGATTTCTGCTTAAATTTCATGTCACCATGAATTTTTTTTTTTCTGAAAACCTTAGCCAACACACACATTATGATTCTCCATTACAATATCCCATTAATTTACTCTTTTCTTTTTTATTTCTTTCTTTTTCTGAAACAGTCTTGCTCTGTCATCCAGGTTGGAGTGCAGTGGCACAATCTCGGCTCACTGCAACCTTCACCTTCTGGGTTCAAGAGATTCTCCTGCCTCAGCTTCCCGAGTAGCTAGGATTACAGGCACCCGTCACCATGCCTAGCTAATTTTTATATTTTTGGTAGAGACAGGGTTTCACCATGTTGGCCAGGTTGGTCTCGTACACCTGACCTCAAGTGACCTACCCGCCTCAGCCTCCAAAAGTGCTGGGATTACAGGCGTGAGCCACTGCACCCAGCCCATGCATTTACTCTTAATAATTATCATCTCTAATTGTTTTGTTTACTCTTTTTTCTCCCTAGTATATCCAAGTAGAATGTAAGTCCCATGGGGACAGAAACCATGTCCTTATTTCCTGTTGTTGCTCCAACATTGAGTGGACATTCAATAAGCATCCGTGGGATGAATGAATGGACAGAGACAGGTGGAGAGAAGACAAAGAGTTGTGCTCATCAAGCTAACCTGCATTACCTGCTGGTAACAGAACTAAGAATGGGCTACCAGACACTGCTTGGCCCGACTACCATAAGGACTGAAAATATTTCAGGTTTTCCCTTTAAAAGGGTGGGCCATTTTCAAAATTGCTGAGCTTGATCATTTGTGCACAGATTGAGCAAAGTGAGGTGAACTTCAGTGCTTTCAAGTCCAGCCAATTTGCATGCCAGCTGCTGTCATAAAACTGAGATGAAGTTCAGATGCTCAAGTGGGAGATATTGAGGGCACCTAGAGCTTAAGGGGACTAGGGAATGCCCATCTTTCCCTCTCCATACGCAAAGACTGGGAGGCACAGAAAATGCACATACCTTTAAGATCACGTTATGAGTGATTAATAAGGTCACCCAAGTACAGTTTATCATCCTTCACAGCATGCAGACAGCATTAACATCCTGCTACCTCATTCCCTGATGGCCACTGTAAAGAAACTTGCAGATTCAACTTTCTCCAGGACTCATTAATATTGGGAACCATAGGACATATACAAACGCTAAGCACAGGTTCCTGAACATAAGCAAGCACTTCAATATGCAAATGAAATAGAGGAATTACAGAAGATCTTCAAAAGTTACAACAAAAGACCATTTGCTATTCCCACACGTTTCAGTGTGAACACATTTAAACATTTAATGTTTGTGTGGAATCCGTCCAGTGGTTTTGGAATGATAAACGTGCTATCAGGCTAAAAGGGGCAAACATTCTAATAAAAACGTAAATCCTAAAACAGACCCGATACTTTGCTGGGAGGTAGAACAGAGAATGAAATACGTAATTGGTGAGACACTGGAAAGGCAAGTGGTTGTTGATGATTAATGGTCAATGATAGCTTATTAAGAAATAACCCCAAGCAAAACTCATTTTCTCTGTTGCTATAACCCAAGTCAACCAGGTTGGAGGAGAGGTCAGAAATCACACATCTGCCATTACGCTTGTGAAATATCCATGAATAAGACAGGTGTACAGGCCCATGAAGATACAGTTTGCTGGTTGAATGGTTGTGCCAAACAATACTGATGGAATGGATGGCTCTCCAACAGGAAAGTAATCACTGGTGATGGGCTTACAAGTGTCTAGCCTGACCCTATACTGGTAAATGGTTTTTCCAATGACTTTGCTTCTCACTAACAGGAGGAAATTGTGATAAACCATTTATTGATTAATTCATTCCTTCAACAAATAATTATTGAACATCTTCCACTTGATAAACATTGAGCTGAAGGCATTAGGTTAGCAAAGATAAATTGGGCAGTTTCTGCCCTGAAAAAACTCATTTTAGAGGTGGAGGAGACAGTGGTCTGACATTTACATAAGTTCTCGTAATACAGTCCTGATATATTGTAGGACCTTAATAATAAACAGCCATGAATGAACGTCACATTCTCTATCTTGCATGTTCCTATTTGCACTGGGCAAATTTCTTTGCTGTATTCCTCTATCTTCATTTGGGGAACTCCTACTTGTTCTTCAGGTTTCAGCTCAGATGCTACCTTTCTCTGAAATTCTCTTTGTACCCACTTACTCCCACCCAAGGCAAGGAGAGGTACCTCCTTTGAGAGCCACTATGACTCTGGTAACACCTGGTTTTTATTTTGCAATTGCCTGTTTCCTTGCCTGTCTTCCTGACTACCCCCTATCCCCTTGGGGTAAGGCTCTTTACCTTACTATTTTTCTATCTCTAGAACTCAACCTATTCTTTAGCAAATCACTGGGGCCCAAAACAAATAACCAAATGCCAAGTTTAATGGAGTTCTTCTACCAGGACTAAATTTTGATAAAATGACTTTTGCTGTTCCTTTCATATCTAAGATTCTTGAGGAGAATTAAATATAGTAGTCTAGAGTTTCAACCTTTGAACATAACGACCGTGGGCGTATACCTTGTAAAGGGGTAACACTGGTGAGCCATAAACTAATCCAAAAATTCACACCTTTTCTTTTGTTCTTACAGGTAGGTAATCCATAATTTCATTGTCGGTGGTGGTATGTTCAATTAAGTACTGTTTGCTAATATTTACCTTCTAAGTGCACTAGTAAGGGTTGCTAAAAATTACTTTGAAAAAGCCAACATTGACATATTACTAGTTTACTGAAGACCAAAAGTCAGTATTTTCACTAGAAGTCTGCACTCTAGACACTACATATATAACCTATCACTCTCTACATAATAGATTATTTGCAATTATTTAGTTATTTTATCTAATTCTAATTATAACCCTATGGAATTTTTATGTTACTGTTACTACATTTTACAGAGGAGAAGACAGAGGTAGCAGAAAACTAAGCTAATTTCCCAAGGTAACTCAACTAGCAGAAGATAGAACCACATGTGGAGATCAGGCTCCAGAGAAATCCTTTTAACATCTACACTATATTTCATCTTAGCACCTGTAGAGTTGTCGAGCTTGAGCGGCACGTGAGAAGGCAGGCATAAGTGGGCTGTGGTTGAACAAAAAATGTCAGAGATAAATGATCATCAGTCTAGAGGTGAAGACAATGTGGGATTAGAGTGAGGAAGAAGGTACCTGCTTGGAATGAGAGATGTAGTTGCTTTGAGTGACTGGAGTCTGGATGGCGTAGTAGCAACAAGGAGAGAGAGGGCCAGGCGTGGTGGCTCATGCCTGTAATCCCAGCACTTTAGGGGGCCGAGGCAGGTGGATCACAAGGTCAGGAATTCAAGACCAGCCTGGCCAAGTTCGTGAAACCTCGTCTCTACTAAAAATACAAATATTAGCCAGGCATGGTGGCGAGCACCTGTAATCCCAGCCACTTGGGAGGCTGAGGCAGAGAACTGCTTGAATCTGGGAGGCAGAGGTTACAGTGAACCGAGATCGCACCACTGCACTCCAGCCTGGGTGACAGAGCAAGACTCTGTCTCAAAAAAAAAAAAAAAAAAAAAAAAAGGAGATTGGGAGAAAGGAAAACTATTACCTGGAGTGTATGTTTAAAAACTAAAAACTAACAGGAAAACTGTTACCTTGAGTTTATGCTTAAAAACTGAAAACTAACAACATAAGAGATGCAAAGACTAAATGTATGTCTGGTATAGAATATTTTCTTAAACATATACAAGTGACATTTTCAGACAAAAGGCTTCAACCAAATATCCAAGTGTCAGTTCTCTGAATCACTTAGCCCTTCGGACGGATTAAATTGATTACTTTTTCCCCCAATTACCTGGGCTTCAAATTTATTGCTCATTTGCCTCCTTTAGTTCTAAAATAAAGTACAGATTCACATTTACAATTTGATCAAAGTCATCATGATGAAAATTTCTAAGGCATTGTCAGTCGTGATTGTGCTAATTTTTAATGATAGCCCCCTACTAATCAATAGGTAATTTAATTCAAAAATGTGAAGCTATAAACTTTAATGTTCTGTTTGGTATTTTCTTATTAATTGGAAAGATGGCTCAGTCAACTTTTAGGGAGAGAGCTAAGAAGATCTCTCCATTACAGTCCGATCCTGATGGGTGGCATTGACCAGACGCAGTGCTAGGAAGATCTATCCATTAGAGTCCAATTCTGGTGGGTGGCATTGACCAGAGGCAGCGCCACTCCCTGGGGCCACACACTGTTGGTGTTGGTTCTAGTTGGAATCTCTGATCCTACTCTGTGTGAAATACGTGACTGCTCATCTCTGCATCTTGCACCAAGGCTGTGCCTTGCCCTAATCTTCCCTCCTACACTTATTTTTATAACCTAAATACAAACCTTGCAGAGAAAGGGAAAGATTGGATCTCTCTGCTCCAGTATATGCTTTTATTTGTCTCACCCAATTCAGTCTAGTACTTCAAGTCAGTCTACCAACGCAAAACAAGATCAAATGCTAAACTGTCGAGAAGACTAACAATTCCTTCCAAAAGCATTTACTGTTTATCTTTTCACATACCACTCAGTCCGCTGTGATTGCTGGTATCCTTGGTATTTTATCTTATTTTTTCTTAATAATACATGCCTTTCTTAAACATTAAAGTATCACTTCTTGTAAGAGCAAGAGTTAAAAGATAGTTAAGATGTTGAAGAATTCCATTTGCTTTAAAAACAAAAGACTGAAACCATCTTGATTCCCCTTCCACCTTCATAGATAACAGAAACATAGGTGCCAATGCTCTCCTCAATCCTTTAAAGCAATTGCCTTTTTAAACCATTTGCAATTTGTTTCCTGCTTAAAGACATGAGGAATTCATTACAAACTATTTAGAGAATAAATATCCAAGGAGTCAAACATAGCGATGCTTATCTTTGTGTACGTACATTTTTTTTTCTTAAGAAAACATATTTCTACCTTCCTTTTATCTTTTAATGAAAACAAGATCACACTGAGTTTGGACTCCCCGAGCCATATGCTCACCTTTTGCTGTGCCATTGACGATTCTTCCACCATTTCACTATTAATGCCCTTGAAGGCTACATATTCAGAGACTCCACAAGGGCTGATACAAAATATCCTCTCAACTAATATTTGATAAATGATTAATAAACTAATGAGAATTCCACTGTAGCCTTATACCATACTTGATTTCATCAGTTCGCTGTTATAGGCCATTTGGGTAATTTTCCACTGTCTTGCTATTATAAACAATCTAGTAATAAACATCCTCATAGCCACATCTTGGCACACATTCCTTATTATTTCTTTAGCATGAATTCTTCAGCATACATGTAGTCAATGAAAGCTAATGCACTGTTATTCTATTAAAGGCTATTATTAAAGTTGAAATTTAAGAAAAGGCAAAGAGAAAGTGAAAACAAGTAATAGACCTAAATAAATCCCTACATGCTAAAGAACAAAAGGCTCTGCCACAGAAATACTGGAACTGGAACTCATATCCTAACAATGAAAACAACAGCAACTGTCAGATGGACAAAAACTGAAAATACACACACACACACACACACACACACACACACACACACACACACACACAGACAACTGACATATCAAGAAATGAAGTTGGTTGACTAAAGAATTAATTGGGTCCCAGCACTATGGGAGGCTGAGGCAGGCAGATCACCTGAGGTCAGGAGTTCAAGACCAGCCTGGCCAACACGACTAAACACTGTCTCTACTAAAAATACAAAAATTAGCCAGCTGTGGTGCCATGCACCTGTAATCCCAGCTACTTGGGAGGCTGAAACAGGAGAACTGCTGGAACCCAGGAGGTGGAGGTTCCAGTGAGCTAAGGTTATGCCACTGCACTCCAGCCTGGGCAACAGAGCGAGACTCTGTCTCACAAAAGAAAAAAAAAAAAGAATTGATAAGTAATATGAAACTCCACTTTTTCTACTCCATTTCAACTTTATTTTCAGTAGAATATAATCTTGTTTTCTGTTTCATAACGGGAACCTTAAATGCAAGAAAGAGGTAACCTATTCTTGTGACAATATGACTAGCTCATCATTGTCTGAATAGATTTAAGTTCAACATCCATTTTTCTAGCTTAGAAAGCAAAGGCTTTTCCTCTTTCTAAACTCTTTCCCCCCCGACTCCCTGAACACATGTCACCTTCAGTCCATTACTTTTATTAGGATGAGGTTTCTTATCTAATTAGGGTAAACACATTACCCAGAGTTAAAGTTTCTTTTTAAGAAATTTCTAAGAGATGATTGTCCCTCTCAACCCCATGATGCAAGTTTTAAAAGACCTGTAGTCAGGTTCCTTGGCAATCAATATAAGCATTTAATGTAAAATGTATTTTCTTTTTAATTAGAAATTACTAAATTGGTGGTGTGTCTTGCTACTAACACAGTCTGTGCTTTAAAAGTCTTAGGCATAAAATATTTGCATTATAGAATCAATCAAATGTAGTTGCTTGGTACAGTTTGGGATGTTTTAGAGAGCATGGTTATATTCTGTTTTGAATGATATTTAAATTGCTCTAATGTATTCTAGGCTGGACTCTCACGTCAATTAATCAGTGCCAAGGCTCTGTCTAACATTTTGCTACAAACTGGGTTCAATTGTAATTTGTCAACTCTAGCACCCGTTGCTATGACAAATAGCTTTGGTCTGGTTAATCTCTTGAACATAATAGCATTCTGCTACTTTGATAAATCTATTATGTCGTGGTTTACATATGCTTGGGGGAAAATTTTTATTGGGACATTTTACACTAAATTATCTCTAGTTTACACCAACAAAGCAAGCAGAGGACTGATTCTGATAGTAGCTTCCCAATATCTCAACAATGCCAAGTTATCTTGGATCTCAAATCTCACAGCAAGACATTAAGAGGACAGTACCTGAAGTCTGACCACAAAGTTTCAAAATCATGAATCCCCATTTACTGACTTGGACCATTTACTTAACTTTCTGTGTCCTGATCCTTCTTATTGGTATAAAGAAGATAGTAGTTTGGACTGACTTCTTAAAAGTGTGACAGTTCAATGTAATAGAGGACAGGGTCTGCCGCATTAAAAACAACCAACAAAACCTGGATGTTGTTGTAATTGTTTAAAATCTTTTTTTACTAATGCATAATAATTGTACATATTTACAGGGTACATGTGACATTTTGATACATGCACACAATGTGTTATGATCAGGGTAATTGGGGGTATCCATCACCTCAAACATTTGTCATTTCTATGGTTGGAGACATTTCAAATCTTTTCTTCTAGTTACTTTGAAATGTACAATAAATTGTTTTTAACCATCATCACCATACTATGCTGTGGAACACTAGAACTCACTCCTATCTAACCATATGTTTGTACTTATTAATCAGCCTCCCCTCATCCCACCTTCTCTACCCTTCCCAGCCTCTGGTAACCACCATTCTACTCTCTATCCTCCAGAGATCAACTTTTTTAGCTCCCACATATGAATGAGAACATGTCATATTTGTCTTTCTGTGCTCAGCTTATTTCAGTTAACATAATGACCTCCCTCCAGTTCCATCCATGTTGCTGTAACAAACAGCATTTCATCCTTTTTCAGGGCTGAATAGTATTCTGTTGTGCATATATACCACATTTTTAATCTAATCGTCTCTTAATGGATACTTAGGTTGATTTTATATCTTTGCTATTGTAAATAATGCTGCAGTAAACACGGGTGTGCAGGTCCTTTCAGATATTGATTTTCTTTCCTCTGGGTAAATATCCACAGTGGGATTTTGCTGGATTTTATGGTAGTTCTATTTTTAGTCTTTTTGAGAAACCTCTGTATTGTTTTCCCTATTAGCTGTGCCAATTTTCATTCCAACCAACAGTGCATAAAAGTTCCCTTTTCTCCACATCCTTGCTAGCATTTATTTTTTATCTTTTTGATAATAGTCGTTCTAATTGGGATGAAATTATACGTCATTGAGGTTTTGATCTGCATTTCCCTCATAATTAGTGATAATAAGCATTTTTTTTATACCTGTTGGCCATTTGTATGTTTTTTGTTTGTTTGTTTGTTTGTTTGTTTGTCTGTTTGTTTGAGATGGAGTTTCGCCCTTGGTGCCCAGGCTGGAGTGCAATGGCACGATCTCAGCTCACTGCAACCTCCATCCCCTCGGTTCAAGCAATTCTCCTGCCTCAGCCTCCCAAGGAGCTGTGACTACAGGTGTCTGCCACCACGCCTGGCTAATTTTTGTTGTATTTTTAGTAGAGATGGAGTTTCACCATGTTGGCCAGGCTGGTCTCGAACTCCTGACCTCACATGACCCCCCTGCCTCAGCCTCCCAAAGTGTTGGGATTACAGGCGTGAACCACCAGGCCCGGCCTGTATATCTTCTTTTAAGAAATGTTTATTCAGATCCTTTGCCCATTTTTAAATGGGATTATTATTATTATTATTGCTATGGAGTTGACTGTGTTCCTTGTCATATATTCTGGATATGAGTTGACTGAATAGCTTGCAAATATTTGCTCCCATTCTACAGATCCTCTCTTTGCTGCATTCATTGTTTCCTTTGTTGTGCCAAAGCTGTTTAGTCTAATATAGTCCTATTTGTATATTTTGTTTCTGTTGCCTATGCCTTTGAAGTCTTAGCCATAAAATCTTTGCCTAGGCCAGTGTCTTAATGCATTTTACCTATGTTTACTTCTAGTAGTTTTATAGTATTGGGTTTCAATCTTTAATGCATTTTGAGTTGATTTTTGTATACGGTAAGAAATAGGGTCTTGTTTCACTCTTCTACATACGGATATCCATTTTTTTCCCAGCACTACTTATTGAAGAGGGTGTCCTTTCCCCAATCCATATAATTTTTAAATAAATCCAGTTATAGGTAAATGGTACTACAGTATATATTTTTTAAATGCTTGAAATTAAATGTTGAAGATTTTTAAAGGTTTCTACTATGAATGACCAAATAAAACTTGCAAAAAGGGTTTTGCTGCCAATGTGGTCACTCCCTGGGAGGCACCTCATTGTGTACTGTCATCCAAACGGGGCTGATGTGATTGCAGAAGTGGGCACTTATTGACCTCAGCTAGCAATTTGAAACTGGCTGTAAATGGTCCCTTTCGGTCTTAACACACAGGATGTTTCTACATGGAAAAAGTGCATCTGCTGCAGTTTTCAGCAATACATTCTCAAAAAGTCAATTTCACCTTTTGGCAGCTCTGAAAGAATCCATATTACTTTAAGTATAATCGCTCCAAATAGGGGCAACAGTTAAAAGAAGGGGAGAAGAAAAAAGAAGGCCAAAGTACAAGGGGGTGACAAGTAGTTGTTTTTGAATAACAGGGAAATCATACTCCAAGAAACGAATTCTCTAGTATTATATTTATAGCAAAGTGATTAAAAGTTGTTTTTACTAAAGTTCTCATTCCTTACAGTTAAAAGAGCCACAGTTCTTCATGATAAAACACTGAAACAACACAATGCTCCACTAAGAGATAAATGAAACATCAAAACTGTAGCAAATATTTCAGGTGTTCTGACGGGTTATCTTGGCATTAAAACAGGAGACATTTATGCAGCCAAAAAACACATGAAAAAATGCTCACCATCACTGGCCATCAGAGAAATGCAAATCAAAACCACAATGAGATACCATCTCACACCAGTTAGAATGGCAATCATTAAAAAGTCAGGAAACAACAGGTGCTGGAGAGGATGTGGAGAAA
The DNA here is from genome assembly GCF_000001405.40 of Homo sapiens. Lineage (NCBI taxonomy): Eukaryota > Metazoa > Chordata > Mammalia > Primates > Hominidae > Homo > Homo sapiens. The sequence continues at coordinate 6,755,338 of NC_000016.10, read as the reverse complement.
TAGGAACACTTTTACACTGTTGGTGGGACTGTAAACTAGTTCAACCATTGTGGAAGTCGGTGTGGCGATTACTCAGGGATCTAACTAGAAATACCATTTGACCCAGCCATCCCATTACTGGGTATACACCCAAAGGACTATAAATCATGCTGCTATAAAGACACATGCACACGTATGTTTATTGCGGCACTATCCCCAATAGCAAAGACTTGGAACCAACCCAAATGTCCAACAATGATAGACTGGATTAAGAAAATGTGCAACATATACACCATGGAATACTATGCAGCCATAAAAAATGATGAGTTCATGCCCTTTGTAGGGACATGGATGAAATTGGAAATCATCATTCTCAGTAAACTATCCCAAGAACAAAAAACCAAACACCGCATATTCTCAGTCATAGGTGGGAACTGAACAATGAGAACACATGGACACAGCAAGGGGAACATCACACTCTGGGGACTGTTGTGGGGTGGGGGGAGAGGGGAGGGATAGCTTTAGGAGATATACCTAATGCTAAATGACGAGTTAATGGGTGGAGCACACCAGCATGGCACATGTATACATATGTAACTAACCTGCACATTGTGCACATGTACCCTAAAACTTAAACTATAATAATAAAAAAAAAACAACATTCCATTTCCTGCATCTCTCTCTAATTCTCTCTTTCTCCCACCTCTAAAACAACATCCCCGTATATAAAAGTGTGCTCCTGAAAAATTCAACAAGACACAACCAATGCAAAAAATTAGTGGAGGCCAATTTGTAGAGAGAAATTCTATGTGGGAATTAGTGCAGAGGAGGGAGCAGTGGGAACCCGAAGAGTGCTTCAATTTTCCTCATGAAAAAGAGGAGCTGAAATTGTGGAAGAAACAAAAGGAAAGAGCTTCATTCACTGAATCTTCGACCGTAGGTTTTGAAATATAATTCCCAAGATGACTTTGCTTTTACAAATAAATTTAATTCCAATTTAGGTGAAATTTTTCAGAGAGATAATTATATCCAACACCATTTATGCAATTTGGATTGAGGATATTGAGTTGGCGGAGAGTCAGCAATGCATTTCTGGAAATTGATCTGAATAAAGCAGGTGAACATTGTCATTTGAACCCCAGAGCATAGACACTTTCCTAGCTGTAGCTGCCTGAGTGTTGAGTTTTGCAATCAATTTGTACTCAAAAGAAAAATGCTGTCATAATATGAAGTGAAATGATATGTCTTTGCACTGCTCAAAATACTTAGGTAAAATTATGGGTGTCTTTATTTTTTTATGCTGAAGAGTGGGTATGTATATTGGATAAACTACTCAGCAAGAGTTGGGTACCAGAAGACAACCCAGTAAAAAGCATCCAAGTCAACAGTCAGCTCCATAAGGAGTGATTCTCTTCTCCTTCAGTAATTAAGCATTCAAACCCAGTAAACAGCTTGGTGGGAATGATTTTATGACAAATGACCGAGAGCACATCAACCATAAAACTCAGCTCGGCAAAAATCCCTCAAGCCCAGGAAACTCAATCAATGTAGAGCAGGCAACAGCCTCAGCTGTGGCAGCATTCTCTCACTACGAATCACATAAATCCAAGGAGGCCAGAGCTGCTGCTCCGCTAACTCTGACACAAGACACAAGACAGGAGGAGGGCACGAGGCTTCTCACGGGGAGACAGAAAAGGAAGGCAGGCGAGAAGTACGTTTCTTTTTCTCCCTTTCGCTCTGTTGCTGGTTCTACTTACAGGAGTTGATGAAGAGATGAAATTGCACAGTCTCTATTAAGACAGATGTAACAAATATTCAAAGAGAAGAAGAAAACAGGCAGAGAGACATGGTATAGGAGATGAAAGGGGGACACTGGGTTATAGCAAGATGATCTTCCTGCAACTACGGTCCTGAAAGCATCCCTAAATAAAAGAATAGATATTAATGCAGGCACACAATTTTTATCTCAGTCTATGTGTTGACTATATGACTATTCACTTTTGTACCATATTTTTCCAATACTGCAGTATGCAAATCTCAAAACAGCAAAGCTGAAAGAATTTTACAGCAAACATCCATATATCTACCACCTATATTCTACTACTGGCATTTTACTATACTTGCTTTATCCCAGCTATTTCCATCTGTCCATCCCTCTCTGCAACCATCAACCCATCTTATTTTTGGTGCATTTCAAAGTAAATTTCACACATCATTAAAATACCCCCTACAAGTTTCAGTATACATGATGTTTACTCAAGTTCAATATTTGTATTTTTTTATGCCATTACTTCCTAATAATACTATATGACCACTATGAAAAAGTTACAATAAATTTTGAAATTTGCACAATTGTGTATTTGAAATTTGCACATTTGTATTTTTCCCTTCTCCATAGCAACCAAGTACAATTATTACATATTCACACCGTATAAACATATTGCCAACAGGAAGATAAAAATTCTCTGGGAGAACAGAGGAACTGCAATATGTGAGCAGAGAGGCTGACAGAGAACACAGAACCCTGCTAAAAAAAAAAAAATAGGAGTAGGAATAAAGTTTGACAATTTCATTACCAGCAGGAAAGGATGGAAGTGAAGAAGCAGTAAGGGAAAGGGGGATAGGAAAGTTTTGAAATCAAGATAGGTGCACCTGTTGCATGAAACCGATACGCAGAAAGGTGTGTGTGTTAGAGTTATTACCGGTATTCCAGAGCAGGGGAATGGAAGAACATTATGGCAAGATGCCATAATAAAAAGCTTAAAGAAGTTTACAAAGTTCAGTGAAGAGTATCACTCTATTCTTTAGGAATGCGCTAACTTGCTTTCAAAGATGAACAAACATGGAAAGAACACAGCTTCCAGCACATAGCAAGGTCCAGCGACAGAGCATGTCATATTCCATCTCTAAATTCTACAACTACTTGAAACATGGAGCTATCACTTCCTTGTGGCCAATTTCTTGCTTCATTCTCTCTACTTTACTCATATGGACACAGCATATTAATTAGACTGAGATCATTGTATTTCGTCTGATAATGTCAAAGTTATTGGAGGTCTGGAGTACATCCAAATTGCATTTCAATCTATCACTTCGATGTTATAAATGACAAATCAATATTTTTAATACTTTTCTATCTTAATGTTGCCTGATGGAACAAAGCCAGCACATGCTACAAGAAATATGCAGACTACTAAGGCTGTACTTTGAAACTAATGGAATGCAAAACACTCGTTTTTATGGTACATGCAGGCAGTGGGTCACCGGAGTAGATGGACGCCCAGCAGGAGTTAGAGAAATTAACACCTTTCTGAAGTTGAAAGCAGTGGTAACTTGTTACTGAGTCACCTATTCCAACTGGGATCCTATTAAAGTGCTTGATTTGAGGGCAAGGACATAAAATCTCAATTAAAAATATTGTTTGTTAAAGCCTGGACTCACGCTGGCACCCCTGGAAAATTCATATAAACCAGCAGCGCATCTCCATCTAAAATTCAATTATGTAAGTCCAAGATTGTAGCTGGTCAGAGACAGCTTTGTTATGAAAATAATAGCAAGTGGGTTACGATAATCACACATTCTTCATAAGACCACAGGGGCAGTAAACAACGCAGGTTCAATTCCTGGAAATGCCGCTTCTGGCTCTATCTGCTTGTATACTGTAAGCAGCAAGCTGATGATAACCAACGGACTCAAGAAATAAATCAATGTTACTGGCTTCCTTTGACATTTCATGCAGTCTAAGACAAGTAAACTTCAAAACTCCCAAATCAGATGTGCAGAGGAAGCACTGTATGTTCTACCTTTCTAGTTCTTTATCCAACTAGTGACTCCAAAATCATTTCACCTACAAGTGAGGCAAAGAGTTGCTGTACATGGACTAAGACATAGGAAGTCAGGATGTTCAGTCATCAGGGTACAAATGCCCCAAGAATACAGACCACCCTCCTTTAGGGAACTTCCTAGCTAGTTCCTCTTTATCTACTAGCATGCATTCTAAGTACATTTTCAGTCCATTCATTTTTCTGGTAGAGGGCACTGTCATTTCTCTCCCGTACCACTGCCAACTTCCTCCTTAGCCACCTACTCCCCATCCATTCTAGAGTCAATAAAAACAATCTCCTAATAATATACATCAGAGCTCAATACCCTTGTCCTTAAAACTCTTCATTGTTTCCCATTGTATTTCGAATAAAATGTAAAGTAAATGAAAAGGCCACACAGGACCTGGCCTTTATCTGCTATTCAAACCTATGTCCTACCCCTCCACTGACTTCTCTGCTAAGCTTTGCCACCCTGATCTCCTTTTAGTTCTTTCCCACATCAGGGCCCTTGAACATGCTGTTTCTGTTTCTAATGATCCTTCCTCTTTTTGGCCAGTTGGCACCTTCATATCACTCAGACCTCTGCTTAAATGGGTTCTTCTCCAAGAGCACTTCCCTAGCCCACTAATCTGAAGAAAACACTACTGTATCTTCTACCATCACTCACTATTTCAGCTTCCTGGTTTCATCATCACACACATCCCCCTTTGGCGTTTATTGTTATTAACTATTTATGTTTTTCTCACTTCCACCACTGAATAATTAGTCCACAAAGGCAAGGGTCTGTCTCATACACTGCCCTATCCCTTTAACATTAGCAATAAATGACGAATAATGAATGAATGCATGAATGAATGAATCAATGAACACCCCTGTCCCAGCATAATTGCAGGTGTTTTAAACTTGGGTCTCAATGTTTCTTTCAAAATATCTCTGATGGTGATGAACAAGGCATGCCTTTAGATACCATAGTTCGGTCACCAGTTTATTTTAACATTCTTCTATCTCTGATAAACTGCTGTTAACAGCGTATCAAGAAACATATGTCAAGAAATATTAAACTTGAATTTTAAAAAGGGTGTTTTGGTAGACTGAAAACATAATTTACTCCTGAGCCACCCTGGTTTCAGCTTCTGCTGCTATTTTAAGCCCAGTTGCAATTAAGTGCCTAAATACCATAATAAGGCATCTATCACCAAGCTCCTCTCTATGACCCATTATTAAAACTAAGAACTGCTGTGAGGCTATGAGAATGATTCAATACAAATGACTTAACAGCTATTGATGAATTTACCTTTAACAAATGCCCTCAGGTAGAGCCCACAATTCAATAGGTTTTGCTATTTCTTTTTCCTTCTCCTGCATCCCATTTTGCTCTCTCCAGCATGCCACTCAATGCAAATACAACAGCTGCAGTTCTGACAGTAACAGAAAGATCATAACCCTATACACCTCGACTGAAATCTTAATGTTAGCCCCTAGTTGATAGCTACATCAATTTCAAAGATGACTTTCCAACCCAAGACTGCTAGACAGAAAAATTCATAAAACTCTGAGAGCACCATCTTTTCATTTGTGTGCCTACTAACTCTGAACACCCTGACACAGTCAGCTTGGCCCTTATTGTATTCTGAGGATGTAGAAATGGAGAAGTCTTTCAGAAATGTGTTTCCTGCTGACTATTATTTCAAGGGAAACAGAAAGCAAAACGAAATAAAAACATTTTACATCGCATTCTTCAGTGATTTTAATCATAAGGCTGCTCTGTTAACACTGAAAAACTTTCCAAGTCGCTGTTATTCTTAAGCAAGAATCTGTGCACTGCAATTCTTTGGGCTTATTATTTACTGAGGTCACTAAGATTTGTTACCCCTGATGTACTGATTAGGAGAGACACTCCAGGAGATGAAGAATGTATATGAGGTCAATAAACGGTGCAATGAATGAAAAGAGAAGGAGCTTTGAAATCGGCATGGCTGCCTGCTGGATATGAAGTCAAAGGCAGGTTAGTTCAAATCCCCAGAACCTCAGTATCCTTATCTGGAAAGTGGGGAAAACATGAGTCCTACCTCCCCGGACGGTTATGAGTATAAATTGCCTGAGTGACCGTAACAGCAAGAACCAGGGTCCATCTCATGCCTCCTTGGGGGAAGGATGGTGGCACTCATGTCCTGAGCACTTACTTTGAACCAGGCGCTGTGTGGAATGCGTCCTGTGTGCATCTGTTCTCTCATTTAATTGGGTTGATGTCATTACTGACTTTCTGTACCAATGAGGAACCCAGGCTCAGATGGGACAGACAACTTGCCAAAACACGATCTTGCCTGGAATGCACAGCAGAGCAGGATCCAAACTCAGATCTGCCTGAGACCATAACTTTTTCTCTCGAATGCCATCCGGCCTTCCTAGTAGTTGCTCAGTGAATGTTGGTTTCCAATACTTTTCACTCAACTGTGGACAGAAATATCAGTCATTTTATGAATACCCAGATTGGCTCCTCCTGTCATTTAATCCCATGATTTTTAATTCTTCCCTTTCAAAAATATTTTTATTTTATCAATTAGGAGAGAACTTTCTAGCAAAAACCAGAAAGGTTGCTAGACAAATTCTGAAAGAACTGTAACACTAATTTTATGGGGTCTATGTTCTTCCTTAGACAAAGACCTTATCAGTCTTGCTCATTGCTGAAATTCTAGCATCTAGAAGGTATTCAATAAAATCTTATAGAATGAAAGGTAAAGATAATTAATCATAACCTCTGAGAATTCATCATACATCTAAGCCAACTTCAAAATCTATATACTCCAAATAACTTCTGTTCATACATGCATAACAAGTTCAAATTCTATATACTCCAAATAATTAGGTGTTTTGTTTGAGACAGGATCTTGCCTTGTTGCTCAGGCTGGAGTGCAGTGGTGTAATTATAACTCACAACAGCCTCGAACTTCTGGGCTCAAGAGATCCACTTCAGCCTCCCAAGCTGGGACTACAAATGCATGCCATCATGGCCAGCTAATTTTTTATCTTTATTTTTTGGAGAGACGGGATCTTGTTATGTTGCCCAGGCTGGTCTTGAACTCCTGGGCTTATGCAATCCTCCTGCCTCGGCCTTCCAAAGTGTTGGGATTATAGGTGTGAGCCACAGTGCCCACCCCAAATAATTTGTGCTCATACATACATACATATGTATATAGTTATATGTGTATGTGTACGTATATATGTGTGTGTATGTATTTGCGTGTGTGTGTGTAGAGAGAGAGAGAGAGAAAGAGAAAAGAAGGCTGGGTCTGTATACTTCTGGAATTTATGCACAGCATGGTACTGAACCCATAAGGATATCCAATTAAATATGCATTTATTGCCTAACGAGATGCTAGTAAATCATGCCATAAATAACGCTAGGAAAAAAAATGATCCTACCAGATAATAATTACATATACAAGTTCAGTTAACACAAAAAAAGTATCAGGAAAATGGTTCAATAAATAACGGTGTCACTACTGGTGAACAATCCTTCAAATCATACAACCTAAGTCTTGTATAATAGGTGCATTTCAAAAGAGAAAGGATTTAGAAAACAAAGGCCAATCCTCATGATGCTGAAGTTGATAGCGTGTTGTGCTTTCCACCAGTTTTACAATGGTGAAGCCATAAGGTATGGATTGCCTATGAAAGTTTTATGTCAGAAAAATGACTCTGGATGGCGGGTAGGGACTGAGGATATGTCACAATTCAGACATCTATGAGCATGTAGATTGACAACTCCCAGGAATCTCTTTGCACAAGTTGCTGTCCATGAAGCGGATGGTGCCCAGAAGACATATTTCTGCTTTTGCAAAAAAGGCAGCAATCAGAAGGACATAGTAGGGGTGGTGTGGGATAGCAACTTTTACTTTTTATACAAGAGACAATATCTGAGATGTTTAAAGAGAAGACCCATAGAAGATACTAAAAATATCACTTTTAACAGAGATTATGTGAATACTGCCCCAACAGGCTTCTTACATATCCCAGGTGACAACAAGTAAACCAGTAAGACAGATAGACAGATAGATAAACAGACAGACAGACAGACAGACAGACAGACTAACTGACTGACTGACTGATAGATTTTTTTTTTCTTTTTGAGACTGAGTCTCACTCTGTCGCCCAGTCTGGAGGGCAATGGGGCCATCTTGGCTCACTACAATCTCTACCTCCTAGGTTCAAGCAATTGTCCTGCCTCAGCCTCTTGAGTAGCTGGGATTTCAAACACACCACCATGCCAGGCTAATTTGTATATTTTTAGTAGAGACGGGGTTTTCACCATGTGAGTCAGGCTGGTCTCGAACTCCTGACCTTGTGATCTGACCGTCTCAGTCTCCCAAAGTGTTGGGATTATAGGCGTGAGCCACTGCGCCTGGCCGACCAGTAAGATAATTTAAGGATCTCCCATTTGGCATGGTATAGGGACCTGCTATGGTACCGTGAGGGGTTCTGCAGAGGTCTGCTAGGACTTCTGTAGGCTAACACCTCAATAATCTGTGGTGAGGGGATATCTGCACAGTAGTATAGCTCCACAGGAGAGATGAGATTTTAGTTTGAGCCCAAGTGAGACACCTGCTGAAGTCTCCCAAAATACTGAGAAGACTGCTAGGAGATGGAGTTTCTATGAACTGGACATCAACATTTGAGTTGTTATGCTTAATAAAATCTCACATTCCTATAACAGACTTGGGATCACTAGCAAACTTTGGCTTATAAATATATAAGTATTGATTATATGTATCAATATTTCACTTTTCTGCCCTATGTAAACTTTCAATTAATTAATAATAGTTAAGGATTAATAAGACAACACTTTTTTTTTTTCCCTGACACCTGTGTCTCACTCGTCACTCAGGCTGAAGTGCAGTGGCACAATCACAGGTCACTGCAGCCTCAACTTCCCAGGTTCAGGTGATCCCCCCAGTTCAGCCTCCCAGGTAGCTAGGGACTGCAGACATGTGCCATCATGCCCGGCAATTTTTTGTATTTTTTGTTGAGATGAGGCTTTGCCATGTTGCATAGACTGGTCTTGAACACCTGGGCTCAAGTGATCCAACTGTCTAGTCTTCCCATAGTGCTGAGATTACAGGTGTGAGCCACCATGCCCAGCGCACCACTTTCTTGATTATTGTAGCTTTCCATTAAGTCTGCAAATCATACAGTATTCATCTTCCCAAATTGTTTTTTTCAAAGATATTTTGGCCATTCAAGTTGACTTCCACTTCTATATGAATTTTAGAATATGTTTGGGAGTTTTTATTGAAAAAAAGGCCTGCTGGGGTTTGATTGGCATTGTGTTGAATCTACAGATCAATTAGGGGAGACTAAGATAAGTCTCTCAACCTACACACGATATTGGCCTGTATGCTCACATATTTAAGTCTCTTTCAACTCCTCTCAGCTATTCTGTAGTTTTAAGGGTATAGGACTGGCATATCTTCCATCAGATTTGTTCCTCTAAGTATTTCACTGTTCAAAATGCTATTGCAAATGATATTTTTAAGCTTTAATTTCCAATTTGTGTAATATATAAAAATATAATTGAATTACATATATTGATACTGCATCCTGCAACTTGATAAATTCATTTCTAAGTTCCAGTGACTTTCTGTTTTAGAGAGCATAAAATTTTATGCACAGATGATCACGCTGCCTATGAATAAAGACAGTTTTTTTCTTCTCTAAACAGATGCCTTTTACCTCCTTTTCTTGCTCATTATCACTGGCTAAAATACTGCGAAAGGGAAGTGGTGAAAGCATAAATCCTTGCTTTGTTCCCAATCTTGGGGGCAACACCAGTATTTCCTCATTAAGCATGATATTAGCTATACATTTTCCATAGATGCCTTTTATCATATTGACCAATTTATCTTCTATTCTTGCTGAGCTTTTTAAAAAACTAGAATCCATTTTGGATTTTGTCAAATGCCTTTTCTGCATCTATTAAAATAATTGTGTTAGTTCACATTTTGTTGTTAATATGGTGTATTTCATAAATTGATTTTCAAATGTTAAGGCATCTTTTCAATCCTAAAACAAAATCTGCTCATTCTTGATATAGTATCCTTTTCATGTGTCAATAGATTTCATTTGCTTGTTGTTTTAGAATTTTCACATAGGTATTCATGAGGAAGACTAGTCTGTGGTTTCGGGGGTTTTTTCTTGTGAATTTTTTCCTGGTTTTGGTATTACAGTAATCGTTGCCTCATAGAATGGATTGGGAAATGTAACTTCCTTTTCCATTTTCTGAAAGAAATGTTTTGTAAAGTTTATTAACAAAGTCATCTGGGCTTGGAATTTTCTTAGAGGGAAGATTTTCAACTCCAGATTTAATTTATTTGATATATATCAGGAAATTCAGATGATCTATTTCTTCTTTAGTGAGCTTTCTTAGATCTCTTTCAAGGAATTTACCCATTTCACCCTTAAATCTTAATATCATAAAATAAGGTTGTTCATAATATGATCTTATTTTTCTTTTAATACCTATAGAGTCTGTAGTGATGCCTCCTCTTTCTATACTGATATTGGTAATTTGTATCTTCTCCTTAACTTTACTAAGCCTGGCTAAAAGTGTATTGATTTTACTAATTTTCTCAAAACACCAGCTTTTGGTTTCAAAGATTTCCTCCATTTTTGGCCTACTACCTGTTTTATTGATTTCAACCCTGATCTTTATTTCCTATCTTCTACTTAATTTAGTTCACCTTCTTTTTCTATTTTTCTAAGGCAGAAGATAAAGTAAGTGATTTAAGACCATTTTTCACTATCCTAATATGGGTATTTAATGCTATGAATTTCTCTTCAAGCATTGTTTAATAACACTACGCAAAATCTGATATGTCTTATGTATATTTTTGTTCAGGTCACTGTTTATTTTGACTTCCATTTAGATTTTCTCTTCGATCCACAGGTTATTTATTAAAGTGTGGCTTATTCTCCAAGTGTTTGGAGATTTTCATTTTATATTTCTGTCATTTATTTCTAGTTTGATTCCACTGCGATTGGAGAAATAACTTCAATTCTCTTAAATTTATTGATTAAAAAAAATAGTTCAGCCCAGAATAGCTCTTTTCTTGAAAACATTTCCTTATGTACTTGAAAACAATATGTATCCTGCTATTTTAGGATAGAGGGTTCTACAGTCATTAATTAAGGCAAATTAATTAATACTACTATTCAAATCTATATATTTAATAATTTTCTAGCTATTTATTCTGTCAGTTATTGAGAGACTAGCACTGAAATATTTGGCTATTTCTCCTTCCAGTTCCAACAGTTTTGTTTCATGTATTTTAAAGTTGAGGTGCATAAATATTTAATGTCTTCTTGATTAAGTCACCTTTTCCATTGTGAAATTACCTTCTTTATCCCTGATGTATTTTTCTCTAGAATCTATTTGTGTGATATCAGTATAGTTACTTCAGTATTCTTTAGATTAGTGATCACATTCTGTATCTTTATTACTTTTTAAAGGAAAGAAATACACTTTATTTAAACATGCGAACACACCACTTGCTTTATATATTGAAAAGATAACATTGACAAAATTAAACCACAAATGAAAAACTGGAAAATCATTTACTGTATATATCATAGATGAATGGTTAATATCCTTAATTAATGTATAGGAAAATGTGTTACAAATAATCAGAAATAAATGAACATGATTTTTTAAATAGTCAAAACACATGAGAAAAAATAATGAACATTTATTTATTTATTTATTTTTCTTCCTTCTTTCCTTTTGAGACAGGGTGTTGCTTTGCCCTGAGTGCAGTGGAGTGCAGGCTGGAATACAGTGGTGTGATGACAGCCCAGTGCAGCCTCAGCCTCCCAGGCTCAAGTGATACTGACACCTCAGCCTCCCACGTAGCTGGGACTACAGACATGCACCACCATGCTCACTTCAATTTTTAAATTTTTTGTACAGTTGGGGTCTTGTCATGTTGCTCAGGTTGGTCTCAAACTCCTGGGCTCAAGGCATCCTCCTGCCTTGGCCTCCCAAAGTGCTGGGACTACAGGTGTGCACTACCATTCATCCTTATCAACATATTTGTGTCTTTATATTTAAAATGTGCTTCTTATAACACAGCCTATAATTTGATCTTATTTTTATTAAGTCTGACAATCTCTGCCTTTGAACTGAGTATATTTAGAACATTAATATTTAATGTGATTGACAGAATTAGGTTTAAACCTATAACCTATTGGTTTTTCATTTGTCCCAACTTTCCCTTTTCCTCTTTTTTGTGTCTTGTTTCACAATAATTGAAAATTTTTATTATTCTATTTCCTTTGCTGGCTTATTAGCTATAACTCTACATTTCATCTTTTTAGTGGGAACTTAAGGGTTTACAGTAACACTATAAAAGGCAAATCTTTATAACTTATTTTGAAAATATTACAAATACACAGACAGTTGTAAAGACACTACAGAGAAGTATTGTTTCCCTATCCTGCTAGTGACATTGGTAACCCATTTGTTACATCTTATGCAACTATAATATCATATTGTACTATATGATATTGACATTGATAAAGTGTGTTTGTATAAGTTTAACCCCTTTTATTACACGTATAGATTTCTGTAACTACCACCACAATACAATACAGAACTAATTCACCACAGATTTCTCCTTCATGCTGTACCTTTATAGTTCTACCCATCTTTTTTTCTCCCACCATACTGGCAACTATGTCCAAATCTTTATACTTCTCTCATGGTCAAAGTGTTATATAAATGACATTGTATAGTCTATAACCTTTTGAGACTGTTTTAATTTTCATTCAACATTGTGCCCTTGAGATTCATCACAGGTGTTGTGTATATCGATAGTTCATTCAGTTTTTATTGCTGAATAGTAGTTCACAGTACGGGTATCTCACAGTTTCTTTAACCATTCACCTACTGTAGATATTTTGGTTGTTTCCAGTTTTTGACTCAGAAATAAAACTGCTGACAATAATTGTGTATAGCTTTCTGGGGTTTTTCGTGGACATTAACTTTCATTTCTGTGGAATAAATGTCCAGAAATGTGATTGTTGACTCATTGGTAAATGTCTATTTATTTTAAGAAACTACAAACAATTTGCCAGAAGAGTTGTGTCATTTTGCATTGCCATCATCAGTATATGAGAGACACACTTTCTATGCGTCCTTGTAAATATTTGATAGTTTCTATCTTAAATTTTACCTGTTTAACATGTGTATAATGATATGTTATTATATTCTTAATCTGCATTTCCCTAATAGCTAGTAATGCCGAATTCTTTCCATGTTCTTGATTGCCTCCATATATCCTCTTTGGTAAAATATTTCTTCAAGTCACTTTAAAAAGATTTTCTAAATGGATTGGTTTTCACTCTTTGACATTTTAAAATTGACAATAATAACTGTATATATTTATCACGTACAACATGATGTTTTGAAAAATGTATACACTGTAGAATGGCTAACTCAAGTTAATGAACATATGCAGAACCACACACACTTATAATTTTTGTGGTGAAAACATTTGAAATCTACTCTGTTAATGATTTTCAAGAATATAATACAGAATTATTAACTACAGTCTATCACTATGTTGTACAATTGATCTATTGAGCTTATTCCTCCTATCTAACTAAAACTTTGTATGCTTTGACAAACATTTCTCTAACCCTTTACCCTTCCAGTTTCTGGTAACCACCATTTCACTTCTTCATAAATTTATAGATATTAATTCTTTATTAGATATGAAATTTGCAAGTATTTTCTTCCACATTATAGCTTTTCTTTCCAATATCTTAACAGGATTGTTCAGAGACCACATCCTTAATTTTTTTTTTTTTTTTGAGACTGAGTCTGGCTCTGTCGCCCAGGCTGGAGTGCAGTGGCATGATCTCGGCTCACCGCAACCTCCACCTCCGCAGTTCAAGCGATTCTCCTACCTCAGCCTCCCAAGTAGCTGGGATTACAGGTGCGCACCACCAAAGTTAGCCTGGCTAAAATTTGTACTTTTAATACAGACAGGGTTTCGCCATGTTAGCCAGGCTGGTCTCGAACTCCTGACCTCAGGTTATCCACCTGCTATCAGCCTCCCAAAGTGCTGGTATTACAGGCATGAGCCACCCCGTCCAGCCAAATTTTGATGAAGTCTAATTTATCATTTTTTTCTTTTATAGACCCTTGGTGGCATGTCACCGAGCTCTAAGTTCGAAAGATATTTTTCCTATAGGATTGCCTGAAAGTTTTATAGTTTTATGTTTTCAATTTAACCTACGATCCATTTTGAGCTAATTTTTATGAGATGTGAAGTTTAGGTCAAGATTTATTATTTATTATTATTATTTTGCCTATAAATAGCCAATTGTTCCAGCACCATTGTTGTAAAGATTATACTTCCCCCATTAAATTGCTTTTGCATTACTGGCAAAAATCAGCTGGTCAATGTTGTCTGGGGCTATTTCAGTGTCTTCTCTTCCCTTCCATTGATTTAGGTGTCTACATCTAAGCAAATACCACATAGCGATGATGACTGGAGTTACATAACGTCTTGAAACTAGGTAGACTGGTTTGTCCCACCTGATTCTTATTTTTCAAAATTGTGTTAACAACTCTAGTTTCTTTGCTTTTCTATTCAAATTTTGAGATAATCTTGTCTATATTTATTTTTAAAAACTCTGCTGATATTTTGAAATGATTGCATTACCTCTGTGTATCAATTTGAGCAGAAATGGCATCTTTACAAAGTGGAGTCTTTCAATCCATGAACACACTGTGCTTTTCCATCTATTTACATGTTGGCCTTTTTCATCAGCATTTGATAATTTTCAGCATACAAGTCCTGTTAGATGCACACCTAAATATTTCCCTTTTTTCTGGGTGATTAAAATTGTATTGTATTTTAAGTTGCTTTTATCTGTTTACTGTAAGAAATTTAGAAACTGTTTTTGGCAATGTGATTTCATATCCTGTGACTTTGGTGAGCTAACTTGTCAGTCCACAAAATGTGTGTGGGTTTTAAATTTTTGGTGTTTACTCTATAACCATGGAATCCACTAATAAGGATAGTTTTATTTCTTTATTTTAATCTGTATGCCTTTTATTTATATTTCTTGTCTTATTGCACTGTTTAGAAATTCCCTACTATGTTGAATAGCAGTGGTGTCTTGTTCCTGTATTTAAGGGGAAATCATTCATTTGTACCATTATACACAATATTAGATGTAGGTTTTTTGCACATATCCTTTATCGAGTTAAGAAAACTGTTATCGATTCTTATTTTTTTCTGAGACTTCTGGTTGTGTATCAATTTTGTCAAATGTTTTCCTGCATCAGCTAATGTGAGCATGTGATTTTTCTTCTTGAACCTATCGGTATAGTGAATAACATCAATTGATTTTCAAATACTGAATTAGTATTGTATTACTGGACTATTCCTCATTAGGTTGGGGTGCATAAGTCTTTTTATATATTGTTAGATTCTATTTGAAAATGTTTTAAATAGTGTTAATTCTATATTTATCAGGGATATTGATTTGCAGTTTTCTTGTTTCTTTTGTTACTTTCTTTGTCCAGTTTTGTGACCAGAGTGTAATGGCTTCATAAAATAAAGTGGAATGTGGACCACCACGTTTTATTCTTAAGACAGAGTCTTGCTCTGTCACCCAGGCTGGAGTGAAGTGGTGCAATCTTGGCTCACTGCAACCTCTGCCTCCCAGGTTCAAGCAATTCTCCTGCCTCAGCCTCCCGAGGAGCCGAGACTACAGGCACCTGCCACCACGCCCAGCTAATTTTTGTATTTTTAGTAGAGATGGGGTTTCACCATGTTGGCCAAGCTGGTCTCGAACTCGTGACCTCATGTGATCCACCCACCTCGGCCTCCCAAAGTGCTGGGATTACAGGCATGAGCCACCCCACCTGGCCCACCTTCTATTTTCTAGAAGATATTTTGAAGAATTGGTGTTAAATGTTTTAAAAATATGGGTAGAATTCTCCAGTGAAACCATTTAGACCGGAGATTCCCTTGGGGTGGGGGGAGGGGGGATGTTAAATTATGAATTCAATTTCCTTAATAGTTATAGGGTCATTCAAATTATCTATTGCATATTGGGTGAATTGCAGTTTGTGCTTTTCAAGAGAATTGGTTTAAGCTCTCAAATGAGTAAGTGCAGAGCTGTTCAGAGTACTCTCTTATTATCCTTTTAATGTCTGCAGGGTCTATAGTAATATTCTCACCTTCTCTCCTGATATGGGTAATTATTCCCTTCTTTTTTTTTTTCTATCATCCCTACTAGAAGTTTGCCATTTTCTTCTATATTTTTAAAGAACTAGCATTTCTCTCTTGTTTTTCTGTTTTCAATTTCATTGACTTTTGCTCCAATTTTTATTATTTCCTCTCTGCTGCTTGCTTTAGGTTTATTTAGCTCTTCTTTCCCTATTTTTGTCTGAAGTAGGAGCTTACATTATTGATTTTAGAATTGTCATTTTTAAATTGAAAGCATTTAGGGGTATACATTTCCCTCTAATGACTGCTTTGGCTGCGACACACACATTTTGATACACTGTATGTTTATTTTCATTAAGTTCAATGTCATTTTTAAAATGTATTATGAGACTTCATTTTCAACTCATGGATTACTGAGAAGTTTACTGTTTAGCTTCCAAGTGTTTGGGATTTTTTCCTGTTCTCTTTATGAATTAATTTCTAGTTTGATTCTACTGTTGTCAGAGACCACACCCCAAGATTTCACTGTCTTTACATTTGCTGATGTCTATTTTATGGCCTAGGACATGGTCTCTCAAGGTATATGCTCTATGGGCTCCTTAAAAGAATGTGTATTCTGCTCTTTTGGGGTAAAGGGTTCTGTAATTGTCAATGACATCTTGTTGGTTGATGGTGGTGAGTTCTTCTCTATCCTTCCTTATGTCCTATACAGTCATTCTATAAATTGTTGCGAGATGGATGTTGAGGTTTACAATTATAACTGTGGGTTCATATATCTGTTTTTTTATGTTCTACATGTTTTTGCTTCACAGATTTTACAGCTCTTTTATTCGATACATACACATTCAGAATTCCTATAAATACTCTCCTGGGCTCCTACTCTCCACTCTGATGCTCTATACTCAGAATGACAGGTGCCTTGCTCCCCGGACCCTCAGTTCCACTTCCTCAATACAGGGAGTACTCCAGGCTTCATCTCAGTTCCCCTCCTCTCCTTATGGAAACTCTTAAAGCAGTAAGCTGGGGCAATCAAAGGACTCACATCCTTTGCTCCTGTCAAGGATTGCTGTCCATTACTATTTGATGTACAGTGTTATGCAAACCATTGTTCCATGTGTTTTGATCATCATACAGTCATTTAAGATGAGAGGTTACATCTGGTCCCTATTACACCATCTTGACAAGAGGAAAATGCCTGACTTTTTTTTTTTTTTAAGAATTACCGCAAAAAAAAAAGAGACAAGTCCTTTGTGTTTTTGTTTTCTGTTGCAGACACACATTATTATTCCCAGTGGCAATAGTTAGAATTTATTTAGCACTTTTCTCTGGCTCAAGCATTGTGCTGGGAATGTTTACTCATTATCTTATTTAACAAATTTTTAAATGTAACTTAGGCTTCATGGCTTCCCCCATCTCGAAAATATTATAGTACATTTTGTTTAGGAAAAGTCTGCAATGTCCCAAATAAAAGGAGTTAACTAAATGAAATATAAACAATCTTGATATAAGATACCTTTCCTCTTATTAATAAATGGACTATTATTTAAATCCCATATATCATTTGTGTACCTAGACATTCATCCAACCTAAGGCTCTGGGACATTTTGAGGAAAAAGCCTAGCCTATATTGAACCTGATTAACACTCTTCACTCTTCCCAACTGTATTTATTTGCTAAGCCCTCACATCAAATGAGCCTCGGGCGAGAAAACACATCCTAGAAGCAGAGTCCAGATTTAAAACTGATGTTGAGCAGCAATGACTTCCAGAAAGTTCATAGCCACCACGTAGTAGCTGTTTTGGCCATCTGAACTGGACAAGGAGTAACATGTCTGTTCTTTTTAACTTTCAAATATTTGAATTCTATTTTAATACTGTGATGCACACTTACATGAAGGCCCAATATTTCTTCTAGTCTTTACCTGATAATTAAACAACAGATAAAACTGATGCATTTTTATACTTCTAAACAAGAAATCTATAAATAACATATAAGGGTAGGGATAATCACAAGTGAACTTTTGTCAGAAGAAATACGGGGAAATGCAAAAATATCATAACCCTTTATTTAAATTACATTGAGTTATTTTTTGCTTGACCTATAGCCAAATATCTACCATTCTTGCCAATATTCTTTACAGCTTTGCCTCTGTTGTTTCCTCTATTGTAAACCCAATGAAGGCAGGGACTATCTTACTCAGAACTGATTTTTCACTGCCCACTGAAGTATCTGACACATGGTAGATGTTCACTGAATACTGCTTAAATGAGGCTCCTCTTTTCAGACGGTTCCCGTGTCAGGGATAAGTGGCGAATACAGGGCACACAGGCTGTCGCTTCCCGATGCTAACTTCACAGCAGACATCACCAATCCATCACAGCACTCCTCCCTGCTAAGTCTATACCTAGGCTCCAAATCAATTGCTTCAGACTCTAGGTATCCCACTTTCCAGGGTATCCACATCTGGAATTCAGATGTATGAATACAGCATTCCATACATGGTCAGAACCACCACCTGCTACAAATCACAACCTGTCCTTCTAAACTGGTTTTCCCAGTGTGGAGATTCATTAAGGAACTAAAAGTAGAACTACCATTTGATCCAGCAATCCCACTACTGGGTATCTACCCAGATGAAAAGATGTCATTATTTGAAAAAGATACTTGCACATGCATGTTTATAGTGGCACAATTCACAACTGCAAAATCGTGGAACCAATCCAAATGCCCATTACTCAATGAGTGAATAAAGAAATTGAGGTATGTATATATATGATGCAATACTACTTAGCCATAAAAACGAATGAATTAACAGCATTTGCAATGACATGGATGAGATTAGAGACTATTACTCTAAGTGATGTAACTCAGGAATGGAAAACCAAACATGATATTTTCTCACTGATATGTGGGAGCTAAGCTATGAGAATGCAAAGGCATAAGAATGATACAATGGACTTTGGGGACTTGGGGGGAAGAGTAGAGGGGTGAGGGATAAAAGACAATATGATGCAGTGATGGGTGCACCAAAATCTCACAAATCACCACTAAAGAACTTACTCGTGTATGCAAATACCAACTGTACCCCAATAACTTATGGAAAAATAAAATTTAAAAAATTAATAAAATAAAATAAACTGGTTTTCCATGGTAACAACATGGACATAAATTGTATTTATGTCTCCTTGGATGGCTAAAATAATTTGAACAAAAATTGTGTAATACTGGATAGATCAGAAAAATATTGGGGTAACCATGCTGAAAATTCTAAATCCCTTTCAAAAAGAAGAAGTTAATTACCCTTGAGCAGGCCCAGTAGGGAAGCAAACCTTATTTATTCCAAAAATTAAAGCAAAAGGCAAAAAAAAAATGGCGACAAAAACTCCCTCATTCTTCAACCATCTGCTTATTTCCAGAGGTCTCAGAAGGAGGGCCTGTGAATTATGTAACCAATGCTCCGCCTCAAGGATTCATTTCCTCATGTCTGTGTTCTTCACAGGGGGAGAGGAACCACAGATCACCACCCATGCCACTTGGGAACTATCATGGTAGACTCCTGCACTGGGGCTTTTCATAACCAAATTCAGTTTCTAGGGGAAATGCAACCCTAGGGATCTGAGAGAGTCTCAGCATTGTTACCCAAACATTTTGTGATCGATCCAATGTTACACAACTTCTGTTTCAAGTTATTTTAGCCATGCAATGGGACATAAGCAAATACAAGTCACATCCATGGGGACGAGAAATAGTTAAAAGACACAACAGTAGCTGCCACTCAAACGTCTCCAAATAAATAACTGTTGAAATATGTATACTCTGAAGATTTAGTCTCCGACAGGCACTGCAGAGACTAAGACAGAAAAATATCTATCCATTTACCTATTTACAATTTTCCAATCCTTAAAAGTAAAGCCCTGAATAGTAGGTACAAGCTCCCTAGCTGACGGCACTAAGTAACCAGGTTTAGAGTTTAAGTAATTCCACCAACATGAACCCACTGGTGAGTGGCTGAGTTGGGTAGGAGGCAAGTGTACTTAACTCCCAAACCATACCCTTTCTATTAAATCATGTGCATCTAGCAATAAGCCACCAGTTTGGTTTTCGTTGTTGATGTTGTTGTTGTTGATGTTGTTGTTGTTTTTGTTGAGACAGGGTCTCACTCTGCTGCCCAGGCTGGAGTGTATACAGTTGTTTAATCATGGCTCGCTGAAGCCTTGACTTCCCTGGCTCAAGTGATCCCTCCACCTCAGTCTTCCAAGTAGCTGAGAACACAGACATACACTGTGCTACCACAACAGGCTACTTTAAAAAAAAATTATAGAAACACAGTCTCACTGTGTTGCCCATGCCAGTCTTAAACTCCTGGGCTCAAGCGAGGCAACACAACCTAATACATTCTGATAACCTTTACTAGGCGTCAAGAACTATTGAAAATGACTCATCTTTTCATTGCTGCACCTGTTTTGCTTTATGCATCTAGATTTCGTAAAAAATATTTTCCACAAATCTTAAGTACAACTTATATTGTCCTGATTGGATAGGGGTAAAAGGAGGAAAAGAAAGGAGAGAGGAACTGAAGTCTAGTGCTGCTTTCTGACTCTTCCCTCACAAATAAGATAAAATATGTGTAGAATGAGAGGAGAAACTATCACAAAGAAAAGAATGTCTGAGGAATAGAGACCTAGTCCCACTGAGTTTAGGAGAGTAGTTAAGAGCACAGTCTTAATTACATGGACTGAACTCCTAGTTGGGCCATTTGTACTTTGGGAGAATTCAAGTAAGTGGTTTAACTTCCTGGACCCATGTCCTCATCTGTAATGAGGCAATACCATGACCTTTATCATGAGGATTAAATGAGATAATCCACGTAAAGGAAATGGCTACATAATTGTCAGTGTTCAGTAAATTAGAGCTGTTACGATCAATGATTAGCAATCTTGTGAATTCAAAACTGAGCCCAGAGGATAGTCTTTTTGCCTTCTGAACAAAGCAAATATCTCTATACCAGCCCTCGCATGCACACTGCTTAACAAAGGGCATTCATAGATATTCAATGGGAGTTGGACAGAGGGGTCAGACATCATACAATTGCAGAGCTGCACGGATGTGGGCTGAAATCAAAAGCACAAAAAACGTCAAATAAACCTGTTGAACCCTGTATAATTCTGGCGGATCCCTGTGCAATTCTGGTAATAAGACTGGAATTTCATACCCAGGCAGTGGGGTATAAGTTCTCTAAAATGACCATGGCAAGAAACATAAGCACGTGTTAAACTGTAATGATGTGGCAGGGACTGAACACTGTGTCCTATAAACTTTGTCTTTATGGCAACCCTTAAAGATAGACAACGATGCTATTCAGACTATCTAAGAACTGAAACCCTGTACAGCATAGCGCTGACAATCAGAACCAACACTGGCCCTGCGTTCTGGGTGAACGTCAGCTCTGGAGTGAGCTCCTGCTTTCCAGCAGCAAGTCACAGAGATGGTAGTAGAACCCAGCTTTGTCAGATTTCAGAGGTCAGAATTTTTTTTTAAGGCAGGGTCTCGCTCTTTCGCCCGGGCTGGAGTGCAGTGGTGTGATCTCAGTTCACTGCAGCCTCAACCTTCTGGGCTCATGCGACCTGCCCATCTCAGCCTCCTGAGTAGCTGGGACTACAGGTGCACACCACCACCCCTGGCTACTTCCTGTAAGGATCTCAGGTTTTTAACTACTGCAGGCTACAACCATTATTTATATTTGCTACATATTAATTATTAAATGGTTCATTATAAAAATGTTGACTAGCTTGACCTAGCAAATTCTGCTATTGCCCTTATAAAAGCCACCAAAAAACCTTTTTTAATTTAATTTTCAGGAAGGCTGTAGGACTGAGTGGGTTCAGCTGACAGGCACAGGCTTTGCTCTGACACATGGGTGTACAGATCAGTTCAGCATATCTGGATTATGGAAGGATGGAAGGACTACATATATGCCCAAGTCATATTTCTGTTTCTATCATCCCAAGTCATATTTGTTTCTATCACACTGAAGGCCAAATTTCAAAAAAGGGAGTTTGCCAGGGCTCTGGCACCTGCTAATAAATAAATAGTGAAGAAGCACTTTCTAATGACCTATGGGAGATGAGGGGTTGGCTGTTCTCATTATTCACATTTTGATATTTGCATTCAACAGTGCTTATATTCATATATTTCTGTTTTCAGCATCTTTTTATGTAAGAGGGAGCCCTAGATGTTGACGTCTCTTAATAAGTTAATTTTTAAAAAGACTATGTACCTAACCTTTAAAAAATGCCAATAAAGAAATTATAATTCCTTCTGCAAATAAATGTGTAAAAGTAGCTCTTACTTTATTCAGAAATTAGCATTTTCATCATTTGTCATGAAATATAACACAAGGATCAACAAACTTTCAGATGCAAATTTGTTGTGAAAAGTTTACATAATGGCTGTCCAAGGTAAAACAAAAACATGAACAAAAAAACTCCACCTCATTATTTACTCTTCAAAAATGTAGGTGTGCAGCATGTACAGAGGCACTGGCAGAATGTGCTAGTTCTCCCATGGCATAAATCAGGCTTATGTGCTTTAGGCAACAGAGGACGTCAACATACTATGTAAATGCTAAGCATTCACCTTGCTCTTCTCTCCAATGTCACTGTCCTTACATTAACACAGAGGGTCCCTGCCTTGCAGACCTACTACGTGCATTAATCGTGGTGGAAAGTCTGCCTATTCAGGATGAAAAGCAATTGCCTGCTACACTAAATGTTTTCTAGATTACGATCCTAAGCCCATCCCCCTGGAAGAGATACTCAATGAATCAGGTGACCTCACCATCCTCAATAAACTCCCCAGTGCAGGTGCAGTGCAGGTGCTTGGGCCAGAGAGGTCACCTGCCTTGGGGAAGCTGATTCCCAGCAAGGAATGCTGCATCTGTCAGAGACTCACTCTCTCGTGAGAATCTGAACAGGAGCCTGGGGCCGAGACGGTGAATTCTGGAGCTGGAATTTCACTGTGGATTCTTGGCCACATCTAACACCACTGTAATCCAGTTACATGCCAGCTGAGGCTGCAGAGAAGCAGCAACTGTGAGTAAGCAGGGAAAGTCAATCTTTGGAAAGATGGAGGGATCAGATGTATAGGGGAAAGAGACCAGAAACTATGCAGAAGAATCAGATGCAAAGGGAAGACTGAAAGAGAAATGAAGGAAAGGTTAAAAGAGGGATAGATCTCAAGCCATAGCTTAAGTCATTCCAATACAGTTCCCAGAATTTACCTAGATCCTTTAAAAAAAATCTTCCCTTTTGATTCAAATTTGGTTTTAGTAGGCTCAGCTAATTTCATACATTACTCCTAGATGTCAGATTTTAACTGGCTGTGCAAGAAAACATAGGAAGACCCAGATACTTTGTTTGTTTGGATTCCCCTAGAGGCAGACAATGAGCCAAGGATTTTAGAAAACGTTGTTCATTTTGGAAGGTAGGAAACAGCAGTGGGGAAGGGAGAAATGGAGAAATTAGCACAGGGAAGAAAAAAGCATCCTGTAATAAAGGATGGACTAAGAAGCCAGATATACAATGAGCCTAGTCATGTGGGAAAACTTTCAAAACGTGTGCCTCAGCATTATCCTACCCATGGAGTGAGGGAGCTGGGGTGTTTACACTCCAGCTCCCAAGAGCCATTAGTTAAGGGCTATTCCCTGGAGTATTAATTGCCTCACAATTCTGGTCTCCTATTGTGCATGGGCAAAGCAACTTCCCATAATCCTGAGAAATACTCTCAAGAACTGAGACACAGATACTCGCAGCTAGAATTCTGCAAGAGCACAAAAAGATGGCAAACCCACAGGATGAAGGACAGAGAGTAGCAGTATGCTACAAAAGATGAGATGTGAGGTCACTGATCCCCTGTTTCTAAAGTATAGTCGTGCCCTAGACATCAACGATCCACAATGATATATGGTCAGTATCTGCCTGTGCTTCTGGCAATATTTTTGTGTCCTTTTTAGTTGTGCAGAACTCTACTTCCCACCTCATCTTACCATTTCCCATTAGCCTTCAGTATCTGGATTTAGTTCCTCTAGGATCTGATATGTATCTTCCCTGTATTTTTGCATCTTAGATAATTCTAGCTGTCCTCAGCAGTCCCTCTGTATTCATCTTCTAATTCAGGCTTTCCAAGGGAGGAATATAACCAGTTTTCCAAAGGTAAAGGATATTCCTGAGGTAGGAATTTATAATCTGGCTTCTGATCTGGGTTGCAAACATAACCTCTCTTTTGTGATCTCTGACATCAATGATACTAACAAAAGCAGTGTTTCCTCACTGCTGTTTCTTGATCATTGTGGAGCTAGCTGGGGAACCTGTCAAAGATAGAAATCTCCCCACCCCATATTTGGTAATTCTAATTCAAGGAAGCAGGGTGGGGTCTGGGAATCTTTAGTACAGTCCCCTTGCGGCTCTGCTCCTCAGCCACATATGAGAAACTCCTAGTAAATGAAATCTAAGCCATCTTCCAACTCTAGAATTCCTAACCCACTAAATAATCGGTTTTGTCTGTTTGCCCCTAGCAGTGACCTTAAAAATCGTTTGGACAGTGGCATTTCATCTAAGAGGTGTTATTTCACCATGATTGAAGATTTTCCACAAAATGACCAGTCTTCACATTAAACAATGATATCACTATCATCTCTGAATCCAATCCCTTTTTCAGGACTGTAGATAGGCAGATACATAGATGCATAGATACATAGATTGATAGACAGATTAGGTAGACAGGTAGATAGATGGATAGATAGATTAGACAGTTAGGTAATTAGATAGATGGATAGATTAGATAATTTGATAAATTGATAGATTAGATATAGATGAGATAGAGAGATGACAGATGCACAGATGATAGAGACAGAGAGAGAGAGATTCCACATGCTTACTGCTTACTATATAATGTATTTCTTATTCTAAATTGGGCAAGAATGAGATTCAAGGGATTCTCACCATTGCTACCCCCATCCTTAGGGCCGTACACTGGTGTACGGTTCTACCATCTCCCTATATGAACCATATATATTTGCTCAGGCTTTGTTCCTATGTCCCCTCCTCTTCTCCTTATGGGTAAAGAGTTATAATTATTTAAGGCTTCTTTTAGGGAAGCAAATACTTAAGTCAAAGGAAGCAGGAATTGCCAAGGTGGAGAGATGTCTTTCTAACAGGCAGCCTGGGAATATATAAAGAACATCAAGATTATCTCCATGATTATTTCCAAGCTCTCCAAATTACTTCCTAGACAAAAATATTCAACAAGTATAGTCATTTGTTGGCATCAGGATCTGAGTTTTTGATCAGCCATTATCTCTTCTCGGAGTCGGGCATCCTGTACAAGTTTTACATGTTGTATCTCCTGGGCCATTCTCGTTTCTAAGCAGCTTTCTTCCAAACTCCATTTGTCCCACGATACTTCAGCATTTACCAGGAGAAATATCTCTGCTTTGCACATGCTAGAAACAAACTCAACTTAAGTGAACACAGAGTGTGACTTTAAGACCCAACTCCCAAGTAAGGTGGAATTCTGCTTTCATATGTCACTCTACCTTCCAACAAACTAATCTGAGGTCATATATTAAGGGTTGCAAGTCTAAAGTTAGAAGAGAATGAGGTACTTTCTACACACAGCCAAGAACCCTTTAGAAGCCCATTTCCCTCTAGGGTTTTGATAATATTCCCAGAGACAGAAGTATTAGGCTTTCCAGGCAGCTGTATATAAACATCTTCTTTGTTTCTATGTCTAAACTGGCACTTTAAAACATTTTAATGGATTGCTGGGAAGGCTCCTACAATACTATCTTCCTCACCTTTTAGCCGTCAGAACGCCTGTAAGACTGCAGAAGATAAAAGGTACTTGATAAACTATTTTATTAATGAGTGAGTGAATGACTGAATTAGATTTACCTTGATTCTCACTCTATGCTATACAGTAGAATCAACTGAGGAGCTTCTAAACAAATCTTGATCGTCAGGTCCCAATCTCAAGTAAATTAAATCAGAATCCCTGGGGTCTGGTGACCCCAATTATATACATATAATCATATATATCTCCCAGGTAAGTCTATTTTGGAAAGACAGATGAAAACTAAGAAGAAAATATCAGCAAAATCATATAAAGAACAAAACTCCTTAGTTTAGTATCTCCATTTCAACAGAAGCTATTCACTTCTGAGGCCACTGGGAATATGTGAGAAACAGGATCAAATGAATTATTTAAAGTTATCCCCGTATGATTTGTTGACTGTATTAACAAAAATGAATGCTGGTAAAGTGACACTACTTTGACTAAAAGTGTGTGTATGTATACAAATATACGTGTGCGTATGTATGCATATGTATACATGTACTATATATATATCATTATCTAAAAATTCATCAGTTCTTCTCTGGCCACTGTTTTGAATGCTACATGAATTAGATCAACTATTCCAATTATGCAGATAAATTTCACATAATGACCTACAATTAGTTTAATGGCTTTGAAATTCAGAAGGTAAGGAGACACCGTGTTTCTTCTATTGAGCATTAAATATAAAATGCCTCTGATTGACTGTCATGAAAACCCAATTTTATTGCTATTTGAATTATTCAGAATCAATATCCAACATTAGCCAGCGTGGGGCAGCTCCAATATGAGGCAGCTTCTGAAAGCACTGCTTCCCTATATTGAGTAATTGTGCTTTTTGTGGGGGATAATGAGCTGTTTGCTACATGTCACCACTTCAGATGCGTTGAGAATTAAAAACTTTATCTTCCCTTTATATTATGTAATAAAAGGGATTACTTCATAGAGATGAACAATTTCCAAGGTTATGAAACATACAAAATACAACTGGGCTCAAGGAATAACCTCTTCTAGAAGAAGAAACAACGACAAGACATTGGGATTTAACTGTTTATACAGGAGAGAAATTTGCTCAAGTTACGTTTTTCACTATTTGATAAGTAAACTGCAACCTTGTATTTCCCCAAGCTGAAAACTGCTTAAAGGCATAAATACCACAATATAGCAGTCCTGCAGAAGCTTCACTTAAGGTGATACAATGACCGTAAGAAGTGACACTGCTTGAAGTAATTTTCCAAAAAGCATAATGAATGGATATGAAAACAAAAGTCAAAACTAATGATAAAATATTAACCATTTATTGAAGTTCACTTGGTGGCTAGCTCTATGCTAAAATCCTGACTGCATTATGTTACTTAGATCTCAAAACAAACCTGTGAGGATGGAAATACTACAATTTCTTCAATTTACAGATAGGGAATTTAAAGAGACCAAAATAATTTTCTTCCCTTCATCTCTGTGCGTACGTAGTAGAACTAGCCTTCCAAAACAGGCTGTATGATTTCAAAATGGAATCAGGTAAATACTGGACTGTAAGTTAATGCCACTAACATGCCCGAGGAGGAACAGAGAAACAAAGTCAAATGTCCTGGAAAACATTAAAGACCTCAAATGCCTGACAAAACAAATACTGGACGGATGCTACTGAACTCAGCAGGGTACTTCATGGAGAGACTCACACGTGTGAGCCCATTTGATAGGTGTACCAGGGACATTTGTAAGTAGACACATTCCTCATTTCTACCTTAAGGAAGGAGGGGGTAGAAGACCCTATCCCAAATTCATACTGAAACCTAGTATGGCGGCACAACTCCACTCAAGCATAGGCCCCAAGAGCTGTTTGTACGGTTCCCTCTCCCCTCATTAAACTCCTGGCTCACGCTAATAAATCAGTGTACAATTTGCGTATAATCCAGTTTTTGCCCTGTGCTTCATCTGGTGTAGGTGGAAGCAGCGGGGGAATATGAAGGAAAAAAAGAAAAAAAAACCAGGAACAATTGTAAAATGAAGACTAATGAGAACCTGGATACTTAAGAAAATATTCTTTAGATAGTTTCTATTAGGTTGGTGCAAAAGCAATTGCGTTTTTTTTTCTACTGAAAGAAATGGCAAAAAACGCAATTAATTTTACATTAACCTATTATTACCTTTTAGAAGTCACCAGAAATGTCCAGTCTGCAGGTTGAGGGATTGTCAGAATTGCAGGATAGTGAGTCTCACCTCTTCTTTCTATGGAATTGCGACTTTTGAAGGCAAATATATACATGTTTTATATATACACACACACACATATATTTATGTGTGTCTGTGTGTGTTTTGTGTGTCTCTCTCTGTGTCTGTGTGTGTGTGTGTTCAGTCCAAATACCTGAAGGTCATGAGGCGCTCTCATCGTATGTCATTATTTCTCTGGGTCTGCACTGCCTCCCAGTCTCTGGGTAGCACATAGGCTGTGCCATTAGAAAGTGTTAATTGTGTCCTGAAAGTGTCCTTTATTTCCCTCCTCAGCCATTTATAGCACAGCCAATAATAATTCCCAAGCCACCCCCAAATCATCCCACAGAGAGAACTTGGTGTTCCTTAAAACTAGCCAGATATATTAGGTACCCTGGTAGGGAACATAGCAATTACGTAAGTTAATGATATTCAAAGACACAAGTTTTAGGAAGCAGCAGCCACAGCAGAAGGAAGAGAAAACGCACAGGCAAGCCCAGGGGTCCAGTCCAGACGCTGATCAGCAAGCTAGTTCTCTGGGCATGCACACCTGTTTGAAATCATAGTGTTTGCTGAACTGATAGAATATGACCAGGAAAGCAGCTATGTACATTAAAGGCATCCTTGCCTTCTCTCATTGTTCACAAGAACCTGAACATGTCCAGGCACTGTACTTTGATTTCAGTTTATCTAGTGATAGTTCCACCTTCACCTACTTGGGAACGGGAAGAGCTAAAGCAGATCTTAAGACAAGTCGTGATTTTATCTCCTTTGCAAAGTTAAAAAAAAAAAAAGAAAAAATAGCGTTTTATTTTTATTTATTATTTTTTTACAAATGCAAAAATTTGCTTTTGCCTCTTTACAGGTAGTAATTTGAAAGCACACTACTTAAAACCTAATGGAAATGTTACATAAAACCAGAGTCACAATGAATTCAAAAATTTCCCTTGCTGGGGTAGGGGGTAGGAATTAGTGGTATTCTAGAGCAAACGGGTGAGATCTTGCTATGCATGAAACGCAGGATCCATTTTTAATAACAGTAAAAAAGGAAATTTACTGCCCCCTCCTGGCTCTGTGTAACAAAGTTCTCTCATATTTAACACTGAATAACATAATCACGTAGGAGTCAACACGGAACAAATCTTAATTCCTCTCTCTTTGCCGAGACAGAAAGGGTGATTTGCAATGCTGAAAGGATAATGAAAGGGCCAGTGTTATTATTTAACATAAAAAATAGATTTCCTGGTTTCCCTCAAGTGTTTATCATCAGATACAGGGGACAATATCAAACTGAATTACCAAGTATCATCTCTGATAAATCAAATGAGAAACACTGCTGGAAAAAGGCAAACAGTATTGCACAACCCAATGCTTGAAGAGCACACACGGCGCCAGAAAATGGCTTAAAATGATAGAATTTTCAACATTTTTGGTTCATTTATAGAAAAAGAAAACAGATGGAAATCTACCCTGAATATAGAGTTTTAGAAGAACTAATCTGAACTCTTCTTTTTAAGTAAAAGCAAATGTATTAAGAAATTAAAAGGAATAAAGAATGACTACTCCATAGGCATAGCAGCCCCAAGAGCTGATGGTTGGATATTTTTATGATTATCTCTTGATTATATGCTAAACAGGGGGTGGATTATTTGTGAGTTTTCCAGGAAAGGGGTGGGCAATTCCCAAAACTGAGGGTTCATCCCCTAAGGCTGAGACCCACTGGGCTGCATTCACGGTAGGTTGGGGATTGTGAGTCACAGGATGTGACAGATGGTCGGCACCAGGTACAGGTCACAAAGACCTCGTTGGTAAAAAGATGCCTTAAAAAGCTAGCCAAAACCGGCCGGGCGCGGTGGCTCAAACCTGTAATCCCAGCACTTTGGGAGGCCGAGGTGGGTGGATCACGAGGTCAGGAGATCCAGACCATCCTGGCTAACACGGTGAAACCCTGTCCCTACTAAAAATACAAAAAAATTAGCTGGGCATGGTGGCGGGTGCCTGCAGTCCCAGTTACTCGGGAGGCTGAGGCAGGAGAATGGCGTGAACCCGGGACGCAGAGCTTGCAGTGAGCCGAGATCGCACCACTGCACTCCAGCAAGGGCGACAGAGCAAGACTTTGTCTCAAAAAAAAAAGAAAAAAAAAAAAAAAGCTAGCCAAAACCAAGAGGGCAACAAAAGTGACTCCTGGCTGTCCCCATTACTCATTATACACT
Organism: Homo sapiens; assembly: GCF_000001405.40. Taxonomy (NCBI): domain Eukaryota; kingdom Metazoa; phylum Chordata; class Mammalia; order Primates; family Hominidae; genus Homo; species Homo sapiens. Next base: position 6,724,978 of record NC_000016.10, on the reverse strand, counting down.
ATTTGTAATGCATTTGCATGCCAAAAGACACTCCCACTACTGCCATGACAGTTTACAAATGCTACAGCAAGGTCAGGAAGTTACCCTATATGGCTTTGGGGGAGGCAGAGCATTAGGAAAAATAACTAATGCACACCTAGGTGATGGGTTGATAGGTGAAGCAAATCACAATGGTACACATTTACTTATGTAACAAACCTGCACATTCTGCAAGTGTACCCCAGAACTTAGAATAAAAATTAAAATTAAAAAAAAAAGTTACCCTATATGGTCTAATCTGAACTCTTAAATGTTGACTTTGAGGCAGTCTTAGTCTATTCGGGCTGCTATAACAAAATTCCACAGACTGGGTGGCTTCTAAATAACAGAAATTTATTTTCTTATAGTTCTGGAGGCCGGGAAGTCCAAGATCAAGATCCTGGTAGATTTGGTGTCTGGTGAGGGCCTGCTTCCTCGTCCACAGAAGATGGCAGCCAGGTGTGGTGGCTAATGCCTTTAATCCCAGCACTTTGGGAGGACGAGGTGGGTGGATCACCTGAGGTCAGGAGTTCGAGACCAGCCTGGCAACATGGTGAAACCTGTCTCTACTAAAAATATAAAAATTTGCTGGGCATGCTGGAGTGCACCTGTAATCCCACCAACTGGGGAGGCTGAGGCAAGAGAACTGCTTGAAGCCAGGAGGCAGAGGTTACAGTCAGCAGAGATTGCACCACTGCACACCAGCATGGGTGACAAGAGTGAAACTCCAACTCAAAAAAAAAAAAAAAAAATGGAAGATGCCTTCTCGCCGTCCTCATATCAGGACAACAAGGCAAGGAGGTCTGTAAAGCCTCTTTTATAATGGCACTAATCCCATTCATGAAGTCCCTGCCACCATGGCCTCATCACCTCCTAATACTATCACCCGGGGTATAAATATTTCATATAAATGTTCAGGGTACACAAATATTCAGACCATAGTAGAGGCAAATATCCACTTCTCCCAAACGGTTAAGTGAAAATCCTACTTGCCCTCAGCAATGGGCCAAGGTGGAGCCCACTTCCAACTTCCTATTTTCCTGATGGATCATGACTGGGTGAGTGCTCTGTATCTGGCCAGGGTGTGGAGCTGGAAACAATGGTGAGAACCTCGTGCAGAACATACAGGTCAGTAAGCTAAGATCTTGAGTACGTAGCTGGAAGACTCTCCAGAAGTCTAGGGGAGCCTCATCACCAGGTTCCTGTCTAACTGCAAAGAAAAAAAAAATCTTCACGAGACAGATGCAGCTTTCTGTAACTCATTCCTTGTTTTCAAAATCAGACTATTTGCTCCTCAAAAATACTAATATATGCAAATCGTAAAATTAAAACAAAGATCACAATATACAACAGGGCTCACTCAAGATATCCCCTACTGCCATCCACTTCTCCAAAGTAAACCAATGACTTGTGTTAGAACCTTCCAGAAATGTTATGCACATACAAACACAATCTATAATTGTATTATTTTTTCTACCCAGATCAAAACTATAATACATAACATTATGCCCTTTTGTGTGTTCACCAATAATGTATCTTTGAGATAACTCCATAGTGGTATCTTTAAGTCTTTATCTTTTTAATCCACAGTTGCATGCTATACTCAATGTTATAACCTGCCTATGCTCGGTGAATTCTCACGACCACTCTGATACAGTAGGTGCCTATATTAAATGATTGTCCAGGTAAGAAACACGAAGAAACTGCTTGCCCAAAGTCTCACAGTATTAGTGGGAAAGCCACAATGTAAACCCCAATGCCCACACTTTTATCCACTATATTACACTGCCTTCCTAAATATTAGCTACTACTGAGTTTTACAGAGCATCAGCAACCAAGACAAACACGTTGTGAAAACTCTGGTGTCCACATCACCACTCATGGGACATTGCCCATCCCCTCCCCAAAGCCTGGGTAGCTCTCAGATCCTTTCCACTTATCTCTGATGGGAGCTACTTAGGAGGTGACTGATAAAGTGTCAAATACCATCACTTGCAGAACTCCTGACTTGCCTAGAAGCAGAGGGCCCCCTAGTCCCCAACCACAAATATTCACTCTACCCCACGGGGGGCCAGACCAGGCACAGATGTCAGTGTGCCAAAGCTACATTTGGATTTCTTACTGATGAATATTGCAGCCAATGTACCCATCTGGCCGCTGAGATAAATAATGTAAAAATGAAGATATGCCTACATAATTCATGTAGTATTGATGAACGGGGCCCTTAATTCAGACTGCTTCTACAAATCATTTAATTATGGGTTGTGCAACTGCAAGAGAGACACAGAATTTTAGCCATATTTAAATGGTTTCCAGTTGGATATTTTCAAGTACACAAGACAGAAACTTAAGGACCCCTTGATTATTCTAAAGAAGTCTGTAGGTTCTCATTAATATCACACAAACATGGTACTGAGTATACAAAATGACTTGGCAAAATGCCAAGTATTTATCTACATGGTAAATATTCCATCAATGGAATATGCCGCTTTCATCAGAAAGGAGTGGATGGAAGAGAATGAGATGTTTCCAGCTGCTCTGCAAATAATATACTTCCTAAGGACATGACCAAGATGACTTAGAGCAACCTCCTCACACCTGTTAGAAAGGCTACCGCCAAAACAAACAAGCAAACAAAAACAGAAAATAACAAAAGTTGGCGAGGCTGTGGAGAAGTGGAAACTCTTAGGCACTGTGGGTGGAAATGCAAAACGGTTTAGCCTCTTGGAAAACAGGATAGTGGTTCCTTCAAAACTTAAAACTAGAAATATCACATGATCTGGTAATTCCATTTTTGGGTATGTACCACAGGAATGGAAAGCAGGGTCCCAGAGAGATATCTGTGCAACCGCGCTTATACCAGTATTATTCATAATAGCCCAAAGGTGAAAGCAATCCAAGCGTTCATCAGTAGATACATAGGAGGAAATACCATTTAACCTTAAATAGGAAGGAAATTTTGATACATGCTGTAATACAGATGAACCTTAGGACAGGGCGAGGGAGCAGGAATGGATTTGGCTTTGAGCAGGGATGTGGAAATGCAGAGGCCAGGTGAGGTCTCGTTATTTTGGGGGGATAATGTGGGCTGGTGGGGGGTGCTTACTAATACTCCTGCAATAGGCGTGTGAGCGTGATCCCTGAAATGAGTGGGAATTTCCACGCCCAAAAGGAAGCAGCTGCAGGGCCAGTGCCTGGGTCAAAAAATTAATTAATTAATTAATTAAACAAATACATTAATGAATTAAATAAGACAGTCACAAAAAGACAAACGCTGTGTGATTCTACTCATGTATGAGGTAGCTAGAATAGGAATTCACAAAGAGGGAAAGTGGAATGGTGGTTGCCAGGAGCTGGAGGGTAAGGAGAATGGGGAGCTGTTATTTAACAAACATAAAGCTTCCATCTTACAAGATGAAAAAGTTCTGCAGATTGGTTATACAAAAATATGAATGCATTTAACATTACAGAACTGTACACTTAAAAATGGTTAACACGGTTTTGTTGTTGTTGTTTTTGAGACAGAGTCTCGCTCTGTCCCCCAGGCTGGAGTGCAGTGGCATGATCTCGGCTCACTGTAACCTCCGCCTCCCGGGTTCAAGTGATTCCCTTGCCTTGGCCTCCCAAGTAGTTGGGATTACAGGCACCCGCCACCATGCCCAGCTAATTTTTGTAGTTTTAGTACAGACAGGGTTTTACCATGTTGGCCAGACTGGTCTCAAAATCCTGACCTCAGGTGATCCACCTGCCTTGGCCTTCCAAAGTACTGGGATTATAGGAGTGAGCCACCGTGCCCGGCCAACATGATATGTTTTATGTTACGTGTACTTTACCACAATTACATTTTTTAAAATGGTTACATAAAGCAAACACTGAGCTATCAGAAGAGGCAATATTCTACTGTTTATTGTGAACAGACTATGCCTGACCACCAGCATAAAAGCTGCATATTCGTGACCTCATCTTAGCCCTCATGATCCTTATGTTAAGTAGGAATTAATACTGTCCCAGTATTAATGTACCTGGAGCTTCAAAACCAATTAATAACATGGTAGCATCATGTTAAGGTAAAATGGATGGATTGTGCAAAGAGAGGGAATGAATCATGGTTCTGATATTCACTTGTGGGATACACTTCAGCAACATCCTTAATCCTTCAGAAGTACCTACTTTATCACCTATTTGAAGAATAAAAAAGGTGGCACACTCAGAAATGAAGCTCATGTTTCCAATCATTCATGTGTGTCCCAGCTGACCCACCACCCTGGTCTCTCTAGCTCTTCCTGACACATGTCTCCTTCTCACCAACTATTCTCCCGACACGTCTCTTTCTCCCCAACTATTCTCCAGCAGCACCCCTCTCACTTCTGTTTCTCCATCATACCATGCTCCTTCCAGCTCAGGGCCTCTGCCTTTGCTGTTCCTGCTGCCTGTAACACCCTTTCCTGAATTATCCCTGGCTGGCTCCTCTTGAACACATAGGTCGTGTATGAGTCCATTCTTGCAATGCTATAAAGAACTACCTGAGAGTGGGTAATTTATAAAGAAAGAGATTTACATGGTTCACAGTTCTGCAGTCTGTAAAGGTAGCATGGCTAGGAAGACTGAGGAAACTTTCAATTAGGGCAGAAGGCAAAAGGGAAGCTGGCATGTCTTACGTAGCAGAAACAGGAGAAAAAGAGTGAAGGGGGAAGAAGTACACACTTTTTTTTTTCTTGAACATTCAGCAGTATTTCATTAAGTATCCAAGGTGATAAGGACTACAATTACTGTCATTTACTAAATCCTTACCCTGTGTCAGATATTTTGCTAAGCATGCACTTTACTAACATTTTGTTATTTATTTATTTATTTATTTTATTCTTTTCAGATGGAGTCTCACACTGTCGCCCAGGGTGTAGTGCAGTGGCATGATCTTGGCTCACTGCAACCTCTGCCTCCCAGGTTCAAGCGATTCTCCTGCCTCAGCCTCCCAGGTAGCTGGGATTATAGACGCCTGCCATCACCCCCGGCTAATTTCTTGTATTTTTAGTAGAGATGGGTTTTCACCATGATGGCCAGGCTGGTCTCGAACTCCTGACCTCAGGTGATCCGCCCGCCCAGGCTTCCCAAAGTGCTGAGATTACAGGTGTGAGCAGCCATGCCCGGGCTCCATTATGTCATTTAATATGCACAATAACCAGAAGAATTTGGCACTTTAAAAAACCATCATTTTGGCCAAGTGCGGTGGCTCACGCCTGTAATCCCATCACTTTGGGAGGCCAAGGTGGGTGGATCACAAGGTCAGGAGATCAAGACCATCCTAGCTAACATGGTGAAACCCCATCTCTACTAAAAATACAAAAAAAAAAAATTAGCCGGGCGTGGTGATGGGCACCTGTAGTCCCAGCTACTCCAGAGGCTGAGGCAGAAGAATGGCATGAACCCAGGAGGTGGAGCTAACAGTGAGCCAAGATCATGCCACTGCACCCCATCCTGGGTGACAGAGCAAGACTCTGTCTCAAAAAAAAAAAAACAGGTTATTTTGAAGATGAGGAAACTATGCTTTAAAACTTTTAAACTATTAGTAATAGTTATTTTAAATTTATTCCCTGATAATTTTAACACTGGGGTCTTTTCTGAGTTTAATTGATGTGATTGCTTTGTCTAAGTGGGCTATTTTTTCCTCTTTTTTTCTGTTGAATATTGAATCCTAGTATTTCTATTTAAATACTATTTAATATTGAATACTATGAAGGAAAGTAGTGAAGACTGAAGTCAATAGCATTTTTGCATAGAAATATGTACACATCTCAGCCAGGCACTATGGCTCATGCCTATAATCCCACCACTTTGGGAGATCAAGGCAAGTAAATCCCTTGAGCCCAGGAGTTCAAGACCAGCCTGGGCAACATGGCAAAGTCTCATCTGTACAAAAAATATAAAAATTTAGCCAGGCACGTTGAAATACACCTGTAGTCCCAGAAGCTACTTGGGAAGCTGAGGTGGGAGGATTGTTTGAGCCCCGGAGGTTGAAGCTGCAGCAAGCTGAGATCATGCCACTGCACTCCAGCCTAGGCAACAGTACAAGACTCTGTCTCAAAAAACAAGCAACAACAACAAAAAAAAAGATAAGAAAAAAAGAAAGAAACATGCACATCTCTTCTGCCAGTGTGTTTATGCGGAGACTGGAGTCAACCTAGTTGTGAGTTTAACTCATTTGGGATTTTGCTGTTACTATGGTTACCTTCAGTGAGTGGTACACACTTTTCAACAACCAGATCTTGTGAGACCTCACTCACTATCACAAAAACAGCAAGGGGGAAGTCCGTTCCCATGATCGAATTGCCTCCCACCAGGCTCCTCCTCCAATATTGGGGATTACAACTTAACATGAGATTTGGGCGGGGACACAAATCCAAACCATGTCAGGTCTCCACGAAAATGCTGCCTCCTTAAAGGTGGTTTCACTTTGGAACTAATTGTTCTCAAGACTCTGTCCAACCGTGAACACCTATCACCATCATCAATTACTCTTACTCGCATTACCTTGTGGACTTCCTTACACCACTTTTCAAAACTTGTAATTATATTTTTCAGCTAGAGTTACTTCCTTATCATCTATCTCTCCCACTAAAATATACAAGTTGTAGTGTATTTACTAAAGACAAGGGCACGTCTGTTCCATTCACCACTCCAACCCCAGCACGTGGAATAGTGCCAACATACCTACCATATGGAAAAGACCAATATATAAACATTAATTGCTGTTATTATTTCATGTTGTGAGTTTCTACTGATGAGACAATGGAAGCAAAAGATGGGGACATCTTTGCAAGGAACTCAGTGATCAGGTCTTCTGTAAAAAATACCCACCAGATGGGTAAGAAGTAGCCACTGGCTCTAAAATTAGACAAAGAAATGCACCTGTTTATTTGGGATGAAACACCAGTGATGATGGTGGTGATGACGGTGGTGGTGGTAGAAAATGGTGCAGGGGAGAGAAGGCCACCTACAGAATTTATTTTGTGAAGCCACTGACCACTATGTGGAACTGAAGCTTTATCCCAGTATAGGATCCTTGGAACCAGTGTAGACACATATCCAGATCTGCTCTAGGCAGGGGGTATCCCACGAAACACCATCTGGGTAAATAACAAGAATGCCTGAAGTACCCAATATTTTCTGCTGGGTCCATGTTGAGAATTGCAGCCCGTAAACACATACTAATGACACATCCCTGGTACAGCAGCATTATCAATAACCAAACAATGTGACTGGCACTTTCAACTGGTTTATCACTTGTCAGCTCTGAAGACACTTGCTGAGCTGACAGAGAGTCGATCCAGGATGTGACATGTAAAAAATCACCGTATTTCTGGGTAAAAAAAAAAAAAAGACTTCAGCATCTCAGGCTCACAGGCTATCTTAATTCATCAGGTTGACTATGCACAATTTTTGGTTGTTAAATCTCTGCTTCTAAACCTCCAAGTTTGGAGTTTTTGAGTTTAACGTAACAAGTGCCAAAACGTGTCATGCAGATCCACCATTCTGCTCTCAAGTTTCTTATGCTGTAGTAGAAAAGACTCTGTAGGAAGATGCACAGTTGAGTAATACATCTTGAACTACCTTATACACAAAAAAGGGGAGATTTATCACAAAGCTGATAAGTTCAAGGCTTGCGGCTCAATTAGATGCAAGTCTGACACTCAAATAATGTCAGAAATGGGTATCTTTTTTTTTTAACAGTTTGCTTTGCATTCACACTGGCTTTCCCCACCATTTTAGTCGAGTTGCTGTAACACAATACCATAGACCGTGCATCTTAAACACACATTTATTTCTCACGGTTCTAGAGTCTAGGAATCCCAGGATCAATCCACTGACAGATTGGTGTGTGGGAAGGGAACTCTTGGTTTGCACATGGCAGCCTTCTCACTGTATCCTCACATGGTTGAGAGAAAAGAGAGAAAGCAAGCTCTTCTGTCTCTTCTTATAAGGGCACTAATCCCATTTGTGAGGGCTCCACTCTAGTGATATAATGGCCTTCCAAAGACCCCACCTCCTAATACCATCACATTGGGAGTTAGGATTTCCATGTATGGATTTTGGAAGGATACAAACATTCAGTTTATTACACTCACATAATGTCAACACGGCCATCAGCTGTCCCAAACTTATATCCTGTTACTTTCACAACCCCAGGGAAAAAAAAAATCCCTTCCCAACACAAGTATAACTGGATAGAATTGGGTTACATGCCCACTGGTGAACCAAACATCAAGGCCAGAGGAATGGAAAATGCTGAATGAACAAGACTGAGTCATGGGCAGATACCTGGGGTCCAAGGGGAGTGTTAGTCCTGTCTGTAAGAAGGACTCAGGCAATCGCCTGAAAGATTCTGAGACAAGTTCCATTCCAAGAAGATGGAAGAGTAAGTTCTATGCAGGTAAACAAGAAAGCAAACAGATTTTAGTTGCTGAAATGGGCAGGTAATAACAGATTTAGCCAAAAATATGGAAAATGCAATAAAGCAAAATAAAACAACAAATGAAGAAAAAAAAATTCCACCGCTTTGAAATGGCACTTCCAGCCTTCCAGTTAGATACCTATATTCAGAGACAGCAAAGATGAGGGAGCAAGAGGGAAGGTCATGGAAAATACCCCACAGAAGGGATCGGAAGTTGTTTATGAAAAGCAACGATGGCTTTGTGGTAAGTAATCCAGGCAAAGGGGAAATACATACTAAGAGAAGCAATTTCTTGCATCATTTTTGTAAACAACATTATTAGAAAGGTATTATAACCCTCTATTTTACAAATAAAGCAACCTATCTAAGTTCCCTCTATTTTTCTGTAGAATTTGCCTCAGGCCAATCTAATTCCAAAAACACATATTGTCACCAGGGCCATCATGTACAACTGAGCAGTGTGAGCTCACAAAACCGTAAGTGGCTTCTTTATGTAGGCTGTGAAGTTAATGGCCCCACAGAGTTGGGCACTGCACACCTGGTCAATTGCGTCGTATCCTTGACTTAATCATCATACTAGGAAGAGAGAAGCAGGGTATGAGGCTGTAATAGTAGCAGGCTGAGCCTTGACCCCAAAGGGGCTTCATACCCTAAGAAACCCAGACAGTATTGGTTCATGATCTCAAGAAACACAATATTTTATTTTCCAATTTTGTGTAGCTGAAAGGGTTTAAAATGGATTCTTCCACATAATTCACTTCTTGCCAATTCACTGGATAAAAACCACCCATAAACAACAAACCAGGCATTTCTGGGCCAGGTGGGCTGCTTCATCTTCAAGAAATGGGTTTTCCAAGTATCTTTATCCGGATAGGAGATGAGGCCAGAAAGGAGACCACAAGAGAAAACTAGCTCAGCCAATCTGGATTCTTAGCTCTTAAGACTCTTCGGGAGTTTTCAGCGATGGAGGCAATAAAGTTCCGTTAGAGAATAAATTGGTTGGGACACAAAGCTCCTTATAGATTATAACCTCCTTCCTTGCCAATTATAAACTTGGCAATCATTTGTTTACTAACCTGATGGCTTGCTATGTTAAATGGCATCACATATTTATAATGCAGCAAGATAAAGCTGCAGCATTCAAAATCACTCACCCCATCTGTCCCTCCGCACCCTGGTCCCAGAATCTAAGGCAGTTTTGAAGATAATTCAACAGAACAGGGTTAAAAAAAGAAAAAAAAAAAACTTTAAAACTTTATCCTGCATTGCCTCAGGGAAAGATTCATTGTTCTGTGTGTGTGACTGATAAGGTTTAGCCCTTAAATTCATTATGAGTGAGGAGGGTTTCTTAAAGTCTTTATTTGGAAACACTGTGGCTTAGTCCCAAGTGGCAAATCTTGACTGTATTCACCACTCCCTGCTGCCGCACACAGACTTTAGGAGAAGGAACAAAACTAATCCCAAATATGGATTTCTCTGCAGTTACCCCTCCTTCCTAGACCTCCAACTCCTGTGACCACCTTACCCATCTTCGAGGCTTAACCACAATTCCTTCAAGGTGCCTCTACAACTTAAGTCTTCAGCTCCAATCTGTCTCCACTTTTAGCTTCCTTATTTCCAGGTGCCTTCTAGAGACTTTTTTCTGCCTCCCAAACAGAACCTCAAACGCAGCCTCTTATGGATGTAGCACAGGTGGTTCAAAGAAATAAGCCAGTTTCTCCTCCTAACAAATTGCACTGTTTAGAAAACGGTACTGCCCATGTCCCAGCTGTGTAGATGCAACACCTTGAAGCCACCACGTGAGGCACTCCAGGGCCCCACCAATTTACCTACACCTTTATGATATCAGTGCACATGGACCTGGCTGTAATATGTTCATCTTCAATACCTGCATTTCTTCTTGATGCTGAAATCACATTTCCTACCTGTGCAGCAGGAAAAGCAGAACCCCTCTACCAATGACTAATGAGACTTGCAGTATAAGTACCCCAGGCCCCCTGCCCTTGGGTAGGATAATACTAAGCTATGTGTGTACGTTGGTTCCAAGGATCCCGTAGTGGGATAAAGCTTCACTTCCATATAGTGGTCAGTGGCTTCACAAAATAAATTCTGCAGGTGGCCTTTTCTCCCCTGCACCATTTTCTACCACCACCACCATGAACACTAGTGTTTCCTCCCAAATAAACCACTGTTTTGGTCCGATTTCACAATACTATAATGAAATGCCTGAGACTGGGTCATTTATATGGGAAAGAGGTTTAATTGACTCACAGTTCTGCATGGCTGGAGAGGCCTCAGGAAACCTACAATCTTGGCAGAAGTTGAGGCAGGCATGGCTTACATGGTGGCAGGTGAGAGAGAGAGCGTGAGAGTGCAGGAAAAACTACCATTCATAAAACCATTAGATCTTGTGAAAATTCACTTACTATCACAAGAATGGCATGGGGGAAACCACCCCCACAATCCAATGACTTCTCTTCCTCCACACATGGGTATTACAATTCAAGATGAGATTTACGTGGGTACACAAAGCCTAACCGTATCAACTACTTTCATGTGAATTATTGCCTCAGGTCTGCTTCTGGCAGAACCCAGCTGAGAAAAGGATGATATCTTCCTGTCCAAATTCTCCACATGCTATCAGTCCCCAAGTCTTACCAAGGATCTTGCCATCACCCTACTACCTGGGAGAAGTCTAAAAAAGCTTTTCCAGAAGGTGGTGTCAAAACTGAAACATGAAGGGTGAGCAGGAGTTGCCAGCCATAACTAAGGAGGTAGATGTGGAAAGAGAGAGGAAGAGAGGTTCTGCAAATGTCTAAAAACAAGGGAGGACAGGGGATGTTTGGGCAACTGTAACTTCAATTTTGTTTGAAGCTGTTGTTCCCAATGGAGAAAGGAAGGATTTTTATTTTTGCCCACAAAGGGACACTTGAAAATATCTGGAGAGATTTGTGGTTGTCTCAACTGGGGAGGGGGTTTTACTTGCATCTAGTGGGTAGAGGCCAGGGATGCTCCTCAACATCCTACAATGCACAGGACAGACCCCTACAGCACAGCATTATTCAGCTCTAAATGTCCCAATACCAAGGTTGAGAAATCTTAGACTGGAGATTAGAGCTTAAACAGAATTTGGTGAGAGATGGGGATGTGGAGGTTGGCATTAACTTGGTCATCAAGACTCCCGTGAGACTTTGAGACTATCCTGTGAGCAATGGGGGACTGTTATTATTACACAAACAAACAAAAACCCAGGTATGATATGGTCAGAGTTGCATGTGAGAAGGAAAAGATTATCCTGGCTCTAGGCAGAAGATGGATGGAAGATACGCAAGACTGGGAGGGAACAAAAGATTGGCATATTAGTCCATTCTCACACACTGCTGTAAGAAATACCTGAGACTGGGTAATTTATAAAGGAAAGGAGGTTTAATAGACTCATGGTTTCACATGGCTGGGGAGGCCTCACAATCATGGTGGAAAGCAAAGGAGGAGCAAAGGCAGGTCTTACATGGCGGCAGGCAAGAGAGCATGTGCAGGGGAACTGCTCTTTATAAAACCATCAGATCCCATGAGAGTTATTCACTATCATGAGAACAGCACAGGAAAAAAAAAAAAAAAAAAAAAAAAACACCCCCATGATTCAATTACCTCCCACTGGGTCCCTCCCATGACACATGAGGGTGATGAGAGCTACAATTCAAGATGAAATTTGGGTGGGGACACAGCCAAACCATATCAACTGGTAAGTGGAATATTTTATAGTCCAGCTGCCAGGTGATAGGAGGGGAGGTGGGGAGAAGTGGGTATGTTTTCAGAGATACTTAGGAGACATTTTGGCTGCCATGCCTATCAGAGTGCCTACGCCATGATAGGACCTAATAAACATTTTCTGAATAAAGGAATGATTAAATTATATTATCTTGCCATGGATGACATTGGACTGAAGCTTGGGTGTTGAGTTTCAGAAGATGATGCCCTGTGTCACTGGAAAGATGATAATACCATCCACTGAGATGGAAAAAACTGGGAGAAAATAGTCCTCGGGAGATGAGAGGAAAGGTTAGGATGGTACACAGTAAAACTCTGAAAATCCTATTACTGTGGCCCAGTCATTAGGCAGATTATCTAGTTCACGCCCAGGACAGACGTAACATTTCAACAACGTGGTCTCGGGCACACATGCGCAAATGGGTATTTGGCAGACCCAGATGACAGAAGGTTGCAACACCTTGTAGACTGATGGCATTGACACTTAAGGGTTCATAGCAGAGTTCCATTTTGAGTTTTAACCTTGCTGACCATAGCTGAAACAGCCTCTGATAGTAAATAATGATGATGGCTACTGTTCATTGAGCACCTCTACATTCCATCATTCATTCATTCAATAAATATTTGTTAAGCCTCTCTAATAAGTCTGTTCTAGGTAGAGGAATGTAACACCACACAGAAATATCTTTCCTGATGGACTTTACCATATAGTATATGTGAGACAGAGAAAGAGAGCGAGATAACAAAATCACTAAAACGTATACTATACAAAATGCTACAGCTACAAAGGAAGAATGGGAGACAAGAAATGTAGGAGAAGGCAATTTTCAATATAAAATACCTCACTGAAACAGTGGTTTTTGAGTAAAGACCTCAAATTGGGTAGGAATAAGACCTAGGGGTACCTGGGGAAGGTTTCTCCAGGTAGAGGAAATAGACAATGCAAAGATCTTGAAAGAAAACGAAGTCTAGAATGAGAGTGGTGAGACAGGATGGGCTCAGTGAGGAGTGTATCGGTCCATTCTCATACTGCTACAGAGACATACCTGAGACTTAATAAAGTAAGTTTAACTGATTCACAGTTCCACACGGATGGGGAAGCCTCGAGAAACTTACAATCATGGTGGAAGGCGAAGGGGAAGTAAGGCATGTCTTACATGGTGTCAGGAGAGACAGAGAGTGAGGGCAGAACTGCCAAACACTTTTAAACCATCATATGTTGTGAGAACTCACTCTCTACCACAAGAACAGCATGACCCAGTCACCTCCTACCAGGTCCCTCCCTTGACACGTGGGGATTACCATTCAAGATGAGATTTGAGTGGGGACACAGAGTCAAACCATATCAGGAGAGATAGGACAAGATACCAGATGACAAAGTTGGTAGGGACCAGAATGTGGGGACCTTGTGAAAAATTTCAAGGACTTTTTCTTTTATTCTCAGTGAGACAGAAGCCATGGGGGGAGGGGCGTGTGGAGACAAAACAGTGAAAGCAGAGTTAGGAGGAGGATGCGATAATCCAGGCAAGAAAAGACAGAACCTGCTCAGGATGATGGTCCCCATGGTGGCAGTCAATACAATTCTGGATAAATTCTAAAGCCAACATGATTTCCTGCAGCAGGGATTAGACGCATGATATTTGAGAAACAGAAGTGTCAAGAAAGACTCCAGAGTTTTGGCCTAAGCAATCCTTACCACAACCTTTAAGGCAGATTGTATCATTTCACTTGCAATGGGTATGTGCCATTTTTCCGCTCAGTAGAGCTTCTTTGGGGAATTGCACTCCCGTTACATGTAGCCTTCATGGATTTGCCCATCATCCCCTCCCTGTCTTCTAGAAGGAGTCTTCTCAGACACTTGGCACAAATGAAGCCTGTCCCTTTCCTCCTTTTCCTCACCAAATTTGTTTTTGCTACAGTTACAGGGGAAGAGGATCTCTCATTTCCTGAGGTCACAAACTTAAGGGCCACCTAAGGCTTGGGGTTGCCAAGGGCCATTTTCCTGCCATCTAATGGGCCACCCGAGGGCAAGCAGGGCCTTGATGTGGGGAATTTCCAAACTGCAGCAGGTGTGTTTCTGGATTCAGCCATACTTGAGACAATTTTTCTTCCCTTGCTGTAGCTCATTTGAATTAGGCTTCTTTCAGTTGCAAATGGTACTATTCCGGTAACGGATCAGCCAGACCTGCACCTTTAGATAAAGTAACCATCACCTTTTGAGGTTCTGAGTACTTGGAATGTGGCTAGTTTAAATGGAGGTGCACTGTCAGCATGAAACGCACAATAAATTCCAAAAAATTAGGATGAAAAAAAGAATGTAAAATATCTTTTATATTGATCACACGCTGAAATGATCATGCTTTGGATATTTGGGTTAAATAAAATGCATTAATTTCACCTGTTTATTTTTACTGTTAAAAAATGCAGTCATTAAAAAACTAAAAGTACATATGCAGCTTTAATCATGTTCTTCTAGACAATGCTATTACAGAGGAACAATTTGGCTTTGAGAAGTTAAGGAAAATAAGTGACAAACATTTCAGTTTTGAGAAGTTAAACCAAATTAGAAACTACAGTTCTAGAGACACACGGCTTGGATTTGGACTCCCCTCAGTCCCAAAACTCATGGTATTTTTGCTGTGGTTCCCTCCCCAATACCCCACAAATAGGGCAAATCACCTCTTGCAACACTGTCCCATCTCTCAAAGGGTGAGCAGCATATTTCAGATCAGTAGGTTACCTGTATCTCATTTCACATTGAGCACAGGTGGCTGTGCCGTCTGCCAACTCACAAAATTGCCAAGTGATTCACCTCAAAAGGGCCCCGTTAGAACAGCGATCCATCTGGCCAGTAGCCCCCGGCCGTTCCCTCTCCAGCCTCCCCATACCTTCCGGTTGTGTACCAGCCAGCGTTCTGATCTGGCCTGAAAGCTCTCTGCCTCCAAGATACTTGCCGCAGTATCTCCTGGGCTGAGCGAGTTTAGAGGGAATCAAACCCACACTTAAGTTACCAGGGAACTGTTCCACCGAAACCCGCAACACTGTAATTACAATAAACCCTTCAGCACCACTGGCTCTGAGAGGTAAAAGAAATTAAATCAATAAGCATAGATCGAATCAGGAGCAATCTTATGGGAGATTCATGTAAATGCACAATCTTACATTGGAAATGAGTTTGAAGATTAATACCCTTCACAAATGTAAAAGTAGAAAGAAGTATGTAGGAGAAAATGCTGCTGCAACAGTAGGTCAACCCCTCTTTTTAAGAGCTGTCAGCTATATTGTATGAAGAACTCATGAAACTTAACGTTCTCAGTATTTTTTTAAACCCCATAATGCAAATTCTTCCACAGAATAACAAGTGATGCATGCTTGAAATTTATTTTTAAATCAAGAGCAAAATGAAACCCTTTAATTAATCTCGGAGAATTTAGCTCCTTGCCTTTCAGATCTGTCTTCTGCACAGTTAGATGCTTAAAATAATTGCATCCGCTCGTGTGAAACTGCAGCAGTAATTCAGTGGGTTTATACTTGTGCAACCTTTTAAAAACAGGCCTTAAAACATTCATCTGTTGAACCAATTTACCAGCTTTCAATAAAGCATCTTTAAGATACTTTCTGTTACATTTATATGACATAAGCTGTATTATTTTAATAATCTGTGCTTGAGATATATGGTGATGAGGGAATTATTGCTCACCTGGGGAGATGGTGTAATTAGCAAAGAGGCACAGTCAGGGAATAAAAATGATTAAAAAAAAAAGAAAAGCTTGCTGAAATTAACCAGCCACCGCTACTAGGCCACTATGATGTTGGCTTAAGCTGTTGGGGACGCAATGGAGTGGGAAGCAGAGAAGAGGAAAACCAAGCAAACTTCTGGTGCCTGAAATAATTACAATTTCTTACTCATCATTTCTCAAGCTCACAGGGAGTAAGAATGTGCACCCAGCCAGGGCAGACAAATGAACACCTTCCCCACAGCCAGTCGAAGGGACGCCTGAGTTGAGCTAATGGGCTAGGGCAAGAAGGGAACAGGTGTAATTATACTAATGATTTATTGAATGTTTGATTAATTGGAAATTAAGTGAATGCATAGTGGCAGATTTGTCATAGCAAATCGCTCAGCTGTTGGCTTAAAAGGTGTTCTATTTCCCTTCAGTAAAAGCAATTAAGAGCATCTTAAATCATTGGGCAAAAAACATATTTGTGCGAAATTGTCCAACACAAGAGCAAGAGGAACGTGATGAAAATATCTTAAAGGACCCTCATTGGGCAGCATGTGGAGAAAGGAACACTTTTCACAAAAATGACAGGTACAAAATCCTATAATTTTAGAACTTAACTCCTGTCTGATTTAGGAAAAAATGATGGAAAGTAAGAAAACAGAAGATGGTCTCAAGGTAGTTGGGAAGACAGTGATTTTTGTGAATGAGTGTGAGTGTGTGTGTGTGTGTGTTCAAAAATGCTTTGGGACTATCCTAGCCCACACAATGACTTTCAACATAATAAATAAGAGTGACCATTTAGGGAGGACTCAACAACAAAGGAGGGGGCTTAATAAGAAACAAGGGGAAAAGTCATAACCCCCAACATCCCCCGCTCCCCAAGCCAGGTGTCTGTGGGTAGTAAACAAAAGATGCCAACTGTTCACTGTGGCTTCTTCTACTACCATTCAAAAGGGAAGCCAGGGGAAAGACGATGGAAAAGGGCCTTTCTTCTGAAACTAAGGTTTTGAAACCCTCCACAGCACTACCTGATGTCTAGGTTTTCTTTTACAATGCATCCTGCTTCTACCTCTGCACTATTTCCTCAACTCCATTCCCTGAATCTTCCCCTAAGTCCCTCTCTCACAGAGGAGCACATCCAAGAGTTACAAGCTTAATGTTTTCTTTGTGGCGCTTTGAGCTTGGGGAAGGAGAAGGCGGATGCAAATTGAACACATAAATAAGAATTTAATAAACTTTCTCTTTTGGTCTCCTACACGGCTACTAAAGTTGCAGAATCTGGAATTAAAAATGTGCTATGGAGCAGAAACTGGGAGGAAGGGCACTCTCCTATCACTCTCCTGGGCTTGTAAATGTACATGCCCTTCCTTTCTGGAGACGGCAGTTCATCCAAGGAGATCCAGCATCTTCAATTCAGTATGTCCATTGACTGTCAATCCTTCTTGGGGTTGATTCTAAGGAAATCTTAGAAATGCCCCAAGATGCATGTACAAGGATGTTCACTGCAGTGATGTTTACAACAGCAAAAAAAAAAAAAAAACAAAAATGGGAAGCCATCTAAATATTCACTAGCATTTTCCCACATGTAGTTTAAGGAAGACAATTGTAGGAGCTGTTAACGTATGATTTCCCTAAAATGATGTTTTTAACATGTAAACAAAGACTTTGAAATATGAATGTTCATTGTGTGTTACCTAGAGGAGGAGAGGAAATGCGTCTGTCTCAGCCTCACTTTCAGAACACAGATCAGCAGCTCCCAAATATTGGAGGAGGACCGTTTAGGAAATGCTGGTATTGATCTGGTTCAAAATCTGTTCCTATGATCAAACGACATGTTAACAAAATAGTATGCACCTTACAATTTCCTTTTTGCAAATAGAAATCACATCTGGATTAAATATATATGGGGAGAAATGTGTGTGTGCATGGAAGTCTGGAAAGAGATTATACCAAAATGATGACAGTGGTTATCCCTCGGCTGATGGATCATTAGAGATGATATACTATTTTCTTCTCTGTGCTGTTCCACATTTGTCAGTAAAAATACCACACGTTTGTAATTTTTCATGGTTTTCTTTTAAGTGACTATACAGCTTGTACAAACAACTAGCAATATTGCAAAAAACAGGAGTTCTCTGAGACACATAGAGGAGATAGATACCTACACCAGATGACTTCTGGTCACCTATTATTACAGATACCCTAAACAGGACAATTTTCTGTTATTCCTAAGAATATGTCAGCTCTGGCCGTATGTCTTGTAAGATTGGAACTCTGCCACACACTCTATTAAAAAAAAAAAAAAAAGACTGCAGCTGTAGCCATTAGAACAACTCAGCCAATTAAAGACGTCTCAAAAGTGTAACAGTGTTGCCCTTCAGAAAGGCCAGTGTTGGCAAGACCAGGAAACAAGTACAACTCTATTAGAGCAATGGCACATCCCAGCATCCAGAAACAGGTAAATCTGTTTTGTCCCCATGCACAGAAAGATACAATTAACACGGCTGCAAAGTAAGTGATCCTGCCTCATTACCAGCCATCAGGCTGTCCTACAGGGGCCCCCCATCCAAAGCTGGAAGGGGAGGCTACTAATTATCATGCCAAATTAAGCCTTGATTATTCCCCAAGAGACACCTATTAATTGGGCTGCTACATTGCATAACAGTTTTGCACATTAATAATTGAGTTGCAATGACTCCATTTTCTCCTCGTAAATGTGATTTATTTTTCACTCTTTTAGTTTCAAGTTGCCCTATCATCAAAACTGGGACATGGGCGACCAGGAAAGCCACTGCTGTTGTGAACCTAAGGAGAGGAATTTAGGGCTTACCTATTCACGGGAGCAGTAAAAAGTTTTCAACACAAACCCTGACACAACAAAGATTACAATGCCTGTACAAAGCCAGCCACTGGGGCTAAGCATCCGGGTTTTAATAGGCGTGAAAGGTGGTCCACAATTCTGTCCATCTAACCTATATCTATCTATATATGTATATATTTTAAGACAGAGTCTTGCTCTTTCACCCAGGCTGGAGTTCAGTGGCACCATCTTAACTCACTGTAGCCTCCACCTCCCAGGCTCAAGTGCTCCTCCCACACCAGCCTCCTGAGTAGTTGGGACTAGAGACATGCACCACCATGCCCAGCTAATGTTTGTAT
This sequence comes from Homo sapiens, assembly GCF_000001405.40. NCBI lineage: Eukaryota > Metazoa > Chordata > Mammalia > Primates > Hominidae > Homo > Homo sapiens. The sequence continues at coordinate 6,705,859 of NC_000016.10, read as the reverse complement.
TTTTAGTAAAGACAGGGTTTTGCCATGTTAGCCAGGATGGTCTTGGACTCCTGAGCTCAAGTGATCTGCCTGCCTCGGGCTCCCAAATTGCTGGGATTACAGGCTTAAGCCACCATGCCAGGCCCTAATTTATAATTTTATCCCTCTTTATTTCTCATTTATAAGACATACTCTATCACAGTGGCTTTGTTGTTGTTGTGAGCGCTTTCTTGCACTGTAAAATATTTGCTATCAGGCTCATCTTGTATATTTCATAGCTGAGTCCTAAAAGCAGCCGCTTCTCCAAGGAGCCCTTCTTCCCTTTTTGGAGAATGGTATTAGAAACTGAGATCTGGGTAGTAGGCATGCTCATTGCTGCTGGGGGGTTGTGGCTTCCAGGACCTCTAAACTGACGGAACAAGAAGATCTATGTGTACAGTAACCCAGGGATGTATGTATGTCTGTAGGTATTTCTATACTTAACCATCTGTGTCCCAATTAAGCTAAACATGATTCATTCTGATGCCAACCCCCATCCATCATGCCATGGATCGCTCTAGACTTCTTCCCTTGTAACCTCCCACTCAAACAGTGAGAAACCTTTGCCCAGTATGTTTTGAGTAACCTCACTGGAGTTGCAGTCCCACTAGATGAATGCCAACCCATTTGTTCATTTAAAAGGACTTTGGAACCATAGAGCAATGGCTGGGCTGGGTCTGCCACGCTCATCTCACTGAAACATTTGCCATGAAGGCACTGCCAAGAAACTCTAGGACCACAGGGTCCTGGTGCTGCCTCATTACTGACCATCAAGCTGCTTAGTGCATCTGGTTGGGGCATTAAAAAAAAATCCACACGTCACTCCAAGGTTCCGGATTAAAGTTAAAAAATAGCCATGAGGTAGCATTATCCCAAATAAAGAATCTGGCACGACTTGGATAAGTGCGATCCGTTATTTCTTTTTAAAAATTGAAATCCAGAAACAGCTAAAAGAGCAAGAAACTGAAGCAAAACAAACCCAAAAATACAGCCAAGAAAAGATGATGGAAAGCACAAAGAGGGTGGGAAAGGAACGCAGCAAAATTAAACGAAGCTACAGTTCTTGGGAAGGTTCTCCGAGACCAGATGGCAGAAGAAATGATTTATCCCTCCATGTATTTCTGCAATACTGAATGTTCCAAAATAATATATGGATTTGGGATAAATAGGCAGTTAGGCAGGCTCTCTCTCTCTCCCTGTCTCTGTCTCTCTCAGTCTTCCCCCACCCCTCTTGGCTCCAGCTAGGTGAAGGAGAAAGCATCCATATTATAAACAGTCTGGTATGCCTGCCTCCAACAACTTCCAGACCCAAGGGGGGTGTAGAATACCGAGGCAGCTGCAATGGCCTCTGGGTTTGCTGTTCAGCCTGCTGTGAAGAGGAAAGTCCTGAGCCCAGCTAGAGCCATGTGGGCAGAGACGGTGAGCAGCAAGCTCAGGACAGCAGAACCACCTCATGTTTGTCTAGGTTTGGCTGCAGGGTCGTCTCCTAAATCTGAGCCATTGTGTCTACAAAGTGGGGTCTGAATTTCTGTTTTAGCTCAAGAGGTAGCATTGCATATCTCTGTGGAGCAGGGACTGGCTGTTCAATTTGCAGTTCTGCCACTTACTAGCTGCGTGAAAGTTAGGCAGGTTTTTAACTCCTGCATGACCCATTTCCTTACACACAACATGGGGATGATAATAACAATGCCTGCCCCATGGGGCTAGGAGGAAGGTGAAATGAATTAAGAAATTAGAAGAGCAAGGATAGTGCCTGGCAGTATAGACTCCCTCAACTTCAAAGAGCTCGAGGAGGAGGGGGAATTAGATGGAGAGCAAGGAAGTAGAAGTCAGAGGAGAGAGACACAGAGAGGGTTAAAATCAAAGCAGGGGGACTGGGACCTAGAAAATTCCCTTTGCTGGAGGCTGGGAAGCTGAGGCCTCTTTTCTATGAGATAGGAGGAGTCTGCTGTAGCCTCAGGTGTAACAGAGTAAGTTGCTTTTCAGAGTTGCTGGCTATCCTTGTCAGAGAGGGGAAGCCACCCAGATGGCAGTCAGCAGCTTGGAATCTGGGTTGGACAGATGTGGATTCAGTTGCTGGTCTTGTCCTTGAACTCTCAGAGCCACTTTCTTTTTTCTTTTCTTTTTTTTCTTTTGAAACTGGGTCTAACTGTGTCATCCAGGCTGGAGTGCAGTGGCTCAGCTATGGCTCACTGCAGCCTCAACTTCTCAGGCTCAAGTGATCCTCCCACCTCAGCCTCCCAAGTCAGAACTACAGGTGTGCAACACCACACCAGGCTTTTTTTATTTTTATTTTAGAGGCAGGGTCACAGTATGTTGCCTAGGCTGCCTTGAACTGCTGAGCTCAAGCAATCCTCCCATCTCAGCCTCCCCAGCATCTAGGACTACAGGCATGTACCACGATACCTGGCTAATATTTTTTATATTTTCTGTAGAGATGGGGTCTCACTATGTTGCCTAGGCTGGCCTCAAACCCCTGGGCTCAAGCAAACCTCCTGCCTCAGCCTCCCTAAGTGCTGGATCACAGGTGTAAGCTACCACTCCCAGCCACTTTCTTATCTATGAAATGAAATTAACAGCTCTGTAATAATAATAAATAATAATAAGTAATTAATAGAAGCATTATTTACAGTAGCCAACAGGTGGAAACAACCCAAATGTCTATCAACAGAGAAATGAACAAAACATGATATAACAAAACAAAACATGATATATTCTCACAATGAAATATTATTCAGCCTTAAAAACGAAGGAAATAAGAATAACACACTACAACATAAACCTTGAGGCAAGTGAGATAGGCCAGATACCAAAGGACAAGGGCCATATGATTCCACTTAGATAACGTACCTAGAACATCGAATCCATAGGGACAGAAAGCAGAATGCTGGTGGCCAGAGGCTGGGAGGACATGAGAATGGGGAGTTAATGTCTCATAGGTACAAAGTTTCCATTTGGAAGATAAAGTTCTGGAGACAGATGGTGGTGATGGTCGCACAACAATGTGAATGTATTTAATGCCACTGAACTCTACATTTAAAATGGCTAAGGTGGTACATTTTATGTTATGTCTATTTTACCATAACAAAAAAATAATTTAAAAAATCTAAAGACTAAAACAAAAACCAGAGAGAGAACAGTATCTGCCGTACAGGATTTTATTGAGCAATTATTCTCACCAGTCACTGGGCTGGGTATCTTAGAAGTATGACCTCATTTAGTCTTCAGCAGAACTTTTTGGGAAGGAATAGAATGTTGATATAATTTGGATTTTTGTTTTTTTTTTTTGAGATGGACTCTCGCTCTGTCACCCAGACTGGAGTGCAATGGCACAATCTTGGCTCACTGTAGCCTCTGCCTCCCGGGCTCAAGCAATTCTCCTGCCTCAGCCTCCCAAGTAGCTGGGATTACAGGCATATGCCAGCACGCCAGGCAGATTTTTGTATTTTTAGTAGAGATGGAGTTTCACCATGTTGGCCAGTCTGGTCTTGAACTCCTTACCTCAGGTAATCTGCCTGCCTCGGCCTTCCAAAGTACTGGGTTTACAGGCATGAGCCACCACGGCTGGCCGATAATTTGGATATTTGTCCCATCCATATCTCATGTTGAAATGTGATCTCCAGTGTTGGAGGTGGGTCTACTGGGAGGTGTCTGGATCATGGTAGAGCAGATCCCTTATGAACGGCTTGGTTCCGTCCCTGCTGTAATGAGTGATTTACCACGAGGTCTAATTTTTTAAACTTTTATTTTAGATTCAGGGGTACATGTGCAGGTTTGTTATACAGGTAAATTGTATGTTGCAAGGGTATGGTGTACAGATTATTTTGTCACCCAGGTAATAAGCATAGTACCCAACAGGTAGTTTTTGAGCCTCACCCTCCTCCCACCCTCCATCCTCAAGCAGGCCCCGGTGTCTGTTGTCCCTTTGTGTCCGTGTGTACTCAGTGTTTAGATCGCATTTATAAGTGAGAACACAGTATTTGCTTTTCTGTTCCTATGTTAGTTTGCTTAGAATACTGGACTCCAGTTCCATCCATGTTGCTGCAAAGGACACGATTTCATTCTTTTTCTGGCTGCATAATATTCCATGGTGTACATGTGCCACATTTTTAAAATCCAGTCTACTGCTGATGGGCATTCAGGTTGATTCCATGTCTTTGCTATTATGAATAGTGCTGGGTAATGAACACAGGTGTACGTACGCCTTTATGTGATTTTTATAAAGAGCCTGGCACCTCCTCCTCTCTCACCATGTGACACTCCTGCTCCCCCTTCACCTTCCACCAGAAATAGAAGCTTCCTGAGGCCTCACCAGAAGCTGAGCAAATGCTGGTGCCATGCTTGTACAACCTACATAACTAAGAGTCAAATAAACCTTTCTTCTTTAAAAATTATGCAATCTCAGGTATTCCTTTACAGCAATGTAAAACAGACTAATGCAGATGTCTTCCCACTTTGTGGAGTCAGTAAGATGATGGTAAACAGGGAGATGCATCTCACAAATACCCGTACCCAGCTGCAGGGGGTGACGTCAGCAGGCAGCCACAGCTGTCAGCCCCTTCAGGGCCTGCGTCAGCTGCAGAGAGCCTCCTTGCTCAAGGATCACACCCTTCCTGGGGCAACTTGCATCCAATGACTGAGAGAGGTAGGAGGTAAAGTCCCAGCCATTTCAGCCCAAGACAAACACACACACACACACACACACATACACACACAGAGACACTGATAAACTCTTCACCTCTGGAGCTCCCCAATGGGTCAGCTGAGGCTTTCCAGGCTCACATCATAGTCTGACTCACCCCCCCCTCTGCCCAACTCTGCTCTCTACTCCTTTCTTTTACTGGTATGGATCCCTCATAAGCATCTGGTACCCCCAATGCCTTCTGATTATCTGTGAACCCAACCTCGAACAATGGTTAAGTAGTCCGAGGACGTGACTAGCAAATTGGGTAAAGAGGATATTTGGAGCATTAAAAACACTCCTAGTGCAAGTTTTCATTACTAGATAAATTCTATATGTCATGAACCACTACTTTTAATTACTTGCTGGGATATGCCATAGATAACATGGTAAATGTAGTAATGAAATTTTGAGTTTCAAGAAAGTCTGTCTTACCAGGTGACTCGGTTTCACGAATCTACTTATGGTAATTTTTAAAAAATTATTATTATTATTATTTTTTGAGATGAAGTTTCGTTTTTGTTGCCCAGGCTGGAGTGCAGTGGTGCGATCTCAGCTCACTGCAACCTCTGCCTCCCGGGTTCAAGCAATTCTCTTGCCTCAGCCTCCTGAATAGCTGAGATTACAGGCACCCACCACCTCACCCAGCTGATTTTTTGTATTTTAGTAGAGACAGGGTTTCACCATGTTGGCTAGGCTGGTCTCCAACTCCTGACCTCAGGTGATCCGCCTGCTTCGGCCTCCCAAAGTGCTGAGATTACAGATGTGAGACATGACACCTGGTCAAAATTCTTTTTTTTTTTGTTTTAACCTTGCCTATGGTGCTGATGTTTTAAAAATTTATGTAAGCATGTTATACTGTTATTTTTCATTTCATTTCAACAAGCCTTGGGTTCAGCTATTGAGAGGAAGCCCTGAGATCAGGAAAGGACAGTGCATGGTACACTTCTCACGTTCCTCTCTGGGTGAAAAATTGAGTAAGTCCCCCGACTCTGGCTCTGATGATCAAATACATCACCTTAGGGGAATGCCTCTACAATTTCCAGGTACCCACCTGGTTTATTCAGGGATGCTACGGTGAGTGGGGGAGAGTATTTGATGAGAGAGAGGTTTTAAGCTTTTTCTTGCCAATCGTAAGAGAAGGAAAAGATACCCTGAAAACATGTATGTCAGCTAGCTCATCCACATACCAGGGCAAATTATGTTTTGATGCAATAACTCAAAACAATGTGTACCTGTCCACAAATTTAACATTACCTTTGGGCCCAAATTGAAGGACTTGTGGCAGAATAGCTATCCTTAGTGCCCAGACCCCTCATTTGACACTTATCTACATACAACCATCATGAGTTTTTCTTCACCGTGCCTGCATGTGTTCATGTCCTTATGCCTCATTATCCCACCTTGATCATAAACTCCTTCAAGGCAACGGCCATGCCTGATCATTCATTTTATGTCCTTCTGTGTTAACCCAATGCCTTGTCCATCATCAGAACAGGGCAGGGGCTGGTTGACAGATGAGTATTCATGCCAACAAAAACACTCTTCCCGTCGTACAGTTTAAAGAGCCCATTTGTCTGTTATGACATATCACTCGCTTTGGTGTTTGTTACTGGAGTGCCCAACCAGTCAGCGTTGATAGGTCACTGGACACATTATATAATGTGCTGAAATTAACTGAATTAATATTGTCAAAATGGCTTGGCTTTTAAATGCAGGCTTCTCCTTCAAAGACACGCAGCATGGTCTGGACTCTGAAAGACACCACTTTTGCATAAAAAATACCTGCTTATTATGACTGTTACAGAGAACCTTATTTTAGTCACTGATCCTGAAAGTCACTTTAAAAAAAAAAAAAAAAGTAACATAGGGAGGATAACTATGAAGGCAAAGCCTCACAACAGTGAACGTGAAGAGAGTTCAAGGCTAAGGTGGTCCCAGAACAGTAGTCCATATGCTGCCTTGCATACTGATAAAAATGGTTTAAAAACTGACATGACAGGGGTGCCTGGGTGGCACTTCAAATGGGTTGAAGACGCTGTTTCTTATACTGATGATGGCTGCATGCTGGTTATGATTGTCACTTGCCTGCCTACTTGAATCCCTAAGGTAATAACAGAAACACCCATTTTTAGTACCTAATGTGTACCAAGAACAACGCCACATTCTCTAGCTTTAAGCTCATTTTCACAATCATCACCCCTTGTTCTAGAGTCTTCGTACGCTATGGACACATTCAATATGCCTCTTTTATGAATAAGGGGGAAAATATCACAAAGAATCCAAAAACCCTCCAAGGTCATATTAACTAGAAGGTGGGGGACATGGAATTCCATATCACTATAAGGGATTCACATTTCTCACCATTGCATAATGCTTAGAAAGTCAAACCGTGGGGGAGGAAAACAGGGCAGAACAAAGATGTGGGATTTGAGAACGGCTTGGAGGACAGCAGGTGGGAGATGCTGAAAATAGCATAGAATAATGTGATTCTAACCTAAAAGGGGTGGTCCCACCACGTCTGCCTCGGTGAATAACAGATGGAGAAGTGGCATGTTAGACCCTGTGGGGCTCTGGCAAATACTAATTGACGATGATGACTTCAGAAGAGCAAACAAAAATTTGAAGAGACAAAAGAAAGAGTTAAGCGCTCATGGGGAAAGACAGGGCCCAGCCCAGGAAGAGATAATGACAGGATTGATTTGCGTTATGGCGGCCACAGGAGAACTTCACAAGAATGGTCTTACTTAAGAATCTCTAGTTTTTGTAGCTAAACCATCCATTGTGTTCTCTTAAAAATTTGCACTTGAAGATCAATGCAGACTTTCCCACATCCTCATATATCTTAGAAAAATGGACTGGTTTAGATGTACAAATAGATTACCCCCCATATCTTCTGTGGACATCTTAATGCTGTATTATTTTACATAATGATATTTACATGATCTAATTGTCAAATTGGAGCACGAGGGAAAGTAAAATTTTAAGGGAGGTGGAAGAAATATAAGTGGATTTCTGGTTTCTAGCTCTTAATTCATGAGTAACAAAATGCATATTTTATGATTTCCAAACAGTTGAAATAACTCCAAATTCACAGACAGTGTGCAGTGGGACAAGAGACAATTCTAGTTAGTTTAATTACTGAGGAGGATAATAAGTTTGATCAGTTAAGACATAAGTACATACCATAGACCAATCAACTCTCTGGTTGGTTCCTTAATAGAACAGATGTTTTAAAAAAAGAGACTTTTGGTCTTCTGGCCACATCCTACCCTTGATTACAATTGTTCTTCTACTGTCTGGGCAGATCTGGTGTCCCTGGAGAAGGCTAAAGGTGGGCCATGTAGAGATATGGACTTCCAATACCAAGGTTGGGTCTTCTGTTGATCTGGTTTGCTCAGTATCTGTTTTCCTTCCTTTTTTGGACAACAGCCTGTTTCTTTGGGGAAGGATCATCCCAAACTTCATTTGTTCGCCATGGGGTTTTCTTCCCCTTTTAATCCAGAGGTGAGCAAATAACCTTGGCTTGGTGCTCCCACATCATCATTCCATCCACCAACACAGAAACCAGTTCCAGGATAAGCCTTTGACTCAAGCTGCTCCAGTGAGAATGGACCATGTGATCACACAATGGAAAGCAGATTTATAAGGAGATATTAGATTCTGTACATCATTTAGTTTTTGGATTCCTTAATTCCTGAAGTCAGTCTCACCGTGGGCTGTTTCCTATGAGCCAGTATATTTCCCTTTTATGTTGAAGGTAGTTTGAATTGGGTTTCTGTTGCTTGCACCCAAAGGATCCCTGGCTGGTGGAATACTTAATATGACTTCCTCTGGCAAGCTTAGTGACCAAAGTCAAGTACCATGACTACAGTGGGTGGAAAAGGACTTAAGATGCAGAAAATTTAAAAACCTGGTCCACTACTGCAGCTACCACTACAGTGACCACTATACCATATATACATATTATAATATATAACATCATCACCACCAAGGTAGAGGCCCTATTTCTCTAGTCAATCCCTGAATATCTTCAAGCAATTCATATGATTTTTCTTTGGCTTTCCCCAGAAGAAATTCTGAAGGGGAAGGAATAAATAATTTTGCATTGGCCAAGCATTAGTTTGAAATGTCTAAGCTTTTCTTTATGGAAGTTTTTAAATGCAGTCACTTTTGATTTGGTACAGAATTATAATCAACTAGAGGCTACAGGCATTTTAGCCTGCTGGAGTTTATATTGGGGGTTTTGCAAGACAGCAATCTCCATTTCTTAAACATGTGCTTTAGTAAGACAAAATACTATTTCTCAGTAGAGCACAACCTTGAAGAAAATCAATGTAAATGTTATTCTACTTCTCACCTCTTTTTTTCTACAAAACTAAACACTCCAAACACAGGCACAGCAAACTGCATTTCGAAAGGTTTTGTAAGTTAAACAAGCCAAGGAAGTTACATGGAAAAAAAAAATCTCCTTTGAGATATAAAACTGTTCATATCTGAAGGAGACTGTACAGATAGCAGAAGGGAATATAGTATAATATTTGATGAAGAGACGTAATTATCATTTATGAATGAGAAAGCTCAATGTTTTCCTAAATTACTCGAATTAAACCTCAAATAAATATTTGAAGTTCTCCATCTAATTCGGCTACAATGAAAAACTGAATCTCATTACCTCTGGATTTACATCGACTCCAATTTCAAAGATTATATTTATTTCAGAGGGGATGAAAAAGCATTTTTCACTAGGAAGAAAATGAATTGAGGTTTCAATATAAAACAAGACTCACTGCATATTATAAAGAAAGTGCTAGTCTAAATTTTTTTTTCCAAAGAAAACTTCTAAGAAAAAGTCAGAGATATTTCACTTAGTTTGGAGATAAGTTTAAATAAATGACAATTATGTGCCTGTAATAGTGGTACAAACAGATATTGTATACCTCAATTTAAGCATATTTATTATATCAACTAGAGAGTATTATTCCTTTTATGAAATAATTCCTCATTCTACAAAAACACGCAGTATAGGATCCATTTAGTAATGAGCTCCCCAGTGTATTCTACCTGTAATTTAATTCAATTTTCACAGTTTTCTAGATACAACAATTGCCTCAAGCAAGGTAAACGTCTTTGCCAGTTTAAGTGGATACGCTGTAGAAATCAGATCAGTGTGTGTATGTCTGTACATCTCTTTAAAAGCTTATTGCAATGTGGTTATAAAAGGAACAGTCAGTTGTCCACTATTTTCACCATATGCAATTTCCTCCCATAGATTCACGGCCATATGGAGATGTTCATCCTGAGCCACCTGGATTTCCAGCAGGGAAAACAAAACCAACAAACAAAACAGGACATGACAATGAAGATATCAAAGAACTGTTATTTACTTTTGCTACAAGAAGTACAGAGAGGATTCATGATTCTTGAACTATATTTTCCAAAATAAGTGACAGTCATTCACTTTCTTGACAAATATCTATGGAGTACTAACAATAGGCCGGACACTATGATCGTCTTTTACAATATATTCTCCCTAAAGAAGATTCCAAGTGAAAATATATTGAGAGTGCTCATCATTCTATATCTCATACTTGAAACATTCATAATAGGCGCGTCGGCCACTTAAGGGCTCCAAGAAATCTTAAAGAAACTTGTTTAATCCAACAGTGACCAGATACATTTAATTATGTCATTTTCTTTTCCTTTCCTTTCCCTTCCTTTCCTTTTTTTTTTTTTTTTTTTTTTTTGACAGAGTTTCTCTCTTACTCTCAGGCTGGAGTGAAGCGGCGCAATCTCAGGTAATTGCAACCTCTACCTGTTGGGTTCAAGCGATTCTCCTGCCTCAGCCTCCTGAGTACCTATTACAGGCACTCACCACCACGCCCAGCTAATTTTTTATTTTCAGTAGAGACGGAGTTTCACCCTGTTGGCCAAGCTGGTCTCAAACTCCTGACATCAGGCGACCCAACCGCCTTGGCCTCCCAAAGTGCTGGGATTTCAGGCATGAGCTACTGCGCCCGGCCATTGTTTTTTTTCCTTTTTACACACAGTAATATTCACTGGGACAAGGGCTTTCTGAAATAGCATTCATCTAAAAGTTCTTCTCCATATGCATCAAAGCCTGGCTGATTTAATATGAAATGCAGCTTTTAGAATGTCTATGTGTCATTTTTTTCCCTTCACCTACAGTGACACCTGTGGTACTGAACTATGCAACATCCTTTCCCCCGAGATCTGACAAGTGTTAGTCCTGTTTACCACGCATGCTGTCTTCTGTGTGTTGCCGTGTGGTTCCCAGGGCTCCGGGGCTGGACTCTAGACCAGGTCTGTCCAATCACTGTGTTCCGTCACAGTGACTGATGCACGGAAAAGCCCTTGCCCTGAATTAGTTAAATGAGAGGCAATGCTGGAATTCATTTTTATACCTATTACCAATGGAGTTGCTGGGAGGATATGATAGAGCTGGTGGCTCCTGGTGGCCATCTTGCTACCATGTGGAAAAACAATGGCCATGATAAGACCAACACAGTGTAAGGCAGAACTTTGGGATGGCAAACATGAGACTGAGTTCCTGCACCCAAGCCAGTAAAGAGGCCCTCAGTGAACAAAATGTGTAAAGAAACAACTTCAAGGACATGTAACTAAAACACTTAGGAATTTCCTTGGGTCAGGCAGGTTTGGATCATCAACATTTTCATTTCCCTCTTTATATCCAAAATGAAATGTTCACATGGTAAGACCAACCAGTTTTTTCTTCTTGTGTTTATAGTGGAATTTGGATGAGAACTGTGGATATAATCTACATAATTAATCTCCGCCAACTCCAAATGCCAGATAATCTCTTAAATTGTTTGTCAAGATAAATAAGACAGAAAAATTGACTCACACACCAACCTCCTCTCTAATTTAACAAAATTGGAGAATCGCACAATGGGTGGAATACTGACAATATGCAATAGAAGTTGCCCTAAAGGGATTATTTAGCAGGAACAAGGAAAACTCCAACAGTTGGCAGAGTCATGATGAGGTTAAACAAAAGATGAAACTCTTCTCCAAACCTGGGTGTTGAATTATTGAAATTTGTTTCAAACATTTCAGCATCTGAGTAGTGACATATGACAAACACATGCCTATATTACAATAGAAAACTAAACTTGTAACAAAGTAATCTTTATAGTTACCTTGGTTTTGTCATCTGTAAAATAGGAGAAATAATAGTGTCTACTTCATATGGGTAAACAGTCAATTAGATGATTCTCATAAAGGATCCAACATTGTATATGGCACTCTGTGAACACTAAAGAATTGCTGAATAAGGATGATGGTGGTGATGGTAGTGGAGAATGATGATGATGATGGTGGTGGTGATGGCAGCGGAGGAAGATGATGTTGCTAATGATGGTGGTGATGTTAGTGGATGAGGATGAGGATGATGGTGGTGATGGTAGTGGAGGAGGATGATGGTGATGATGATGGTGGTGATGGTAGCAGATGAGGATGATGATGATGATTGTGGTGGTGATGGTAGTGAATAAAAATGTGTTGATGATGATGGTGGTGATGGTAGTGGAGGATGATGACGATGATGATGGTGGTGATGGCAGTGGAGGAAGATGATGTTGCTAATGATGGTGGTGATGTTAGTGGATGAGGATGATGATGATGGTGGTGATGGTAGTGGAGGAGGATGATGGTGATGATGATGGTGGTGATGGTAGTGAAGGAGGATGTTGATAATGATAGTGGTGATGGTAGTGGATGGGGATGGTGATTCTAGTGGAGTAGGATGATGTTGATGATGATGGCGGTGATGCTAGTGGAGACGGATGATGGTGATGATGGTGGTGTTGGTAGTGGAGGAAGATGATGTTGCTAATGACGGTGGTGATGTTAGTGGATGAGGATGATGATGATGGTGGTGATGGTAGTGGAGGAGGATGACGGTGATGATGATGGTGGTGATGGTAGCGGATGCGGATGATGGTGATGATGATGGTGGTGATGCTAGTGGAGGAGGATGATGGTGATGATGATGGTGATGGTGGGGGAGGATGAGGATGATGATGATGGTTGTGATGGTAGTAGAGGAGGATGATGGTGATAATGATGGTGGTGATGGTAGTGGATGGGGATGATGTTGATGATGATGGTTGTGATGGTAGTGGAGGAGAACGATGGTGATAATGATGCCGGTGATGGTAGTGGATGGGGATGATGTTGATAATAATGGTGGTGATGGTAGTACTATGAAGATGATGCTGATAATGATGGTGGTGATAGTAATGGATGAGGATGGTGATGATGATGGTGGTGATGGTAGTGGATGAAGATAATGTTGATGATGATGGTAGTGATAGTACTGATAGTGACAATGATCATGATGATGATGTTGATACCAGAGGTGGGTTGAAACAGATCAGAAGATAAAGACATTACTCTGACTTGGAGTATATAGTAGGCATTTCAACTAGGTGTTGGTTAAAGGGAAACACATTCAGGTGGAAGAAACAGTAAAAAAAAAAAAATGTGTTTGGATGGAAAAGTGCATGGTGGAAGGAGGACAACAAAAATTTTCCAGCTTTGCTAGAGTGTAGGTGAATCAACAACTTAAGTGGAAGTAATTCAGAGAGGAACCAGGAGGCCGACACATGCTGTTTGTTTCTTTGTTAGGCCACAGGGTCACGGAAAGTAGTTAAACATTTCAATGTTCTAGGAAGAATAATGTACCAGTGATGAGTAGGATGGATTTAAATGAGAGGAACTCTAGGGAGAGATACCAGGTATCAAATGACTTCAAGGATCTAGGTAAGAAATAAAGAAGATGAAACACTTAGTGAAAACGACATCTGCTCTTTAATGTTAGAGAGGTATGAATCCAAACCACAGCTCAGACACACGTTTACTCCCTGGGTGATCTTACAGGGAGGTCACTGAGTTAGTTTCCTATTGATGCTAAACTTGTAACAAAGTAATCTTTATAGTTACCTTGGTTTTGTCATCTGTAAAATAGGAGAATATGTTACCACTAACTTACTTAATTAAACTTACTTAAAATAACTACTCGTTTATTATCTTGCAGTTCTGTATATTAAAAGTCTGACTTGTCTTTTACTGGACTGAAATGATGGTGTCAACAGGCAGGGCTGTGTTTCCTCTGAAAGCTGTAGGGGAAAAATCCATGTCCCTAACTTTTCCAGCTTCAAAAGGCCACCAACAGTCCATGGCCCATGGCCCCTTCCTCCATATTCAAAACCAGAAAAGTAGCATCTTTCTGACCATTCTTCCACTGTCACTTCTCTCCTCTGACCAGAGCAAGGAAAAGTGCTCAGCTTTCAAGGACCCTTGGGATGACATCGAGCCTATCTGGATAATTAATTTTCCTCAATCCAAGGTCCTCAACTTAATCATATCTGCAAAATTCCTTGGCCATGTGCGGTGACATATCCATGGTTCCTGGGGATTAGGACGTGGACAGTTTGGAGGACCATTATCCTACCTGCCATGGTCATTTTACGTTTGTAAGCCAAGGTCATCTTAAACAGTGGAGGCACACATTCTTTCTTCCTGGGATTGATGTAAAGATGATATCAAATGATACATATAACGCGTGTAATGTGATAACGGGAAACCTGCGAAACGCATTTACTCAGAATGATTTTACTTCCCAAACTTGAGTGGCATCCACAAAAAAAATAAAGAAAAAGGAATAGATGGTAAAGGTACTGAGGAAGGAGAATTAATAGGTGTTGAAAGTGACAAGTTTGGATTGGGAAGGTGGAAATGGACAGAGAAGAGTGAAGAATGATGGCAAAATAAGCTTTCTTAAGAAACAGTTATGTTTATTACGGGCTTAAAGCTCTGCCACCCCCTACCTCTGCAGCACGCACACATCGAGATGCTCTGTATAGACACGGGAATAATTTTATAGGGACAGAAAACCATCCTCTGATGGGAGTGACATCTAGCTCCCCCACAGCTAATAGCAGACACTTTTTGATACAAAAGACATGGTTGGGAGATTTCTTTCCAGGACTCTGTAATTCCCTTTTACTTTTCCCAACATCTCTCAAGACACAGTGACATCGTCATGTTAACAATCAGAAGGAACATGATGTAACATGAATAACAAAATGACTGGAAGCTGCAAGCGCTGGTACTTGTTTCCACTCTACAAATAGGAAAACAGTTCGCTTCCTGATGATGCCCAGCCAACCTCATCACAGGTTGACAGATTTAGCCGGAGGTGAAAATGAAAACCCAAACCTGCCAATTCCCCTGATTATGTTTCAGAGTCCAAGGGGGGAAAAATTCAGTAATGTGAATTTAGAGGAAGGAAAATGATGGCCTGGGGACACTACCTTTCTTGGCTCATGGTACTTCTAAAGTTAAAAAAAAAAAAAAAGAAAGAAAGAAAAGAAACCAAACCGAACTTGAAATATCCTGGAGTTAGAAATATTGTTTTTGATTCAACCCACTTCCTACTGTACTATAATCGACTAAAAGCAGAGGTTTATGATTCCTAAGCAGCCAACGAATCAACCAATCCCTGCTTGGTCTTACTAAATAATGATACATAAGATCATCCTGCATCTCAGTATAGTTTTGAAACGATGATCTTTGAGGTTTTGTTTGCCTTTTACTTATATACTATTTTTTTAAACAAATAGGTTAATTTTATTTTTTTCTTTAATGTTAAACTATAGTAGGCAAAATCATTTTGCATTTCAAATAGTCCCTCCATTTTTTTAAAAGTGTGATGGCCCTTTATATGAATTTTTGTCACGAATGGATCTGTGAATTATCTTTTCTAGAAACGTATATTGCATAGGTGATGTTATCACTCTAAGCACACTTAAAAACACACATATTATCATTGTTTCTCCACATCCTAGTATTCCAATAAGATAAAATCAAATATCTTCTTAGAGAGTCATGCTCTTTAAAGTAAACTCTTTTTGAATTAGCCTATGTTTTAACTCATGAGTAATAAAACATTTATTCAATCCTTATAAGCTAGAGGCTGAAATCTAAGACCATCTTCTAAGCATTTTTATTTCACTCACGGATAATTCCCAACAGGAAAAAAAGCAAAAATAAATAAATAAAGCAAGGATTCTTTTCAAAAGATTACCCAAAGAAGATTAACTTGTTTATCATCAATACCCAAAGCTGATTTTCTATCAGCTTGCCCTTATACTCTGGGGAACAGTCAACTCTTACACCTCTTCGTTGCTGATTCTCAATTGACAAACACAAGCACACACTCACAAGCATGAAACAAAAGGAAACCACATTCAGAGACAAATGTCTTTGCAGGAGACAAAGCTTACTGCCCTCGCTCAAGAAGTCTGTGCATTGAGTCTCTCCCCGTAGGAAGACGGAGAAACAAAACAGCTGGGCTCTCTGTTTATTTCCATGTTGTGGGAGTTTCAGGGAAGAACCAAACAGAACATGAATGACGGACATGTCACCAAAGTACTTCCAGAGGATTTTCATGACAACTGTCCCCAAGGAATATGTCTACATTCAGGAAGATATAAAATACAGAAACCCTTTGATATTGTTTATAGTAGACATTGTCATAGACAGGCTGAGGCACCTTACAGGAAAGATAAGTCCTGTGTAAACATCTCTTGCATAAACATAAAAAAAATTTGTGCATTAAATACACTTACTCAGCCTTAGAAGATGAGTATTTAAAACACATGAGAAGAAATTACCATATAAAAATAATATTTTTAGGAAAAAAGTATTATCTATTGCCCACATCAAATAAATCTAGATTTTCATATATAATATATGTGGAGGTGAAGACTTAAGAGAAATACCTTCCTTATATTTCAAAGTCTATTCTATCACTTCATGTGAATTATAAACACATATGAAAACAAGAAACAATTCAACCTCAGGATCCTGCAACCACTTCCTACAAAAACTCCAGACATAATCAGCCTTAGAGGATAAGCTCTCTAACAAGAAATAACATTTGACCCAGCAATCCCATTACTGGGTATATACCCATAGGATTATAAATCATTCTGCTATAAAGACATATGCACATGTATGTTTATTGCAGCACTGTTCATAATAGCAAAGACTTGCAACCAACCCAAATGCCCATCAATAATAGACTGGATAAAGAAAATGCAGCACATATAAACCATGGAATACTATGCAGCCATAAAAAAGGATGAGTTCATATCCTTCGCAGGGACATGGACGAAGCTGGAAACCATCATTCTCAGGAAACTGACACAGGAACAGAAAACCAAGTACTGCATGTTCTCCCTCATAAGTGGGAGTTGAACAATGAGAACACATGGACACAGGGAGGAGAACATCACACACCAGGGCCTGTCGGGAGGTGGTGGGCTAGGGAAGGATGGCATTAGGAGAAATACCTAATGTAGATGATGGGTTGATGTGTGCAGCAAACCACCATGGCATGTGTATACCTATGTAACAAACCTGCACATGCTGCACATGTATCCCAGAACTTAAAGTATAATAATAATAAAATAAAGAATACCAATCTGCAGGTCAAATGGCTGGTTGGACAGTGATACAGGCTTCACCTCTGGTAGTCTTCAGTTTGACTCCTATTGTCCCCACTACGGTGCTTGGGAAGTTACTTTGCTCAACCTCTCTCTCCTCACTTCTTATATGGAGAAAATGAAAATCCCCACTGCTGTTGCCAAGGGGTCTAAATAAAAGAATGCAGGTAATACGGTTTGCATCTGTGTCCCTGCTCAAATCACATGCCCAATTGTAATCCTCACTGTTGAAGGTGGGGCCTGATGAGAGGTGATTGAATCATGGGGGTGGTTTCTAATGGTTTAGCACCATCTCCCTAGTGCTGTCTCATGATACTGAGTTCTCATGAGATGTGGTTGTTTACAATTGTGTAGCACCTCCTGCCATCTCTCTCTTCCTCCTGCTCTAGCCACCTAAGACACGCCTGCTTCTCTTTTTTTTTTTCCACCATGACTGAAAGTCTTCTGAAACCTCCCCAGAAGCCGTGGTGCTTCCTGTACAGCCTGCTGAACCCGGAGCCAATGAAATCTCTTTTCTTTGTAAATTACCCAGTCTCAAATATTTGTCTATGGCAGTGCAAGAATGGACTAATACAACAGGTGAGGTGCATAGCACAGTGCTTGGCATAGAAGATGTTTCCAAGAGTGGTTTTGTTAGCATGTGTCATCTTTCATTTCTGAAGCTCTCACTCAAGATGATTGTTTTGAAAATACGGTGGAGAGAAATAACATGCATTCACTGTGTCATCATTCATTTTGTGCTTCCTGAGCACACATTTCCCAGACTCCTTTGGAGTTAGGTTGGGCCCATGTGACTTGTTCTAGCCAATAGGGAGTAAGAGGAGTGTCATGTGACCACTCTGGGCTGACCTATAACAGAGTAGCTGTGAGCCTTCCATCCTCTGTCCTCCCCGGCCGCTGCAACTTTGAAAAACCATACAGGACATAAATACAGCTAGATGAAACAGGAGCAGCCTGAATCCTGGCACTTCCCCTTGGAAGAGAACCTTCTTATAGAACTATTAGACCTGAAGTTAATTTTATGTGGCAAGAAATAAGCTTGCAAGTGATAAAACACCAAGATATCAGGACATGTTTGTTACTGAAGCACAGACTAGCTTATCCTGACTAGCAGAGATCACCACTTTTAAGTTTAATTATTTAACTTAACTTTACATATTTTTAATTTCAGTAGCCTTTGGGTAATACAAGTGGTTTTTGGTTACATGGGTGAATTATATAGTGGTGAATTCTGAAATATTGGTAAACCTGTCACGCAAGTAGTGTACATTGTACCTAATATGCAGTTTATTACCCCCACATTCTCCTCCCAACCTCCCCCTTCTGAGTATCCAAAGTCGATTATATCACTCTGTGTGCCTCTGCAGAGTCATAGCTTAGCTCCTACTTCTAAGTCAGAACATACGGTATTTACTACCTGATGTTAAAACCAAGAATTCAAAGGATACTCATAATCTGTATTTCTATGGATGCCCCAAGTAATAACAATAACAACAAAAGCCCTTCATCTGTAAGTGTGATTCTTTCAGGAACTAGATACCTGCTGTTCCTGTTTTTAACACTGCAAAGATTTCTGAAATGAGTTTAACCATGCTTTTCCATGACGACATATTATTGGTTTGTTATATATAATGAGTATTTTCACATCATATCATTACGAGCAGAATCTATATACACACACAAATCAGGTACACAAATTAATCAAAAGCATTTCTTGGAAGATTATCATTGTCTTAAGCACTCAAAATACAACACAGTAGCAGCAATGCAGAGAATGTTTAAAAAGGACGTGCAATCTGTGGGTTTCTTGATGTGTTAACTGGGTTGGGTGTGTGTAATGGGGGAGGTTGGGAGAAAAGGAAAGAGTTATGGCCTGAAACATAATGGGAAGGTTAGTCTCACAATTGCGTTCCCTTAGCATTAAAGAAGAAAATGCTTACCTTTGTGTCTCAAAAGGACAAGGAGAGATACCTGTGCTTTCGGGGGAAGCTCTATCAACTCCACTGCTGTCTCACCCCTATTGAAGAATGTGTTCACCCCTTTAGCAACTGAGAAATGTTCCCAAGATGTATATAATTTCATGGATGGAAGAACACCAATTTCACAGAACTTAAACGACACAACCACGTAGTGCTTAAATTATGCAAAAACAAGCTGCGTTGTGAGTACAACGGAGGCCTGCGCATAGCAGTTCTTAGGTGTACTGTCATCGACATGAAACTGAATGGCCCACAGGCTTCCTGAAGCATCAATAAAGCAAAGGAGGAGGGGCGAGGGCTCAGACTAAGCCCACACAAATCTGTGAAGTTCCCATGAAGAAAGACGCCTTCGATTGCTATGAATGGCCCTGACCACTGTCTCATCTAATTTGAGACCTCTACCTGAGTGATAAGAACATCTGAACCGTGGAAACCTGTCTGATTACATCGAAGGGATTTGTTCCTTCACATTCTCTCTGCTTAATATGTAGAAGAAATGATAGTCCCCACTGCTGCTGCTGCACGGTTGAAATGAAATAATGCAGTGCTGAGCACAGCGCTGGGCCCAGCCAAACATATGGGACATTTTCAAATAACATTTTTGTCAATATGCAGTATTTTTTCTGTCTTGCAAAAGCTAGACAGAACCTGCTTGGTTTTGTCACGTTGGAATCAACCTAAGTGTACAAAAATAAAAGCTTTTTAAATACTAGAAAATGTCCATATGATGGAAGAGGACATGAAGTCATTAATAATGGTGGCTTTAAGACAGAAATATTTATTATTGTAGGAAACACTTTCATGACATAATGAAAACAACATTGAGTGAAGGCTGTTTGTTAAAATTTCAGGTGCTTGGAGGGAAAAAGGATAGGGGCAGACACCAAATTGTTAAAATTGGTATTCTTGAGTGATGAGGCCATCTTGTTTTTCTCCTTTTTTATATTTTTAAATGTTCTACAATAAGTATGGATGACTTTTGTGTAACTAGCAAATGATGTCTGGACTTGGTTTAAGTGTGACCAAAAAATGAAACTCTTGGCCAGACACAGTGGCTCATGCCTGTAATCCCAGCACTTTGGGAGAGTGAGGAACGCGGATCACCGGAGGTGAGGAGTTCGACAGCAGCCTGGCGAACACGGCAAAATCCTGTCTCTACTAAAAATAGAAAAAAAAAAAAAAAAATTAGCTGGGTATAGTGGCACATGCCTGTAATCTCAGCTACTCAGGTGGCTGAGGCAAGAGAATTGCTTGAACCTGGGAGGCGGAGGTTGCAGTGAGCCGAGATCCAGCCACTGCACTCCGGCCTGGGCAACAGGGTGAGACTCCATCTCAAAAAAAAAAAAAAAAAAAAGAAAAACTCTCCCTCTCTTAGTACACTTACGTGAAGTCATTTATTGCCAGTGTAATGATTAACAACACCTCCTGTCTTTATTTTTGGTTAGTAAGTACAGCAGGAATAAAGAAAAGGAATGGAATATAAAAGGTGACAGCTCGTATTTATTTAGCATTCCTTTCTGGACAGGAAATAGGGAAATGATGAGGGATGGAGGTTTGAATTTCACCTGTAAATTTTCAGTCATCCTGCAGCCTTAGGCAAGTTCCTCACTATTCCTGAGCCCCCATTTTCCCATTTTGTAAAATGTTACTAATACAACCTGCCAAAGAGATTAATTGAAGATCACCCTAAGTAAAGCCAGAAAATGTATAAAGTATGCCTAGGACTTCGTATGTATAGAGAACATGCTAGCTCCTTTTGCATGAAGGATTACTCACTCTAAAGACAAAGGTAACAACTAGAAGAGAAAAAAGAAATGCTTTAAGGAATTTTTCTTTTCCTCCAAACTTTCCTGTTTCAATTACTTTGCTGACCAGTTAACGGTCATTCACGACAGGGGGCTAGGCCCTCATGCACAATTTAAGGTGATCTTTAATTTCTTCCTCTAGGGCTCCAGATCAACTTCTAAGACACTGATAAAGAAGCCACCTCCCATTCCAGTGGCTGTCCCCTCATCTCACTCACAGAATCAGCTGGCTTCCTTTTCAAGGACAGAGGGGATTGCAGCCCTAGAAGTAATTGATAGCTCCATGCCTGTTTCCACTGCAGCAATTTCTAAGATGGCACAAGCTGATGATGTTTGCAAGACTTAAGTTCAGGAGGTTTGCCGTGGCCAGCAATTGATTGCATCTTGATATTCCCTCTCCTATGATACTTAAACTGGGGGAAAAGATGAAAACATCTGCCCTCAATGGCTGCTCAGGAAAATTACAAAATCAAAAACTATATAAAAGCATACCTGTCTTCCTTTTAGCTAATTAAAACAGTGGCTGGCGCCTGGGAGCTTTTCTTTATCGTGCACTGCCATCTTCTGGCCACATTAGCCTCTAACACCAGCAACCCACCAGTTCCATGCATAAGAAACTAATAAACATTTGCGTACATCCTTGCGTTTAACATCAGATCCTAAAGTCGAACCATAAAAGCATGCTGATACCATTGAAAACCATCAGGAAATTCTGCTATTTTCTCTGCTTGAACATACCGTGTACACACAAATGAGATGCAAACAAATTTGAGGATGCCCACAGGTTGCTGTTCACACTGTGGACCATTCACTATCTTCCCCACCTTGTAACATGTCGGGGTAACATGGAGAAAAGAAGGGAAGAGGTATTAGCAGGCACCCACTGCGTGACACATGTTTTCACATATGCGATCTCCCTCTACTCTTACAACCATTTCGTGTAAAATAAAGTGTTATTTCCACTTTGCTGAGGCTTCAAAGTTACAAAACCCATGAAGAGTCAACTTCCTGTTAACTGGTGGAAGGAGGATTGCAATCCAGGTATGTCTGACCGCAAAGCTCCATCTCTGATGGGCACTACCTGAACTGCGTCTCACCATCTCACACACCCTGCTGTACTTAGACTAGGGTGTGCAGATCTGAGGGCTTGCTTTCGCCTTAAACCTGGTATGAGCCATTTGGTCTATGCAGTTTGGATATGCAAACACAAACACAGATATATACATACACACACACATGTATACACGTGTATGCAAACGTATATATTTGTAACGAAAACAAAACAAAAGCTATATACATATATATATAGTTTTGTTTATATATAGTTTTGGATGCATGTATATATTACAGGTATTTTTTTCTCCTAAACCATTTGAAAGACATAGATATATCCTCCCCAAATACATTAGCATGCATCTCCTAATAAAGACAGTCTCCTACATAACCACAATTCCATGAATCACACCTAAGAATATTAACTTTGATTCAAAATTAAATCTAATGCCCAGGACCGTATTTAAAGGTCTCAAGGGTCATTAACAGGCTTGAAAAAATTTGACCTCTGCACTGGAACTATGTCCTTTTTGTCTTTTTAAATTTAGAACAGTTCTCTCACCCTTTTTATTTTTTTATGTGACAATTTAATGTAAGTCCTCTGTGTAATGCCCAAGGAAAATACGCATCTGCTAGTTAGCTCTTTCATCATTAAATAAATAACCCTGTGGTTAAACTCGAGTCTCCAGTATTCTACATGTTGTATCACACGCATTCCTCTCCTAAAAGCAGGGTCATATGGATGGAGAAGCTGTCCTCACTCCTTGCCCAGCTGTGTAAAGCACTCAACACTGCAGCTTGTCAACCCCTATGAGGCCTGATGTGACTTGCCTGGCCTGTGAATTTTGGCTCTCATAGTTTTTTTTCTTATCCTTCCATTTCCTTTTTTTTTTTTTTTTAATTCTTTTCTTTTTTCAAAAATGTTCTCTTTTTGCCTTTATCCTGTTTTCAATTCTGATTAAGCTATCTGAAAATAAACTGTGAAAATTTCACCCTGAAATATTTTAGTATGAATCTACTGGTAATGATAACATCGTCTCACACCATGATCGTCAAACAGGGGGCAATTTTGCGCGCCGGGGGACACATGGCGGCATCTAGAGTCATTTTTGGTTGTCTCAATGGGAGAAGGAAAAGCTCTCTCGACATCTGGCGGTTGGAGGCCAGAACTGCTGCTCAGCACCCACAATGCACAGGACACTCTCCGCAGCAAAGCATGCACCGGTCCAGTTTGCCAATAATGCCAAGATTGAGAAACCCTTTTCTACATCACCACAAAACCATTAAGCACATTCAATGTCATTAATATTTAACAAATGTCTAACTTTCCTTTTCCATAAAATGAAACACTTTTTTTTTAGTCTTCACAATTTCCCCAAGAAGGGGCAATCGGCTTCGAAGCCTGATGGCAGCAACTGCGGTACAAGCACAAGGGGCGCCTCTAGTGGTCAGCTGGGAAATCGACGCCTGAGAGCTCAATCCCTCCAGAGGAGGCAGGGCTGTGTGCTTCCTATCTGAGAGTGGGAGCTGAAAGCGCTGACTCTGTTGCGTTGTTCGTTGCTGTTGTTGTTTTAATTGCCCTAATCCTTGGGCACAAATGATGAAATTTACAGGCAAACAATACACATTCAAGGCACAGGCACTTCACTATTGCCCAGGAAGAACTTTAAAAGAATCGTGACATTTTGTTCTATTGGGCAAAACAAACTGGATCCAGTAGATATGAGCAAAGAGTTCTCAGTCAGGAGTAAGGGTGTATCCTTCTGAGATAACTTCAAGATTTGGAAGAAGAAATAAAGGTTCAGAAAAGAAAGATATTAATATCAAAACTTACTTTAAGGGACATACTTGACTTTTCACAAGCATATTCCTGGAGAATAGCAGAAGAGACTAAAGATTTACTGGATTGACACTCAAAATAGCTCACTTTGTCTTTAGAGTATCCCGGCTGAAAAGAAAGGGTAGCTATTATCTCCACATTACAGACGTGAGAACTGAATTACAGAGAGTGGTTATGTCTATTAATTATATTATTATCAATATCGTCAGATAAGTTTGAACATTTTACTCATTGGAGAAAGATTTTTTTTTTTTTTTTCTGGTTAAATGACCATTGTGGAGGGGGGCAATTGTGATTATATGTTATTGCTTATTTCTTTGTTTACGGCTTTAACTAACGGGCCAAATTAACAACAAATTGTTACTTTATTTTCTCAACTGACTAAAGTTTGGAGATGAAAAACACCTCTTCTGGAGACAAGGACAACATCACTAATTGATCACAGAACTACTTCTGCTAAATCTGGTTATACTTCTGAACTCTTCTTCACACAGCTTGCCAGGCAAATATTACCAATTGATAAAAATTTGCTACCAAGATACCAAACTTTTTAACCAAGGTAGCAAAGACTTAACCAAGATGCGATCAAAATATATTTTTTTGTTTTTTTTCCAGACAGGCTCTTGCTCTGTCACCTAAACTGGAGTGCAGTGGTGTGATCCTGGCTCACTGCAACTTCTGCCTCTGCCTTCCAGGCTTAAGTGATGCTCCTGCCTCAACCTCCCAAGTAACTGGGACTACAGGCACGTGCCATCATGCCTGGCTAATTTTTGTATTTTTAGTAGAGATGGGGGTCTCACCATGTTTCCCAGGATGGTCTCGAACTCCTGACCTCAAATGATCCACCCACCTCAGCCTTGCAAAGGACTGGCATTATGGGTGTGAGCCATCATGCCCAGCCTAAACAGATTTCTACTTACTTTGAGACCAGTACAGAAATTTGAAGTTTTCTACGAACTATGTTAAAAGTTACTCAGGCCCAATTATCATGCAGCTCAATTTGCATTTATATTGTAATCTTTGTATAAATATTGATTCAATTCTATGCTCACCATGGTAGCTGAAACAGTGAAAGGTACTTCATTCATGTTTTAACCAAGAAGCTTTTAATATTGCAACATTTATTTAAAAAATGGTTTGCAAAGTTAGGTGCCCATCTAGCATCTTTCCGCCTTACAAAGATAAAACACAAACATGTAAATCAGAACCGCAGAAGTCTGATTAAAGTCTCATTAAATATTACCTCTAAGCGGTAAACTTTGATAGTGGAAAACTAAAATAAGAGTATAAAATTGAAACTTTATTGTTATTTTAGAATAAAACTCAAGTCAAATCATCTGCTAGGAGGTCTAAGAAAAAGCAAAGAGGGCCGGACGCGGTGGCTTACGCCTGTAATCCCAGCACTTTGGGAGGCCGAGGCAGGCGGATCATGAGGTCAGGAGATCGAGACCATCGTGGCTAACATGGTGAAACCTCGTCTCTACTAAAAATACAAAAAAATTAGCCAGGTGTGGTGGCAGGTGCCTGTAGTCCCAGCTACTCGGGAGGCTGAGGCAGGAGAATGGCGTGAACCCGGGAGGCGGAGCTTGCAGTGAGCTGAGATGGCGCCACTGCACTCCAGCCTGGGCGACAAATAAAAAAAAAAAAAAAAAAAAGAGAGAGAGAAAAGCAAAGCAAAGACAGGAATCATACTCATAGTAAAAATTGTACTTCGACCACTTACTGAATATATGCGCAGCTCCATACGAAATTGCTATTCTATCTCTTCTCATTCCCAAACACAACCCTATGTGGTAGTCCTTCTATGACCCCATTTTACAGATGAGAAAACTGAAGTTCCAAGTTGCCAATCTCTTCAGATTTCCTCAAGACCACACTGTTATGAAACAGCAGAACTGGGTTGAACTCTGTCATATTTGGGAGTATAAATTTCAACCATCCTGTCTTGCCTGTCAGGCAGATTATATAAAAACACTACTTTAAAGAACTCCATGAGACCATTAGGCAAAGCTCAGAAAAGTATGAAAAAAAAAAAAAAAAAAAAAAAAAAACAAGTAGAAACTATGGCTTTATGTAGAAGGTCCCAGTGTTTGTTTAGCCTTTCTCTGCATCTCTGATGAATTAATACTGGACAAACTGAACTTGAAAACAGAAAGGAAGGGAAGTTACATGCACAAATACCACATCCTCATCCATTTCCTCCTCAAAGAACTCACTCAAGTACTCTTGTATGGTGTGGTGGTTAGTTTAGACTATGCTTTATACAGGTGTTTTAAAGTTTTGAGCAAAGGAGATGCTCAAAAAAATGTTAGACCCTTTCCAATCTATTTGTTCTTAGCATAAAAAGATAATGAGGCTACCTCCTAGAAGAGAGGGGTATGACTGTACATGTTTCCCCATTGCTCTGTAAGATGTGATCCAGAATGCGACCATGAAGCATCATTTGTGGAAACTTCCCAGGTCAAAGAAAGGAAAGTGAGACCAAGAAACGAGGCACTGCAATGATGTCTGCAGCAAGCATGGAGAAGTCTCCCCTTTCCATCACCAATATAGCAAGACAAGCATTTCCCAAACATCAGAACATCCACATATCAAGCTCGTCATTGTTATCTTCTCCTTGAGTCACCTTTACCATGATTAGCTTATTATTTTTCTTTAAGCTCACTTTTTTACGTGTCAGTAAACTTTAAAACGCGATTTCATGTCATCGTCAAAACTGAAAACCAGTCTGATATGCCATAAATAGATGGAGACTCAGACTGAATGGGTGGAACACTGCAATGTTCCTCAGTTGTGAAATTCTGGCTGCATATTTTGTCTGTTGAAAGCTTGCTTGCCCTCTCTCTCTGTTCAAAAAGATTAGCAAGGGTTAGAGAGGTGTTAGAGATATAATAGCAACACGCAGAGTCGATCTCTTTGACATCTGAAAGAATGAAATGGATTTGAGAAAGAAATTAGAGTCTCACTGTATGATTCAATTATACTGAATGCCACATCCATGTGCCACCCCAAATGGCTTCATGTAAGAAGGGTGGAATTCATGCTACACTTGGAAACAATGCGATAAACCACCCATCTACCCAGCCTCACTCAGCCTCCTGGATGAACCGTGTTACAAGCCTTATCAGCTATTCATGGCAAGTGATTAACTTTCAAAGCTTCAAGTCAGTGGTATCTTAGCACTTCTTCCAATTAATCAGTCAGAGCATCTACTCTGAGATACACAGAGCTTAAAGGATTCCCTACATTTGTTCTGTGTATCTTGTGTCTTAGAAGTGTCATTTCCCACATATGGTAAAGCAAAAAGGAAAAATCTAGTATGCAATCCGCTGTCAAAATAGAAACACTTGTGTTATCACAAAACCTCTAAAGAGAAATCTCAAATCTTTGGTTTCACTCTCTTTATTTTGTAAGTGTAAAATGCACACTAGATTTTGAAGGTTTAGGACCCATACACGCACACAGATACACACACCTAAACATATTATATATCATAAATAACTTTTGGCCAGGTGCAGCGGCTCATGCCTGTAATCCCAGCACTTTAGGAGGCTGAGTTGGGTAGATGACTTGAGGTCAGGAGTTCAAACCAGCCTGGCCAACATGATGAAACCCCATCTCTACTAAAAACACAAAAATTAGCCATGTGTGGTGGTACACGCCTGCAGTCCCAGCTACCTGAGAGGATGAAGTTGGATAAATGCTTGAACTCAAGGAGGCAGAGGCTGCAGTGAACCGAGATTGTGCCACTGCACTCCAGCCTGGGCGACAGAGCGAGACTCCGTCTCAAACACAACACAACAAAACAAAACAAAACTTTTAATTTAAGTAGATGATGAGAATACTTTGGCTATATAGGATGAATAGATTATATGAGGAAAATTAATTTCAGCTGTTTCTTCTCAGCTTTTTTAATGTTGCTACTAGAAAATGTAACATTACATATATGTTTGACATTATATTTCTATTAGGCGGTACTAGGTTAGATGTTCTTTATGGTTCCTTACTGATTAATCACTTTAGTAATAAACAAAAATTGCTCCTAAAATTGGAAGAGCCTATATTAATAGGCCTTTTAATTTTATGGGGTAAAAGTCACTGGTAGATACATAAAAAGCTCTGCCACCATTGTTCAGTCTTCCTCTATATTAATAACTTGTATAGTGATGTCAGAAGATAAATCGCTCACTATCTTTAAAGTTACAAAAGAGGAAAAAAGGATTTCATGGCTCACATGTCTATGGATACAGCCGTCCAACTTTGGAACAGCCCAAACTTGTTCCCTAATCAAAAATATACTTTTAATGAGATTTTATCTTTGATTGAAAATGTAAGGCTCTAATGAACTGCTGAGTCATTACTCTGCTTCCGGGCTTAATTTTTATTTAATCCTAGCTCCCTGATGTTTTTGATATGGAATTCTTAATTTAGGCTGGATGTTTAAAACTTTCTTTTTAGGATCTTTTGATGTAGGTAGCCTTTTAGGGGCAATAAGTCCATGGATCTTAGACTAATAAAATAGGCCTCCAGTCTCCATAGAAACATATCACATATATTTACATCTTGATGTGTGTTTGTATCTATGGAGATATATCAGTTCAGTGTTACAAAAGGGCCTTAAGGAATGACAGATGTGTTGACCACCCTTAATTCTGTGCCTTCTAACAGGAGCTAAATTATCTATGGTCTCTAGAGCACGGAAAACCTGTATTCTAGTTGTAGTCCTGCCACTTACTCATTATGTGAACTTGGTACTTTCATTGAATATTTTGGAATTCTATTTCATCATCTGAAAAAAAGTATCTATCTACTTTTTTAAATAGGCAGATTAAATGAATCATGCTTGTAAAGCAGTTAGTCTTGCAAGTAGAAAGCATTTAGTACTTAAAAGTGCCTTTTATTCTTTTTCAAGTCTTTTGGTCTTTTGGATCTGTGCATAGAAAGTTGAGTTAACGGCTGGGCATGGTGGCTCATGCCTGTAATCCCAGCACTTTGGGAGGCCGAGGTGGGCAGATCACCTGAGGTCAAGGGTTCAAAACCAGCATGGCCAACATGGTGAAACCCCGTCTCTACTAAAAATACAAAAATTAGCTGGGAGTGGTGGCGGGTGCCTGTAATCCCAGCTACTAGGGAGGCTGAGGCAGGAGAAATGCTTCAACCTGGGAGGCAAAGGTTGCAGTGACCCTTGATCGCACCATGGCACTCCAGCCTGGGGGACAAGAGTGAGACTTTGTCTCAAAAAAAAAAAAAAAAAAAGAAAAGAAAAACAAAAAGAAAAAAAAAGAAAGTAAGTTGAGAATAACATCTGTAAAGGCTCCTGGTATCCTTTTTTCCGAGCTGGTCCTATCAATACGAAATAGCTTACATATTGATAGGGGTAAATGTTTGTGGATTATATGCATAGAATGTGTAATGATCAAGTCAAAGTTTTCATTCCCAAGGCCCTCCCCATTCAGGACCTTTCTGCCTCCTCTCTTGGTTGCTATACTGCCTTCCTGGCACCTTTATTTACTATTGAGAGTTGACCTTGGGCTAGGACCCAACTGGGGCAGGCGCTGCCATTGTAAAAACGAAACAGCTCATGACTCCCCAAAATTGACTGGAAGGCAGGATAGTACTCTATTCCCTATCCACTTTCTCCACACACCTTTCTGATCATGGAAGGCCTTCCTCCGAACTCCCCGTAACTACAACACTCACCTCTACTATTCTCCAGCCTACCTATCTGATCCTAGTTGACCTAGGGAAGTGTGTGTGTGTGTGTGTGTGTGTGTGTGTGTGTGTGTGCGCGTGTGTGTGTGTCCCCTAGGCAGCATCCTTCTACCTACTTCTGATAATAACACCCCCAACCCCAAACCCCTATGTTGACTTCCCTTCAGTTTTCCTTTAAACCTTTTGAGGACCTCTTTTCCTTTTGAGAACCTCTCCTCTCCCATCGCCCTTGGTGTCCACGTAAAGCTGACGCTTGTCCAAAGTTCCAGAGATTCACAAGGGTCTCAGGCCTGGACAAATACCACATCCCATGTGATATGGTTTCACTGGGTCCTCACCCAAATCTCATCGTGAACTGTAGCTCCCATTATTCCCATTTGTTGTGGGAGGGGCCTGGTGGGAGATAATTGATTCGTAGCAGTGGTTTTCCCATACTGTTCTTGTGGTAGTGAGTAAATCTCACAAGATCTGATGGTTTCATAAAGGGAAAGCCCTTTCGCTTGTTTTCTCATTCTCTCTTGCCTGCCGCCATGTAACACATGCTTTCCTTCTGCCATGATTGTGAGGCATCCCCAGTCACATGGAACTGTGAGTCTATTAAAGCTCTTTTTCTTTACAAATTACCCAGTCTCAGGTACATCTTTATCAGCAGTGTGAAAACAGACTAACACACCATGCCTACTGTGGCAGGGCCTGGTTCAGCAATGAACACAGGATGCAAGCCTGACCAAGCCCAGGGCTTTGTCACTAAATTTGTCAAATGCAAGTCTTGAAATAATCTTCTGGGCCAGTTTGCTCTGCTTGGGAAGAGCCCACCTGAATTGCAGTCAACTCCAAGAAAAAAAAAATGAGAAATTGGGACAGATACACTTCTGATGACATTTGCAAGAGCACCTACATTTAGGCATACCTAAAGCCAGATATCCCTCGATTTTCAGACATGGAAATATGTTAGTTCCCTAGGGATGGTGCAACAAATCACCACAACCTGGGTTGCTTAAAACAACAGAAATGGGCCGGGCGCAGTGGCTTATGCCTGTAAACCCAGCACTTTGGGAGGCCGAGGTGGGCGGATCACGAGGTCAAGAGATCGAGACCATCCTGGCCAACATGGTGAAACCCCATCTCTACAAAAAAATACAAAAATTAGTGGGTGTGGTGGCACATACCTGTAGTCCCAGCTAATGAGGAGGCTGAGGCACGAGAATGGCTTGAACCTGGGAGGCAGAGGTTGCAGTGAGCCAAGATCATGCCACTGCACTCCAGCCTGGGTGACACAGTGAGACTGTGTCAAAAAACAAAAGACAAACAAAAAAAACCACCAAACAAACAAAAAACACAACAGTAATTTATTCTCTCCCAGTTCTGGAAGCTAGAAGTCTGAAATCAAAGTCCTAATAGGGTCTTGTTTTCTCTGGGGACTCTAGGAAAGAATCCTTCCTTGCCTCTTGTAGCTTCTGCTGGTGGCCAGCACCCCTCGTGCTCCTTGGCTTGTATGTGCATCTCTCCAGTCTCTGCCTCCATCAACACATGGTTTCTTCCCCGTGAGTCTACATTCGTACATCTCCAGGTCTCCATCTTATAAGAGCCCATTCGGGCTGGGCACGGTGGCTCACGCCTGTAATTCCAACACTTTGGGAGGCTGAGGTGGGTGGATCACTTGAGGTCAGGAGTTCGACACCATCCTGATCAACATGACGAAACCCCGTCTCTACTAAAAATACAAAAATTAGCCGGGCATGGTGACAGGTGCCTATAATCCCAGCTACTCAGGAGACTGGGGCAGGAGAATCAATTTAACCCAGGAGGCGGAGGTTGAGGTGAGCTGAGATCGCACCATTGCACTCCAGCCTGGGCAACAGAGTGAGACTCTGACTCAAAAAAAGAAAAGAAAAAAAAATAAAAATAAAGAACCCAGTCATTGGTTTTACGACTGCTCCAATCCAGGATGACGTCATTTTAACTTGATAACATCTGCAAAGACCCTATCTCTAAATAAATTTACATTCACAGGTATGGGGGTGGGAAAAGCTAGGACTTCAACATATCTTTTCTGGAGGACTCTATTCAACCCACAACAAGGACTTAATACCAATCTTAGCTTAAGCCAATTTGAATGGTGTTTCTATTAGAACCAAGAGAGTGCTGAATCTCCTACTTATTTCCTAGGGTAATCCTAAAATAGGATTCTCTTAACATGTCTCTAAAAGAAGTAATTCCTCCCTCACTGTTTCTCCCTTCCTAGAGTCTCCTTCCTTTGTTCTGGAGGTGTGCAGATCCATTCCACCTGGCCAGTCTTTCAGGATCCTCCCAATATGGCACTTCCTCCAACAAGTGTTTGCTTCTTCTCTTAATATCTGTAACTACTTTTCTCTCTAGCACTGTCTTGGCTATCATTCTCTGTCCAGAAATGTACACCTGCCTTTTTGTGAGTAGGAATATGCGACTTATCTCCATGACAGATGATACATTTCTGTCCTTGCCTTTGTCCATAGCCTCTTCTCTCTGCCAGGCACATGGGTCACAGAACCCATCATGAAGCT
The DNA here is from genome assembly GCF_000001405.40 of Homo sapiens. NCBI lineage: Eukaryota > Metazoa > Chordata > Mammalia > Primates > Hominidae > Homo > Homo sapiens. Next base: position 6,673,674 of record NC_000016.10, on the reverse strand, counting down.
GGTCCTCCACCCCGGCAAGTCAGCCCCATATTTCATTACTTTGTGTTCAATACATATCTATATATTTTTTTGACATGGAGTCTCGCTCTGTCTCCCAGGCTTGAGTGCAGTGGCGCAATGTAGGCTCACTACAACCTCCACTCACTGCAACCTCCACCTCCTGGGTTCAGGTGATTCTCCTACCTCAACTTCCCCAGTAGCTGGGATTACAGGCATGCACCACCAGGCCCGACTAATTTTTGTATTTTTAGTAGAGATGCGGTTTTGCCATGTTGACCAGGCTGGTCTCAAACTCCTGACCTCAGGTGATCCACCCACCTAGGCCTCCCAAAGTGCTGGGATTACAGGCATGAGCCACCACGCCTGGCCTCAATACATTTTTGAATGACTGGTACTTGCAACTTCGTACAGGGATATGAGGGACCTTTGGGATCAGAGAGTGGATAGAGAAGACACAGATGGGATGAAGACTACTCTGGAAGGAGCATGGAGACCATAAAATGATGAGCCTGGGAAGTGTAGACATCACTGATCACCTGGAAATTGCACCTCTGTCTGCTATAAGCAAGTGTTGCATTTACGTGACCAATCTCTATTCCAACTCTGGTAAGAAGCACTGTGGTTTTTCTTCAGGGAGCTGTCTTTCCCCTGTTGTGGTTCCATATTGTTAGCATTGCACTGGCTTCATATCAGCACTTCAGGGACTGGGGTACAATTCAGACCAGGTTGATCAACATCCCACACGCCCTTGCCTGGGGTCTAGGGGGATTCAGTTTAGTCAATGGGTCTCTTGGGAAAGGGGGCAAGTGACCCATAACATCAGAGATAGGTCCACCTAAGAAATGGGCTTAAGTTAGGATTACTTGGGAAGAGAAACGATCTTTCTACCAGAACTGTGAATTGGTAGAAGGTATGACTAACACTGCTGATGTCTGCCTCACTGCTTCACAAGGCAAGCCAAACCCAAGAAAAGCAGAAAAGCAGAAGCGGAATCATGGTGGGTGGAGGTTTCCTATGGAATCATTTCAGGACCTGGATCCATGTGTACCTGAAGTCAGTAGTCTTATATGCTTGTTTAAGATTCTGTCACATAAACAGAATTTCTTCTCTTTCTTTTCTTTTCTTTTCTTTCTCCTGTTCTTTCTTTTCTTTTTTCTCCCATCTTCCTTCCTTTCTTCCTCCCTCCCTTTTTCTTTTTTCTTTCCTTCTTTCCTTCCTTTCCTTTCTTTTCTCTTTCTTTTCTTTTTCCTTCCTTCCATCCATCCGTCCTTCCTTTTCTCTCTCTCCTTCTCTCTCTCTTTCTCCCTCTTCTCTCTCTCACTCTCCTCCCTCCCTGCCACCCTTCCCCACCACAATATTTGTATGGTTATTTTATATTGGATGTATATTTATATTGGATGTATATTTCTCCAATGGACTCTAAGCGTTATGGTGGTGGATTATAAGAAATGATTATATTTCAATGACCTTTGTATTTCCAAAAGCTCATAAATAGAAACTAAATAAAAGATAAGTATCTATTTCTAGCTAATGTTACCTTAGCCTCCAATACCAGTATAATTAGGTGAGATGGACCTACGGTCTTTGAAACCGAATGTGATTAACAACTATCGGATGGGTTCACCTATTCCAAATAATGTCAGAAACATTTGGTACAGTGCATAAGTTAACATATGACCAAGCCATTTAAAATCAGCTGTTCGATATTGTTATTTCGCATTATCATCCTATCTACTTAGTAGTCGCAACAGTTTTTAAAGGCAACTTGGCGTGTGAAAAGGCAGTGTGAATGTAAAATGGCACACAAAAATTTCATGAACTCTTATAATTACTGGGATACGCTGATTCGATGGAATACTACTCCGTCATAAAAAGGAATGAATTAATGGCATTCACAGCAACCTGGATGGGACTGGAAACTGTTATTCTAATTGAAGTAACTCAGAAATGGAAAACCAAACATCGTATGTCCTCACTCCTAAGTGGGAGCTAAGCTATGAGGATGCAAAGGCGTAAGAATGATAGAACGGACTTTGGGGACTCAGGCGGAAAGGGTGGGGAGCAGGTGAGGGATAGAAAACTACAAATTGGGTTCAGAAGAGGAATCTGAGATGCAGAAAGACTAAGGAACTTGCCCAAACTCAGTCCTAAATTCCTTCCTAGATGCATCCCAACAGACTTCCCTATTCTTCTATTATGTCTTACTTTCTAATGTTCAAATATCAAATTAATAAAATGATGTTTGAATATGAACATGAATATTTCTCTTTTCCATGCAAATTTTAGACATGGTCAAAATATCTTATAAGATGTGTTTTTATTAAACATTATATCAATTACTATTCCATGGACCTCTGACACAAGTGTATTCATCATTTTTAATAGCCGCATAATACTCTATCATGTTCTGTGCTGAGCATAAGAAGCCATTACCTTAAGATTAAGCATTTAGGTTGTTGCCAATATTTTGACATTGCAAGTAAAATAACAATGGTGGCTCAGTCCAGGTGTCCTTTTGTTTCCATTCGACTGGAATAATAAGAAATAATGAGTAAGATTGGGTCAAAAGAAATAATTATCTGGTTGTTCATACGTATGAGTACTCTGGTTTTTAAATGATTTCTACCAAATTGCAACATACCAAGTAAATAAGGAAACCAGTTTTTTGTTTTTTTGAGATGGAGTCTCGCTCTGTCACCCAGGCTGGAGTGCAGTGGCACGATCTCGGCTCGCTGCAAGCTCCGCCTCCTGGGTTCACGCCTCTCTCCTGCCTCAGCCTCCCAAGTAGCTGGGACTACAGGCTCCCGCCACCATGCCCGGCTAATTTTTTTTTGCATTTTTAGTAGAGACAGGGTTTCACCGTGTTAGCTAGGATGGTCTCGATCTCCTGACCTTGTGATCCACCCAGCTCGGCCTCCCAGAGTGCTGGGATTACAGGCGTGAACCACCGTGCCCGGCCATAAGGAAACCAGTTTTATAGCAACATCACCAATATGGGAAAAGGTAGTATTCTTATTTCATGTTAACCTGGCTAATTTTAGTAGATAGAGATTGGTATATTATATGGTTTTAATTTGCATTTTCATACCACTATCAAGGAAAGGTATTACCGGGTGTTTAAGTCTACTTATGCTTTCTTTGGGGGTATGTTTTCTGTTATATCCTTAGCTCTTCTAATTTTATGATTTCTTTATGAAAACATTCCAGTCATGGGGCAAAATTAAGATTTGTCAACTTATGAATTGGTGAATTCAATCAACATGAAAACTCAATCTGAATAGATCAAATTAAAAATACATATGTTTGTCTGGGAGCAGTGGCTCACCCCTGTAATCCCAGCATTTTGGGAGACCAAGATGGAAGGACTGCTTGAGCTCCGGACTTGGAAGCCAGCCTGGACAACATAGGGAAAACCCCGTCTCTACAAAAATTAAAAAAAAAAACATAGCCAGGCATAACGGTGCACTCCTGTGGTTCCAGCTACTTGGGAAGCTGATGTAGGAGGATCACACTGAGTAAGTACAACATGCCCACTTGGTACTATATAACTACTTGTGCCCAGGAGGGTGAGGTTGCAGTGAGCCATGATCATACCACTGCACTCCAACGTGGACACTAGAGCAAGGCCCTGTCTCAATATATAGAGATAGACAGATAGATAGATAGACAGACAGAGATAGATTTTCCTTACTGTAAGTTAGGGTGCTATTTTGACAGGTGGACTTGAAGTTTGTAAGTTACTCCTTTGACTGGATTCTCCATATACCATGGGTCGGTTACTTAGGATGATAAGTGCCGTCTACCTCCCTGGCTCCATCAGATCTGCCTGCCTGGCTCATGGTGAGCATTTGCTTTTCTACTGTGCTCCCTTAACCAAAAGCTAGAAGTCCTTAAGCTTAGGACCTTTTCTATTCTGAAGGTTCTGTCCTCCAAAGCACCCAGAAAACCTTTCAGTTGAAAAGGAAATACAAAATTTGCTAAGAGGGTAGATCTTAAGTGTTCTCACCACACTCAAACACACACGCAAAAGAAAAGAAACAAAAGAAAAAATAGCAATATATGAGGTGATAGATGTGTTAATTCACTTGATTCTAACGACTTTTTCATAATGTATATGAAAATCAAAACGTCAAGCTGTATATCTTAAACATATAATTTTTACTTGTCAATCATACTGCAATCACTCTGGAAAAAAACAAAGAAAATATGAAAAACCTCTGGTTGATCTGCAAATTCTGATAGCTGTTAGTTTAAGATGGCCACAGTAAAAAGATCACACAGTTTTTATGGCTTTATGCAAAAATAAATCCTAACCCAGAATTGCCCAAAAAGCCTTGTAACTTGATAAAAAGAAGCACAATATAAGAAGTGAATTGGGTGAGTGTGTTCATGTGATAGACAAACGCACACACACGGGCATGGTTTCCCACCCCACCCTTGAATTCTGTTGTTATTGCATCACGTTCCATCACAAATTTTTCCAGCAACCTACTTGCTGAGATGGATGGCATAATCCCTGGGTTTTCTGACCTTGATCAACACGAAGAAAATTTCAGCTGAACCATGCAAAAGTGCTGGGAAAACATAAATCACATTTGGATAGGGCATGCTTTCTATCTAAAGTGTGAAGTCACCCAATCACACATCAAGAAGTGGGATAATAAAACCCACCAACTGAAGAGAAAGAAAAATTAATTAACGTTCACTCCACTCATCACAAAAAAGCCACTGCCATCTTTTTAGAAGAGATGACAGAACAATCTTTGAAAAATAGCTCTGTGCTTGATTAAGCATTTCCTAAATGCATTTTAATTCAGAGTTTAAAGAAAGAAGTTTGCTAAAAATTACACAAAATAGACTTGCTTCTTTTAAGTAAAATAAGTGGCACATGAAAATAATAGCTATAAATAATGATATTAAAATGTAAGCATTTCAGCCCCAATTAATACAAAATTTCAAAGAGATGACAAATATCATCATAGACAAATCACACTTTTAAAATTAAGGCATCAAAACATAACCCTAGTTATATGAGGATGACATCATGTGAATTGCTACCATAATGTAATCAACAGAGAAGGCTTCTCGAGCACCTAGGAAAGGCTAGCTACCCATGCCTGATATAAAGCTCTTATTTGCTAAATTATCTTTAAGCCATGCACTATCCATGAAAATACCAGTGCCTTGTTAAGCTGCAAATCCAAAACATAAGGAAAACAGGCATGCCCCTAAGAACAGAAGCATCTTTGGGCTGAAACACACAACACGTGGCTTTGTATTACTCCTCAGATGCCAGATTCTGTGACAGAAACAACTAAACTATACCTGGCAGGTGCCCTGTGGCTCTCACTCCTCCACCCTTGGCAGGCATCACTAATCAATCATGCACTCTTTCTGGGAGAACCCACATGCCACAATCTCAGACTCCTCATCAACAAGGTGTTCTGTGCCGCCACAATCAATATGACTTGACACCAGAGATTCAATCTGTTTCCAATCCCTGGTCTGCACCTTTACTTATGCTCTCAACTCTATACTCTTTCAGTCAGATTGAGAAGTAGCTACAGGATACACAAAACTCTAGACAGGTAATTGAGGGTTTGGTATCCAGTTTAAGCTTTGTAATTTACTTTGCTATTATCTTAACTTGTCCTAGATGTATACTCTCTGATCTCACTAGGAATCTAAGAAACAGAGTCAAAGATTTAAAAAAGAGTAGGACGAAAGCAGATTTAAGTGTAATAATCAGGCAGCTTGTACTTATTTTTTTTTTCTTTAGTTTTTTAAAGATAGGGTCTTGCTCTGTCACCCAGGCTGGAGTGTGGTGGTACGACTATAGGTCACTGCAGCCTCGAACTCCTGGGCTCCAGAGATCCTTCTCCTTAAGCCATTTGAGTAGCTGGGACTACAGGCACGCACCATCATGCCTAACTATGTGGCTATATTTTTTTCTTCAGTTTTGCAGAAATAGGGTATATGTTGCCTAGGCTCATCTCAAACTCCCGAGCTCAAGTAATCCTCCCACTTGTGTCCAAAAAGCGCTAGGATTCCAGGCATGAGCCACCGTGCCCAGCCAGCTTGCAGTTATTCAAGGTGCATCCTGTGCCTAGCCAAGATGATAAGTACCCTCAGTGTAAGAGCTCATTGAGTCCCATAGTGACCCCAGAAAATATTCTCTCCTCCTCTCCCTTTTATATAAGAGCTTGAGCATCTGAGAGGTTAAATAACCAGGAAGCCACTAAGCTGGGGTTCAAAGCCAGGCCTTTTAGAATCCTAAGCTGAAGCTCTTAGCCACACGATTACACCTGGCATTCTTTAGATGAGCTTCCCAAAGCCAGCTTCAAGGGTGACTGAAGGTGTATGAGACCAATAGCCCGATCTACCTCAGTGCTTTTCATTACACTCTCTGGGTTACCACTGTGTCCATGGCACTGCTGAGGGTGCCCAGCAGCTTCTCATCATCTGTCGTTTAGGTTTCCGGCCCATCAGAGGCTAATTTAACTCAACACCACATTCATTTTAGAAGCTCTGCGTCTTTTTACCTGCCTCCCTCTCCCCCAACCCACCACCACCCTCAAATTTCCCAAAAATAAATGAAAGAGGAAAGTACGACTAACATCTCATTTTCAACGTTTAGTAAAAGAGTTAACCTGTGAATCAAATATAAAAGGCAGGTGCAGAGACCCATCCTAGAGTCAGAAGCCCTTGCCTACAAAAATAACTGTCAGCTGTGCTGGCAAGTGAGGCACTGCTTGGAACCGTGAGCATTTTGATGGTTCTGTGGAGCAGACTCATTGAGGACCCCGAGATAATACCTTAGGCTGAGTAATTGGGAGGAAATTCAATGCAGAGATATATCACAGGATGACATTTAGCAGTGGCCAAGGTTTTTCCTGTTATGTGGAGGGTTTTGTTGCAATAACTCTCGTAAGTCACCGTTTACCTGTGTGTCAGGCCCTGAGCATGAGGAGCACAGAAGGGACGTATTTTCTTCTTCCTGTGAAGCATGCTTGGAAGAGGCAGTACAGCCTAGAGGTTAAGAGTCAAACAAAGACTTCCTGGGTTTGAATCCCACCTCCACAGTTACCACCTGGGTGACCTCAGTGACATGATTTGTTTTTTTTTTTTTTTTTTGGAGACAGAGTCTTACTCTGTCACCCAGGCTGGAGTGCAGTGGTGTGATCTCAGCTGACTGTAACCTCTGCCTTCCAGGTTCAAGTGATTCTCCTAACTCAGCTTCCCGAATAGCATGGCTAGGATTATAGGTGCCCACCACCACACCTGGATACATTTTGTACTTGTGGTAGAGACAAGGGTTTCATCATGTTGGCCAGGCTGGTTTCAAACTCCTGACCTCAGGTGATCCGCCCGCCTAAGCCTCCCAAAGTGCTGGGATTATAGGCATGAGCCACTGTGCCCGGCCTCAGTCACATTCTTCAACTCCTCCTGTATTAGTCTGTTTTCACGCTGCTGATACAGATGTACCTGAGACTGGATAATTTATAAAGAAAGAAAGGTTTAATAGACTCACAGTTCCATGTGGCTGGCAGGTCTCATAACCATGATGGGAGGCAAAAGGCACGTTTTATATGGTGGCAGAGAAAGAATGAAAAACAAGCGAAAGGGGTTTCCTCTTATAAAACCATCAGATCTCGGGAGACTTATTCACTACCATGAGAACAGGGTGGGGGAAACCATACCCATGATTCAATTACCTCCTACCAGGTCCCTCTCACAACATGTGGGAATTATGGGAGCTCCAATTCAAGATGAGATTTGGGTGGGGACGTGGTCAAACCATATCACCTCTTTCCCTCATTTTTCTCATCTGTAACATGGGGATAAATATTGTATCTGTCTTAAAGGATCTTTCTAAGGATTCAATAATAGAATATGCATAAAGTACTAAAAAATGGTCTATGGCATGTAGTAAATCCTCAATGCAAGGTAGTTGCTATTATTATTATTATTTATTTTCCTTTCTGGAAAAAAAATATCAGTCAAGGTTTCATTAGGTGACACTCCCTCCTTCTTCTTTTTTTTTTTTTGGAGATGGAGTTTCACTCTTGTTACCCAGACTGGAATGTGATGGCACAATCTCAGCTCACTGCAATCACCGCCTCCCAGGTTTAAGTGATTCTCCTACCTCAGCCTCCCAAGTAGCTGCGATTACAGGTGCCTGTCACTATGCCTGGCTAATATTTTTTTATATTTTTTATTTTTAGCAGCGATGGGGTTTCACCATGTTGTCCTGGCTGGTCTCCAACTCTTGACCTCAGGTAATCCACCCACCTGGGCCTCCCAAAGGGCTGGCATTATAGGCGTGAGCCACCGTGCCCAGCCCCCTCCCTCATTTTTTAGTCCATTTAAGTCATTTAGCTGGACCCCATCCCACTGCTGGGGTGGCTGAGGGAAGACAAACAAGAGGGACATCGCCCTTTATAGCTAAGTGACACCTCTTAAGCCACATCCAGGAACTTTACTAAGCCACTGAAAAAGAAGCGCCTTTTCTCCACAGGTGGGAGTTAATACAGCTGGTGGTTGCCGTCCTTAGCATCTGGTGAAATTAAAGTACCAGCATCCAGCTATGCTGAAGACAGTCCCACTTTACTCATAACTGTCACTTATTTTTCTCCTTAAGCTAGTCTGACTTCATTTTCTATGACAATTGAAAATGCCCTGACTAATGCGGCACACAAGAACAGTGCATGGGATGCATGATTTACAAACGATGTCTGTCCCTGTTTTATAGACGATGCAGCTGTGGACAGACAGGAATGTGACTTTTCCAAGGTCTGCCAGCTGGTGAAGGGGCAGAACCGGGATTCAACTCCAGATCCGTTTGACTGCAAAACTGTACTACCTTGCCTTTTGAAATAAATTAGGAGGAGTGAACAAAACTGCTGAGGATTTCTTGGCAGCAACCCATCTCCACCAACTGAGTATCTCCAGAACTGACTTCCATCCCTGCCTATCTGTGGGTTCTGAACACGCAATTTCAGACACTGGATTCATAATCTCTGCTATTGCCTGGTCCCCAGTCTCAGTAAAAATGATGTCGAATCTCACTGGTGGTGGGCTACATGCGCAGCTGTCTCTCGCACAGCCCTGCTTCTCAGCAGAGAAAAAGGACACAATGAGATCTACTTGTGGTATATGTATCACATCCTACCAAGATCCCATCCACAAGTTCTTACTGAGCAAAGGAGCTGAGGCAGATCTGTAGATACAAGATGATTTGCTGACGCTAGATGACCGCGCACATTTCTTTGACCAGAGATAGTAGGACCAGGGGTGAGGTGTTGCCCTAAACAACAGGCTGGCTAGTGGCTATGCATTAGTTTGGAATGAGAGCCATGCCCAAGAGGAATGAGGGTTACTAATCTGAAGATGATTGACAGTTTTAGGGAATTTGCATAGGATGTAAAATGCAGAATGAACAGAAAAGCCAAGCGACACAGCAAAAAGCTTTGCTGGTGTTAGATCTCTTTGTCCCATTCCTTGGCTAGAGATGGCTGGACCAGAAGGGAACTGACAGAAGTCTGAAAGGTCATACATAAACATGATCTATGAGCAAGTAGACTCTATAAGACAAAGAAACTGTCTTTACACACCTGACCATTTCTCATGGTGATATCACAGTCCATGTGACACAGATTTCATTCTATATTAAAGGACATAATACTCTTCCTGGTCAAAAGGTTTCAGGTGGATTAGCCTTTGCCTGCTTTGAGCTTTATCTCTAGCCACTTTTCCCACTGCTGCCTGAGCCCCAGCTACACTGACGTGTATTCAGTTCCTTAGTCATGCCATGCTCAACCTCCAGACTCCCTCCTCTGCACCTGGCCCAGGATGCTCTCCACCCCATCTCCCTTCAGACTCAAACTTAAATACCCTTTCTCAGGGATGCTCTAATTTTCATTTCCAAAGATTCCAGGAATTTTGGAGCTTCTTCCATTTTAATGTATATGCCTAACGGCCTTAAACAAAGGACATTGGAAACAGAAAAGAAATCCAATCCCCAGGGGACTCTGTGAGTCTCATCCAGATGGGCGCTCACAGCAGCCTCTGCCCTTATGTGCCTTAAGTATCTTCGCTTTGGTCTTTGAAGGGAAACTCCTTCATGAATACTCCCCATTCTAGAAAGAGGCCCTTCCAGGAAGGAGTGAACCTTCTCCCATGTCTTTGTTCTGCTATCAGAAGTGCACAGATCTAGTCCACTCCTACTCCCAGGGGCAAGAGACTGGCACTAATAGAAACAAATCCTGCTGGCTATGTCATGCTCATATGCAACCTCACTGGCATATAAGCCCTAAACCAGGAGATCAATCCATTGTCAGTGTTGATCAACTCCTTTCTTCTTCCTCACGGCAGCAAACTATATACAAATACTTAAGCTGAGCCGTCTGTGACAAGTTCCTGGGTGGAGACATTCATGACACCCATCCATTGTCAGTAAGTCATGTGGATAGGACTTATCCAGTCTCTTGAAAATGCAAACCTTCCTCCTCCCCATCTCCTACATGGCTCTAGTTCAGACCCATCCTCCAGTCTGCCTTCCACCCTGTACTCCTGTATCCATCCCTGCCCACTTCTGGTTCCCTCCTGCACACAAGGAGAGTTTGAAACTTACAAAATGCAAACAAGAAACTCTCCCCTGAATGCAAACCCACCAGTAGAAAACAGTGTTTCCTACACTTCAGTTATGTGCGATCCATACTCACAATTTTTACACATCCATGTGCTTTTCTTTAAATTGTTTCTGTTCTCAATAAATGTTTTACGAGTCTATGGGAGTATTTGTTTTAAAGAAAAGAAATAGCTCGTTGAAGTAAACAGAAAGAGCAGAAAGAACAGTATTTTTTTTGTCATATGTAGAAAGTAACTCTAATGCAAAAGTAAAACACTGTCATTCGGTTATAGCCAGATGCCAGAATTGCCTGTCAGGGGCTCTGGGTCTCTTGGTCAAAAAGGTAGATGATCAAATGTTTGAGTCTTTTAGGTTTTTTTTCTTTTTTTTTTAACCAACCACCAAATTATGTCTTTGATGTAGTCTCAAGGTCTGAGAAATAGTTGACAAGGAAATAACTTCCCTACTACGTGATTTGATACCATATCCATGAACTGCCTGAAGGTACCTCATTTGCCACCTGAAATCTAATCTAAGTGTTTCAACACTTGTACAATACCGGCCTGCAGGAAAATGTGTTCCTCTTCTATTCCACATCTCTCTTTTTCTCCCTAACTGTATTGAGATAAAACTGAAAAACAAAAATTGCATATATTTAACAGATACAATGTGACCTTTTGATACATGTGTATATCATGAAATGATTACTACTACCAAGCTAATTAACATATCCATCATCTCACAGACTTGTGTGTGTGTGAGAACAGTTGAGATCTACTCTCTTACCGCATTTCAAGTCTAAAACACATTAATTAAACTCTCATCACTGTGCTGTACATTAGTTATCTATAACTTAATCTGATGATGAGGGTTTGTATCCTTTGACCAAGATCCTCCCTTTTTTTTCACCCCGCCCCCAGCCCTCGGCAACCACCATCCTACTCTCTGCTTCTTTGAGTTTCACTTTCTTAGATTCCAGGTAAAAGTGAGCTCATGTAGTATTTGCCTTTCTGTGTGTGGCTTACTTCACTTCACCTAATGTCCTCTAGGTTCATCTATCTTGTTGCACATGGCAGGATTTCCCTTCGTTTCAATGGCTAAATAATATTCCATTGTAGAACTCCCATGATGTTAAAATGGATATTCTCATATATCCTTATAGCCATTATGCACAACAGTATAGAGGTCCTTCAAAAAATTAGAAGTTGAACTACCAAATAATCCAGGCATCCCGCCGCTAAATCAACATTTCAAAGAGACAGTTGCATTCCCATGTTCATTCTGTCACACATCACAAGGAAGGGGCAACCCAGCCCTGTGATTTCTCAGGGTCCTGGCTGACTTCGTCTTGCTCGAATCAAAGTGTTCAGCTTCCTGCATTCACCCAGGGCCAGTCTCTGGGTCTTTCTCTGGGCTCCAACCCCAGTTCTTATTCCCCTGCTGACTTTCACTTTGGCTGGGTTCTTCATACTAGTTTAAGTACCTTCTTGGTGCTGTGTAACTCTGGCCCCATACAGTAAAGATTTGCCTTCTGTGGGGACAGAGGATTGACACAGAACCCTAATGCATTGGCCTGATAAACTATTCCCTCCATAACCTGCTACCTACTCACTGCTGTAGTCTCTCCTTTAGCCAATCTCAGACACACACACTGGACTTGCATTCGCCATAAACATACCATGTTCTCTACACCGTCTTGTCCTCGCCATTCTGTTCCCTCTGCCAGGAGGGCCTTTCATAGACCGACAGAGCCTGGAATTAGGCACATGGGAGCTCTTTCTAACCCACTGAGAGTTAGCTTTCAACACTCAAGTCTTGTAAGTCTCTTGAAACTTTTCTGCATGTGTGCTTCATTTGGATTGCTCATAGTAAGTAAAAAATCAGTGGTATTACAGGAAAATTCAGATTGGCTTAGAAAACAGCAATACTGAATCTATATTCCACATGGCCACATTTAGCTGAATAACAGCTCCCAAGATATGAAGGTATCACCTTCCAGGTCGCTGCAGTACATAGGACTTCACGTTAAAGACAATCACTCCTCTGCCTCTTCATTAATTCATTATTTCCTACCTGGACTTGGCAGGCAGGTGCATTTGTATTTCCTGACCTACACCAAGGATCCTCTTCCTTTGTGAAATATTTCCAAGGCCTACTAGGTCCCATTGGTTGCATACTCCCCTGAGATCCCCTAACACTTTCCAGGGCCTCATTTGATAAAATAAATGTAATTATAAATGACATGGTAGGCCTGTAGGTGTGGATACCAGCAAAAATAAAAATAACCGCAGCTACAGTTAATCCAGTTCTTATTTTGTGCCAGGTATTATATAAAATGATTTGCAGTATTATGAATTTCTCAAGCCAATATTTCAAGCAGATTGTATCACTCCCAATTTAAAGATAAGCAGATGAAGATATATACAGGGTAAGAAAGCTTCTCAAGGTCACAGAGTTGCTATTTGGGAGGGCTGGGATTGAAACCCAGACATTTCAAGCTCCAAAGGCTATGTACAGACTCTGGAGTAAGAATCTCTGAGCTCAAATCGTGGCCTCATGATACGTCCTGAATAATCCTGGGCAAGTGACTTAATTTGTCTGAGCTACTAACCATTACCTATGCAAGAATTACTTTTTTATGTTTATTTTTAGTTCTGGGGTACATGTGCGGGATGTGCAGGTTTGTTATATAAGTAATCGTGTGTCATAGTGGTTGGCTGCACCTATCAATCCATCACCAAGGTATTAAGCCCAGCATGCATTAGCTATTTTCCGTAATACTCTTTAAGCAAGAATTTCTTGCTTTTTTTTTTTTTTTTTAAGATGAAGTCTCACTCTTATTGCCCAGGCTGAAGGGCAATGGCGAGATCTCAGCTCACTGCAACCTCTGCCTCCCAGGTTCAAGCAATTCTCCACCTCAGCTTCCCAAGTAGCTGTGACTACAGGCGTGTGCCACCACACCCAGGAAATTTTTGTATTTGTGGTAGAGATGATGTTTCACTATGTTGGCCATGGTGGTCTCGAACTCCTGATCTTGGAGGCCGCCTCACCCTCCAAAAGTGCTGGGATTACAGGCATGAGCCACAGTGCCCAGCCTCCCTAATACTCTTTAAGCAATAATTTCTAACCCGTGTATCTACTCTGCTGAAATTGCCAAACCTAGGAACCGAATCAGGTCTTTGGAAACTGAGGTCAGCACTCCAGTTCCAGTGCTACTGTCCCTCACCCTCAAAGCCAGAAGACATCTGACCACCCCACTGTTGGGTGCCAACTACTTCCCGGAAGGGCAGGCTTGTAAACACTGTGAAGAATCCTCACTGTGAACCAGCTAGAGCTGCAATGTGGGAGCTGAAAGCCTGCCCCATATTGAAAACCGCAAGCAGGGTAGTATTGAAACTAAGAGGACAGACTCTGGAGTAAGAATCTCTGAGCTTAAATCCTGGTCTCATGCTTGAGTGATCTCAGGCAAGTCACTTAAATGTGCCTGAGCTTCCTTTATTTTACCTGTAAAACAGGGAAAATGATGGTACTTCCACACCACAACTGTTTTAAGTATTCGGCGGTACTTAAGATACCTGATCTGGAAGAAGTATTGTAAAAAGATGAGTTCAGAACTCTCAGTGTTAACCACAGCACGAAAGCTATCTCCCAATCGCACCTTCAATTGGACCCAATCTGAAAGTCGCCATAACTTGGAAAACCACTCAAACTCCTTTCATGCAATTTTATAGCAGATCTGAAACTGTTTAGCTGCACCAGGCCAGGCGATAAGTGAGAAGAGGAAGCCCTGTCTGTGTTTATAAAATGGGCTCTCGTCTCCTCTTGACAGATTCTCCCCCTGACTGATCCATCAGCCTCTCCTCTCATCACCTGAATCTCAGTCTTTATAATAGTATTGAAATTCAGGTGGATTTTACACCACAAATAAAAATGAATTTAAATGCTTCAGTGCCCCAGCAGAAACACAGGTACTGTAAATGTCAAACGCATCGGGTTTTGTGAGGCCATACAGCCACTCCAAGTGATGGGTTACCTCCCGTCACCTTTGCTAAATCTGCATTAGCTCCACAACGTTCACCTGCAGGAGGAAAAAAAAAAACAAAAAAAACAAAAAAACCAAAAAACAAAAAAACAAAAAACCTGTGCTCCTGCTTCCTATTAAAGGGTGAAAAACTCCACCATCCCTTAGGATCTCCCTAGGACACCCTCTGAGAGAGTTTAAGCAATGGCCAGGAACCATCCAAGCAGGTACATTCATAGGGGCTCTGCTAATTGGCGGGCTTGGAAGCGAAAGAAAAACATAAAGCCACACTCCAATACACATTATGAATTTCCCCATAAACAGCCAGGCAAGGTTTTCCAAATGGCAATTAGTTTCCTGTCAGCCTGAGAGAAAATAGGCTTCTGGGATAAAGAAAAATAGAAAAACAGGAGAGGATAAAAATTCTTTTATTCTATGAAGAGTCTCAGATCGAGCCCAGACTGTGCGCAGATAAAGAAGAATGATTTTATTGCTCTACAACAAGATGAGGGCTCTCGGCCGGGTGTGGTGGCTCATGCCTGTAATCCCAGCACTTTGGGAGGCTGAAGCAGGCGGATCACGAGGTCAGGAGTTCAAGATCATCCTGGCCAACATGGTAAAACCCCACCTCTACTAAGAATACAAAAATTAGCCAGGCAGGAGGCTGAGGCAGGAGAATCGCTTGAACCCGGGAGGCGGAGGTTGCAATGAGCTGAGATCACGATCACACCACTGCAATCCAGATTTGAGACAGAGGGAGACTGTTAAAAAAAAAAAAAAATGAAGGCTCTCTTCCACTGTTGAAATTCACAGTTTATCTTCTATCATGATATGTGGTCTAAGATTCAGTGGGAAAATCATTCATCTCAAGATAATCGGCCCCATTGAAAGGAAGAGAATGGGAATGAGGCACAATTTGGAGAGGCCCCGTAGGACTCCATGGAAAACCTAAGGTTTTGTCTTTTCTAAAATTCTTCTATCAAGAAGATATTCAACAATATACATAGCTATAAATCGAGGTACACAAATATATCCATATATGTGGAATATCTGGAAACGAAGTAGACAGAAAGCCAGGGGAGGTGAAAGAAAAATAAAAAATAATAAAAAATAAAGTGATTCTTGAGAAGCCATCACATCCTATAGGGGTTCTGTGAAGCTCCCTTAACTAAAGTAAAATAAAATAAAATAAAATAAAAAGAGCTTTAAAGAAAGCACCACCAGTTCTCTTTCAGAGCTCTCAACAGTCGTAAAAATCCACATAGGCCAAGAGGCTGCCGCTTCAGAGACAGGTTTACTTATTATTTTGGCACCTCTGCCATCTCTTGTCACTTCAATTCCACTTTATCAAATTACTGATTTTGCCAGAAGCATTTGGGTTAAATGGAGAGGGACATGCACACACACACGTGCGTGAGCAACTGTCATCACTCCAGTGGTGAAATTTCCTAAACAACCCATCAGTGTGGCAGAGGCACCAGAGTGCACTCCCAGAACCTGACGGCAATCACTCTGGCTGCCACAGCCAATGGCTCCCTGTGTGGCCTCACACCATATCACCAAGCAGAGAGGGAGGGGGATGGAGCTGTTCTGCTGGGGTGAGGGGCACGCCGTCCCTCAGGGATCATTAGCGTTTGCTTCTTGACTGTTCAATTAAGAGAAATGTCTCCCATATATAAAGCAAGCTCCTAAAACCTCACTCCCAATCTCTTCTTAACAATTGTTAGAAACAGAGAAACTATAGCGTGAGTATAAGATTCACTGTATTACTGGGAATTTGAAGGAAGGAAAAAGAAGGAAGGAAGGAGGGAGGAAGGAAGACGAGAAAGTGGGAAGGAAAGGAGGAGAGAAAAAGGGAAGGAGGAAAAGAGGAGAGAAGAGGAGAGAAGAGGAGAGGAGAGGAGAGGAGAGGGGAGGAGAGGAGAGTAAAGGGGAGGAGAGGAAAGGGGAGGAGAGGAGAGGAAAGGGGAGGAGAGGAGAGGAAAGGGGAGGACAGGAGAGGAAAGGGGAGGAGAGGAGAGGAAAGGGGAGGAGAGGAGAGGAAAGGGGAGGAGAGGAGAGGAAAGGGGAGGAGAGGAAAGGGGAGGAGAGGGGAGGAGAGGAGAGGGGAGGAGAGGAGAGTTGAGGGGAGGAGAGGAGAGGAGAGGAGTTACCTTGTTTAAAAGACTCTTTTTTAAAAAAAGTCCTTAGAGAGTAAGACACTGAGAATTTTAACTGGGCATTATTTTTTCTTATCACTAAGATGCATCACCAATTAACTGCAACAAATTGTTTAGAAATTTATCTATCAGTCATATGAGGTCAAGTTTAGAAAAAAATGGGAAAACTCATCAGAAACAAGGCTTCATTTGACATTATTGACTCAATCCAACAATTTATGAAAAAACTAGAAGTGTGTGTGTGTGTGTGTGTGTGTGTGTGTGTCTATTTTCCCCTTTCTTGAGAAGAGCTGAAATCACATATGCACAGTATGACCATTAATGACTTTTTCCCACCAAGATGCATCACAGAGTAGCCAGAAACCAGGGCAGTTGCCATCATCATGATGTCTTAACCAAAGGCAGTTCACATAGGTGGAGTGGAGCTTGGGTGACTCTCCTTGCCCAGAGCTTACCCTGCCTGCTTATTTACCTTGTGCGTGATGGAGCTCAGGTTGTTCTAACAGCATCAGTTCCTATGTTATCTTTCAAGCACTATTGGCAATTAAATTTTTAAAAAAGATACCGGACAAAACATGTTGATGAATTCCATAAAAGTCCAAGAGAAATGCCAATGACCTTTGGAAGCAGGTTGGGGAACATGCTTTCTAAACACTCTGACATGAGCGGAATGATTCGGCTGGGCAGAACATTGGTAGAAGACTTTGGACACACGCTTCACCTAAGCAGCAATTCCATCTGTCCAACTCACTAAATGCACACATGCATATACCAGCATGCAAACACATGGTGAATGCAAACATGAATTGAAATTCCTTTGCCAGCAAACTAGAGCAACACAAAACTGCAAGCTGGGATCACGCAGATTGAATTGAACTTACTGTATCATTATTCTTCCCAATGTGAGGAGATTAACACTCCCTAAAATAATGTGTGGCAACTGCTTTTTATTTAAAAGCAAATTTTTGTTTTGAGAAGTCCTCCACCACCTTATTAATCAGCAGACATGCCCCAGTCATGATACAATCAGAGCTGAAAACCTCTGCTTGAAATAATAACCCATTTGACAATAATGGTACACTTGAAAGGAGAAACATCTTTCAAACTTGTGGAACGATGTCAAAAGTAGCCAGGAGGTATGTACTCTTAACTTGCTTATTTGACCTCTTTGGATCCAAGGCATACACAGGGTAAAATCTGATCTTCTTGGATGTGCTTTGCTGCAGAAATGTCTGTGAACTCTTGTCAATAAAAAGAGACTGTGAAAATATTAACAAACAATTGTCTAACGGTTGCTTTTCCTGAGGGGATTCACATTAAGTGTAGCAAAGAAGATAAATGGGTGAGGGGACTCTAAATATGTAGAAAATGGCATTGCCCCCTACCCCCTTAATCTCAGATAGGACGCTGTTGCTCATATGAATGTGTTGATGTGTTGTGATGGAAATTGAGCGCGAGCTCTTTTTTTTTTTTTTTTTTTTTTTTTTTTTTGAAACGGAGGCTTATTTTGTCACTCAGGCTGGAGTGCGCTGGTGCAATTTTGGCTCACTGCAGTCTCCACCTCCAAGGATCAAGTGATTCTCCTGCCTCAGCCTCCCAAGTAGCTGGGATTACAGGCATGTGCCACCACACCCGGCTAATTTTTCTATTTTTAGTAGATACGGGGTTTCCCCATGTTGGCCAGGTTGGTCTCTAACTCCTGACCTCAGATGATCCACCCACCTCTGCCTCCCAAAGTGTTGGGATTATAGGCATGAGCCACCACACCTGGCCGTGAGCTCTTTTTCAAGTGTATGAGTCAGATATATAGGGACACACCCTGGGAAGCCTAATATTATATATTCTATAATGTAAGTAATAATATAATTAATTATACATATGATACACACAATGAACGTCAACATCAATATTCAAGTTCAATGTGACAAGTGTTAAAGTATTTTCCTGAAAAGAAGGGTATGACTGAAACAGAAATCAGCACCACATTTTTTGTAAAAAATTACAATATGCACTCCTCATGAAGCCATCAGAAGTAACACAGATTGTAAAGGAGTAAAATGACAAGCATTTTTAAGTCTGATTGTCTTTAAATATGTCATAGACCGTGAATCACCTAAAAACCATCATCGAGAGGGGCATGCCTTAAACACCTGGGTTCAATTCACAGAGTTCTTGTTTTGTTTGCAACCCTAAAAATGAAAAATATTGACTCACCTTTCTGTCTTCTATTTCCACGCAGGTATTGCAGTCTGCTTTGATATCCTGAGAAGAGAAGAAAAGAAAGGAAAGTGAGAGAAAGAACAGGAGTCAGACTTATGGTCAGAGAACATTCAGTGGTGTTGTTGAAATGCCCTTTAAAATAATAAAGAGCTCATGCTCCTAATAGTTCTTTCTCGAGTCATTGCTCTTTATAGTGCTTTTTAAAGGTACATACTGCGGTGTTTGCATTAGAGACATATGTATCTCATAAGTAAGTTTTATTACATGCAGATGTGGAATGTAGGCAAAGGCTATGGATCAGAGGTCACAGCAAAGAGGAACTGATAGCTCATAAAATAATCTGCCCTCCATACAATTGTTCACATCAGCAGAGACTGCCTTTAATATCTCTCCCATTCAAAATTTAGGATAGTCAGATATGTCTCACTTCAACACAAATTATCAGGATCTATTTTTTATCCTTCCAACCATCCAACCATCCATCCATTCATCTCCTCTCCATTCATTCATTGGTCCTCTACCCATCCATCCATCCACCCAAACAGCCATGCCCATTGATCTAATCATCCATTCATCCTGCATCCTTCCCCTATCCATCCACCCATCTATCCATTCATTGACCCACCCACCCTTCCTCTATCCATCCATCCATCCATCCATCCATCCATCCATCCGTCCAACCATCCATCCTTCATCCACCCTCTATCCATCAATCATCTACACACTCGCCCATCCACCCAAATTCATCTTTTTATCCATTCATCCATCCAGCTATCCACCCAGCCATCCCCATCTATCCAATCATCCATCTATCCTGCATCCTTCTCCCATTCATCCGTCTACTCATCCATCCATCCACCCACCTATCCATCCATCCACCCATTCATCTACCCACCCATCCATCCATCTATCCATCCTCTATCCACTCATCTATTCATCCATCTTTCCTTCCTTCATCTACCCTCCATTCATCCCTCCACCCACCCATTCATCCATCCATCCATTCATCCATCCATCCACCCATCCATCTACCATTCCACTCATCCACTCATTCATATTTATTGCACACCTATGATTTTCTGCTATTTTCTTGTTGTCCTGGTACGAAAAGGTGAAACAAACATAATTCCTACCCTCAGGGAACTCATTAATTAGACAAAATGACAGACACAGTCCCACAAGCAATAGTGGCATTAACTTATTCAAATGGAAGATATTTCTTTAGCAACTCTTGGCTGCTAGACCTTGCACTAGGCATGGAGGACTCAACAATGTAGAAGACACATGGCAGGCCCGCCCTGGTGATGCTTACATTCTTCTGGACAAGACAAGCATTAAACCATGCATATCACTTAATGGTATTCCAGAAAGAATATGTACTATGAAGAAAAATAAACCAAGGAGAAGGGGGTGGGAAATGCTGAGGGTAGGGGAATACGATGTTGATGTTGATTTTTTTGAAAAAGTGGCAATTGAGAAAAGGCTTGAAGGAAGTTAGGGGGATGAGCCAAGTAGCCCACTGGGGAAGAGAACATCCCAGGCAAACGAAGAGCAAGTTCAAAGCCCCAAGGGGGAAATGCACTGGAAAGAGCCAAGCAAGAGGAAGGAGGCCACTGTGGTTAGAGGGAAGTAAGAGAGGAAAATAAAGGGGAATGAGATCACAGGGAGATGTTTACTTTATTTTGAGATCAGTGAGAAACCACTCAGAGTTTTATTACCTTATTGTGATAAAATACAATATCATTAACAATTTTACCATGGTAGGTGCACAGTTCTGGGGCATTACCCATACAAACTGTTGTGCAACCATCACCACCCTCCATCTCCAGAATTTTTTCATTTTTCCACCTGTACCCATTAAACAATAACTCTTCACTTCCCCTCCCAGAGCCCCTGAAAACCACCTTCTGCTTTCTGTCTCTGTGGATTTTGCTACTCTAGACTCCTCTCATTGTATGAGTCGGCTAGGAATGCCATAAAAAATATTACAGACTAGGTGACTTCAACGACTGAAGTTTATTTTCTTAGAGTTCTACAGGTGGAAGTTCAAGGTCAAGGCTCTCTCAGGGTTCCTGGTGAGGTCCCTCTTCCTGGCTTGTAGATGCCTCCTTCTCATGGTGCCTCACATAGCTGCTGCTCTATACTTTCTGAGAGAGAGAGAAAGGGAGACAGACCCATGGCTTTTTTTTTTCTTTCCTGAGATGGAGTCTAGCTCTGTCGCCAGACTGGAGTGCAGTGGCGAGATCTTGGCTCACTGCAACCTCCACCTCCCAGGTTCAAGTGATTCTTCTGCCTCAGCCTCCCGAGTAGCTGGGACTACCGACATGCACCACAACCCCCAACTAATTTTGTATTTTTAGTAGAGATGGGATTTCACCATATTGGCCAGGATGCTCTCGATCTCTTGACCTAGTGATCTGCCCGCCTCGCCCTCCCAAAGTGCTGGGATTACAGGTGTGAGCCACCGTAAGGTGTGGCCATCTTTCTTTTAAGGCCACCAATCCT
Source organism: Homo sapiens (assembly GCF_000001405.40). Classification (NCBI taxonomy): domain Eukaryota; kingdom Metazoa; phylum Chordata; class Mammalia; order Primates; family Hominidae; genus Homo; species Homo sapiens. The sequence continues at coordinate 6,652,139 of NC_000016.10, read as the reverse complement.
ATTGGATTAAGACCCCACCCTTATGACATCACTTAACCTGAATTACCTCCCTAAAGGACTAATCTCCAAAACACAATCACATTGGAAGTTACGACTTCAGTATATGAATTTTACAGTTATACAATTGAGGACTTAACACTTGCTTAAGTGGAATCATACAACATTTGTCCTTCTGTGCCTGGCTTATTTCACTTAGCATAATGTCTTCAAGGTTCATCCATGTGGTAGCATGTGTTAGAATTTCATTCTTATTAAGGATGAATAACATTGCATTGTATGGAGAGACCACATTTGGTTTATCCATTCATAAGCGCCATCTGTGGATAGATATTTGGGCTGTTTCCACCTTTCGGCTATTGTGAATGATGCTGCTATGAACACGGGTGTGTACGTATCTATTCAACTCCCTGCTTTCAAGTCTTTTGTGCGTATGCCCAGAAGTGAGATTGCCAAACCCTATGGTAATTCAATGTTTCATTTTTTGAGGAACCACCCTACCGTTTTCCACAGCAGGTGCACCATTTTACATCCCCACTAACAGTGCACAAGTGTTCCAATCTGTCCACATCCTCATGGGCACTTGTGGGTTTCACTCAGGCATAATGAAGAGAGGACAGGCATGATCTGACTTCTATTTTAACAGAACCGGCAGTCAGGGGTTACAAATTTAAGTAGGGAGAAAAATTTGGGGGCTACCACAGGAGTCCAGGTGTGACATGATGGTGGATGGATAAGGGTGTAGCAGGGGAAGGGGAGAGAAGTAGTCAGAGGCCAGATAAAATCAATGGGACGTCTTTAAAGAAAGGATACAGCTTGGGAGAGAAAGATGGCGACCTGGGGCCGTTGCACGGTCTGTAGCCTGGCCATGCTCTCCATGGAGGCAGGGAGGGCATGGATGTGCAGGGTTGTGTAGGGAGTTACAAACATTAGGGGTTCCAGGCCGGGTGTGGTGGCTCACGCCTGCAATCCCAGCACTCTGGGAGACTGAGGCGGGTGGATCACCTGAGGTCAGGTGTTTGAGATCAGCCTGGCTAATATGGTGAAACTCCATCTCCACTAAACATACAGAATTAGCTGGGCTTGTTGGTGCACGCCTGTAATCCCAGCTACTCAGGAGGCTGAGACAAGAGAATCACTTGAACCGGGAAGGCGGAGGATGCAGTAAGCCGGGATCATGCCATTGCACTTCAGCCTGGGCAACGAAGTGAGACTCTGTTTCCAAAAAACAACCAACCAATCAATTAAACAACCAAAAAACATTAGGGACTCCATTGTGGTTAAGTCTACAGAAATGTTGATTTTCTCACCAAGAGGCAGTGGGGTTTTCTCTGCGGATGCATCATTAGGAAAGGTTAATATGAGAAGCTGGTGATTTATTAGTAAACACAGCAAATTCTAGGTCCCTTTGAATCCAGAGTGGAACAAAAAGAGACAATATCATAAGGTGAAGACTCGTATAGCAAATATCTTGTTTTATGTAGAACAGACTGTTTTCCTATCAGTCAAGTGGGACTGAACCGGTGAGCAATGATTAAATACCTCTTTCGTGCCAGGAACTGTGCTTGGTGTTTTTCGTACTGTCTCTAAATTACCAACATTCGACAAAGTGGGTATTCCTTAGTTACTCTGTGGCATGATAATTGTGATTAGCCATTAGGTAACTCATACTGAATCACACAATGAGGGAGCTTAAATCTGTAACCAGAAGTGATCCCTCATCAGGTGCTTTCCCTTTCCTCCAGGTAATTTTATTTTCCTCAAGGTGGTTTGGTCAGTCCACATAATTTATCCACAGGTTTCATTCTTTTCCTTGCTATGGGAAGAAGGGGTTATTCACAGCAAAAAAAGAAAAAAATAAATAAAAATAAAACCAAGCAACCAAACAAAAAAACCTGGAGAAGCAAGGTACATGTGCTTCTCAAAGTGAGACTCTCCAACCAGCAGCATCAGCTGCTGTTAAAAAGGCATATTCTTACAGTTATTACAAAAAACGGTGTGGAGGCTTCTCAAAAAATTAAAAACAGATCTACTGTATGATCCAGCAATCCGACTACTGCATATTCACTCAAAGGAAATGAAATCCGTATGTCAAAGAGATCTCTGCACTTCCTTCTTCACTGCAGCATTATTCACAATAGCCAAGATAGGGAATCAAACTGAATACCCCACTTTTATAGCAGCACAATTCACAGTGGCAAAAATATGGAACCAGCCCAAAGGCCCACCAATCCACAAGTAGATAAAAGAAAGTGTGGTATATTGGAATACTATACATAGATGAATACAATATATAATATACTATACATATATAACAGAAAACTTACCCAATATACATGCATATACTTACATATATAAAATGGAATACTACATCTTATATATACATATGTAATAAAATACTTCCCCAACATATATAATGGAATACTACTGAGCCATAAAAATGAATGAAATAATGGCATTCACAGCAACCTGGATGGAACTGGAGACCATTATTCTAAGTGAAACAAGTCACGAATGGAAAACGAAACATTGCATGTTCTCATTCATAAGTGGGAGCTAAGCGATGAGGAAGCAAAGGCATAAGAATGGTACAGTGGACTTTGCGGACTCAGGGGAAAGTGTCGGGGAGTGGTGAGGGATAAAAGATTACACGTTGGGTACGGTGTACACTGCTTGGGTGATGGGTGCATTAAAATCTCAGAAACCACCACTGAAGAACTTGTTCATGTAATCAAACACCACCTGTTCCCCAGAAACCTACTGAAATAAAACAAAAAGCAAAAAACTAAGTGTCCATCAAGGAAGAACCACATAAAGCAAATGTGGTATATATACACAACAGAATACCATTTCAGCCTTAATAAAGAAGGAAAGCCTGTCACTGTGATGACATGGATGAACCTGGAGAACACTGTGTTAAGTTGAATGAGCTAGTTACAGAAAGACAAATACTGCATGAAACAAATACAAAAAATATACTAAAAAGTACAATGGTGGTTACCAAGGGCTGGCAGGGACTACCCTCACTACCAGGGGGTTTGCTGGGGAGATCTGGGCCTAAAGACATAAAATTTCAGTGAGACAGGAGGAATAAGTTAAAATATTATACAACATGGTGACTACAGTTCACAACATGTTGTAATCTTGAAAATTGCTAAGAAAGTAGATGTTATGTGTTCTAACCACAAAAAAATGACGTTGTGAGGTAATGTATATGATATTGGCTCTATTTAGCCATTCCACAATGTACACACATTCCAAACATCATGTTGTACATGATAAATATATATAACTTTTGTCAGTTTACATAAATAAGCAAAGAAAAATACCCAGATTCTCAGGCTGTATTTTCTGTAGAAAATGCCATTGAGAAATGAGGTGAGAAAAAGCAGCTCTCTGTCTGCTTCTGCCTGTTCTGACCAGGTGATGCATTTCCTTTCTCTCCTGAAGTGAAAAATATGAGGTTTGCACGGAAGAGCCCTCAGTTACTGAATCCAAAATTCAAAGGGTGAGGGCCCGTCGATGCATGCTACCAAGCCCTCCAGGGGATGTGGCAGTGGACTGAAGGCTGAAGGGTGGGAGGACAGGGCTGCGGGTAATTCCAGTTCTGGCATTAGACTCCTGGCATTAGACTCACGGCACTAGACTCTTAAAGCAGGGTGTTACTATTTAATAACCATGCGGTCCTTCAGCAAATTTCCCTCATCCGCACATAAGGGGAGTATGAGGAACTTCCTAGTCAACGTGGAGTCTGCAACCCCAGCAAGTACGATGCCCCTGGGAGCCAGTTAAAATGCATCATGCCTATAATCCCAGCACTTTGGGAGGCCGAGTCCAGAGGATCGTTTGAGTCCAGGAGTTGAAGACCAGCCTGGAAACCTTAGGGAGACAGTGTCTCTACAAAAAAAATAATAATAAAGAAGAAAAAAATTAGCTAGGTGGGGTGGTATGCACCTGTGGTCCCAGCTTCTTGGGAAGCTGAAATGGAAGGATCACTTGAAGCCGGGTGCAGTGGCTCATGCCTGTAATCCCAGCACTTTGGGAGGCCAAGGCAGGTGGATCACTTGAGGCCAGGAGTTTGAGACCTGTCTGGGCAAGAAAATGAAACCCCTGTCTCTACTAAAAATACAAAAATTAGCTGGGCATGGTGGCACACACGTGTAATTCCAGCTACTAGAGAGGCTGACGCACGAGAATCACTTAAACCCTGTAGACTGATGTTGCAGTAAGCCGAGATTGCACCACTACACTCCAGACTGGGCAACAAAGAACAAGACTCTGTTTCAAAACAAAGAGAAGGGGATCACTTATCCCTAGGCAGTCAAGGCTACAGTGAGCTAAGATTGTACCACTGCATTCCAACCTAGTGACAGAGCAAGATCCCATCTTTAAAAAAAAATGCAACACATCACACCTCATCCCAGATACATCGAATCAGAATCAACATTTTTAACACGTAGTATGATGGACTGAATGTATGTGTCCCCCCTAAAATTCATATGTCATAGCTCTAACCCTCAGTGTGGCTGTATTTGGAGATGGGAACTCTAAGGAAGTGATTAAGGTTAAATGAGGTCCTAAGAATGACTGCCCTTGGCTGGGTGTGGTGGCTCACGCCTATAATCCCATCACTTTGGGAGTCTAAGGCAGGTATATCACTTGAGGGCAGGGGCTCAAGACCAACGTGGCCAACAAGGTGAAACCCCATTGGATTTCAATATAATAGAAAAATTAGCCAGGCATGGTGGTGGGCATCTATAATCCCAGCTACTTGGAGGCTGAGGCAGGAGAATCATTTCAACCCAGGAGGCGGAAGTTGCAGCGAGCCCTGAGATCACGTCACTGCACTAGAGCCTGGGCAACAGACCAAGATTCCATCTCAAAAATAAAATAAAATAAAGAAAGAATTAGTATCCTTTTAAGAAGAGACACCAGAGAGCTCACTCATTTTCTCTCTCTCTCTCTCTCTGGTAGCGTAAGCCCAGGAATGTCCAAATGAGGACCCAGTGAGAATGACTGACTACAAGCCAGGAAGAGGGTGCTCATCAGAACCTGACACTGCTGGCACCTTGATCTTGAATATCCAGACACAAGAACTATGACAAAGTAAATGTTCTGTTCAGAAGCTATCCAGTCTATGGCAGTTTGTTAGGGTAGCCCAGGCTGACTAAGACAAGGTTCCCAGACGACCTGTAAGGCCCAGTCCTAGGACGTGGGATCATGTGTACACGCGGTATCTTCCTTTTCTCACCCTGTCTCCTAAATTAATGGCTGAAGTCTCTGCTTGACTTCGGACACTGAGTCAGGAAAAACACCCCTCACTCTTACTAAAAACTCTCCTTGAATTTGTCTGCTAAGCAACCTAAACAGAAACGGGAGATTAACTCAATATGGGAGTGATGAAAATCACAGATTACTTTTAAACCTAGAAAATACCACTGAGAAACGAGGTGAGGAAAAGCAGCTCTCTGTCTGCTTTTGCCCGTTCTGACCAGGTGAAATAAGCATTTCCTTTCTCTCCTTGAGTGAAAATATGTTAAGTTTGCCAGGAAGAGTCCATATCCGATTATGATTTACCCACACAGAAGTGGCAGGTGTTAATCAACGAACTAACGAAATCAATAAACCAAAGGCAGATTTTTGCTCTTAATCTGCCACCGAGGACCCACGCAAGCGACAGAAAAGAGCGATCTGGCAGAATCAGAGCTCTCGCCATTTCCCTAAGATTATTCAATTTATTCTTGTCAGGATTAATTTACTAAACCCATGCTGGATTTTTTATTTAGATGATATTGTTAGTTTGTCATCTGCTGCAGATCTATGCGGGAGGCGCCCCAGGGGACTGCATTTGCTTCTGAACAATGCTGGACTCAAATTGGAAAAATGTCACTTTGGCGAGAACAAATTATTGTTCGGATCACGCTGCCTAGAGCCGGTGTCTCTGGGTGGGTTCCGACCTGACCTTTTCTGAACCAGACTCGTCAAGTAAGTACTTCAGCCCCACTCGACCACTTCGCTTGGAAAACAGCTCAACTACTTAAAAGTGTTAAGTATGAATTTTGAGCTGTGGACTCATCACCAAGCAATCAATTTCCCGACAGAAGGCAGCCCTTCTACTTTTTGTAGCCGGGAAACCCTGAACAGCGGAGGCTCACTTGCTGGCGACAGATGGGATTCCACACAGATAGCAGAATCACACTGCTAGGGTTTATCCTACCGGACTCAACCACACCAGTTTTGGAACTCTGCACAAGGAGGCCGAGTTTGCTTAGCCTCACTTTCCCTATTTGTAAGAGAAGCATATTAACAATCATGGTTGCCTCGTTTGTGGCTAGGCATATCCAATACACGCCAGGGTCTTAGCATATGGCAAGTTATCAGTAAATGTCAGCTGTCCTTGATGACATCTTCCAACAGGCTTTGTGAAACCTGGTTCTGATTGAAGCATTGAGAACTTAAAAACATGTCTATTTTTAAAGTTTTCTCTTCCAAGGCCTCTAGGTTCTTTGAGATTTTAGACATCAAAGCACTCATGTGTCCGTTCTTTTCAGAAGCAGTTCTCTCTCCCGAGAGAGACTTCTTTTCTTCTACACTTGGTGTGTTGGTTGTTTTTGATAATTTTTGTAGGTCAGGGTTATTCATGCCCACAATGCAAGGATGCCAGCATCCCGGATCCCTTACCAGCAGCATTCCCAGCTCTGAAGTATCTGGCACTTAAAGATTCCCGAGAAAATGTGGAGAGAAACACCGGACAACGAAGCTCCCGAGACCTCAGAGGATTTAGAAGTGAGTAGCCAGCACGGGGTTCAACAGCAGCCCCCCAAAAGATATGCTCAAGCCGACTAGTCCCTAGTGCCTGTGAATGTGACCTTGTTTGCAAATGGAGTCTGTGCAGACATAATTAAGGGTCTTGAAATGAGAAAATTCTGTATTATCTGGGTGGGTTCTAAATCCAGTAACAAGTATCCTTTTAAGAGACAGAAGAGAAAGCCATGTGAAGACAGGTGGGGATTAGAGAGATGCTGCTACAAGTCATGTGACACTAAGCTACCAGACACTGGAAGAGGCAAAGATGAATCTTCCCCAGAACCTTTGCTGGGAGAGCCGTCCTGCTCACACTTTCAACTTGGACGTAGAGCCTCCAGAGCTGTCAGAGAATATATTTCAGTTGTTTTAAGCACCTAGATTGTGATGATTTGCTACGGAAGTCATAGAAAATAAATACAGAGGATCAAGGAGCTCTTTGTGCTGATCTCTCTTGCAGGATGCTTGGCTACTTAATACTGAAAAAAGATAACTGTGGTCCAGAGGCCACCTCCGCTTAGTCTAAGCTCTAGGGGACAAGAAAAATTCCTTAAAAGGAATCCCAGGGCAATCACAGGCTGCTGTGCTCCAGGGCCCAGGTGTTTCCACAATACAGCCCCTGAAAACCTCTAAATTGATTATTGCAGTCATTCACTCTGGAAGAGCAATGGAAAGAAAAGACCAGGATGCTTAGACTTGTCATGAGAAGCTAAGTAAGGATCACATATCCTGGGCACAGCATTGTTCTCCTGGACTCAAATACAAAGTCCCAGAGAGCTTTTCATAGGAAATACAGGACAGCTTAAGCCACCTCTCAGGAGTGTGAGGAGACACAGTCAAAGGTTCATCTGACAAGCCCAAATCGGCTTATGATCAACTGAGAAATTGATTACTGCTGAGGAAGAAGGTTTTGCTCTTCCTTCTTAAACAGCAAATAAATGTTATAGCAGAACGGTTTATAATATTAACACAAGATACATTTTTGACATCACACTCCAAAAAGCATTCAAGGTGCATTTTAAATCTTGACTCAACATTACAGATGGTCTCCTTTGCAAAGGCAAGCTTTCTGATAGTTTGGATGCATGCTTACATTGCCTATTGTTGTGAAAATAACAACGGCTTCTAATTTAAGACAAGTCACTGAATATGAGTTTAGATGCTAAGACTAAGAGCATACTGGTGATTTTATGCAACCTACACTATTATTATTGAGATGGAGTCTCGCTCTGTTGCCCAGGTTGGAGTGCAGTAGGGTGATCTTGGCTCACTGCAAACTCTGCCTCCCGGGTTCAAACGATTCTCCTGCCTCAGCCTACCTAGTAGCTGGGATTACAGGTGCATGCTACCACGTCTGGCTATTTTTTTTATTTTTAGTACAGATGGGGTTTCCCCATGTTGGCCAGGCTGGTCTCAAACTCCTGACCTCAGGTGATCCACCTACCTTGGCCTCCGAAAGTGCTGGGATTACAGGCATGACCCAGCGTGCTCAGCCTTATATGATTTTTTAACCTTCACAAAGACTCAGATTTTGAGAATAAGTTCAAGCCTTAGGGACCCTTTTGCCCAGTGTTTCCATTTTACAGGTGAAAAAACTGAGTTTTAGAGTGTAGGGAATTGGCTTCCTACCACTCCGATGATTAAAAGCATAAGGGAGATTGAAATCCATCTGGTCTACGAGCTATGTATTTTATACTCTCCCTTACACAATATACTGTGCTTGAATTTGAATATTTAAACCAATGTTCTAAAGTTAATTGCTTTATTAAAGATAACGAGGGTGTTCTGGCTTTCAAAACTTGAGTAACTCTGATGTTGGTAAAAATTTCAAATCATGCTTGCCTTTCAGCAGAATTCTTCAGAGTCTGTGTTCACTTAATCCTCCAACCGCAAAAACAAAACAAAACAAAACAAAACTAACAAACAAACAAAAACCAAGATTCAAATCAGTTTACTTGAATACATGAAGAATAGTATAAAATGTTTGCAGTGATAGATTTTATTCACTTCCTTTTCCATTCACAAATTAGCTCAGCACCTGCAATATCACAAATGGCCAGCAGATGGGAGCAAATAACTTTGCAAAAAATACCGAAAGCACCAAGTCCTATGCAAGAGTATCCAATTCATCAGGTCCGTAAACTTTTTAAATTTCTCAATCTTTCTGTGCCTTCAAAATTTAAGTCTCAAATGACTGCATGTTTTAATTACTAAGCCCTAATTACTTACTAGGAATGTGATCATTTGAGGAGACATTTCATTAATATGTGTTTAAGAAGGTTCAGCGTGGCAGAGATGCTTCAGGGCAAAGAATATTCCGAAAAGTCTATGGTTTCAACCTAAATATGAAGATGACTCACGATGTAAGAGCTATTTCACCTGAAATCATACAAACAGCAAACAACGCATGTAAACTAAGTAAAATCTCAACACAAATCACTTCAACCAAGGGAGTAAAGTTTACCTTAGTTGGGTAGGTTGCAGGGCAGAGCTGCTGACTTTATAAACATTTGGAGGAATCTTCAGGGGGCCTAAGGGGATATTTTCTCTGACAGTAAATATCTTCTTAGGCAGGAAAAAGCTGTAAAGCCAGAACAACTACAAAACGATCCCCAACCAAACTATTATGCAAATAAAGACAGCAGGCTTTTCATCTTGACTTCTTTCTTTGAGTCCCCTACCTTTCTTTGGCATCCCTACCTCCTGTGAGTTATTTTGTTTTCTTCACCTTACTTTTTTTTTGGAGTGTGGTTATGAGAGGACAAGAGGCTTCCATATCTCAAAATCTAGCCATGCAGACAAGCAGAGCTGGCGTGGGGTAAAAGGCCGGGTAACTCGAGGGTTGCTGGCTCAGCACAATTAAACATAGTACCGAGAACGGCATCCCTGTTTCAGGTAGGAGTCTCCTGTCACCAGGTGAGCTCAAACCAAAGGTCTGTTTGCAAATAAGAGCTATGCATTGGCATCACAGCGGGAGTTTAATGAGAGCGCTTTTAATTAACTGTAAAAGTAATTACCCACATTAGATGTAAATCGCACTTGTTTTCACATGAGGTGAATAATTTTCGCTCAGCTTTTAAGAAGAATACTTCTCGAGATGTCAGCTGCAAACTCTCAGCAAGTTTGTGTGCTGAAAAATACAGCACCGAAGAGAAAGTACGAGCCTGGGAAGCCTGGGTTTGTCGCCTGCCTTCTGTCAGTCACCTGGCTTGGCGTCTCTTTTCATTTCTCTCAGACCCCAGCACCTAAAACATACCCTCTCCGTAGCTGCACCCTCAGACAGCATGCAAACTGTTTCAAGTATTTTCTTGTTCTAATTTGGTGGTCAGCCTCCTGGATAATCCCTGGTGCTTTCATTGACGGGTTCCTGTGAATAATTAACGCAGTCAAAAGAATGGAAAAAAGAGAAGAGGCTGGAAGAAGCCCTAACTGGGTCAGTGGTGTGTGTGTTCCCCAGGTGAGCTAAAGTGGGTAATCTCCAAAGAAGGAAACACGTTAGCGAGGAGGGAGCAAGTCCCAGAGCAACAAGGCCAGGCCTGAAAGGCTCAGGGCAGAACCTATTTTTTTTTTTTTTTTTTTTTTTTTTTTTTTTTTTTTTTTTTTTGAGACGGAGTCCTGCTCTGTCACCCAGGCTGAATTGCGGTGGTGCCATCTCAGCTCACTGCAACCTCCGCCTCCCAGGTTCAAGTGATTCTCCCGTCTCAGCCTCTTGAGTAGCTGGGATTACAGGCACCCACCATCACACCCAGCTAACTTTTGTATTTCTAGTAGAGACGGGGTTTCACTTTGTTGCCTGGTCTTGTCTTAAACTCCTGGGCTCAAGCGATCTGCCCGCCTCGGCCTCCCAAAGTGCTGGGATTACAGGTGTGGGCCACCGTGCCCGGCGTCAGGGCAAAAATTCTAATGAGGATGAGTGTCTGCATCACCAGCACCAAAACAAAACAGCAATGCTCCCTTGGATTTATAAATAGCACCAGAAAATGACAGATGTCAGCGTTGGGAGGGAGTGAAGGTGAACGCCTTGGTTGAACCGTGTTACAATGCTGTCCTCTAGGTCCTTGAAATTCCTCTGACGTCAACAGGAATGTGAGGGCTGGGGAAGCCCTGAACCTCTGATTTGAACCTCGGTGAAGCGTAAACAGCCAAGATGCAGTTTGCAAATACAAGATTACGGGGTAATTATTTACACTTTGATAGGCACCTTCATTAAAGGTTTTGAGGATGCAATTATCAAATTGAGGTTTAGTGCACTCCATTTAAGCAACTGAAGTGAAGATCGGGAAAGTGGGATGCAGAACGGTGAGTTTACGCCCATCAAGTCAGATAGCAACTTACTTGCCAATTAGGTTCCTTCTAAAAAGAAAGCAGGCCTTCCATTTGAGTAGCATGGCTGCCACAGTCATTATTTTCATCTGCGAAGCCTACCTGGGGTTTCTGGTGCTGTTCTGATGTTCATGTTGCTTGTTTTGGGTCTTGGCCTTAATCCTAAGATGGGGCTAGAACATGACAGGGACTAGTCAGAGAGGCCCAGAGAACGTATTCTGGTTCAAGGCCAACTGAAGGAAAAACCAGAACTGGAACTTGTATCCTTCAGAAGGAGTTTTTTTATTCCTTTCTAGAGGGTCACAAGTATTTGCCCAGTGTTTCCTATATGTGATATACCCCAATGTACCTACTTCCCACACTGGCTCTATAAAGTAGTATTTATTTATTTATTTATTTATTTATTTGGCAATGGAGTCTTACTCTGTCGCTGAGGCTGGAGTGCAGTGGCATGATCACAGCTCACTGCAATCTCCGCTTCCCGGGTTCACGCTATTCTCCTGCCTCAGCCTCCCAAGTACCTGGGATTACAGGTGCCTGCTCTATGCCTGGCTAATTTCTGCATTTTTAGCAGACATGGGGTTTGACCATGTTGGCCAGGCTGGTCTCACACTCCTGGCCTCCAGTGATCCGCCCACCTCGGCCTCCCCAAGTTCTGGGATTACAGATGTGAGCCACTATGCCCGGCCTCTATGAAGGATTTAAATTAACAAAAAATTAAAAATATAGCCTAGTTCTTAATAGTATATCAACTTCTTGAGGAAATGTGGCAAAAGGCGTATCTGAAACACTAAGATAATAAAATAATTCACCATAATATTTGAGAGAAAATTCAATAAGCTGCATTTGAATTTCACCTGTAGATGTGGATCAAAATACATTAAGAAAGAAACCAGTGTACCCTGTTTAAAATCCTGACTCTACCACTTAATATTTATATGGCTTTTCGCAGCAACTTATCTGTTCTTTAGTTTCTGTATTTCAGAAAATGGGGTTAAAAGCTCTGGTATCATCATATGGGTGTTAGTGTTAGTACTGAGATAAGCTATACAGAGTGCTGACACATAGTTAGGGGTCAAAATACCTGTCATAACTGTAATCTTGTTTTTTTGGTTTTGTTTTTTGTTTTTTGTTTTTGAGACACAGTCTCACTCTGTTGCTCAGGCTGGAGTGCAGTGGCGTGATCTCAGCTCACTGCAAGCTCTGCCTCCCAGGTTCACACCATTCTCCTGCCTCAGCCTCCCGAGTAGCTGGGACTACAGGCGCCCAACACCTTGACCAACTAATTTGGTTTTGTATTTTTAGTAGAGACAGGGTTTCATCATGTTAGCCAGGATGGTCTCAATCTCCTGACGTCGTGATCCGCCCGCCTCGGCCTCCCAAAGTGCTGGGATTACAGGCGTGAGCCACCGTGCCCGGCCCACAATTGTAATCTTTAAATTATGTGTATTTATTATTATTGTGTATTTGTATAATTTTATCATAGTTATTGTTCTTCCTTCTCAATATAAGATGTTTCTAAAAACTGTCTTAATTCCTCCGGGTCATTACTATTTCAGTCAATTAAACAGACCCCTACTGGCCACAAAAGATGCAATTTCTAACAGGACACGTTCTCCTGGGAAGGGAAGCTGATAGATAGTCTATCTCAACACCTACTAAACCGCTCTTGTAAAGATCCTAGCACTACAAGGACTCAACGAAACTATTTAATTGAATATTTCACTTCCTCTTAGGAATCAGATAGACAGAAAGACATCAGATTCCAGAAAGACATCCAATGGGCAGTCCAAGATTTATGCCAATTAAAGAAGGCGCAGCACAGCTGAAGGTCAACAGAGCTAGCGCACATGATTTGAAAAAAATTTATCATTCTTATGCATCCTATTGAGTATCCAGAAATGAGCTGCCAGTTTGCAAGAAATGGCTGCTGCTCTGAGTGAAACGATGGCTAAGCTTTGTAGGTGGCTGGGTGGGGCCACAGGTCTCCTTGGAAACTGATACTTTCAGGATTCACTTGAACTCGAGCCATCTTGTCAACCACAGTTTCTTGGGAAGCAATATTTTCTGTCCCTGTGACCTTGGCATTTTGCTTCCTGGTAGAAAATGAATACTGGTTCTTTCCACAAGATTAGAGAACCAACTCTTTATTTCAGGAATGCAACCTTTATTGTCTACAGCCTTAAGTAACTGACAAGACCAAAATGGTGGCCATCACCCAAACACCTGCACCAACCAAACCAGCATGGAGTTACAATAGCGAAGAGAAGTCTCTTTTGTTTTTCCTCTCAATTTTTTGTACTCCGGAATGAGTGCTCGTAATAAGACAACATTAAATGTGTAATATTTGGCATTAAAGGGCTAAACATTATATAAATTAGTGTAAAAAATTTGTTCAATCTATGTGTACACACCTTCATTCATCAAAGAACATACCGATAGCCATTTTCTTGGTTTTGCTTCCACTGCAATATTTCTAAGTTTGACAACATGGTAGTAAAAGTTAATATGCCAGAAGCATATTTTATTATAATAAATGTGTAAGTCTCAATGCGTGGCCCTTGAGTTTCCAATCTCTAAGGATGAATTTTAAAACTCACCTGAGAAATAACTACTTAAATTTTCTCAGAAAATTGAAATAAGGAAGAAAAAATGAACATGTATGTTCTTTTGCCATGCGATTTACCAGTAACTTATTCTTTAAAACACTAATTTTAATTCTTACATGAGCATAGGAAAAATGTACCTTAAAACAGTTTAGGATAATTACATTTGTCTGGTTTTTCCACCCTCTTTCCCAAATGCCAAGTTTCCTTTCAGAACCTGTCATTTCATTTTTATATGCAAGAAGACAATTAAAAATAATCCCATTAAAGTCTTGATTACTTTCTCTTTTACAATGGCAGGCCTACAACATTCATATGACACAGATATTTTGTTGGGAGAGAGTGGCAGAAGTTTAGTCTACCCCTAAAGGTGTCTTAGATACTTCAGTCAAACATGTCATCCTGGGAATGAGATAAAAAACTAAATGTTGGGTGTTGAAAATTATGAAGGCTAATATACTGAAGCACAGAGACTTTGTCATTTTAACCATTTTTGGGTAAAATCCCTGTAAAATGTAATTCACTGTCTCCACTTTTCTAAATATGGATGATGAGTTTCAGAATTGTAATCCAGTGCAGAAAGGACCTCCAAGATTTGGAGACCATGGAATATCCTGCCCTCCTGCTAAATAACGCCAACTTGTTGTGTTCTTGAAGAGATGTAGATGTATTACAATATTCTTCTAGACCCTGTACTCATGGTCAGCTGTACTTTCTGCTGCCACTTCATCATCTGGCTCCCAATTCACCACCAGTTATCTGGGGAGTACTTTAGAGTTTCAACCTTTTCAAGTTAAATGCACATTCTAATATATATATAGACTATTATATATATACTATATAGAATATTATATATACTATGCAGATTGTATATACTATACAGAATATTATATATACTATATAGAATATTATATATAATATATAGGATATTATATATAATATATAATACATATTATATACATTTACATATATTTATATAATATATTTATATATTATATAATATATATATTTAATATATAATATATATTTGTATATTATATATTATATATATTTAATATATAATATATATTTGTATATTATATAATATATATAATATATAATATATATTTGTATATTATATATTATATATAATATATAATATATATTTGTATATTATATAATATATATAATATATAATATATATTGTATATTATATAATATATATAATATATAATATATATTGTATATTATATAATATATATAATATATAATATATATTGTATATTATATATTTAATATATAATATAAATTTATATATTATATAATATATATATTTAATATGTATTATATATATTAAACATATTTATACATATAAATATGTTTATACATAATTTATCCATATAAATGTTTATACACATATTTATACATATTTTATACATAATGATACATATACATAAATATACATAATATACATATTTTATGTATATTTTATGTATATTTATACATAATTTATACATATATGTTTATACATATATTTAAACATATAAATATATTAAACATATAATATATATTATATATTATATATATTATATATTATATATAACATATATTATATATTATATATTATATATAACATATATTATATATTATATATATTATATATTATATATATAAACTATATTATATATAATTGGCTTATTTTATGACTTCCAGATTGGTGAGATTCACACAATCAAATAGAATATAAATGTTTATGTGATGTAGCTCGGTTGAGGCATTTCGCAATGTTTACACATTTCAAAAGATCATGCACACAAAAAATACAATTTTTATTTCTCCAAAATAACTTAAACCAAATAAAAGAGAAATCTTCTGATATGTGCTACAGTAATTAGAGGTTTAATAATTTTTTAATATTGTTATTAAAGGTTGAGCACTCCCAATCTAAAAATCCAAAATCCAGCCGGGTGCGGTGGCTCACGCCTGTAATCCCAGCACTTTGGGAGGCCGAGCCGGGCTGATCACGAAGTCAGGAGATCGAGACCATCCTGGCTAACACCATGAAACCCCATCTCTACTGAAAATACAAAAAATTAGCCGTGTGTGGTGGCAGGCGCCTCTAGTCCCAGCTACTCGGGAGGCTGAGGCAGGAGAATGGCATGAACCCGGGAGGCAGAGCTTGCAGTGAGCCGAGATCGTGCCTCTGCACTCCAGCCTGGGCGACAGAGCGAGACTCCATCTCAAAAAAGAAAAAATCCCAAATCCAAGTGCCCCCAAATCCAAAACTGTCTGACTGCTGAGATGCGAGGTGATGCCACAAGTGGAAAATTCAATACCCGACCTCCATATGATGGACTGCAGTCAAAATACACTCAAAACTGTTTCAAGCATAAATTATTAAACATGTACACAAGTACTTTCAGGTTATGTGTATGATGTGCATATAAAGCATAAGGCAATGACGGTTCTCAACTTGGGTCCCATCCCCAAGATACCTCATTATGTATGTGTCAATATTCCAAAATCTGAAAAAGAAATCTGAAATCCAAAATACCTCTGGTCTCGAACATTTTGAATAAAAGGAATAGTCAGACTATACTTATTCAGGTGAATATGATAGTGACCTAAACCCTAAGACTGACTGGTCAAGTGCATCAAAATAGTTTATGTTGGGTAAAATAAATAAAAATAAATTGATCTCTCTTAGGCAGCATGATTTTCCAAAAATAATTTTGAATTCACAAAACCGTAAGACTCATTGGATTTACTGAAATTACTTCTGTGCCTATGCCACCTTCCTTCCTAGACTCATATTCTAGTATGTTCCTCCCAGACCCTATGCTCCCTGTCAACCTTTTTATTGATACCTCTTTTTATTTTCCAGAAACTTGGCTCACTGTCTCCTCCTGCTGAATCACTTTCCCTCTGTTCGCCCAATTATCTGTTTACCAAACCTGTTATCACTTCCTCCTCTACCTCCCCATCCAGATTTGACTGTTCCTTGTGGCACCAAGTCTTTGGTCCTGCATGGATAAGGATCATGGGCTATGGTGGAAATGATTTCACTTGTACTTATATTTACAGGGCATTTTATACAATATCTGACTTTTTCATGAAGTTATCAGCTACTCAGAGACAAGGTTAACAACAAGAACTAATGTTCCAAAAAATCATTTTTAGTGATGAATATATAAATTGAAAGTATTATATATTTTAAATTAAAAATATGTACATATTATGTAATATATATTAAAACTTTCGTAATATATTATACTCATATCATATACATTTAATATAATACATAATGTATACTTACATATAATACTTTATATATAATATATATGATATATAAATTAAAATATATAACATATATTTAAACTATTAAAATATGCATGTCATATATAATTTGTGTAACATAATAAAGTATTATATTACATTATATATAAATTAAAACATGTATAATATATGTAATAATTATAAACTAAATTACTAATTTAAATTATATTATATTATATAAATTAAAATATATACATGTGTATTTTTAATTTATAATATATATTTTGAATTTAAATTTAAAGTATTATATATAATACAAATATATGTATATCTTTGTATTATATATAATACAAATATATGTATATCTTTGTATTATATATTTAGTACAAATATATGTATATCTTTGTATATTTAATACAAATATATCTTTGTATTATATATTTAATACAAATATGTATCTTTGTATTATATATGTACATATTTACATATATACATATATTTGTATTATATAATGTAATTTCCATTTATATAATACTTTAATCATATATTACATAGATTAATATTATATATTTGAATACTTTAAATATGTAATATACTTTTATATTTAAATTAAAAAATATAAAAGTATATATCATATATTCTATTAAATGGATATAATATTATATAAGTATGTATCATCTATTATATTAAATATATATGCAACTTCACTAAGCCCGGGAGGCAGCCACAGTGATTATCCCTATTTTAGAGTAAACATACTCACGGAGGTTTGGTTTTTTGCCCAAGGTCACAGAGCTGACAGTTGTTGGATCTGGGACATGAACCTTATTGGTTTGACTCAGAAGCGGGTGATCTGAGGGACTCAGCCAATCTGCTTTCCTGTTGCACTAATCATTTTCTTAAAGGAGTAACAGAAATATTTTTTAATGGAAGAGTGAATGAGCACACAACAGAAGGCAACTTTACTGTTTATTGACTTTTCTACCCATTCTGAACCTCCATGAATTACTCACAATAACTGGTATAGTAGAATATAGATATAGTCTGTGTGTATGTGTATGTGTATGTGTGTGTGTATGTGTGTGTGTAGGTTTATTCAATAAGAAATGCATCGGTTTACACAAAGCCTGGATTTCTTTGAGATGGGGTCTTACTCATGTTGTCCAGTCTGGACAGCAGTAGTGCGGTCATCGCTTATGGTAGCCTCCACCCCCTGGCCTCAAGCAATCCTCCCACCTACCTCAGCCTCCTGAGTCGCTAGGACTACAGGCATGCACCACCATGCATGGCTAATTTATTTTTATTTTTTTATAGAGATACATCTTTCCGTGTTGCCCAGGCTAGTCTCAAACTCCTCAACTCAAGTGATCTTCCTGCCTCAGCCTCCCAAAGCCTAAGGATTACAGGCATGAGCTACAGCGCCTGGCTAGAGCCTCGATTCCAAAGTCACTAAAACATGTGGCTAATTACAGCCATCAGTAACTGGCTGGAAACCAAGTAACTACTTGACTTCCTTTAGCCAAGTTAAACAGTCTGTTGATTTAAAGACTCCAGAACATGTGGCCAGGCGCAGTGTCTCAGGCCTGTAATCCCAGCACATTGGGAGGCCCAGGTGGGGGGATCACTTGAGGCCAGGTATTCAAGATCAGCCGGCTCAACATGGTGAAAACCCATCTCTACTAAAAAAAATAATAATAATAAATGCAAAAATCAGCCAGGTGTGGTAGTGCATGCCTGTAGTCCCAGCTACTTGGGAGGCTGAGGCACAAGAATCACTTGAACCTGGGAGGAGGAGGTTGCAGTGAGCCAAGATCGTGCCGCTGCATTCCAGCCTGGGCGACAAGAGTGACACTCTGTCTCAAAAAAAATAAAATAAAAATAAAGACTCAAGAACACTTTCTGTGCACCTATTGGAGAGGACTGTTTCTTGGTCTATAAGCCACTGATGTGAGGATGTAAGTAGTTCTGGACATCTGACCTGCCCTGCTAAGATCCCCACGCAGCACAGGGGTGCACGTCAGCTGCATCTGTGAAGTGGGCACAATCGCTGCAACTTTCTTCCAAGGGCTGGAAAAAAGCATGTCCCAGGAAGAAGCCAGCTCAACTCCAGGAAAACACATCAAGTATTTATTTTTCAATGTCTCCCCATCCCTCTCCTTTTTATATTTATTTATTTATTTTTGTAACCTCTGCCAGAACCCAAACAACAGGAAGCTCTCAACCTATTTCGAAGGCTTACAATTTCCCATCAGCATCCTGTCTGAGAGCTCAAATGGTCCCATCCCCTTGTATAAGGTTAACAGGTTTTAAGAAAAGAGAGCAGCTCCAGTAATAGCAAATATAATGAAAAGAAGAGCCAAGGCTGATAAAGTCAGCCTAAGTCACTCTTTGAGGTCATAGGCCTTGCGGCTGCTTAAGCTTTATCAATAAATTCCAGGTTGGTTAGGCCTGGCAAGCACTTCAGCCAAAGAAGGCCTTCGCCGGATATCAGTCAGGCCCAGTGTCATGAGTGGAATAGCTCAAGCAAAACACCCATGGCCAGGCCTGCCTTCTAACCTCAAGAGACTCATTTTTGTTCCACTGAAATCCATCAACATTGGTAAAAGACAGGAGCCTCTGTCTCCTCCTCAAGTGGACTTTTATTCTGCACATGGATAACAGCCACAGACACTTAGCCAAGGAAATACTGTAACACTATCCTCATAACCACAGGAATATCATTCTCAGGTAAGTCACTGATGACAACACACAACTGGTCTCCATACTGTTTATGAGGTCCTTTTGTTTCTCCAACAAGTTCAGACCTTTTTTTTTTTTCTTTCTCCCTGGCTATCTTTATTACAACTGGTGCAAGGTTTCACAGATGTTTTGACCTTGTTGTTTGCGATGGTTTCAGTTTGTAGCTAGCATGCAGGGAAAACAGACTCTAAAGTTCTTCCAGCTTTCCTTCTAAAGAAACCCGATGCAGTTAAGTGTCTTCAAGGAGGAGGAAGTGAAGGATCACAGAGATGCAGTAACTGTGTCCAGGACACACAATTAACAAGGGACAGACTCAGAAACCAAACCCAGCACCTCCTTCCAGCACATCCTTACTAAACATTGTCCAAACATTATCCAAACATTATCCAAATAGAGTGTGATTTCTCTATTTGAAACCCTAATGGCCTCTCCTTCCATTGAGAATAAACCCAGCTCCCAACATAGCTCTTTGCCCATTTCGCTACTGACCTCTCCTACCTTTTCCTGCTCACTCCTCTTTGGCTACAATGACCTTCTTACAGCTTCTCAAATGCATTAAGTTTGTGGCCACCTTGGGGTGTTTGCATGCACCCGCTCTACCCCCGCCCCCTGCAGAGCTGCTGCTCTGAGCCTCCCGGTGGCTGCTCCTCCTCCCTACCCCAAGGTCAGTTCAGACACCAGCTCATCAGTGAGCTCTTCCCCCAGCCAGCAATGCTTTATCCTCTCTGTTCTGTTTTCTTTATTGCACGTACCATTATTTGCATTGATAACCTTGATTTCCTTGTTTATTTTTCTATCTCCACATCAACTAGCTTCTTAGCTCCATGAAAGCAGAGACTTTCCTTTGTCTTTTTTCCATGCTGTATTCTGACACCCAGAACAAAACCTCCACTTAATATTTGTTCAGGAGCGAATGGAGTAACTTTAAGAATGTGATGTCTGCTTTTTACACACGTTGCTACACAGCTCACTCTGTCACTGGGAACTTTCCCTTACAAAAAAAAAAATATGTTTCATAATAAAAAGTGTTTTCTAAAAAATATTTCTACTTCATCTTCTTTATAAGGTTCTACTTTCCTTTTTCTTAAATATGCATTAAAATGCATCTCTGTCTCTCGTACACACACACACACTCACCCCCCATTTTTGGTTTTATTCCATCCCTTTACTTGTCCTTATCTTCCTTCTTACCTATCACTTAACCTCCAGTTCTTTCTCAGATTCACAATTTCCGAGGCTCTATTTCAATTACTCTGCCTTTGACCTTCTAAATTTTCTATCTGCCTTTTCATGTTAGTAATTCTTTCTGCTTCCCTCTGCACCAACCCCCCTCCAAATGCCCTCTCTCTCTACTTTCATTCATATTAAACATCATGTCTTGCTTATTTCCAGCTGGGTTGACAACCAAGGAGTTAGGTCCAAGTATAGCCTCCTTCCCTCCCCCAAATCTAAATGCATTCAATAAGGTACTTTAAAACATTTTTTTAATTGAAGTCTAATGTACTCAAATAAAGCAGCATTTATCATAGCTGTTTGGCCAAATGTCCTGGTCCTTGGGGTTTGAGGACTACTGCCCTAGAGGAAGTCAAGTTTCTTTCTTAACTCCTGTAACGAGCAGGTCGGGTAACATAGGTCAACTACAATTTCAACCTCCTTCTCATGGTATTTTCATCATAAATTCCAGCTTAAATTTTAGGAATTTAAACTTGACTACAAACATGGAGATACTTAACAGAAATGCTGTAGGGAATATAAGTATTACCAATCAGCTAGTTCTGGGCCCAAATTGGGTTTCTGATTCCTACTAGCAAGGAGACTTGAACAAATTAGTTGACTAGATCTTAGCTTTCTTAACCTGTAAAGTGGCCTTATGAATAGTGCTTACCTCATCAGGCTGTTTTAAGTACGAAATAAGACCATGTTAGAAGGAAATTTTAACAGTGCCTGGTGCAAACTGATGTTATATCACCATTAAGACCTATGACCATTAACCTTACCATCATCAACTTCACTTTCTTTTGAGTATCATTAAAAACATCAAACAATCTGCTGCAGAAATGGATGGATGCATGGATGGATGGATGGATTTTGAAATTAATGTCTTCTCTCCTCTCCTTTCTCTTTTCCATTCCTTGGGTGTGGGCAGAAGAGAAAAAGGCAGGAGAAGAAGGATGAAGAAGCATCTTCCATCCCTCTCTGTCACAGACAGGGGAATCAAAACTGAATAATACATTCAATGAGTTACTTAATTAACTGGGTGAAGGTGATGCTGAAGTAGCTGAGTAAAATAATGAGATGTCAAGCACAGAAGCTTAGACCAAGGAGGGATTTGAAAACCCTCTTCCTGTCAGAAGAAACCACAGGATTTTTCAGGCAGATGACACTAAGGGGTTTAATCTTTCCATTTTTCTCCTTCTGAAAGCAATGGTCTTTTTTTTTTTTAAAAAAAAAAAAAACCTACCGAAATAAGGCCAAATGTAAAATTAGCATTTATGTAGCAGAGGTCATTAAAATGAGTTAGTCCAGGTCCTTCATAACATTAAGCTAGTGCTAAAATGAGAAGAATAAAAAATAAAAAAATAAAACGTCTGATTAAAAGGATCTTAAATGGAGAGGCTGTGGCTAATAGCGAAGCTATCTCAGAAGGACTAATTAAGCTAGAAATAAATGTGGTTAGAAAGGAAAGGCTATTTTGTGATCCACCTATATGTCAAATGGCTGACCACAAGACTCACCTGCTGTTAATTAAAATCTCGTTGTCATCTCCAGTTAAGGGGCTCTGAGCATCTCTCCCAATACTCTAAGAATCTTGCAGCCAGACACCCACCCTAACCACCCTCATTCATCCTGCCAATTAATGTTGATTTTTATCTACACGTTTCAGGGTCAAAAGATGAAAGTATAACCCATTTTTTGTAAATGAAGACAGCTGATCCCAACTTAACTATTTGTGACATTAATGAGTACTTAAAAAATAAAACATAAATCAAGGCTGACTTTGAAAAATTGTAGCTGTTGGTACTCTCAGGGCCAAAAGTCGTTAAACATCCTCAATTAAACGAGCAACACTGTGTTTCTTTCCATTTATCTTGGACGTTACATCAGTGTAGCCTCGCACATTTTATATGCTCGTGTTCTTTTTGAAGACAATGCTAATGGGATGAGGTTACCTTTTCCCTAGGCCTGTAATTGCCAAATACAGAAGAACTTCCATCACAATTACAAATTCTGCTACATCTGCATACTGCATTATTCTTATCAATGTAAATTATACACACATATATGTAACCAGGTACACATATACACACACAAAAGTATGTACTCTTTCATTTAAACTGTTCATGGAATCATAGGTTTAGTATGTATGCTGATTCTTTTTCTTTTTTGAGATGGAGTCTTACTCTGTCACCCAGGCTGCAGTGCAGTGGTGCAATCTCGGCTCACTGTAACCTCCGCAGCCTGGGTTCAAGCAATTCTCCTGTCTCAGCCTCCCTAGTAGCTGGGACTACAGACGCATGCCACCACACCTGGCTAATTTTTTGTATTTTCAGTAGACACGGGGTTTCACCATACTGGTCAGGCTGTGATTCTTTTTCTAATAAACATACAGATCATACCTAAACTTTGGAAGAATGACAGTTCTATATCTTCACAGAGCTTCGTGTTACAAAAGTGTACTCAGCTGTCAAACCTCATCAAACGGTCCCTTCAAGGTTTGTATATTTCAGTATCAATAAATTTTACCTCAGAAAAATAAAAGACCACAAACAAACCATGAGCTCTCATTAAAGATTTACACCCTGCTGAAGGGTGAAAGATACTGATGCAAGTCACTTTGAAATGCATAAAAAAACAAAATGAGGTGGATTGGTAGATGAAGTGATGGATATATAAGAGATAAAACAAATATGATAAAAATGTGAATTGTAACATCTTAATGCTGGGTATATAGTATATTATGATTCTTTCATATTTTCTATATTTGAAAACCAGCCTCATACATATACATCTGCAATTACAACAAAATGCATGTCCATGTACCACAAAACATAAAATCACATCCTGCTGTTGGGACATACTCTAGGTTTAGGAAGATACCGGTAGTTTTCAATTAATGAACCGTTAACGGGAAAGCAGTCAAATTTTGAGCAAGGTGCAAAATTTACGTTGGCTGTCATTGAGTACACATTCCTAAGATGCTAACCCCCAGGGAGACTGGTGAGATGACCAAGGTACCCGTAAGCAGGAAGAGGCAGAAGGTAACGCCATACCAGTATCACAGAGACATCTTGGGGACTGCGAAGTGGAAAAACTTTGCCTCCTGAACAGAGAAGGGAGCCTGGCTGGGCTCATGGACATTCACGCTCAGTGACCCAGAGATGTCCTTTGCACACTTGGAGACATTGCTCTGCTGCAGTAACAATCACATGGTTATGGCTGTTGACATCCAGCGAGGCTGAGAGTGGGCCTTGAACAGGAGACAGTTGAGGATGGCCCCTTTAGGGAGTGATGAAGCAACTCCATTTTATAAGATGTCTAAATGCTTTGTGAAACTTCTCCTTTTGTACTGAGACACACTTTATTTTATTCAAACCTTCTCTCTTCCTTGTAGGGCACACACAGCATTTTATCAATTGGCTTCAGTTTCGACCTGCACCAAATCTCCACCCTCCCTCCGGCCTCAGAGGGGGGATGACTGACACCTCACTTTTGCGTCTTTGTTTTCACAGTGTGCTGCTCATTTTTCTGGAAAGTTACTTTATCACATGTCTCAAGAACATCTTATATTCTTAAGTATAGGCGTTAATAGTATATTCTCAGTCTAGCGTTCATAGTTCTTATCTTCTCATCCTTCCTGCTTCCTCCTTTGAGACCTAGAGACTTACTCAAATCCTCCACTGTGTTATGACTGTTTCAGGGAGCAAGTTTCCAATATTCTTCCTCACCCAATCAACATCATAGAGACTTTTCTGATGGGTAACTTTTCAAAATGGAAAAGTTTTTCTTTCTCTCCATCTCTCTTTCTCTGTCTCACTTCCTCCAAGCAGTGCATGTTTTGCTTTTGATCCGTATGTCCTAAGCTCACCTAGAGTAGGTAAGGTATACCTAGAACAGGTAAGCACACCTAAGTAGGGACGTTTCAGGGCCCCGCCTTCTAGAGGCCAGCTTCAAAGCCCCATCTCATTCCCCTGTGCTGGACCAATATCCTCCAAACTACTCTGCCCATCCCAAGATCTAGATATGGTTGTAGGAGTAATGCGGGTTGGATGACAGAATGCTAATTTCAGCTTTGGGAGGCACAATAGGACTTTGTGTTCAGCGGCCATGGATTTTAGAGCCAGACCGCCAGGACTAGAACCCTGGTTCTTTCAGAAGGCAGATGGGTAGCCTTCGGCAACATAGCCCAGCCTTCTGTGCCTCAGTTTCTTCGTCTATAAACTGTGCATGGAGGATAATAATAGTTTGTATTTAGGCTATCATAACAATTCAAAGGGCCTTTGTGTATAAGGTCCTTCCAATTTGTGTCTGGCACAAAATAACTATGACTAAAGTGCTTGTTAAACATAAAAGCATGTTTACAACACAGCCTCACTGGTGATAAACTGAATTCTATACTTTATTTTATTTCTATTTTATTTTATTTTATTTATTTATTAAGATGGAGTCTCACTCTGTCATCCAGGCTGGGGTGCTGTGGTGCAATCTTGGCTCACTGCAACCTCTGTCTCCCGGGTTCAAGCAATTCTCCTGCCTCAGCCTCCTGAGTACCTGCGATTACAGGTGCGCACCACCATACCTAGCTAATTTCTGTATTTTTAGTAGAGACAGGGTTTCACCATGTTGGCCAGGCTGGTCTCGAACTCCTGATCCCAGGTGATCCGCCTGCCTCGGCCTCCCAAAGTGCTGGGATTACAGGCATAAGCCACCATGCCCAGCGTGAATTCTGTACCTTAATCCCTGTTGAGTGTGTGTATCTATTTTTGCCTTGGTTGAGAATCCACAGCAAAGGAGGAAGAATGATGAATCAGCCCTCCCGAGCCTCAGCTCCCAGGTCCTGCAACACCCACTCCTCCACACCATGGATCTTCTCTTCTAGGTTCATGGGTGACCTGGGCCTCTAGTGCAAGAGTCACATGGCCAACACTTAAAGGACACCCGGGCAACATTTGTTGAACAGGACACAAAATCAGAGGGCATAAATGTTCAATCTGATGGACAGCAGAAGGTCAGAAATACAGAACCAACTATGCAATTTGGGAAAAAAAAAAAAAAAAACCTGCAGAATTTTAGGCCTTGATGCAATGTTGGTACAAAACTAAGAGACGCATATTGGTGTGACTTCAGAGGCAGGCAACACTATAATCGGCAACTAAATTAGGTGAAGCTGTTTCTTTATTCCTATAATTTGATTGCACATAAATCAATTTTGATTAGATTCAAAAATTACTGAACATGTACCTCAATGAGCTCTCAAGTATTATCTGATAACGTAAACTTTACATGGGATCAGAGCTAATTTCTACCTGGAGCCAATGTAAGAATCCCCAACAACAATGGCAGACATCATTAAATGCTGCAAATGTAGAAACATAATTAAATTAGCTGATAATCATCATTCTCCTTCTATAGAGGCTCTAATTTAATGCACTTGCAAATGTAATGAGGCTCACTGGATTGAAAAATATGGTGGAAATAACAGAAACAAGATTACATTAATTGGAAGAGATACTGATAAGGCAGATTGCTCTGCATTTCTTGGGGCGGGGGCGGTGGGGAACTACATAGTTCTGAAAATCATGACAAGGTTGGCCTCTACCATAGTTAGAATGGAGGAACCATCTGAGTAGGCAGAGAGAAAAATAACAGACAGAGAGGGCTTTCTTAAAGTTTTAACGAACTGAGTGAATCCCATCAGAAATACCTAGAAAAGGAAAGGAGCTTGGACTTTGTATCCCATTTCACAACTGAGGATTTAGCTACAAGACGATTTTTACTTGACACCTATACATGCCATCTATGCAGTCATTCACTGATTCACTCAAATTGTTGTTGTCTCAAACCCAGAGTTACAGGAATGAAGAAATTAGCTACATTTTTTAGTTCTTTCTAATTTAAATCGACTCTATTCTGTGTCCTTCTCACTTTAGCACTTAACTCAACTGCAATTAAATAATTGTTTGTGAAATTGTTTTGGGGGTGTGCCACTCCCCCACTATCCACCAGAATACCTTTTTTTTTTTTTTTTTTTTTTTTTTTTAGATAGGGTTGGTGGCCGAGGATGGAGTGCAATGGCACGATCTTGACTCACTGCAACTTTTGCCTCCCAGGTTAAAGAGATTCTCTAGCCTCAGCCTCCCAAACAGCTGGGATTATAAGCCTGCGACACCACACCCAGCTAATTTTTGTATTTTTAGTAGAGATGGGGTTTCACCATGTTGGCCAGGCTGGTCTCAAACTCCTGACCTCAAGTGATCCACCTGCCTCGACCTCGACCAAAGTGCTGGGATTACAGGCGTGAGCAACCGCGTCCAGCCCAGAATGTCATTTCTTAGAAGACAAAGGGCTGGTCTTACATGGGGGGTTATACATGGTATGTGCTAAGTATTCACTGAAAAAATGAAAAAATTAAAGAATTGCCTTCACTGACTTGACATAAGAACAGCAGGAGGAGTGAGTTTCCAGCCTTTTTCTTCTTCTTTCTTTGTTTTACAACGACGTCTAGGAGTTTCTGGTGACCTCAAGAAATGCCACAAAATGTACCCAACAAAACCCCATTTGTTTTCATATAAAACACAGCTGCACTGTGGCTACTTTTAGGGTACAGTCTTACAAAAATCATGTGAAGGAAAGACGTCCTCACTGCCAAGGGACAAAATATCACTCTAACCAAAACAAAGGTGGGTGGAAACTGGTATGTTCTGTTAGGTAGATTACCTTGTGAGAAATTCAGAAGGGCTGTGGTTGATTCACCATCCCCACTCATTTCTCAGCCTTCTGACATATATAATGAAGGATACTGCCCTGCAAAAACCCTGATCTCACCAAAACCAGAAAAAAATGTCAAGAATTTAAAGTAGGCAAGGGACAGTTTTTTCTTTTTAAACAACTCTAAAAACAGACTATTAAAAGGTACTTTTGCAAAGGAAGCAACGAGATATTTAACTGACCCAAAGTTTCTTTTCCTGGCTTACTCCTTAGGAAAGGCAGTAACCATGTGCTTAAATATAGCATTTATGCCCCTTCCTCATATCCAAGTCTGTGTTCCTTTGCATACTTATATTTTGTTTTTCCAGTGTTGTCCGTATCTCCCTTTTCTGTGGTACGTAGTTGTGAAATGGACCATAGAATTTTCACCTAACAGGGACTGTAAACTAGTTCAACCATTGTGGAAGTCAGTGTGGCGACTCCTCAGGGATCTAGAACTAGAAATACCATTTGACCCAGCAATCCCACTACTGGGTATATACCCAAAGGATTATAAATCATGCTGCTATAAAGACACATGCACACATGTTTATTGCGGCACTATTCACAATAGCAAAGACTTGGAACCAACCCAAATGTCCAACAATGATAGACTGGATTAAGAAAATGTGGCACATATACACCATAGAATACTATGCAGCCATAAAAAAGGATGAGTTCATATCCTTTGTAGGGACATGGATGAAGCTGGAAACCATCATTCTCAGCAAACTATCGCAAGGACAAAAAACCAAACACCGCATGTTCTCACTCATAGGTGAGAACTGAACGATGAGAACACATGGACACAGGAAGGGGAACATTAGACACCGGGGCCTGTTGTGGGGTGTGGGGCAGGGGGAGGGATAGCATTAGGAGATATACCTAATGTTAAATGACGAGTTAATGAGTGCAGCACACCAACATGGCAAACGTATGCATATGTAACTAACCTGCACATTGTGCACATGTACCCTAAAACTTAAAGTATAATAAAAAAAAAAAAAGAATTTTCACCTAACAATATGCAGCATGGACTCAGTACCAGGGGTTGCATGAAAGTGACAATCAGAACACTTGAGCTGTCATTTGGGTTTCACTGTCCTTCTCAGGCCCTTCTCAGCATCTCTGCTCCCCACTGTCACTGAAACAGCTAAGCCCAACTGCACCTTTCAAATTCCAGGTTAGCTCTGTCTTGTGCACAAAAGCAGCCCCCTCCCAGATAATCTCAAATTGACTAACCTAATTCATTTGCATGCATGTTTTGATATTGCCTTACTACAATGTAAGCTTCTGGAATGGGGTATGCAGAGCCTGTGCCAGTCCACCCATATGTTTCCCGTTTCCATAATACTTCAAGGGACACAGCAGGTAATTTGCAATATATGTCGATGGCGGACTGACAAAGGTCTTTTGCCAAAGAGGCTTTGTAAAAGATGTGGTGTGTTCATTAAAATAGCTAATCTTTAATTGCCCAAGGATGTCAAAGAGTCTAAAGTAAGAAGACCCTGAGAGAATTAAGTGCATTAACTAGCATTCTGAGGGGGCATTATGTTGCCCAACTTGGCAGAACAACATGTGGATAAAAACAACAAAAACTAAATTTCACATTTGCTCTGTGCCTAGCAATGTGTTATGAGTTCTCAGCTCATCAGTGGCTTCAGTATTAAATAAATCATTTAAATCATTATTTAAATATAAAGACAAAAATACAAGCACACTTTTAAAAATAGAAAATCTCAGGAGGAAAGAGAAGGACAAATTGCTCACTCATTCATTTATCTTCTAAAAATTGTTTTGTATTCATATATTCATTTATTTATTTTTTATCCCTTCAGTCAATAAACCACAAATGTTGCTTTAAGAGTCAGGATACATTCTAAGAAATGCATCGTTAGGTGATTTCATCCTTGTGACAACATCACACGGTGCAGTTATACAAACCTAGATGGTGTAGCCTACTACACACACACACTCTATATGGTCTAGCCTATTGCTCCTAGACTACAAGCCTGTACAGCTTGTTACTGTACTGAATACTGTAGGCAACTGTCATTAAAAGGTAAGTACTACGTATCTAAATCTATCTATACATAGAAAAGGTACGATAAAAATATAAAAGATAAAAAATTATACATCTGTATAGGGCAATTCCATTATAATCTTATAGGACCACAGTCATATATGTAGTCTGCTGTTGACTGAAACGTCATTATGTGGTGCAGAACTATACTTAAGAGATGCCTACAACCTGCCAAGAATGTAGCAAAAATATTCAGCAATATTTTGTGCTATCATTCAATAAAGTACTTAAGGAATGCCTACAATATGCCAATAATTCAGTAAAACTATTTAATAATATTCCATACATATTCCCTTTCCACATAAACACCAACTCAAACCAACACATCACTCTCAGGTCTTGTAAAGGCTTGAAAATGGTGTAAGCCCCTTTGGCTAACACGAACCTAGCAGCAATTATGTAGCACCTTTGTGTAACGACTTCTTCCACCATAACTCTCTCTTAGCTCTTCAGTTACTTTTTTTTTAAATCATGTCATCCACTTAACACACTGAGCACAAACCTTGTTCGTCAAGCGTCTCTCAATAGGTTTTGTGTGATGTGTGTGGTCTTTAAATGGTATGTTCTTTATCTGGGGTTGCCACATGTCCTTCTAGCTGCAGTGATTAGCCTAAAGGTTGATCTGTGAGTCAGGCCAGGTGATCAGAGCTAACGAGCATTAGCCCAGTATTTCTGGGGTTTGCTCTGTTTGCAATGGGGTTGATACAGTAATATGTGTAGTCAATTACAATGTGCCCCCGAAAAGATATGCCCACTTCCTAGTCCCTGGTACCTGAGAATGTGACCTTATTTGGAAAAAAGGGGCTTTGCCGATGTAATTAAGCCTCTTGAGATTTTTGATTTAGGGTACAGCCTGACACTAATGACTACTGTTTTGTTGTTGTTGTTGTTGTTTGTTTGTTTTGAGACAGAGTCTGGCTCTGTCACCCAGGCTGGAGCGCAGTGGCGCAATCTTGGTTCACTGCAAGCTCCGCCTCCCGGGTTCACGCCATTCTCCTGCCTCAGCCTCCCGAGTAGCTGGGACTACAGGCGCCTGCCACCACACCTGGCTAATTTTTTTTTGTATTTTTAGTACAGACGGGGTTTCACCGTGTTAGCCAAGATACTCTCCATCTCCTGACCTTGTGATCCGCCGGCCTAGGCCTCCCAATGTGCTGGGAATACAGGCGTGAGCCACCGCGCCCGGCCTGACTAGTGTTTTTATAAGAGAAAGGAGAGGGAGATTTAAAATACAGAGACACCCAGACAATACAGCCATGTGACAACAGAGGCAGAGATTGAAATGATGTGGCTATAAGCCAAGGATTGCTGGCAGTCCCCTGGAGCTAAAAGAGATGCAAGGATCAGATTCTCCTTCCAAGCCTCTAGTAGGAATCAACCCTGCTGACATCCTGATTTCAGACTTCTGCCTTCTCAAATTGTGAGAGAATAAAATTTTGTTGTTTTAAGCCACCAGTTTGTGGTAATTTGTTAAGGCAGTCCTATCAAACTAATACAAGGGATTTTAAGTGTGGAGCTTTGGTGACAATATGAGAACGTGCTTGAAAGTAAAACAAATTTCTTCCTGTAAATCAGTCTGGGGAGGATCTATGCGTCCAGGAATTTATCCATTTCTTTCAGAGTTTCTAGTTTATGTGCAGAGAGGGTTTCATAATCTTGTGATGGTTGTTTGTATTTCTGTGGGCCCAGGGGTAATATTCCCCCTTGTCATTTCTGATTATGTTTACTTGAATCTTCTACCTTTTCTTCTTTATTCATCTAGCTAATCGTTTGTTTTGTTGTTGTTATTGTTGTTGTTTAAAAAAAAATAGCTCCCGGATTCATTGATCTTTTGAATGGTTTTTCGTGTCTATCTCTTTCAGTTCAGCTCCGATTTTGGTTATTTCCTGTCTTCTGCTAGCTTTGGGATTTGTTTGCTCTTGTTTCTCCAGTTCTTTTAATTGTGTTGTTAACTTGTTACCTTGAGATCTTTCTAACTTTTGGATGTGGGCATTTAGTGCTATACATTTCCCTCTTAACACTGCCTTAGCTGCGTCTCAGAGATTCTGGTATATTTTATCTTTGTTCTCATTAGTTTCAAAGAACTTCTTGATTTCTGCCTTAATTTCATTATTGACCCAGAAGTCATCTAGGAACAGGTTATTCAATTTCCATGTAACTGTATGGTTTTGAGTGAATTCTGACTGATTTTGAATTTAGTTATGCTGTGGTGCAAGAGACTGTTTGTTATGATTTCAGTTTAACCTAAATGCCTACCAATGATAGACTGGATAAAGAAAATGTGGTCCATATGCACCATGGAATGCTATGCAGCCATAAGAAAGAATAAGATTATGTCCTTTGCAGGAACATGGATGGAAGTGGAGGCCATTACACTTAGCAAACTAACGCAGGAACAGAAAATCAAATATTCCTTGTTCTCACTTAAAACTGGGACTTAAACCATGAGAACACGTGGACACACAGAGGGGAACAACACAAACTGCGGCCTATTGTAGGGTGGAGGGTGGGAGGAGGGAGACAATCAGGAAAAATAACTAATGGGTACTAGGATTACCATCTGGATGATGAAATCATCTGTACAACAAGTCCCCATGACACAGGTTTACCTATGTAAAAACAGTACATTTGTAACCTTGAGTTTAAAATGAAAGTTATTAAAAAAAAAAAAAAAAAAAAAGGAAACCAACAAAGATGAAAGCAGTTTTGAGAAGCAGAGAGTTTCTCAGGGGCACAGGTTTACGCACACCAAAAAGGCAGTCTCCTACCCTTAGACGCATAGGTTTCATGAGAATGAATAAGTCCTTCTTATTTTTCTTATTTTTGCTTAAGCTGAGTTTACAGTCCTCTCCTAACTAAGCAGAAAGGCATAAGTTTAATGAGAAGAAAAAAGAATGGGAGAACTGATTGAACTGTAATTGATGTAGTTTCACAAATGAGTTTGCAGAAAAAGGGAACATCAACAAGCCCTCCCACCTTTTATGTGGGGCTTGGCATAGATGGCTATTTAAAGAGTCATACTGGACTGAATGTTTTCCCTTGTACCAAGATATGCAAACGAGAGTTATAAGGCCACCAACTCATTATCATGGAACCTGAAATTATTAGAGTTGTTTGGCAACAACAGTGTTAGCCCAGCTGCCTCACTGTTTAAGGGGGGGACAGAGGCATGAGACATCAGAAGTTGTTTTTTTTTTTCTCCTTCCTGGCTGGAACATGTCAGCGGTCTGTAGCGAAGTACCATGTGTGTGTTAAGTGTCTGGAAGTCATTTTAATTGGTATGCAACCTTGACCCTCTGCAGCGTGGCATCACCACTGTCCACTCTTCTCCCTGATCCCCTGGGAAACGATTAAGTTCCTCTCACAGTGTCTTTTCAGCTTCCCACTCTGGACTATAAATAACCCTTTTGCATTCTCTGTGATGTGTTTTCACCCTATGACTCTGTTTTTACGGATGGCCCTGCTCCTTCCTCATCTAAGGGGAGGACAACAACAAGAGTGAACACAGGGTCCAAAGAGGTGAATTTTTCACCAAGAGAAGCAAGGTGCAGTTGCACAGGCACGCAGACGGACTCCAAGGACACTGTGTTGGTGGATTCTTTGGAATGTTTACCATGAGCAGCCAGCTTTATGACACTGTGGTGAGGGCTTTTGAAATGCTTTCCCTTTCTAATACCAACACATCACATTAAAGTGATGTGAATTTGAAAGCCAGTTCTCTCACGCACTAGCCACGTAACCTTGGAGAAGTGATTTTACCTTTCTGTATTCTGATTCTCTCCTCCTCGAAACGAGTATCATGTCAGCATTTGTTCCAGAGACTTTTATGAGGATTATAAGCAAAATCCACATTAAACGCCTAGTGGTAAATGTATAATGAACATCAGGAAGTGTGTGCTACTATTATCAGAATGTAGGACTTCTGACACACTAGTCTTCCTGTGTTTCAGTGTCTTCTTCTATAAATAATGACAGTCCCTACCTTTTATGGTTATTTGGCATACTGAATGGCTTTATATATGCTAAGGGCTTGAAACTGCGTTTTAAGTAAGTGTTCAGTCAATGTCATCTATTACAATGAACGGTTTTGTTGCTTATTTTTCTAGGGTATACACATAATCATATTCAATAACTGTTAAGTATCAGTGATGGGTAGACCACTAGGCAGGGTGCTGGGAGGTGAACTGGAGAGTCAGACCCAAACTAACCCCTCCTCATGTCCCTGTAACACTGGGAGCACTGACGGTTAGGATAAGGTGGAAGAAAGGGGATGGGATTCCCGCCTAGAGCAGCAGAAACAAACACAAGGATTGCTGCATTTGAGCAAAGTCTTGCATGCATATGAGGAGGTATTTGCCAGGTGGATAGGAAAAGATAAGGGTAGCCTTCTGAAAG
This sequence comes from Homo sapiens, assembly GCF_000001405.40. Classification (NCBI taxonomy): domain Eukaryota; kingdom Metazoa; phylum Chordata; class Mammalia; order Primates; family Hominidae; genus Homo; species Homo sapiens. The sequence goes on along the minus strand of NC_000016.10, from coordinate 6,617,972 downwards.
CACTTGCAAGACACCAGCATGCACCAACACCACCTCCATGTTTGAAAAGTTTTGTTTTTGCTGTTACCCCTGCCCCCAGACACTTCTAGACCTCCATGGTACTTTCCATCCTTATTGAAACTCACATCACTTCCTCAAGGAGGAATTCTCTAATCTTCCTAAATAAAAGAAAATTGCTGTACTTTATCCCCCACTGTCTACTGTCTTGCCATATTTCCTCTGGCTGAAATTGCACAAAATATCTATGCTGTCTCTTCTTCCTTATTGCCCACCTTCCCTCCACAAGACTGCAGGCTCCCTGAGAGTCAAAACCCTGCCTGTGATGGGCTCTGACACCTGGAACACATGCAAAGCATTTAGTAAATCTTTGGAACCCCCACATGTAAGTGGTAGGAGGAAAGGTCCTCCAGCCCTGTCTATAACCACATGGCCATCTTGATCTCATCTCTATAGGGTCCAGTGAAACTTCTGCTAGGAAAAATACAAGTTTGAAATCAATTACATCCATGAGAAGTGAACTGGAGAGTCAGACCCAAACTACCCCCTCCTCATGTCCCTCTGCATGAGTGTCATAATTCCTAGCTGGACATCCATGCCTTTAGATACACAATGTCTCTGCTGTATAGGTTAAGGGCAACTGCCTATCTGTTTTTGAGGCTTTGTAGACCTCCAAGCAGGAAGATCAGGTTCCCTTTCCTTCACACTCTAGACAATATTTGCTTCATGTAATTGATTTCAAACATGTATTTTTCCAAGCAGAAGTTTCACTGAACCCTATACAGATGAGATCAAGGTGGACAAGTGCTTATAGTCAGGGATGGAGGACCTCTCCTTGTACCACTTAAGTCTTACGTCTTCCAAAACTCTTCGTGGTGGGCCAAAGCACCTCTACGTTCTTAAGTACCCTGCTCAAAGATCAACACTGTATACCGGTAATCAACAAACTTTTCCTACAAAGAAGCAGATAGTATGTATCTTCAAAGCCAGGACATAAGGTCTCTGTTGCAAAACTCTGCTGTCGTGGCAGGAAGCCAACCAGAGACAATATGTAAACAAATGAGCATGACTGTGTTCCAATAAAACTTAATTTACATAAACAGACAGAGGCTAGAGGTGGCCCATAGTCTCTAGTTTGCCATTCCGTGATGTTAGATTATGGCAGCATTAATCAGAATAATGGCTGTAGCTCACTCTTGTCAGAAAAGCCCTGCCTTTTGCAATGAATTAAGAAAACTTATTGCCGGGCATGGTGGCTCATGCCTGCAATCCCAGAACTTTGGGAGGCAGAGGCAGGTAGATCACCTGAGTCTTGCTCTGTCGCCCAGGCTGGAGTGCAGTGGCACGATCTCGGCTCACTGCAAGCTCCGCCTCCAGGTTCATGCTATTCTCCTGCCTCAGCCTCCTGAGTACCTGGGACTACAGACGCCCGCCACCATGCCTGGCTAATTTTTTGTATTTTTAGTAGAGTCGGGGTTTCACCTTGTTAGCCAGGATGGTCTCGATCTCCTGACCTCGTGATCCACCCGCCTCGGCCTCCTGAAGTGTTGGGATTACAGGCGTGAGCCATCACGCCTGGCCAAAAAAAAAAAAACCAAACATTTTTACTGTATTTGAGTCACTATCACTGGGCACGGTTGGGGGTGGATTTCTCTACAGATTATAGCATGTAATATAGCATATAACTAATAAACTGATTAAAAATAAGTTAATATAATTTTTAAAGGACAGGAGAATATGAGCACAGACATTCATTTATTATTCACTGTTTATCCAGTTACCAAAGAACAGAAAAGTTAAATACACATACAATGATGAAAAATTTGCTCCTGCAAAAAGGCCTGACACTTCCTATAAAAGATTCTTCAGTTTGGGATTGGGGCCCTGTCCTCATCTGCTGCACAGCCCTCCACACCGATGACAGTCTGACTTTCCTAAACGCAAAACTGGGCAGTGTCCCTGCGTCTATATATGGATTCAGAATCAGAGTTCAGCAAGTCAAGCTACAACGTCAAGGGACCGGTACCACTGTTCACAGATAGTTTCTGCACCGAGGGAGGTTATGAGGGATGGGGAGATGCGTATCACATGAGGATTCGCGAGCAAGGAAACGCAGTTCCACGTGCCAAGCAGACAGTGCCTGTGAGAAGGGAAATGCGGCTGTGTCTCCATCCATCTGCTGTTAATGGCAGAGCTGACTTCTCACGTGCATGAGAAAAGACGGAAGCTATATAGAGAGACTTTCAAAGGAGGGAAATACAAGTGTTTGCATTGATGTTCTCCTGGAGAGGGAAAGGCTGATGGAAAGCACATGGACATTTCATGTGAAAGAAGTTCTTTATTTTGAGGAAATGAGGAATTTTCCTGTGGCCATATTTATTGGGACAGAGGATTTTTTTTTTTTTTTAGATGGAGATTCGCTCTTTCTCCCAGGATGGAGAGATGTGGTGCGATCTTGGCTCACTGCAACCTCTGCCCCTTGGGTTCAAGCAATTCTTCTGCCTCAGCCTCCCAAGTAGTTGGGATTACAGGCACCCACCAGCACACCCAGCTAATTTTTGTATTTTTAGTAGAGACGGGGTTTTGGCATGTTGGCCAGGCTGGTCTCCAACTCCTGACCTCAGGTGATCCACCCGCCTTGGCCTCCCAAAGTACTAGAATTACTGGCATGAGGATCTTAAATACGAATGTATTTTGGAATTATTAGCACCAGTGAATGAGATTCTAGTCTAAATCCACTGGGAAGTTCTCTGTATAAGAAGTTTTCATTCCTTTATAGAGTAAAAAATGCCATTTCTAGAGGGAAAAATAGGCCACCCACAAAATAACTGTTTTGCAAACTGTATTTTATACAATGAGTTTGCCTTAAGCAAAGGTGCAACTGTTTTCACGATACCATCCACATGGCCCTCGTCTGCAGCACAGGGCTCACAGATCATCTTATGCATCACAATGGTTATTTCTCTTAATAAATAATGCCCAAAACAATTCGACTGGTAATTGGGATGCAGTCATCTATATTTTTAAAGTGTCTGTTAGCAACAAAAAGATACGGTGAAGTCCTAACCCCGGATACCTCCAAATGCAAACATTTTCAAACACAGAGTCACTTTATTAATAGAAGTGATTAGTTAAGATGAGGTAACCCTGGAGTAGGGTGAGTCCCTAGGTCAATATGACTGATGTCCTCATAAATAAAATGGCCATGTGAAGTCAGAGACAGATGGAAAATGCCACACGAAGATAAAGCCAGAGACTGGAGTGATAGACCCATAAGCCGAGGAACACCAAAGACTGTGGGGCAAATCACTAGGAGTAAGGAAAGAGGCTACTTCCTCAGATCCTGCAGAAGGAACCAAGCCTGCCCACACTTTGATTTCAGACATGCAACCTCCAGAACTAGGCGAAGACATTTCTGATGTTCTAAGTCGTCCAGTCTGTGATACTCAGTTACAGCAGCCTCAGGACACCCACAAAACATTCCGCAGTGATTGGTTTGTCCTGTCCCGGTAAAGATTAACTGGGCAGGAAAAAGCAGGTCTGCTTTTATTCTTTTTAATAACCATCTTCTTTCTAGGCAGATACCAATATTCTTTCTAAAAGAAAAATCAGGGATGTTAATTCTTCATACCTGGCATGATATTTAAAGATGGCTGGAGGGCAGGAAGTCCATCCAGTGTAAGACTCAGAAGGGATTCTTTCTATCTTTAGTTTATTATTGTCCATTTCAGACATCCTTACTTGCAGCAGGCAGTATGAAATGCATCAGAATTTCATTACTTAGAAGAAACAAGATCTGAATGATATGATCTGTAGAAAATATTATCTTACATGGGAAATTCAATATTTTTTGGGAATTCCAAAAATATTACCTATTCGTTATAAAATCTACAAACAATAAAGCAACTTACAATGTAGAAAGGGAAAGTTTCACCTAAACTCACTTACAAAAGAAAAACTCTGGTTAGTAATTGCTGTATAAAGCTTCCAAATTATTGCAGTATCTGAATCTATCTTCTTTTTTCTTTTTCCTTTTTGGAGACTGAGTCACACTCTGTCGCCCAGGCTGGAGTGCAGTGGCACAATCTCAGCTCACTGCAACCTCTGCCTCCCAGATTCAAGTGATTCTCCTCCCTCAGCCTCCCAGGTAGCTGGGATTACAGGCACACACCACCACACCCGGCTAATTTTTTATATTTGTAGTAGAGATGGGGTTTCGCCATGTTGGCCAGGCCGGTCTCAAACGCTTGGCCTCGAGTGATCTGCCCTCCTTGGTACTTATCTACCTTTTTTAAAAAATGAGATAACACACTACTTATGTTACTCTACAAGTTGCTTATTCTACTGAATAAAACATGGGCATCTTCATATTATGGAATTAGATTTCAACCTCATTATGTTTAATAATCATCTAGCGTTCCATAGCATTTTGTAAACATATCATATTTTACAATGTCCTTGCATGTAAGTGATGCTAATCTATATGCTTAACTGTTTAAGGGTTGGAGCGGAAGACTTTAAGGGGGCCTAAGGGTTTCACGTACTAAACACCACACCGTATACAGAAATCATTCCCCCGCTTTGTCCTAGGCATTCTCATATGGATTTTCTGTGTGCTAAGAACCAGCCCCCACCATCCTGAGCATTCAAAGGAAATTGCTCTCCATCCTTCCCAAGTTTACCCTTATTGCAAACCAACCTGAAAATCCTTTAGCAAAGATGACAGCCAAGCATATGACAGGGAAGGGAAGTGCACAGTGGGGGAGCTGCTTGGAAGCTGATGCTAATGGCTGCCTTGTGAGGGACCCACGCAGCAAGCATAATGCCTATAGATCAAGGCACATGCACCGCGAGTGCAAAAGTATTAATCAGGCCTGACAGTTCCTGTACCACAGTATTTATCCTGTGAATTCCAAAACACACACACACACTCACACACACACACACACACACACACACACACACACACACATGCTGGGACTGGCACCTGCCTTCTCTCACTTGGCACGTGAACTGTACGGGGGCTTTGTTTGTCAAACTGAATTTGGTAATCTTCACTTTCAGTTTTAAGGAAACAGCCCTCTGGAACAAACAAATATTATTATTATTATTTTTTTTTTTTTTTTGAGAGAGAGTCTCACTGTCTCCCAGGCTGGAGTGCAGTGGCATGATCTTGGCTCACTGCAGTCTCCACCTCCTAGGTTCAAGTAATTCTCCTGCCTCAGCCTCCTGAGTAGCTGGGATTGCAGACACCGACCACCACACCCGGCTAATTTTTGTATTTTTAGTAGAGGAGGGGTTTTGTCATGTTGGCCAGGCTGATCTTGAACTCCTGACCTCAAGTCATCCACCTGCCTCGGCCTTCCAAAGTGCTGGGATTACAGGTGTGACCAACTACACCCGGGCCAAACAAATGTTTTTAACATCTGGGAAATGAATGGCTCTAGCCTCATGGCAAGCTCACCATCCAATTCCAACTGCCTTGTAAAAGTAGTTTGTGCTGTAAGTACACGTGAAACTTAAATAAGTCAATATACGTAATTAGAGATCTGCACATACACACATATGCATACATGATATGTGTTTTTATTTACTACTTTTAAAAGCAGTGGCAATGTTGGTTTTATTAAAAACGTATGCCTGCAGTTTAGTTTGTAATATCATCCCAAAGTTGGTTTCTTAGTTTTGAGAAATGTGTTGTGATCATGCAAAATTTTAACATTTAGGGGAATATTGGTCAAGAGTATACTAGGACTCTCTATAAAGCTAAACTTACCCTGAGTCTAAAATTCCTTCAAAATAATTAAACAAACAGAAAATAAAAGATGAGCAAATTCTTACCAGGGATAATCCCTAGATGCATCATGTACCATATGCAAGAGGGGAGGGTTGTTTTAGACGTAAATATATTAGAATAATGCAAGAAACAGGAACTATTCCGGGACTTTTCAACCAAAAGGAATTTTTTCATCAAGGGGACTCGGGAGATCTGAGAGGCCAAAGAAGGAACGGTAACAGAATTGAGGAAGAGGTGACTGCAGAAGCTACCAAAACCCTTGCAACCAATGGGAAGAGGAGGTGTCTTCAGAGACCAGAAACCAGGGTCACGTGCCATGGTGGACACTGCCCAGCGGGAGACAGGGCCTTGGAGGAGGGCCCTGAGGGAGGACTCAGGGTGCCTTGGGAAGCAGAGAGAGAAGGGGAAGATGAGTTCTGGCTTCTCCTGCATTCAGAGTTTCCACTCACGCCCTCTACTGGGTGAAAATATCCAGAAGCCACGGACAAGGTAAGCCGGAATCATCCTTGCTCTGATAAAGCACAAAGAAAGGAGAAAGAAAGCTCTGAGCATCTGCAGGCAGTTTCCTTGAACAGCGGAACACGGATAGGAAAAACCATGCTCACTGTGGAGTCTCATGTGATGAGAAGAAATGTCAAGTTGTATGAGTACCAGAATCACACGGGGGCAAAGAGCATCCAAGGAGACCTCTCCGAGGGAAACAGGAAGCATCATGTAAAAGCAGATGAAGACGGCCAGGCACAGTGGCTCACGCCTGACATCCCAGCACTTTGGGAGGCTGAGGCAGATGGATCACCTGAGGTCAGGAGTTTGAGATCAGCCTGGCCAACATGGCAAAACCCTGTCTCTACTAAAAATACAAAAATTAGCCAGGCGTGGTGGTGTGCGCCTGTATTCTCAGCTATTTGGGAGGCTGAGGCAGGAGAATTGCTTGAACCTGGGAGCCGGAGGTTGCAGTGATCCTAGATTGCACCATTATACTCCAGCCTGGGTGACAGAGAGACTTCGTCCCCTCCCCCTCAAAAAAATAACTACACAAAGACTATTACAGTCCACTTTGTCATCTCCAACCATTTATGGGTTCCTGTTGGTTTCCTGCTTTTGCTTCTTAGGCCTTAATGGTAAAATCTTATTTCCACAATAACATACACTTTCTTCTAATTTGGTATTAAGTATATCTGTGCTCCAGCTAAGGAAAAAGTTGCTGCTAAGTGAATGCAGATTGTATATTATGATCTTCCACATTTTATGGTCTACTATATATTAAGATATGTTATCAGTGGAACAGGCATATCAAATGACCTACTTTTAAAAGAACAGTTTGGCAGTCAATTCATAAGTGGTATGTATGCCCAGAACATTTTTATTTCTACTTCTCAAAGCAGGGGATGTGAAAGTCACAGACATTTTGTTGGTGATGTTATCATGGTAGTGATTGTTTGGCGGAAGCTGCTGAGTAACAAGACCACTTCGCAATCTGATCTTTCAGTGTTTCTTCACATATATGAAGCTCACCTGAGTTAATGTATAATCAGGATAATGTTGATCGGGTGGGGTGTAGTAGTTTACACCGGTAATCCCAGCATTTCGGGAGGCTAAGGTGGGAGGATCCTGTGAGACCAGGATTTTGAGAGCAGTCTTAGCAACAAAGGGAGTCCTCATCTCTACAAAAAGTACAAAAAAATCAGCTGAGTGTGGTGGCATGCACCTGTGATTCCAGCTACTCTGGAGGCTGAAGTGGGAGGATCACTTGAGCCGGCAAGGTTGATGCTGCAGTGAGCCATGATTGCACCACTGCACTCCAGCCTGGGTGATAGTGGGATACTCTGTCTTCCTCTAAAAAAATAAGAATGTCAATGTTTCCCTGGTCCAGATGAGTTTCTTCCATAATTCATGCTTACTAATAATGCCATACTTTATTATTGTTTTTACAACATTTAAAAACAAACAGTGGAAAAGAAAACATAGATGCACTCTCAGCAGAATGATAATTTAGTCTAATGCACACCGAAGAGCTTCAGGCTTTGAGAATCAACGTGAGGTCCATGAAACACACTTTGAATGTCATCTACCTCCGTTCTTATTTTATTTCTGTCTGGCCATTTTCCCCCACATCATCATTGTTAGTGGGTTTTTGTTTTGTTTTGTTTTGTTTTGTTTTGTTTTGTTTTGTGTCAGAGCCTCACACTACTGCCAGGCCTGGAGTGCAATGGCGTGATCTCGGCTCACGGCAACCTCCACCTCCTGGGTTCAAGCAAGTCTCGTGCCTCAGCCTCCCAAGTAGCTGGGACTACAGGTGCGCACCACCACACCCAGCTATTTTTCATATATTTACTAAAGATGGGGTTTCACCATGTTGGCCAGGATGGTCTTGACCTTTTGACCTTGTAATTTGCCTGCCTCGGCCTCCCAAAGTGCTAGCATTACAGGCCTGATTCACCATGCCTGACCCATTGCTAGTGTTTTTAAAGGGGGTTATCTATGAAGGAAACACTGAACCATCTGGGTGAATCTTTACATAGGGTTAACTTCAGGATTCCCCCAAACAGCTAATCCAGTAAAGAAATAAACAAATTTTTTTTTAAATTAAGGAAATGCCTTGATTTTAGAAAAATCATACCAGCCTGGGCAATGTAGTGAAACCCCGTTGTTACAAAAAATACAAAAATTAGCCAAGTGTGGTGGCATGCACCTGTTGTCCCAGTTACTCGGGAGGCTGAGGTGGGAGGATTGAGCCTGGGAGGCAGAGGAGATTGCAGTGAGCTGAGACTGCACTACTGCACTCCAGCCTGGACAACAGAGTGAGACCCTGTCTCAAAAAATAAAAATAAAAAAGAGAAAAAAGAAAATCATTTTCCACGTCAACCTCTCCATCTACAGAACATACTACACTCCATACCCAGCCACTGTGCTAAGAACTTTACTACATCTTCCCAGTAATCCCAACAACCATCTATAAAGTGGCTGTGGAAGGCAGAATTGTGGCCCCTAAAGATGTCCATGTCTGTCCTGGAGCCTGCGAATGTATCATATGACATGGTAAAAGGGAATCAAGGTTGCTGATTAGCAGACCTTAAATAGGGAAATTATTCAGGATCATCAAGATGGGCTCCAGGTAATCACAAGGGTCTTCAAATATGGGAGAGGGAGACAGAAGGGTCAGGTCAGAGTGACCTGATGGAAGAAAGGCTTGCCTGGCCATGGCTGGCTTTGAACTTGGAAAAGGCTGTGACCCAAGGGAGCAGAGTGGATTCTAAAAGTTGGGAAGGGCAAGAAAAAAGATCTCCTCTACAGGCTCAAGAAAAAAACAGCCCTGCTGGCACCATGATTTTAGTCCAGTGAGACACACTGCAGACTTCTGATCTCTACAACTATGAGATGACCAACTTCTGTTTTTGTTTGTTTTTGAGACAAGCTCTTGCTCTGATGCACAGGTTAGAATGCAGTGGTACAATCATGGCTCACTGTAGCGTCAAACTCCTGGACCCAAGTCATCCTTCTACCTCACCCTCCTGAGACCACAGGCATGTGCCGCCATGACTAGTTAATTTTTGTAGAGATGGGGTCTTGCCATGTTGCCCAAGCTCATCTCAAACTCCTGGTCTCAAGCGATTCTCCCACCTCAGCCTTCCAAAATATTAGAATTACACATGTGAGCCACCATACCTGGGCAATTTCTGTTGTTTTAAGTCACTAAGCTTGTGACAATTTGGGAAATAGTAACAGGAAACGAATAAGGGTGAAAACTGTTATCCCCATTTTGCAGATGGTAAAACTAATGTGTATAAACATATAAACAAAACCCACAAAGAGGTGAACAATAATACTGGGATTTAAGCCAGTCTTTCTGGCTCAAAAGATAGGCTTTTCCCCACAGGATACTATATGGCTTTACTTTGAAATATTTCACTTAATTCAGGTATCTATTAATGATTATAACACAAACCAATGCTGCCTTAGAAATAATTTGAGAAAAAATGATGATACCAAGGATACAGACTCAAAATAGGTCTGGTAAGAGTTAAGAAAGTGAGGAGTAATCAATGAAATAGTATTTCTTGAGAACCCGTTGTTTCAGGTGCTATGAGACATTGTCTCATTAATTTCTCTCAAAATTCTGTACAATGAAGGACTTTTTTGATGTAGAAGATAAAATATTACAGAGGATGTATCACCTACCAAAGCCTTCCCAGTAAAGGGTCAGAGTTAAGGTTTTAGGTCAAGCTCATAGCTGTTTCCAAGTTTGTATATATTCTATTTCAGTATGTTGCCAACTCCAGAAACAAGGAGGTTTGTGGACAAAGAGAATTTTAAAGGCTAAATGAGGATGTAAGTCATGTTAAGTTTGTTCTCCCATTCTATGATCGCTCATTAGGATGTGAAACATTATTCGGGAGCTATGTTGTAGACACTGAATTTTGGAACCATATACAGCAGGGGGAAACCACAAAATTCTAAAATAATTATTTCTTATTTGCACACTCACATGCCCACATAGGCAGACATAATACAGAGAGGGAAGAAGACAGAAAGAGAGAGGAGAGATAGAGGAGGAAGAAGAGAGAGAAAGAGAGAGGAGAGAGAGAGAGGAGGGAGACAGGACGGAGAGAGAGGAGGAAGAGGGAAAGAGGAGGAAGAAAGAGGGAGAGGAGATAGATAGGAGAGAGAAGAGAGGGGAGAGAGAGGAAGAAAGAGTAAGGAGAGACAGAGGAGGAAGAGAGAGAGGAAGAGAGATAGAGAGCGAGAGAGAGAGAGAGAGAGGAGAGAGACTGAAAGACCTAACTGCTTATGATAACTGGAAATTGGTCATATGGTTATAACATTTATATTAAATGAATTATTATATCCTAATGCTTGATTTTTAAGGGATGTGAATATGAGAGCTGACATTTCTCTTCCCTTTTAATCCTAATAACCACAATGAATTGTTCCAAGATGGTTCAAAGCACATTCTGATATCTTTCTGTCATTGTCCCCAATCAGTAGTCAGATGAACACTCATCTGTTCACCCACAAATTCTCTAGGAAGCTTGCTAAAATGCAGAGTGCTGACTTCCACTCTCAGGGACTATTAGTCAGTAGGTTTGGAAGGCAGCAGCCTCAGGTATATTAAAAAATGTATAGCCATTTTTGGCGATTATTAAAAAGTCAAGAAACAACAGATGCTGACAAGGCTCTGGAGAAATAGGAATGCTTTTACACTGTTAGTGGGAATGTAAATTTGTTCAACCATTGTGAAAGACAGTGTGGTGATTCCTCAAAGATTCAGAACAAGAAACACCATTTGACCCAGCAATCCTATTACTGGGTATATACCCAAAGGAATACAAATCATTCTATTATAAAGATACATGCACGCGTATGTTCACTGCAGCACTATTCACTGTAGCAAAGACGTGGAGTCAACCAAAATGCCCATCAATGATAGACCAGATAAAGAAAACGTGGTACATATGCAACATGGAATGCTATACGGCCATAAAAAGGAATGAGATGTTTTTTGCAGGGACATGGATGGAACTGGAAGCCATTATCCTTAGCAAACTAACACAGAAAACCAAACACCACATGTTCTCACTTCCAGGTGGGAGCTGAACAATGAGAACACATGGACACAGGGAGGGGAACTACACACAATGGGGCCTCGTAGAGGGGAAGGAGGAGGGAAAGCATCAGGATAAACAGCTAATGCGTATGGGGCTTAATAACTAGGTGATGGGTTGATAGGTGCAGCAAATCACTATGGCACACGTTTACCTGTGTAACAAATCTGCACGTCCTGGACATGTACCCCAGAACATAAAATTTTAAAACACGTACAGTCATTTTTGAGACATGCAACCCCAAATTCATCAAGATAAAAATGTGTCTGGATACATGAATTCCAGGAAGAAGTGGCTTTCTAATATATTGGCTTGGAAAAAATATCAAAGGCAGTAGTACTTCACAGGATTCCTATTTTAGCCTCCGATTACCTGTCCAAGTCTCTGCCTATCTCCCCACAACACTTGCATGTTACTGGAAATACATTCAGCATTATAAGATGTATATTTCTTTTTTTTTCTTTTTTGAGACAGAGTCTCGCTCTGTCACCCAGGCTAGAGTGCAGGGGCGTGATCTCGGCTCATTGCAACCTCCACCTCCTGGGTTCAAGTGATCCTCCTGCCTCAGTCTCCCAAGTAGCTGGGACTACAGGCACTGCCCCCACCCCCAACCATGCTCCGCTAATTTCTGTAATTTTAGTAGAGACGAGGTTTCACCATGTTGGCCAGGCTGGTCTCGAACTCCTGCCCTCAAGTGATCCACCCGCCTCAGACTCCTAGAGTGCTGGGATTACAGGAGTGAGCCACTGTGGCCTGCCAGGATGCATATTTCAAGTATAGTTTCCCGTGTGTTGTTTCATAATGAAATGCCCGTCTAAATGCAACCTCCACGAACACACGGACTGAATCTCTCCTGTTCGCTGACACAGCATCTAGGCCCTGCCCAGAGCCTGGCGGGGAGCCAGTACCCAATAAATATTTCTGGAACAATGAACGAGTATTAAGTTTTCACTCTGTACTTGAAGTCACTACATGTAAAGTAGCAGCACAAGTAAAAATGAGAGATTCACTCCGATCACTCCGATGACAAATGCACTGGACGCTTGTATTTGGCCAAAATGCTGTCATTTCTGATTTCTCTCTTTGGGGGTTAAGACTGCAAATTCAAAGCAGCCAGAAAGCTAATATTGCCACAATATAAGATCCAGTTCACAGTCTGTGCTTGATAATATCATAAATCAATAAAGCAAAACTCCAAACTAGATGGACAGCAATGAAACAAATGCCAGACAGCTACCTGTAAAAGCTAACATGTTGGGAAGGTGAAGTATAGATGCTATTTGGCCTATTTTTTATTTCTTTAATTGTATGTGTTGGTTTCATTATAAATTATTATTTTATTTTGAGAGAGGGTCTTGCTCTGTCACCCAGTACAGTGGTTTGATCACATCTCACTGTAGCCTTGAGCTCCTGGGCTTAAGCAGTACTCTCACCTTAGCTTCCCGAGTAGCTGAGACTACAGGTGCGCACCACTGTGCCCAGCTAATTTGTGTGTGTATATATATAAAAATACACACGTTGTGCATGTGTTTATATATTTTTATATATATGCACACACTATAAATACATTTATATTTATATATAATTTTATTTTACTTTTTTTGGTAAAGATGAGGTTTTGCCATGTCGCCCAGGCTGGTCTCAAATTCTGGGCTCAAGTAACCTGCCTGCCTAAGGTTCCAAAACTGTTGAGATTACAGGCGTGTGCCACCAGGCCCAAGCTCATTTACTTTTTATGAAGTCATCTATTCATTCAGTTACATCAATCTCAAGCACCAATTAATTGGTAAGAAAGAAAGAATTATAGAATCTTGGAATCATATATTCCTATTGAATTGTAGAATGTTATAGGGCTGACAATTATACGTGTGTGTGCATGTGTATATGCTTAATAAAAAGTTTCAATATGCACAAAAGTAGAACATGTTATATAATGGGTTTTATATACTCAGTACCCATATACAACAGTAATTAAGAGCTTGCCACCATTGCTTTACCTTGCTATTTACCTATTCATTTATTTTCTAAAGTATTTGAAGCAACTCCAGAGTTCCTATCATTTAACCTCTACTTTATAATCCAATTGTGCCACTAAAAATTACAGATACTTTCTTATATAACAAGAATGCACAGCTATTCAGGAGGCTGAGATGGGAAGATCACTTAAATGCAAGACTGTAAGTCCTGCTTGGGCAACAAAGCAAGGCCCTATCTCTTAAAAAAAATAAATTAAAAAAATAAGAAAATGCTGTTATCATGTGTAACAAGATCAACAATAATATTTATTGAGGTTTTTTTCTAAAATAGCCATTTTGATGGCTTTGATAGACATGGTGCACCTATCATGGCTCCCTACTTTTTCTTTTTTTTTTCCCCAGTAGGAATTGCTGGGTTGATCACAGTGACTCTCAAAAGCTGGACTGCCAAGGCGAGGGGATGCTGCCAACAGTAAGGGGAGTGGAGAGAAGCAGATGGGGTAGAGGAAGGAACCAAAAAGGGATCTGGGTGTTTCAAAGGCAAACCTTCAAAGTCCCCAGCAGACCAAAGGCAGCTACATGAAAGGACCACAGTTAGCTGCAGAACCCCCAAGGCTGGGAGAAGAAAAGGAGATCAGAGGGAAGAAGCCACAAACCAACTTCACTGAACAGCCCCCTCGCCCCAGAGCTGAGACACATCACAAAGTGTGGGATCAAAACTCTACAGAAGCAACTCGAGGCAAATGGGGTCACATGGACAACTGTCTATGTCTATAAAGTACCCAAACAGCAGGACGAGAAATAAAAAAGGCAGCCAATGATTCAGATGTTAACCCTAATATTAAGGCCATCCTGATGTCCAGCAATCACAGTCCAGATGTCCTTACCCATGGGAAAGAAGAGGATTGGGGTAGGATCCTCAATGTTCACACTACAGTCAGCCTAGTGGTGCATAACCCCCAGCTGCACATAGCGGCTGCCCGGGGGGGCTTTCTCAAGTGCTGATGCCCAGAGCCTACCCCAAGAGGCTCAGAATCATGGAGTGTGGAGTGGGGCTAAGGCATGCATGTTTTCTAAAGCTCTCCGAATCATTCCAATGTGTTTGAGGGCTCTGATCTAAAGCAAGAGCAAGGTTCTTAAATCAACAGTCCATTTTGATAACACAAAAAGATTTTTGTTTTGTGCAGGAGATGGTGGCCTTCATATTAAATTTTAAGAAACAGATTCCCTTAAATCCTTTAGTTGTATACATCAAGCTATTTCATACAAGACTCCAACTGCCAGGTTCTCTTGAAAAAATCAGAAGCTCTGGCAATGTGGGCTGCCTTTCCCCGGGGTCAGTCTCTCCTTTAGATGACTGAGTTCTGCCATATACTTGGCCCTGAGACAAGTAAGCTGGGTCAATCTTGTTCTTAAGGCATGCTGCCATTCAGATCTTTCTGTGGTCTCTCTTTAGATCTGTAAAGAACAATTCAGCTAAGACCACAACGGTGATGATTAGTTTCCACTTGCAAATTTTATTTTTTTGCTACTAGGATGAAGAGTAGACAATGACAGTAAATACTTACTGAAATAAATAAAATTGGGAAACTTCTTTTTCCTTGGGTGCACTGATGATTAGAAAAAGGGTAATAACAGCACCGGCTCAAGTCAGGATTCCCAATCTCCAGCTCTCGTTTTATTAGTGACAGGATTTGGGAAAGAGTCTTAAGCACTCCAGGCCTCAGTAATTTCATTTGCATGTGATGGTGGGGGTGTGTGGGGCATGAGCTCCAGTTGTCTTTCTGATCTTGAATTCTACATTTTTCCAGGTGCTAAATGATAGCAAGAGGAATGCACAGAAGGGATAAAGCAGCAAGTGGAAAAAAAATTGCACTTCCAGCTCATCTTGAGCCTGGACATAGTTCACAGATGAACATATGAGCTGTCCATGCATCAGTGAGTACCTGGCCACCTTGGAGATGAGCCAAATGGAACTGGAGCCAGGAGAAGGCTTTCCCAGGAGTCCCCGCCTGGCCTCCCAGCAGCACACACAACCCTGTCCTGCAGGTGGCCTTTCTGTAAGAACATCAAGACCTCTTGGAGGTCAGCTGTTGGGGATTCAGCACAGACTGATCCTCTCTCCTTCCAGCTGGAGTCATGAGATTCACCTGCCTTCCCTTCTTGCTCTAGAGAGACCATCCTATACTCAGACAAACGGTTTGCTGTTTTCCTTATAAACAGCTCAGGACAAAAAGTACAGGCAACAAAAAGGAAAAAGAATACGTCGGACTTTTTCAGAATTAAAAACTTTAGCAAATCAAAGACACTATTAAAAGAGTGAAAAGGCAACCCACTGAATGGGAGAGAATATTTGCCAATCATCTATCTTATCAGGAATGAATACCGAGAATGTATAAAGAACTCCTAAAATTCAACAGCAGCAACAACAAACTACAAATTAAAAAATGGGCAAAGGATTTGAACAAACATTTCTCCAAAGAAGACAGACAAATGGCCAATAAACAACTTAGGGAATAAATGAATAATGGAGGGAAAGGAGAGAAATAGGACGCCTTTGTTCTCCTACCAAGCTGCTTCTAGGTACTTCATTCCTCCATCCCCTGTCCTACCTGACAAGAGAGAAGAGTTGTTTATCTGAATGGTCTGAATTAATGATTTGACCCCATTACCACTAGTCAAGGTCACTGTCCTTTAAAATGCACAAACTGTGACTCTAACCCCTCTCTTTAACATCCTCTTCAAGCTCTAACCCCTCTCTTTAACATCTTCAATTCCATGCGGGCAGCACTAGTTGGCTGAGCAAGGTCCTGTTTGCTTTGGTTAAACTCAGCTATATCTTTTCTCCTTCCTTGCTCTTGACCTCAACAAATATACCCGGGAGAATGACTTAAGATGAAGCCTCTCCTACAGATCTGACCTCTTATACGTTCTTTTTAATATGTACCTCTGAGAGTTCCTGAGCGAGCTAGTCCCAAGGATTGGACTGGGGATAGGATGGAGGAACAGTGGTCCTTTTACAGCCTTTAACCAGAGCTAACTCCAAGCATAGGGTGCTTGCAAAACTATGAGTAGAATGGTCCAGGATCCTTACGCTGGTATAGCTTCTTGTATGTAGAGTTCCCTTAAAATTTCTCAAAGAGGAGAGGTAAATGACAAACACCGATTTTAGGACTCTCCCGGAGTCTGGCCACAATACCAACAAAAGCACCGTAACTCTCACCTTCATCTCCATTAAATATAACCAAGTAGACAAGAAACTCTAATGAAAGTTCATGAGAGAGGGGAGAGTGTAAGAAGCTTAAATACTAGAGCCGTATCTTTCTAATTATAGCCCTAGTTGGAATTATATGCTGGTTCAATTCGTCATTCAGCAAAAAAGACTCTTCCATTTCATGATCTTAAAAAAACAAGTACTAAGTTGGATATCTAATTCCTTTCTGTTCTTCAGTTTAAAGCCCAAAGGCTTTACAACTAGGCTAAAGGGGTTACTTAAATCCCTAAGCTGTTGCTACTCTATAATTTCTGGTCTGACACAAAAAGTTTTCAAACACTGTTTTTTTCTTTCATTCCTCTACCTTCTATGTCCTTTCTCAGGGAGTAACTGCAGCTCTGACTATAATCACATTTAAGAGGCTATATTTTCTCACACTTTTCTGACTCAGAGTATCACCTGAGGGACTTTGTTTAGTCATATTAGAGGCTTTTTCATAGATCTAATTCCCCAGTTATAATTCACAAGGGCAGCATTTACGTTCCTCTAAAGGGATTTTTTTTCTATCTTTTTTTTCTTACATTGACTATGTCCTTGATCCACATAAAAGGATATAATCTTGCTTGTTACTTATACTGTCTGTCTGTGAGGACAAATGTTTCATAACGGGGCTGTTTCCTAAATGGTAAATCTATAAACTTGTAATTCTATCAGGCCAAGATATTTAGGTGGATTCAGATGTGTCCCGTCCACTGTTTCAGTTCTGATTTCCCCAGAAATGATGGCAGGTTTGTAAGTAATATTAACGGTCTTTTGTAGTAAATTACATCTTATAATCACCACAGCGTTCGTCTCTGGCCAGAGCAGTTATCAGCTGAAGCAAATAAAGGGTTTGGAGACTCTGCTATCTGGTTCTTTTCAGAATGCCAGAAGTCCTCTATGAACACGAGTGTGCAGAATGAGAGGTCATCTTTTGAAAGCTATAATAAAACATGATTGTAACGGAACATGTGACAGACTGCTTAGCAGAGCAGCCTCCTGACAGTAGCTCAGCTGGAGCTCAATGCTGGGCAGGAGGGAAATGGGGGAGGAGAGAGAACCAGGTAGGGGAGGACTGAGAACAAAAGCCCCGAGATTCTGTCTGGTGGATTTCGTGTTCATCAGCACCACCATTAATTTCAAGGAAAAATGTGTCTTTGAGAAGACAAAAAGTAATAATAATCTGATTCTGTGTCCTACTAAATTGGGTGATGGGTCTGGTAAGGGAAGTGAGAAAAATGAGCTTGAAAAACCCATGAATGCTTCCCTAACCCTCTTCCTCTACATGTTCCAGTCCCAGCAGTGCCACCCAGATGCCCTTTGCAGTTATCTGGGCTTTGGGAAGAAGATGGCAATAGGACAACATGTTGCATACCTTACTGTGAGTTATGGACTGCGTTCAATGCTTTGTTGATTGTGGGTTAACACTTTGTACCACTGACAGAATATTTACTATGTGCAGGGTGCTGTTCTAGTTGCCTAACAAGTGTTAGCTCATGTAATGCTCACAGCTCTCTAAGCTAAGTGCTCTCATTAATTGCCTTTCAGAAATACAGAACTGAAGGTTGCATTAAGTTACACGCACCTGCTCAAGATGGCTTAACTAGGTGGTGAGCACTGGGATGGGAAACAGAGTAGTGGAGAAGTTCGGCTCCACAGCAGCAGTTCTGAAGCACTCTGCCATATGGCTGCTGAATAGTATTAGTGTCACTAGTAAAGGAATAAAAAGATTAGCCTGATTTACACGGGGGAAAATCAAGTTTTTGCAAGTAAGAAATGGTAGGAGTTTTGTTACTGGCTTGAGAACTGAAGTTCCTAGCCACTAGATTCTCTCACTTATTAGTGTTTAAGCCCTTTAGGTGTGTCGCTTAGTATTTTTTTGAAGCGTCCTTGTTATTCTTATTTCAGCAAAGTATTCTGAGATAGATGGTGTATGTTCCCAGAGTACTTTAACTCCCAAGGAAGAGACTCATTACTAGACCCAGGTCACAATTTCCCCAAAACGCACAACCATTAGAGGACCCCTGGCTGACTGCAAATTTAAAATGGATTCAGAGATGTGGTTTTGCTTTATTGGAAGTTATGCAAAGCCCCAAGAACATTGCAGTTATCAATACCCATGTTCTGGATAATGATTTGCAACACGTCTTTGGATGAGAACAGTAGAAACATGTGGGTTAGAAGAGAAAAATTTGTACAAGTACATGGATAACGCCAAATGACCGTATCAGGTGATTTGGAACATACTGACTGGTATTTATTTTAATCTAAAAGCATTCATCTTCTCACCTCCCAGAGAAAACCATTATTCACATTATGAGACAGATCTTGTCAGTTGTCACCTTACGTGCTGACACTGGGATGGGAAACAGAGGAGTTTGTTTTGTTTTGTTTTGTTTTTAACATGGAGTCTTGCTCTGTTACACAGGCTGGAGTGCAGTGGCGCAATCTCAGCTCACTGTAACTTCCATCTCCTGGATTCAAGTGATTCTCCTGCCTCAGCCTCCCGAGTAGCTGGGACTACAGGTGCATGCCACCATGCCCAGCTAATTTTTGTATTTTTAGTAGAGACAGGGTTTCACCATATTGGTCCGGCTGGTCTCGAACTCCCAACCTCGTGATCTGCCTGCCTCAGCCACCCAAAGTGCTGAGATTACAGACGTGAGCCACCACGCCCAGCCAGCCACTACGTATTCTTAAAAGCCATTTTGAATGGTCACATAATACTGTTTATCATATGTATAGATCATAAACTACAAGTCCTTTTATATTGAACTTTTAAAGTGTTTCTCATGTTTCTCCATTATGCTTAATATTGGAATAATCATCTTTGTATATATCGGTCTGACGTCCTCTTTATTTTCTACAGACTGATTAATAGGATTACTGGGAGATAACAAGAACATTAGTTTTATAACACTGGTTACACTTTTACTTTGTACTGGCCAATCAATTCACATCTACCTAAACATCTACTAATAGGAGAGTATTAAATAAATCAGGTCCATACATAATATAAAATAACATGCAGTCTTTTAAAAGAGTAAATAATAATTTTAGATCCTGACAAGAAAGGATGTCTTAATTATATAGTGGAATGAAAAAAAGGCAAGTTAGAAACTATATAGTGTCTGATCACATTTAAAAAACCCTACATATTTATGAATGCATGTTCTGCATATAGGAAACAGATGTGTGTGTGAAGACACGGATGTGGATACATTGGTATATGTATAGGTGCATCTATAAGGATGCCTTCTGCCACAAGTACCAGAAAACCAAACCTGACCAAAGTGACTATAACCATAAAGATATCATTTTGTCTTAAATAAGAATTCCAGAATAAAAGGCAGCCCTGGACTTTCTGAGCAACTCCCGGTGTTATTAAGGACCAAAGTTCCTTCTACTTTTCTGTTTCACCCTCTTTAGCCCAACAAATGTTTGTTCTGAGGATACTCACTTCATGGTGCCAAGATGGCCATGGCAGCTCCAAGGATCAACACCACACCCAAAGGCAAGGCACAGGTAACTGTCAGTGCAGAAAAAGGTGGCTGCTTATGTGGCTTGCTCCTTTTAAACTGGAAGAAAATCCTGGCTACCTTTCCTGTGGACTTCTTTCTGATGTTTCAGCAGCCAGAATTGGGTCCCTGTTTTTTGGTTTTGTTTTGTTTTTTGAGATGGAGTCTTGCTCTCAACCCAAGCTGGAGTGCAATGGTGCTATCTCAGCTCACTGCAATCTTCCACCTCCCGGGTTCACGCCATTCTCCTGCCTCAGCCTCCCGAATAGCTGGGACTACAGGCGCCTGCAACCACGCCTGGCTAATTTTTTATATTTTTAGTAGAGACAGGGTTTCACCATGTTGGTCAGGGTGGTCTCAAACTCCTGACCTTGTGATCCGCCCACCTCGGCCTCCCAAAGTGCTGGGATTACTGGTGTGAGCCACCGCGCCTGGTTGGGTCCCTGGTTTTAAAGGAGGCTAGGATATTGAAGATCTGGCTTATCCAGATGGATAATGGAGACAGGGAAAGGAAAAGGGGACTCAGATGGCTTTAGGGTATAAAACTGGCACACATTACTGCAAAACAAAGTCTAGGTGAATACGCACCCAACTACTTCTCCACCTCCTTGGATGCTGGAGATGAGATATGAAGATTAGAGAATCGTCCTTAGTAATTTATAAAATTTGCTAGGTTTCATTTTATACAGTAGATGTCAACTCCTTTTGTAATTTCTCCAGAAAAAGAACAGAACACAGCAATTCTAGCTGCAGTCAGGGTGACAAACAGCCACTGTAGGGGGCAAGAAAATCAAACCTTTACCAAGTTGATAAGAAAGCTTTCCAGTAAGTTCCCCTCTCGAGAGCTCATTCATTCAGAAAGCTGTGCTAGTGGCAGAAACCAGGGGCTGCCTAACTTAATGCTGTGTGTGTGTATGAATGTATCAAGGGTGTGTATATTTACATCTTTAGCTATTTCTCTATCTCGATATAGCACTATATAGAACTATCAGCTGTTCTCAATTGTAAATGCCTTATCCACCAGGGTACATTTGTGTATTGTGTGTGGCTGTGCATGCATGTATATCCAAGAAGGAAGAAGGGCTTTGCTCAGAGCCCAGCTAAGACTTACAGTTCAAAAGACTTGGTAGAATCAACTGTATTTATAATGATTATCTAAGTCACATATATACAACATATGAACAAGCCTACTGAAAATCAAGTTATTTTCCAGCTGAGACTTTTATTCTGAAGTTCTGTTCTCATTAAGAATTACCCATCTCTTATCCTAGAGTTGAGGCTGATGCAGAAACTAAAAATGCCAGGAACACAGGAGTGGGACCCCTCCTTTTGCAGTTAATTTTTCCCTAGTAGGAGAATTAATATACCTTCATATATTTACATTCTACAATTAAACAACTGCAGTGACGCACCCTAGGGTCAAAGTCAGTAAGAAGTACCTAGTCAATTCAGTGAGAAAATAGGATTTTCAATGAATGGTGCTGGGGTAACTGGATATCCATATGCAAAGATACAAATGCAAATCCTTATCTCACCACATGCAAAATTTAACTCAAAATGAATCATAGGCCTAAATGTTAGAGCTAATACTATACAACTCCCAGAAAAAAGAAACAGGAGTAAATCTCTGTGACCTTGGGGTGAAAAACAGATTCTAAAAAATGACACCAAAAGAATAAGCAATAAAAAATAAATTGGACTGTATCCATTTTTTAATTGTGCTGCTGACAATCCCATATAAGAAGTAAAAAGGAAATCCACAGAATGAAACAGAATATTTTCAAATCACATGTGATTTGAAAATTTTTATTCAGAATATAGAACCCTTACATACAACTTAAAAATAAAAAGTTCCATTAAAACCCTTATATAAAACTTAATAAAAAAGTTTCCAACAATAAAACTTAATAAAAAGACAAATAGCCCTATTTTAAAAGTTGGCGAAGTATTTTTTTAATAGGGTTTGTCCAAAGAAGATACAACAAATGCCCAACAAGCACATTAAAAAGATGCTTAATGCCAGTAATCATTAGGGAAATGCAAGTCAAATCCATGATGAGCTGTACTTCATACCTATCAAAATGGCTATTGTCAAAGAGAAATAATAACAAGTATTCGTGACGATGTGGACAAAAGGGAAGCCAGAGACATTGCTGGTGGGAATGTAAAATGGGGTACCCACGTTGGAAAACGGTTTGGAAGTTCCTCAAAATGTTAAAAATAGAGTCCATATGACCCAGAAATTCCACTTGTAGGTATATATCCAAGAGAAATAAAAACGTAAGTACACAGAAAAACTTGTACATCAATGTTCATAGAAGCATTGTTTCTAATAGCTGAAAAGTGGAAACAATCCAAATGTTTGACAACCAATGAATGGACAAACACAACGTCGTATATTTATATAACGTAATATTATTTGGCTACAAAACGTGAATTAAATTGACACATGGTACAACATTGATGGCCCTTGAAAACATTATGCTTAGTAAAGAAGCCAGACATGAAAGGCCACATATTACATGATTCAATTTACATGACATACCCAGAATAGGTAAACCTATAGAGATAGAGCAGAATGCTGGCTGTGTAGGGCTACAGGGTGGGGTAAGGGTGTACAGGGTGTGAGTACTAATGGGGACAACGTGTCTTTCTGGAGCAATAAAAATATGCTAAATTTAGAATGCGCTGATGGTGTGTTGATGATTGCCCAGCTCTGTGAATACATTAAAAACCACGGAAGGCCAGGTGCGGTGGCTCATGCCTGTAATCCCAGCACTTTGGGAGGCAGAGGCGGGTGGATAACGAGCTCAGAAGACCAAGACCAGCCTGGCCAACACGGTGAAACCTTGTCTCTGCTATAAACACAAAAATTAGCCCGGTGTGGTGGCACGCACCTGTAGTCCCAGCTACTCCAGACGCTGAGCCAGGAGAATCGCTTGAACCCGGGAGGCGGAGGTTACAGTTAGCTGAGATCACGCCACTGCACTCCAGCCTGGGCGACGGAATGAGACTCCGTCTCAAAAACAAACCAACAAAAAACACTGAAGTGTACACTTTAAATAGGTGAATTTTGTGGCATACGCATACCATATAGTAAGTGAACCTCAATAAAAACATCTCAAAAAAAAAAGTACAAAGATGAGCGTGCTGGGTCCCTTGAGTTGTACAATCCACAACCTGAACATACTTATTTAGGGTCCTAGCCCAAGTAGTTTAAATAATAAACTAGTTGCCCATAATTGAAAAACAGGAGCTTTTACATTAAAAACCTAGATTCTTGACTTTTCCTGGAAAATCAGAGGCACTGATTCCTACATGTCAACAATCTGTGAGAGCTGGGCAGCCTCTTCACCTGGGGCATTTATTGCCGAGTTTGCCACAGACCCCCCCACCACCTGCTTTTGTATCTCAACCTAAAATTGAAAGTCAGCCACCATTTATAATCGCACATGCATTCTTGTTTTTCTCATAACATTGGTAAGGATAGGTTAAATATGGGATCTTGTCGGCCTCCCAGGGTCATGGGAAGTATGGCTGTCTAGATGGTTCTGTTAAATCTGAACTTCGTGTTTCCTTCTTCATTTAGCAGTCACCAACATTCAGCATTATTTGCTGGAAGCACCTTCCTGGGCACTTCACACTCTTACTAGACAAAGGATTTTCCCCTATATATTCTTGCTAAGCTCCTGTCATTTCTTATGAATTGCTGTTCCACTTCAACATGATGAGGACACATTTTGTGGATATAGATGAACTCAAGTGTCCTCAAACAGTGTGATGTTCCCTGGGTAGTTAATAAATATTCAGTCCAAGCTGTAACACTGGGCGGAGGGAGGCTGGAATCTTCCACGTGCATGACTAATCCTAAACGCCAAATTGAACAAAAGCATTGGGGTGGAGTCTACAATGCCAGTAAATCGCTAGGCAATGAGAGACAAGCACTTTAAACATCTTTCCTAAATTTCCATCATTCAGAGATCACCTTCCCAATATTGCCATATCCGTAGTCCTCATTGAAAATCTGACATATGCTAATGCCACCTGCCTTTCTGCTCTCCAGTTTCTCCTCCTCTCTGTTCCAGTGCTACTGAATGGCATGCCTCTGTAAAATAAGAAGTAAAAATCTTACTTCCTTCAAACAATTCACCTTTTTATTGGCATACATTAAATTCTGAAAAACAAATGAACAGGGCACTCACATTACCAGCATAATTTGAAAACCAGGAATTCTATCATGAAGAGAAGCAACAAATGAAAACAAATAGGACCAAAGCAAAGCCACAATCCTCGATTCTAGATGGATCCCATTGTCAGCCTGAGGCTCAATTCTCCCTCTAGTACAAGGAAAACTGGCAAATGTCATCAAAAAGAGGCGATCACCAAACTGAATATTTCCTCTTGGGGCATCAGGAAACTCTCAGGAAAAAGGATAGGCAGATCATTATTTTTTCTCTGTGATTCCGCATGATTTTAACCCTTTCTTTTAGTGCCTGAACTGATTATAACACCACCTGGTAAACTTACACCCTGTATTGAGCAATACATTTTAGGGAATACATGAGATCCAGTAGGGCAGAGAGAGATGGGTACGTGGAAGAGGGTGATCTCCACTCTCTTTTTTATTTTATTTTATGAGACAGAGTTTCACTCCTGTTGCCCAGGCTGGAGCGCAATGGTGCCATCTCAGCCCACTGCAACCTCTGTCTTCCAGGCTCAAGTGATTCTCCTGCCTCAGCATCCCAAGTAGCTGGGAGTACAGGCACCTGCCACCACACCCAGCTAACTTTTGTATTTTTAGTACAGACAGGTTTTACCATGTTGGCCGGGCTAGTCGTGAACTCCTGACCTCAGATGATCCGCTTGCCTCAGCCTCCCAAGGTGCTGGGATTACAGGCATGAGCCACCGTGCCCAGCCAATGATCTCCACTCTCTCTGCATAATCACATGCTCAAGAAACCCCTGAGAAAAAAACAGCTAATCAGCAACTTGCCTGGATGAATAGAACTGGAATCCAGTATTTTAATGTCCAGGGAACATTTGCCTACAACAGAATAACCTCTATTTCATCTACCAGGGGGAGCTCTCTGTGCACATCTACACACAGGTGGGTACACACACACACACGACATTTCTCAGGGGACTATGAGCTTCAAAACTAAACAGATAGCAAATTCCATTACTTAGTAGCAGAACTTCCGCTTCCCCATATGTATATCTCTTCAAAGCAAAGAAAGGTATTACATGGTGGAGCCAGCATATGGACTCCTGTAATCTGACTCCAAAGTCTCTCACCTTATTCACTATCCTAACCTAAATGTACAAATGCACGCTCCATTTTACCACTGGTCATTTCTTAGGACTGCACAATTCTTGCCATGTAAAATGCACCCTCCCATATGACACTCTTGTTCCTGTATTATGAAACAAAATATTCTCCCTAATTATGAAGCACCCATCCAAAGACCCTTTGTGGATAGCTAAGAGAAAGGAGAAGAAATGTACAACTGCAGATAATATCCATCATGGAGGAAGCTTAGAATTAATATGTATGCAATGTCCAACTTACTGCCTAGTACCACACAAAAGAAAGCCCAATGGCTGGTAGTTATTATTCTTTCAATTTTCTGAAATTGAAATATTGCAGAGACGTTAAAGGAGGGACAGAAAGAAAAGAAGTTGGAGAGATACATGTGAAATTCTGGCTGACTCAATCGTCCTACCCTGACATTGGAACGTGTGTCTAAAGTCTCCAAATCTCCAATTTCACACACATGGAAGTCTGAAACTGTTAAGTTTTATATTTACAACTATATGATTAAATAATAGGATGCTTAGGAAGTCATACAGCCCACAGTAGACACCCATCAAATATTACTTAACATCTCTGTCTTCTGTGAAGCCAGTTCCAAATATAAAATTCCAGTTCACAAAGCAAATGTGTTTTCTCATGTCTTTTCCCAAATTCTTTCAAAAGGGTTCCTTCATGTAAAAGACGTTAATCTTGTTTTAAAAAGTGAGGTTTGTTAGTGCGTTTAAAATGCTTCTCCTTCTTCATTTACAAATGCAGACTCTGCTTTCTGGGCAATTTTCCAATTAAATATAATAGTACAAATTAGATAGAAATTAAGCTGTAGAAAAAGCAGAAGATACTAGAGTTGCCCCGTGTCACAACAGCTAAGACTAAGACAGAGATATACTGAAGAAAAGCAGTTTCTATCATCTGACAAAAATGACTGGGTCACTCCCAGTGCATAAATGGTCTCCTCTCCCAGCTCTACCAGGAACTCAGGCAGGGGTCGCCCTGCTGTTCTTTTTAGAAAGGGCTCTGTATAATATGCATAACACAAAGGTTTTTCATTTTCCTTTTTTTGTGAGACAGAGTCTCACTACGACACCCAGACTGGAGTGCAGTAGTACAATCTCAGCTCACTGCAATCTCCGCCTCCCAAGTTCAAGTGATTCTCATGCCTCAGCCTCCCAAGTAGCTGGGACTACAGGCATGCACCACTGCACCGGCTAATACTTAAAAAATATATATTTTTAGTAGAGGTGGTGTTTCATCATGTTGGCCAGGCTGGTCTTGAACTCCTGGCCTCAAGTGATCCACCCTCCTTGGCCTCCCAAAGCACTGGGATTACAGGCATGAGCAGCCACGCCTGGCCAGGTTTTTCAATTATGAATGTATTTATTGTATAATACACAGTGTGCGAACTCTTAGACAAAGAAATCTAAGAATAATCACAGCACTTAATACACATAAGCTATCCTGCCCAGCACACAATTATACTTGTCCACATCTTGCAAGTGCCAAAACCAAGTTCAGAGAGGTTATGTACCTTCCCAAAGTGTAGTCCAGCACTGGGACTCTCGCAGTGTGACTCCAAAGTCTCTCATCTTACCCACTATACTAACCTAAATGTGCAAATGCATGGTCTGCTTTTGCCACGGGTCACTCCTTATAACTGTACAATTCTTGCATGTCAAACGCACTTGCCAATATGACAGAGCTGTCCATGTATTATGAAACAAAATATTCTCCCTAATTATCAAACACCCATCCCAACACCCTTCACGGACAGCTAAGTTGAGGAAATGTACGACCGTCAATACGAACCCTCCTCCCATTTTCTAGAAAGATTCGTAGTATGCATGTAAATATCCTCTGAATGCAGGGATGAAGAGGCCTCCAGCTAGGCCCCATGAAGCCAATTTAGCTTCTTAAGCTGAGAACTGCTTTGTGAAATAATCCTGTAGAACTCTCACTAAATGAGTTACAAACTAGTCGCAGGGGGCTCTCATTGAATTTACTCCCGAAAGCTATAAAGGACAATTGTCTCTGAACCAGGTACATCAAATACAGGCCTGCTACTGTGTAAAAGCATGGAATTCTATACCACCTACACACACAAAAAAAATTAGCTTTTGATTGAAAGGAAGCACTACTGAAAAACCCCAGGGAGGTGGGAAGAAACAACAAAAATGAATGACACCTACAGGCAAATCCGATGGTTGAGGCCATTTGGCTAAGGACTTTCTTAGTCTGAAATGGGGAGAAAAGTACAATTTCTGAGGATCATGAAAGATAATCGAACTGAATCAAAGAAAAGTAATAGCTCTTGAAATTCTAAACAAGGAGAATTTGAATATGCCATGTGAACTTAGAAGTTCCCCATACTCCATTCTGAGTATTTAACGCTGAAAAAATGGTGATGCTTACAAAACGCTATCATTCTTCTCTCAGTTGTCACTGTTTCAGTTATCTTTTCTCTTTCCTTTTTCTTTTTGGCCAAGAGATCCCCAACCAAGACTAAGAGCTACTTCTTGGCCTTTCTATCAGAAGAGGAGTGACTGGAAATTGTGGTCATTATTGATTCTTTTCTTCAAGCTCATGATGTAGCTACAGGTGGAGTTGAAACTGCCTGTGTAAAAATTATAGCTGAGGAAATCGAAACAGTGAAAGAGAGGTATGACCTAACTGGCTCCATCTTGCTTCTTACCTCCAAGCTGTCCTTGTTCATTTATGGGCATAGGCTGAACTAACTTTGGAAATAACCTAGTTTATAGTTTAATTTTGAAACAAAGATGAGAACAGCCCTTTCCCCAAACAATCCCCCTTTATGCCTGGGAACTAGACTGCCTTTGCAGGACTAACAAATGAGCCACAAGATTAGAAATTATGATTTAGGAGTCCTGCAGCTAGGAGCTGCAAGATTTTGAACCTCCCCAGATTGCTCCTGGGATAACACCACTATTGTAAAATATAAGACCAGTGGTCGAGATATTTTGCAGACTCTGCACTTGATGGATCAGTGGGCATCACCCATATGGATCAACTGGCTCATCTGGTCTGTGGACCCCACCGAGGAAGTGACTCATCTCCAACCTGACCAGTCAGCACTTCCACTTTCTGACCCCCTACCCACCAAATAATCCTGAAAAACCCCAGTTCCTGGGTTTTCAGGGAGACTAATTTGAGTAATAACAACACGCTGGTCTCCCATACAGCTGGCTCTGGGTGAATTACACATATTTTCTATTGCAATTTCCCTGTCTTGATAAAACAGCTTTGTCTAGGCAGCAGGCAAGGAGAACCCATTGGCTGGTTAGAGTTCTGTTATTTTTGCCAAATAGTTTAAAAATAGTTTCTTTTCTGGCAGTGGTATTCTAGCTGGGTGCCATGGTTCTACTAAAGTGGGTACAGCCAATATTTAGGGGTTTTTTTGTAATATAGATGGAATGATAAAATTAGAAAAGCATCATGTCACTACTATCAGTGTAATAACCCATTCTGAAAAGGTTCCTCAATGATGAAGGGATGATGGAAAAAAGGATAGTTAGGTAGTATCAAAGTACAGATGCATAGGTTATTTCCTAAGTACAAGACTAGTGTATCCTGGGGAAATTTGTCAGTTACCCAGTGACCAACTTTACTGCCACACATCATGGGAGAAAGTGACATCAAGGACCTCCAGCTAAGGAGGCAGTGAGACAGCATGGCCTGGGGAGCACTCTCCACAAAGTGCTGAAGTTGAACTGAATGACAGGGAAATAATCAAGTAAGTCCTGATTTTCAGATGTTCTACAAGAAAATGGTCCAAGACTAACTTTGTAAATCAACATCATAGAAGACCAAAAAATGCAGGGAGGAAGGTGCATTTCTCATTTTTTGTTTTTCAGACTTAGTCTCACTCTGTTGCCCAGACTGGAGTGCAGTGGCATGATCTCGGCTCACTGCAACCTCCACCTCCTAGATTCAAGCGATTCTCCAGCCTCAGCCTCCAGAGTAGCTGAGTTACGGGTGTGCACCACCACACCTGGCTAATTTTTGTATGTTTGGTGTATGCGAGGTTTTGTCATGTTGGCCAGGCTGGTCCCGAACTCCTGACCTCAGACGATCCACCTGCCTTGGCCTCCCAAATTGCTGGGATTACAGGCGTGAGCCATCGCACCCAGCCGAGAGTACTCTTCTAGATCAAAAGCTGTGAAAGAAATAAGGACAACTAAGTGCGATGCATGTTCCAGTTAGTATCTACATTAAAAAAATAAGAATTGTTTTGTGGCTGTATAGCAAAACTGCCTTTCTTTTTTTTTTTCCCGAGACACAGTCTTGCTCTGTGCCCAGGCTGGAGTACAGTGGCACAATCTCAGCTCACTGCAACCTCTGCCTCCCAGGTTCAAGCAATTCTCCTGCCTCAGCCTCCCGAGTAGCTGGGATTACAGGTGTGTGCCACCACGCCCAGCTAATTTTTGTATTTTTAGTAGAGACAGCGGTTTCACCATGTTGGCCAGGCTGGTCTCAAACTCCTGACCTCAGGTGATCCATTCTCCTCGGCCTCCCAAAGTGCTGGGATTACAGGCGTGAGCCACTGTGCCAGGCAAAAACCGCCTTGTTTTTAAGAGAAGCATGTTGAAGCCTTTAGGCATGAGTTGTTCATGGTGCCTGTAATTTTCAAATTGTCCAATATATATGGGAAGACGGAGGGTAGAAAGAGAAAGTAAATGTCACAAAATGTTAATCATTGGTGAAACTACACAAAAGTTATATGGGTTTTCACTGTGTGTTTTAATTTTTCTACAAGTTTGTATGTAAAAAGAGGGTTGAGGAGAGTTCTTTCTTTGAAAAATCATCTCTCTGTTTTTTACACTAAAAACCTCTACCCTAGTAGATTTTCATTCTTTTTTACTTGTCTGTCATGGTCTAGCTTCTTCTAGCATTAAGATGCCTTAAAGGAAGCCAAGCACACAGCTGAGCGTGGTGGCTCATGTCTGTAATCCCAGCAATTTCAGAGGCCGAGGCAGGTGGATCACTTTAGGTCAGGAGTTCAAGACCACCCTGGCCAACAAGGTGAAACCCTGTCTCTGCTAAAAATACAAAAATTAGCCAGGCATGGTGGTGTGCACCTGTAATCCCAGCTACTCAGGAGGCTGAGGCAGGAGAATTGCTTGATCCTGGGAGGCGAAGTTTGCTGTGAGCTAGGATGGCACCACGGCACTATAGCCTGGGTGACAGAGTGAGACTTTGTCTCAAAAAAAAAGGCCAAACTCAGAAAAATACTGTATTATCTCATTTGTATGTGGAATCTTAAAGAAGTGAACCCATAAATGCAGAGAACAGAATGGTGGTTACCAGTGCGGAGAGAGGGGAGCTGGGGAGACATTAGTCAATGGATAAAAAAAATTCAGTTAGATAAGAGGAATAAATCCAACAGACCTGTTGTACATCATGGTGACTACAGTTAATAATTAGGTACTGTATACTAGGAAATTGCTAAAGGAATAGATTTTAAGTGTTCTCAACACACACACACACACACAATAAACAGGGGAAGTAATGCATGTATTAATTTAACTCATTTAAACCCAATTTAAGCATTCCACAATATATATATATTTCAAAACATCCTGTTTTACATAATATACAATTTTTAGTGTCAATTTTTTAATGTTAAATATTTTAAAGACTCATTGAAGAAACCTTTTCCCTTTCTCCTATAATTACGTGGTGATAGTGCAGTTAAAACAAAACCCTGCTTCTTAGGATGGGTAAGCAACTGAGATCTGGCCGGGACTTATCCTGAACCACTGAAGAGAAGGTTCTCTTTGCCGTCAGGCTCCTGAGCTGGGATGATGTAAGCGTATCCCTGCTGGAAGCCATCTTGCCACTTTAAGGGAACAGCCTGAAAATACATGGCATACAGAAGAGTGTGTAATGTGGGAAGAAGTATTCCTGGCAACATCATCTGATCATCTTGATTCAGCTTTGCCCCAAACCAGCTATATATACATAGATGTTTCAATCACATGAGACAATACTGTTTTTTTCCTTAAGGCCATTCAAGTTGGGCATATGTCACCTGCCACTGAAAAGATCTCTGATTAACAGAAAGAACAAAAGAAAGTCACAAATGGATGATGCACAAAATTAAGACGCACTGGAGATAGATTACTACTGGGTCCATTTATGCTGCTGGTTTTGCTCATTTTGTAGGTATCTTAGGAATGAATGTTTCTTCTGTCATCTATGCACAATATAGAATACACTGAGGTTGTAAGACGAGTGGTTCAAAGAAATTGTTGGTTTTCACACCTACCTATCTGAGCAAATTGGGATTTTCTTGATACTCTGTAGTCTGAATGCACAAACAACTGCCTACGGCTGCCTTCTGGACCTCCTGATTCCAAACGTCTGAATTGATCATAACAAACATTGCTTCTGATGATGGATTTATAAACAAATGTGAAGCATTTCAAATTAAGCATAACTTCACTATTAAATACAGCTAGTACCTGTTCTATACATTGCAGTATATATTATTTCACTTATTGGGCAACATGTATTCCACTGTTTTGAACGTTTAAAACTGTTGTTTAAAGGTATCTGGACACACTTTAATTAATACAGAAATAATTGCGTATGATCTCTACTACATGATACTTCTACAATACTCATGCATACCTATTTTACAGAATTTCCTTAAAATTATCCATTTTAATGCACAGACCCCTACACAAATTGTCAAAGAGGAGAGAAAGAAAGAAGAAAAAAACTAAATTAGTTTTGCTGTGATGACCAGCAAAGGTACACCTGTTTTTGCCCCCTTTGAACTGCAGTGAACAGGTGCATGATTACAGTTATCATTCCAAGCATTCACCATTGCTTACTGCATTATTCTTAAACAGAAAGAGTCTATGTCATTGATCTAACCAGCAACACAGCACTATCACAAGACTGGAAGAGTCCTACCCAGCCCACCGCAGTGAATTAAACAGATCTCAAAGTCACAGAGGCAAGGACCTTGCAAAACATGTCAAGATGAAAAACGGCACTTGAAACATGTCTTTTGAATGTGACATGGGGGATCTAAGGTTCTATTCAAAGGGGACCGAGAATACAAGTCAACCTTAGAATTAAAATTGAAAAAAGAGTCGAAGTAAAAGTCAAGAAGAGATGATTTCAAAGTTTTGGAGACTATAACAGCACTTCCTCACACCATAAATGTGTGTAATGACAATGCTTCATGGCAGCCCTGCAAATGTACCTCTTGTTTCACACCTACATGACGATAAAGGTTTCCTCTTCTGTAAGATAGGAAAGATGATAGTTATCTATTAAGGAATTGTTTTGGAAAAATACCATGGAGGACATTAGGATTCCTGGCACTGCCTTGGAATAATTTTTTTCTTTGCATGAGGCTGCCAGAGATTAAAATGCTAACCATTGTGTATTATGAAAGTGCACAGAGATGCCAAGCTCTCTGTGTCTCAGAGAAGAAGTGATGCCTACAAAGCCTTGACCAGGTTCTGCCTGGGAATCCGCTTGCCTGCAGCTTTGGTTGAGCATCCTTTTGCCTGATTCCCCTTTATCTTCAGTAAGGCAAAGGGAAGTTGTCACTGGTTTTCAACGCAGGTCCCCAATCTCTGCCCCAGGAAGAGAGAACATGACCAGACATCTCATTTTTTGTTGAAACAATAGCTCAGCATGAGACATCGGCTGGAGGCTGCTGGCAAAACCATCTGACTTAATCACAATCCTTCAGTGATCGGTGCCAGGCTGGTCCTGCCTTGGTGGGTGGCAATTCACATCTTCCAGCTGAGGGTGGAAGGACTGGGAGTAGCTAGAGGTCATTCAGGGGTGCTGTATTTTAAAAGAAAACACAGGCCGGGCATGGTGGCTCATGCCTGTAATCCCAGCACTTTGGGAGGCCAAGGCAGGTGGATCATTTGAGGTGAGGAGTTTGAGACCAGCCTGGTCAACATGGCAAAACCCTATCTCTGCTAATATTACAAAAAATTAGCTGGGTGTGGTGGGGAAGGGCAGTAATCCCAGCAACTTGGGAGGCTAAGGCAAGAGAATTGCTGGAACCCAGGAGGCAGAGGTTGGAGTGTGCTAAGATCATGCCACTGCACTCTAGCCTGGGTGAAAGAGCAAGACCATGTCTCAATAATAATAATAATAATAATAATAATAATAATAATAATAATAATGAAAATAAAACACAACTTTTCTGCTGTTCTCTGCTCTTCTAGTTCCTAACTCACTGAGCTCCAAATAGTGAAAGTGTGGTTTGATCACACTCAGAGTACTACCTTTGATGGGCCCTAAAACTTCATCTACAAGACTTCCCTTTGTTTTACTGAGAAAATAGATGTAATTACAGCAGGGACAATGCTTACCACACAATAGGAACACAGAATACATTAGGAGACTCTGACTTGGTTACGTTTCTTTCTGAATGGTCTTTCAGTATTTGCAGTTGACTTTATTATTGTTAAAAGAACCTTCTACTAAGGAATCCTACAATTTTGAGTTTCTTTTTTTTTTTTAAATGTTGTTGTCGTTGTTATTGTTTATTTGTTTTTCAGCTTTCTCAACTACCAAACTGGAGTGATGAAGATACAATCGTCTTTCTTTACAAACAAGTGCAGCCAAACTGATTAGCCTTTAACATTTTCCAATCCTATTATTTGTAGATTCCCCTACTTTTCAATGAGTAAATAAAACAAGCTGGGAATGAAACATTTATTTTGGCGTCACACCAACCTAATTAAACTGCAGTTTCATTAGGCTGCAGCAGGCTGCTGAAAAATAATGTAATTGACCTATTAAAAGTTACTACTTCAGTTCAGTTTTCTGAGCCACAAGAAATTGCACTGTGATTTAAAATACCTAGTTACCTTGACAAAACCAGCCAGAGAGCAAAGAACTAAGAGTTACAGAGAATGGATAGAATCCAGTTAAAAAGGCGACAGGTAACAAGATGCTCTCCCCAATCCCAATTACTTGGAAGAAAGGAATAAAATGTAAAATGGAAGCTAATAAAGTTCTAGTTATTTCCTCCATTGACTAAGCACTGTTCATCCACAGGGCTAGTGTGAGATGCTCCCCCAAAACTTAACATTGCAGTTGTTTAAGGAGCAGACATTTGTTGATTGGCTGGTATCATTCCTCTTGTTTGGCATCAGCAGGCCCATTGCTCTGCACGCAACCCACCCATTTCCCACTGTCAGACCAAGTGTCTCAGGGAAAGGTAGTTCCTGGTCCTGAAGTTGCACATGTGTTCCAAGCTGGCCAATGAGTGCCATGTGCCCCGGACCACAGTGATTTATTTATGCTAGGACCCATTAGAACTACTCCTGGGCCTTTTGCTGAAGCAACCAAGAAATGAGATCTCTATCTTCCAGCTGGCTTTCTGAGTGGAGAATGCTGGCTCTGATACTATCCATCCTCTTCCTTGTGGGGAGAATTTACCTGAGAATGGAGTGAACACCAAAGAGAAGGGTGAGAGAGAGAGAGACATCGAGCAAGAGACAAGAGAGGAGAGGAGAGAAGAGTGAGGAAGAGGGAGGTCCAGAATTAATAGATTCAAGGAAAGGAGAAAAGAGGAGGGGAGGGGAGGGGAGAAAAATTGCAAATAATAGTAATAATTGAACTGTAGCTTAGAAAACCAGCTGGAACTGTAGCTCAGTTGTTTCTGTTGAAATGAACTCCAACATTTCAAAAAGGGGTGAGGAGGGGAGGGGAAGCTAGGAAAGGGGAGGGAAGGGAAAGAGGAAGGAAAGAAAGGGGAGGAAAGAAGAGAAAGGGAGGAAGGAGCGGTCAGGAGAGGAAGAAGATGAGAAATGAAGAAGTGAGAAGAGAGAAATGGTGGAGGGAAAAAGAAAGGAGAGAAAAAAAGACTAAATCCTTATTTTATTTGACCTCTTGGATCTACGATGTCATCATTTAAGTATTTTAAATGAATTTAACCTTTCATTGAGGAGGCCCAGAATTAATAGATTCAAGGATGTTTTATGCACCTGACTCCACATGCAGTGTCAGGGCCTTTGAGGTCCAAGGGCATCTAAAAATTGAAAAAAAAAAAAATTGGCGCTAACATTTCAAGGAACAAAGACAAAATTAATAACTGCTTAATTATATTTCTCCAAAATGCAACATTATGTCAGCATCATTAATTGTTAAATTTAGTGTTCATAAATATTTTATCATGTTGGAAAATAAGTTGTACATTATTTTTCTCATCAGAATTTTCAAGTTTATGCGATGATTACTGAGAAATAATAGCTAATCATAAATTCAATGAGCTATTAAGAGTTAATTCACTTCAATAGGAAAGTGATAAAAATTCTTTGGAAATTTTTACTATCACAAAATTGTGTTTTATATTTACAAGGGGTCCATTTTAATATGACTTAAATCAGCTTTCTCAGCCTCAATGCTATTGCCATTTTGAACCCAATAATTCTTTGTTGGGTGGGGAGCTGGTCTTTGCCTTGTTAGATGTGCAGCAGTACAGCACCCCTGGCTTTTCCCACTAGATGCTGGTAGCATCCCTTCAACTGCAACAACCAAAGATTATCAATATCCTTTGGGAAGCAAAAATGCCCCGGTTTCATAACGATTGGTTTATATGAATGCCTAGGGCAAAAGAAAACCTTGACATGTTGAAATGCCTCTGATTGTGTTGGACATGTAATCTCAGTGGCATCCTTTGAGGGATATAACACCAAAGCTAAGAATCTGGGACACACATCCAATTTTCACAAAGTTTGAGAGTTCCCAGTAAAACCTGCCTCTAGTTCCAGGTGACCTCCATAAACACAGCTGTGAGTCCCTCATTAAGGAGCTAAGCAGAACCCATGAGGGAGGCCCCCTTAGCAGCTTGGGGATCAATAGATCACCTGTTTCTGAGAAGCTCATGTAGTATTTTCATAGACAGGCAACATGACTGACATGAGATCGATATCCGCCTTCTGCCCAGGAAGGGGCCATCCCCTGTTGGCACTCACCTACGGTTTGCTTCACCTCAGCTAGACCATCAGAGCCCAGGGTAGAGGTCTGCATGGAAAAGAGCAAGGCTTGTTTCCCAAAACAACAGCCAACACAGCTGGGGGAAGGAAGCCTGTACCAGCTGCCAACAGTGAAACCAACAAAATAAAGCACCCTAAAAGACTCAAACAAATAACCACCATCTCCAACAAAGAGGAAGGCAAGGGTGCTGGGTTCATGCTTCACAGGGATCATCGAAAAAGCAAAGACACAGAACCCTGTGCAGGAGATAAATTCTAAAGTGGCCAGACTTTGCAAATCACCAAAGGGAAAGCTTCCCTGGGTCTTTAGAAATCCTACTTGAAGATGCTTCATTAGGGGTGGGCGTGGCGCAGGAACTCATTAGACTCTGGTTGTCCCACGTGGACCTACCTGGCACTTAGAGTATATGGGGATAACTCAAAAGGCACAGCATGGAAAAAGGAGAAGGGAAAAGAAAATGAAGTGGGAGAAATATTTACAGCATTCTTCTAAAATCACATTTTTCACATTCTTCATCCAAAGCAAAATATATTCTTGATCAATGCTTCAGAAGCTTGCCTTTGCAATTATGATTTTGGGGGAAAAAAAGGGCAAAAAAAAAAAAAAAAGCAAGCCCAAATGAGATATGCAGGGTCTTTCTGGAAAAATTGAGTTCCATTTAGGCATCGGTTAACACTTGACATGTTTTGAGGGTCTTAGTCTTTGGGGATAACAGAATCTGTGTCTGAATCTAAACTCCAGGGCTTCATTAGCTTTGTGGGGCCAGGGAACTTACTTCTCTGAGCCTCAGCTGGTCTCATCTCTAGAAAGGTAAGGAGAATAATGATGCCTACCTTGCAGGTTTATGTCTGAGTTTACTGTGTATACCCCACAAAAGAATCAACCAAGGTTGGTCCCTCAATACAATCACTATTATGCATCCCCCCCTGTGACATTTCTGGTTTTGCAGAATTGAGCAAACGTGTATTTATTTTTTCATTATTTGTATGTTTATGAAGAGGACCATAAGGGATTATGTCTTACGGAGTTTTTAATCTTGCCTGCTGTTTATTATTGTGGCTTTGCATATCAGTGTAGCTTAATGATCAACTAGCTCTTCAATGACCACATAATTAGGAAGTAGTGCTCCTCTCCAGATAATTGGCAAATGTGTGTTATGACTCCAGCTTACCTGGAAATAGTTATCAGCAAACTGAGGTGAATAAAAATTTGTGATGGAAAAAGTCAAACAACATAAACCCTTAAAAGATGAACAGGCCTGGCCGGGCATGGTGGCTCATGCCTGTAATCCCAGCACTTTGGGAGGCTGAGGAGGGCAGATTATGAGGTCAGGAGTTCGAGACCAGCCTGGCTGACATGGTGAAACCCTGTCTCTTCTAAAAACACAAAAGTTAGCTAGGTGCGGTGGTGGGCACCTGTAATCCCAGCTACCTGGGAGGCTGAGGCAGAAGAATCACTTGAACCCGGGAGGCAGAAGTTGCAGTGATCTGAGATCACACCGCTGCACTCCAGCCTGGGCGACAGAGCAAGACTCTGTCTCAGAAAAGAAAAAAGAAAAAACAACAAAAAAAAGATGAACAGGTCCATGAACCTATACATAGAATATGTATACCACTTTAAAAAGGACTGAAGGCTGGCGGCAGTGGCTCACACCTATAATCCTAGCACTTTAGGAGGCTGATATGGGAGGACAGCTTGAGACCAGGAGTTTGAGACCACCCTGGGCAACATAGTGAGACCGTGTCTCTACAAAAAAATTGAAAAATTAGCCAAGTGTATTAGTCTGTTCCCACGCTGCTACTAAAGATATACCTGAGACTTAGTGTTTATAAAGGAAAGAGGTATAACTGACTCACAGTTCAGCATGGCTTGGGAAGCCTCAGAACACTTCTAATCGTGGCGGAAGGGGAAGCAAACAGGCTTTTCTTCACATGGCAGCAGCAAGGAAAAGTGCAGAGCAAAGGAGGAAAAGCCCGTTACAAAACCATTAGGTTTTGTGAGAACTCGCTCCCTATCCCAAGAACAGCATGGAAGTAACCATTCCCATGATTCAATTACCTTCCACCAGGTCCCTCCCATGACACATGGGGATTATGGGAACTACAATTCAAGATGAGATTTGGGTGGAGACACAAAGCCAAACCATATCACCAGGTGTGGTGGTGCATGCATATAGTCCCAGCTACTCAAGAGACCGAGGTGGGAGGACTGCTTGAGCCCAGTAGATCAAGCCTACAGAGAGCGATAACTGAACCACTACACTCCAGCCTGGGTAACAGAATAAGACCTTTTCTCAAAAACAAAAACAACAATAACAAAAAAGAAAACAAAACAAAAACAGAACTAAGCATGAACAGCTTGGCATAAAACATTAAAATTTCTCTAGGTAGAACCAAAATAGAAGAAAACATAACATCATTTCAGTAGCCTCATTTTTGAGCAAATATTTTCAAAAATTATTTGTTATTTTTATATTTTCATAGGTTTTGGGAAAACAGGTGGTGTTTGGTTACATAAATAAGTGCTTTAGTGGTGATTTCCGACAGTTTGGTACACCCATCACCAGAGCCGTAATTTGTACACTGTACCCAATTTGCAGTCTTTTACCCTCACCCCACTCCCACCCTTTCCCCCAAGTCCCCAAAGTCCATTGTATCATTCTTATGCCTCGAGCAAAGATTATTTTTTAGCAACCAGGAAATATACTTAAAAAAATCTATATTATATTTAATAAATACATTTTTATCTATTTTACTTTGATCCCACTAAAACTTGGGATAACTGACTTGAAATAAATGGAAAATATTCTGTTTCTTCTTCACTCTCTGTTTCTCTCTCTCTGGGGTTCTCTCTCCTTCTCTATATTTTTGTCTCTTCCTATGTCCCTCTGTTTCTCCCATGCTCACACACACACACACGCACACACACCAATACCCATAGCCGACATCCCCATTGGGCACAATGTTTGGAGTTTAGGACAGAATGCTTGTGCTGAGTAAAATGCAGAACACAGCTTCATTTTACCATGGATTTTTATTTATTTCTCCCAAATACCCAGAGAAGCAGATCACTGTTCCATCAGCTACCCAGCCAAGGACAGATGGATGAGAACACCGTCCATCCATAAGGTCATGAATCACAACACACTTTCACCCACTGCTGTGTCCCGGGGACATTGCTTCGCTAACTTCCCACTACCCTGTTCTCAGCCTGTTACATGATGATCCATTTTAGGCCAAGATTCTTATGCCCCTGAAAAAAGTGTTTTGTGATGACTTGCAAAAGTTTTCTCACATTCCCTTATCACTACGTAAGATATGAGGTAATGATATGTAAAGTGCTATCTGATGTCTAGTAGTAGTTAGAATGCAGGTAACTGGTCGTTTTACTTGTCTGTTTCCAGCTCTGAACTGCAAGATGCTTGAGGACTAACTTATTACCTTATTTTTTGTTGTAACACAGAAAAGTAATTTTAGAAATGGCTCTTCAATGAAATAAGCACTGTTGGGTGACACCCTTCATCACAAAACCTGTGCTTTCCTAACTGGGTAACCTTGTCCTAGTGACTGAAGCTCTCTGAATCCCAGCCTTC
This sequence comes from Homo sapiens, assembly GCF_000001405.40. Taxonomy (NCBI): domain Eukaryota; kingdom Metazoa; phylum Chordata; class Mammalia; order Primates; family Hominidae; genus Homo; species Homo sapiens. Next base: position 6,577,924 of record NC_000016.10, on the reverse strand, counting down.
TCATTTGTATGACATTGCAGTAAAAAATGATTGCCTCGTTTGTTTAATAAATAAAATATCCTTCCATATAGTCCTTCCTGCTTCACTATCTGGTTTATTTTTTTCCTGAGCACATAGTAGGGATACAGGAGGGAAAAGGAGGCCATGTGACTGGTTCTGGCCAATGGGATTTGGTGATAGTAGGGTGTGTCACTTCCTTGTCAAAGCACTTGACTACCACTGTGAGACATCCAGGTGGACTTCCCCTGGGACCATGTGGAACTACTTATTGACATGGTGGGTTCCTAAGAGTAAAACCACTGGGAATGATGAGCCAATACATGCAGAAGAGCTTCTCTGTAGAGTGTCCCAGAACCTCAGTGAATCTTCATCAGCAAGAAATAAACCTTTGTTGTGTTATATCACTGAGATTTCAGAGCTATTTGTCACCACAGCACAACTTGGTGTTCCCCGACTGATACAAACTGGAGAGTTGGAAGGAAAATGAAAGGAGACAGCACATAAAAAGTTCTAAGCACTGGGACTGGTATTTATATTTAATAAGCTCCTACTGACAAATATTAAGCATTATTGCTCCAAAATCTAAACCTTTGCTTTCAGTGGAAATTCCACTGATATCACTTCAGATGAAAATATGTAGTGTTCCATTAGTATGATGTTAGGCAATGCTAGATGCTATTACAGACACCCTCCAGATGACAGTGGCTAGTTCAGTCATGGCAGGGAAGAGTGGGGAGCTTCCTGATCCACACAGTCATTCAGCGACCCAGGTAGAAGATGACAACTCCGTTTTTAACATGTAGCATCCAATGTCAGGTGCATGTTCATCAGAGGATTGGGGGAATAAAGAAGTTTGGAGCATCCCAAAGACAGTTTTGGGGGAACAGTCCTGAAAGAGCCACTTCTTCCCACATGTCACTGGGCAGAATTCGGTCACATGTCACCGCTTTGATAAAAGGGGGGCTGGAAATGTATCCCTAGATGGGTGGTTCTTTACAGGTTCTTTATCTTTGCTGGGGATGAGGAACATAAATTATTAGCAGATGGCCAGTGACTCTGGCACTGTATCCTTTAGTATTTTCAGAAAGCAATTTCCCAACAGCTGTGAAATCTTTGCCTTGGCTTAACACCCTTCCCCCAGGATTGTGGGAACTTCCTTTTATCTAGCATAAATCCCTAACGTTGCAGTAAAAAATTATTGCCTCTTTTGTTTTAGTAAATAAAATATCCTTCCACATAGTTTGACCTCAGTCACCACCTCCCTCACCCTGCCAACAAAAATAGGAACAACCCCCCATTAGCTGTTATTTCCTCCCAGTTGGAGTTCAAAGAAGGTTCAGAGGACTCAGTAAAAACATACCTAAGAAAGAAAATAGGAGGGTGAGCCATAGCATTTCAATGTCCTCAAGTTTTTAAGACCCTTAGAAGAATGAACAGTTCAGAGTACAGCAGGTCTTCGAATAATATTATGTTACAATGTTGATAAGAAAAAAATCTGATTCCCAACTGGGTCCACTATGTGGAGTTGGCATCTTCTCCCCATGTCTGCGTAGGTTTTCTCCGGGTACTCCGGTTTCCTCCCACATCCCAAAGATGTGCGTGTTTGGGGAAATGGCATGTCTACGTCGTCTCAGCATGAGTGAGTGTGTGTGTCAGCACATCCTGACCAGAGTGGTCCCTGCCTTGTGCCCTGAGATGCTACGACAGGCTCCACCCACTCGAAAGCCTGAACTGGAATAAGCAGGTTGCAAAATGAAAGAATGAATACTCACGACTGCCAAATAAAAACTGATAAAGTAGATGCTAATCATAAAAGTGCACAACAATAAACAATGCGGTATGAAGGTGCCCAGTGAGCCTGCCATGCTAGTCATTGTTTTTGAACTGTGTGATGGGGGGAGGTGCTCCTGACAGTTTTTGCTTTGCAAAAATAAAAAATTATTTTTTGATGTAACGCACCATGCCTACCACCACCATCACTGATTAATCAAAAACTGGCTAAATTATCTTGCATGTTTTTATTAATCTTTATTTATTTATTTATTTATTTATTTATTTATTTTTTATTGAGATGGAGTCTCACTCTGTCACCCAGACTAGAGTGCAGTGCTGTGATCTTGGCTAACTACAACCTCCACCTCCTGGGTTCAAGCGATTCTCCTGCCTCAGCCTCCCGAGTACCTGGGATTACAGGCGTCTGCTACCACACCAGTTAATTTCTGTACTTTTAGTACAGACAGTGTTTCACCACATTGATCAGTCTGGTCTCAAATTCCTGACCTCAGGTGATCTGCCCACCGTGGCCTCCCAAAGTGCTGGGATTACAGGCATGAGCCACCGTGCCTAGCCCTTTATTAATCTTTTTAAAATGTATGTATGGTTCACATGTGTTTTCATGTTTAATTTTAGAAGTGTTTTGGGTCTTTATTTAGAAGATCAGTGATGCTTTTATGACCAGAAATGTGCTGCAGGAACTTAACTCTTGTTTGTATCAATCAGCTCATGGTAAAAGGTATTCTGTTACACGTCATTTTGCTTAAAGTCACAGTTTCCAGCAATCTATAGACAATGTTGAGAGGACTTAGTATCCATTTAAATTTGAAGAAAATATAAATATACAAGGACCAAACAACATGCATAGGCTTAATCAAGCACATCATTGCCTTTAGACACTAGGATGTAATTATCTTTATCAGAGTTATGATATGACACAGAAGAAAAATCACTCACAGGCATAAAATGAGGCCGTGTCTTTTTCTAAAGGCAGATTTCAAACAACGTGTCGTAATCTGTCCTGTCGCCTTGCGGGGAGACCCCAGGCCATGTCTCAAAGCAACTACACGATAGCATTCCTGGATGCTGTTTTTTTTTTTTTTTTTTTTTAATTGAGACGGAGTCTCGCTCTGTCCCCCAAGCTGGAGTGCAGTGGTGCCATCTCGGCTCACTGCAAGCTCCGCCTCCCAGGTTCACGCCATTCTCCTCCCTCAGCCTCCCGAGTAGCTGGGACTACAGGCGCCCGCCACCACGCCTGCCAAATTTTTTGTATTTTTAGTAGAGACGGGGTTTCACCGTGTTATCCAGGATGGTCTGGATCGCCTGACCTCGTGATCCGCCCACTTTGGCCTCCCTAAGTGCTGGGATTACAGGCGTGAGCCACCACGCCCAGCCCGTGGTTGCTGGTTCTTAATAGAAGATACGGGCCGGGCGCGGTAGTCACGCCTGTAATCCCAGCACTTTGGGAGGCCGAGGCGGGCGGATCACGAGGTCAGGAGATCGAGACCATCCCGGCTAAAACGGTGAAACCCCGTCTCTACTAAAAATACAAAAAATTAGCTGGGCTTGGTGGCGGGCGCCTGTAGTCCCAGCTACTTGGGAGGCTGAGGCAGGAGAATGGCGTGAACCCTGGAAGCGGAGCTTGCAGTGAGCGGAGATCGCGCCACTGCACTCCAGCCTGAGCGACAGAGCAAGACTCAGTCTCAAAAAAAAAAAAAAAAAAAAAATAGAAGATACGGACAGAAACCCTTGCTACACCGAGTTCCGCCCCCTCCTCACAGCATTCCCACGCTAGTGAAAAACTGACGCACAGGCAGAGAACTCCTATCCTGTTGCCATGGGGAGACCTAGGCAGAGCCGGCATGAAAGCAACAGCTGACATGAACAACGTGTGTTACCTCAGTTAAGCCGTATGCTGGAGCCCACTTTACAGATAAGAAAACTGAGGACTAGAGAAGTTAAGTGACTCACCCACGGTCCCACCAATAATATATCGCAAGGCCAGAATGGAAACCCACATCTCCTTGAGTGTGCAGCTCAAGTGTTTCCCTCTCATCGCTTGAATGAAGAGTTTAAACATTCTTGAAAGGGGAACAGGGTTGGCAGAGCGAGAGAAAAATTGTCTGGGTGACAGTGAAGCTGGCTGCCTCAACGCCCGCGGAGGATGTCTGTTAGAAGCAACCTAACCTAAGCGAGGGTATAACCTCGAGGGAGGCCAGTATGGCTTGCCTGTCTTCCTCTGACTGTCCTCCAAGACACACCTATCACGTCCAGGCTGGAAAACAGGACAGCTGCCGGAGTGTCGCTGCGAGGCCAGCGGGTGTCACTGCCTCCCCACGGTGCTCAGAGAGAGCCTGCTGTGAACGGCAGCCAGCGACATTCAGGCTCCCAGCTCTCCCGCAGCCGGGCTTCGCGCCCGTGCCTTCTCTACCAAGTGTCTCTTTCGGGAGGCGCGTCACCCCTGAGCATGTCACACAGCAGACAGCAGCCCCGTGCTGATGGCCAACGTCATAAGCCTTATTTTCCAGAGTTTTTCTACCTCTCCAAAAACACCGCTTCCTTTCAAAATCGCACTATGTGTAAAATCAAAATAAGATGGATGGGGAGATGCAGGAATATCAGAGATTTGCACTCACAGTAAATCAGAAGAATTTTTTAAAGCCCTTCCTGAGTGACAGCAGGCTCCCTGATTATGATCTGAGTGAATGGCAGACTCTTTCCAGCAGTTTTCTTACTCAAGAGACAGGCCAGGATAAAGTAACAGCTGTAAAGAAATTTCTTAGAGCTGAGAGAAAGACAGTCCGGGGCAGGAGAAAGCCTTTCTCTGTTTCTTACTTTCTAGGGGAGGGTATGGCGTCCCCTGGCAGACTTCGGTGAGGCGTGTTTGTGGCAGTCACGGCAAACCCACCATGACCCACGTCTGATGGCTGATTTAACGTTGTCTACTGAAAGGGCACTGTTTCCCTTCACATAGAAATGATGGTAAAGTCTCTGGTAGTGGTGAAACCCTGCCTCTACAAAAGGTGCAAAAATCTGCAGTGCCCATGGTCTAGGGTCTGAGGGAGCAGATCAACGAGAAATTAAAATACTATCCTATCTGAGTCTGTAGGAGAATTGAGTGTTGACTTGATCTCTTAATAGAGTGATCCCTGACTAGACTTGAGTTCAAGGTCCCCGAGGGAAGGTATTTATTTTGTTCACTGCTAAGTTCCCAGCACTCTTGGGAACAAAGTAGGCACTTAGTAAGTATTTATTGATGGCTGGGCATGCGGGATCACTCCTGAAATCCCAACACTTTGGGAGGCGAAGGTGGGTGGATCACTTGAGGTCAGGAGTTCGAGGCCAGCGTGGCCAACATGGTGAAACCCCGTTTCTACTAAAAGACACAAAAAATTAGCTGGGTGCATATCTCACACCTGTAATTCTAGCTACTCGGGAGGCTGAGGCAAGAGAATCGCTTGAGCCCGGGAGGCAGAGGTTGCGGTGAGCTGAGATAGTGACACTGCACTCCAGCCTGGGTGACAGAGTGAGACTCTGTCTAAAAAAAAAAAGACAGAGAAGGTGGGAAGATGTGAAAACATAGCTGTCCATCTGGGGAAGACTCAGCAATCTTGCCTGGCTATGCTACGGTTCACGCTAAATAATGGAAGGGATTTTAATGAGTTTATATATATTTGTACATGCACGCTTAGTGTCTCTTAGATAAGAGCCCAACAAAGGTTAGACATTCTTTTCATGTGCATAGTTTTGATCCTGTAAGTAGATTTAAAACGTTCTTCAACCTTTAATGTTTTAAAAGCAGAACATACTCATTAAGAAAATGTGCAAAATTCATAACTAGATCTCAGACAACTTGGAAGAGTCATGGGTTTATTCTCTATGTCCTATAGAATTTGATACAGATTTGTCACTTAAAAATATACATTATGAAATCAAATATAGGCAAAACATATTTAAATAAATATTATACTTCCACGACGGGATATCAAGTAACGTTTTAAAAAGAATGAGATGACAATGAGATTATGTTCTAATACATAAAGAGACCCTGGAACGCTTGCTAAGTGTGTATTGGCAGAAAAATCCACTTTTTATTATTTCATGTATATTAGGACAAAACTGTATACTTATACAGGCCATGTAAAGGTATAAAAATGTGAAAGGCTATCACCAAATTGTTAACACAGGCAAGGAGTACAACTGTATATAAAATGATGATAATCATAATTGTAATAAAAGTAATTAATCAAATGTTACCAACAGTTGTAAAAACTAAGAAAAGAAATATCATCCTCAATCAAACCACTCATGATAATGACTCATATTTTTACATATGCTTTTTTGATAAATTAATTCACTCAAAAAATATTTACTGAGTGGCTGCAGCAGGCCCAGAACTCTGCTGGTGCATTCTTCTTTCCTCTGTGTAATAAATATTTCCTGACTGATCCTTTTGCTCTATTCAATGGATCTCAGGAGGCATGCCTTCAGCAGGCTCAAGAGAACCCCAAGATTCTCTGTAATGAGCTGATTACAGGTAAGGATTCCTAGAAAACAGGCAAGCAACAGGTCCTTGATGTTCTCCATCAAATCCTCTCCTCTCTCCCCGACTACCCCAGCACACAAACCCCTTGCCTTTTATTTCACCCAAGTAGAAAAACTCAAATCAGGAAAGAAAATCTATATGAAGCATACACAACTTAAAAAAATCACTCCGAGCACTGGGTCTCTGCCATAGATCACAGTCACCTGATATTGATTCCTGACAGGAATGGTCTCCTAGGTTTCAAATGTGCCCTTCTCTCTGGAAGGATGCCCACCGTCACCCCCTGCAGCTTCCTTGCTCCTCCCACTGGATTCCAGTCCTGCTGTGGTTCTCAGGCCCTCAGCCCTGGGAGCAGCAGCTCACATTATCAACGGCAAGAGCCTCTGACAATTTTCGAAGAAGCCTTTTGGGAATAGACCCCTTTTGTTTGTAGTTGTCAAAACAAATTACGGGCTATATGCCTGAAATGATGTCAACTCCAAGATATTCTCCCTGAGGACCCACAAACTTGCAAATGTGAATCCCAGTCCTTGGTAGTAGAAAGGCCAATCCACAATGCCTGCTCATCTCAGTAGGACCTTCTCCTTAACAGTTCCACAGGAGTCTATATTTAGTAAACAATAATGTTATTTTGAAAACAGGGTACCCAGAGCCTCTGATTAATGAGCAATATAACCGTTATTCAATCAAAGGCCCTGCAAGATTTCAAATTTCTCTTCCTTCTCCCCATCCCATCCTTAACTGAGGCACCCATCAAGAATGGTATTTCAAAGTTAATTGAGTCTTTAAAAGTAAAATAGTTATAATAATTGAGGAAAAAATATTAGCTATTTCCACACTTAAACAAATGCCACATGGCACATAAATTCTGCCATCTGCTATAACTTTTCCTGAGTAGGAAGTTGGCGGATACTGCAAAATCATCTACATATGACTGATAATTTTTAGCCAAGCCTAAATAAAAAGGTGCTTTGTCTTTATATGCTGTTAAAAAAAGCTAGAGATACAGATAAACAATAAAACATGCTCTTGATCTTTATTTTTTCCAATTAAGCATACATGTATAAATTATATTTTATATGTGTATGTATGTGTGTATATATATATATAGAGAGAGTACAGTGGATCTTTTATATCTTCTGAGCCTTATTAGAGTGTATTAACTCAGTATTAAGCTGAGTCAATAATGCTGTACTTCTTCTATCTTTCATATAAAAAATTCTCGATTTTACTTACTTTGGCCTGTTCCAGGAGGGGCCTGGAACACAATCCTTTGCTTATGCAGCATACATTGAGAGTTAAAACACAAAAACACTGATTTTCAAAACAAAAGAGTATCTTACAGTGAAGGGGGAACAATACACAATGGGTATAATTCATACAAACTGAAAATATAAATCCATGGTCAATGAAATCGTGTCCTTGTAGAACACTTGAAGTTTCCTAATATATAACGAAATTAGTGTAGTCAGATTTCATTTAAGCACATGGCTCTGTAGTCCATTATTTAAACGGCACTGTCAATCATGAAAGAATACTTCAAGCGCATGACAACAAAATGCTATCAATACTGAAGGTCGTCCTCTAAACCAGAAGAGAATGCAAGGGTTTCCTAACGACTTCTTCTCAAACAAATTACCGGCAGGCTGCACCAAAATGAATTTTATTATTGAGGACAAGTGAATTGTACAGTACTTATAGCAAACACATTAGGGGATTAAAATTGATTGAAGGAGATTGGATTTCAAAAGATATAAATAGGGAAGACTTGAAAAATCTGCTTAAAGAGAACTTAACGAAACAGCCGTGGAATTCAGCCACTGGCCAACCACTCAGGAAGGTATGCTTGGGTTTTCTCTAGAGAATGAAGGGAGAATACTAAATTCTGGATGGTAGGTAAGCTGTTATTGTCAAGGTACTCACAGGATGGGTTCCCACAGAAAACCACCCATGGACAGAAAGGTTGACAGAGCCCATGAAACTTCTGCAACAGAAAAGTAGATTTCTCCACGTCGCAACTATTTAACCCAATTACAGCTCATAGCTTGCCAGAAGTTGTTTAGACTGACTTCGTCTCAGAGGTCTGTCTAGGACACTTCCATCTAGTGAAGGATAAGCTATGGGAAGCAACAATTACTTTGGCACTGATTAGCTGTGGGATAATCCAAAGAATAAAAGTCAACACTTCCTAAGTGCCCTTAGTCTGGCAAACATTCTGGTATGAGCATCACATGAAGTAACTTACTGAATCCTCACAACTCCATGAGGTAGATACTACTAGGATCCTATTCTACAGCAATGAGATGAAAACTCATTCAACAAAAAGAAATGTTTGTTGTTTTGAGAGGCTAACTTTGGGAGTAATTTCTTACACAGTATTAGATAACTAATACAGAGTATTAGATAACTTATACATTGCTTCCACAATTCTGTAAGAAGAAAAGCTTCAAAATATCCTCAGTTTACATGGATATCAAGAGGCAGAGAGAGTATTCAAAGCTGGGCTGCTGACACCAGAATCTGTATTCTTAAGTAGCATATTATCCAAGAGCTATCTCTAATCCCAGTATTGTGGGAGGCTGAGGTAGGCAGATCATTTAAGGTTGGGAGTTTGAGACCAGCCTGGCCAATGTGGTGAAATCCCATCTGTACTAAAAATGGAAAAATCACGTGGGCATAATGGCACGTGCCTGTACTCCCAGCTACTTGGGGGCAGTGCTGAGGCAGGATAATCGCTTAAACCCAGGAGGCGGAGGTTGCAGTGAGCCGAGATCGCGCCACTGCACTCCAGCCTGGGTGTCAGAGAAGACTCAATCTCAAAAAATAATAAAAAAAAGAGTTATAAGCACACTGGTAATCAAACTTTCCACCCAACTGGCCCCTGAAATGGAAGAAGACATTAGGAAATGATTTACTGTTATACAGAGTTACATGTTCTATCCAGGGCTCTCTTCTGAGAATCAGAATAAGATACATGAGAATGAACCCCCAAGATGGCCCTGAGATAATCCCCATCTTCTGTTATTCGTGCCTTTGTGCCATCTCCTCCCACACTGTACAAGAGTTCCAATGGAACATGGCAGAAGTGATGGTATGTCACTCTGAGGTTGGGTTATAAAAGACTATGGCTTCCATCTTAGCATCTCTCCCTTCTTTCTCCCTTTTCTCTCCCCGCTTTCTCTGTCTCATAACTCAATTTGGTAGAGAGCCATCCGCCATGTCTCCAGGACACTCCAGCAGCCTGTAAAGAGGCCCATGTGGTGAAGAACTGAGGCCTGCCAATATCCATATGAGTGAGTCTAGAAGCAGTACTTCCAACTGTCACTGACGGCTGCCCCAGCTGATGTACTGAACCACCACCTCACAAGGAAACTAGAGCTAGAGCCACTCCCAGATTCCTGGACCTCAGAAACTCTATGAGATGAAAAAGAAACTTTTGTTGTTTTGAGAGGCTAACTTTGGGAGTAATTTGTTACATGGTATTAGATAACTAATACATGTCATTACCCGTAAAGCTGCACTGTCAAAGACCTTAAATAGTGGACCACTTCAGGCCAGAAGTTCAAGGCCAGCCTGTTCAACATAGTCAGACCCTACCTCTACAAAGAATTTAAATAATTAGCCTGGCATGGTGGCATGCGCCTGTAGTCCCAGCTACTCGGGAGGCTGAGGTGGGAAGATTGCTTGAGCCTGGCAGTTCAAGGCTCCAGCAAACTGTAATCTCACCACTCACTCCAGCCTGGGTGACAGAGTGAGACCCTGTCTCTAAAAAGGAATTTTAAAAAATTTTAAAAAAATAGTGGGGTTTGTCCATAAAGCCCTAAATGCTTAATTTGTTGCTTTGTATGGACCAACTCAAAAATGTGGCCCTGAGGGACAAGAAAAGCACAGTATGTAAATAGGCATCCATCCACTGACATTTCAGAATATCTACTGGGTGCCAGGCACTGGTGTAGTGCTGGGATGTGGCGCTGAAATGAAAGAGACAAGGTCCTTTCCTTTGTTCTCAAGTGGACAGAGACTGAGAACAAGCAGACACATAAGAAACACAATGAAATAGTAATAAGTGCTATGAAGGTGACAGAGCAGAGAACCAGGGTGACTGTCTCTGTGGCTGGAGCAGCCAAGAAAGGCCTCTCTCATGAGAGATATTTGAGAAGAGTCCTGAATCATGAGAACTGCCAGCCAAGAGGCTATCTAGGGACAGAAAGACCAAACGAACCTGAGCTACTCAGTAGTTGTATAATCTTCAGCACACAGAGTAACATCCATGCCTCAGTTTCCCCATCTCTCTGTGTTCAGGACAATAATAATTTGCCTCACAGGATAAAGGGGATGAAATAAGATACCGTATCTGAATGAAATTTGGAGATTAGGAAGCTGCTATTCATCATTCCCCATTTAAAATAGTCTGACTGCTTGGTACTGCTTTGAAACTGCCAAGACTGGGTCAACATTATCCCCAAACCAAAGGCGATGCAGAGAAATCTGGACAGCCTGCTCATTTAATAGAGTATCAGTCTCATGGGAAACTAACTCAGTTATGGAAGAGTCTGACCATTAATTTCAACGATTTGACTGTGTAATATAATGTTTCAATCCTAGAACACAATTTAAGCTGGGACAGGTAGTCATTAGTTAACTTAGAGTCTGTAAATTCATCTCCAACATGTCAATTTTTTGTGGTCTATGTTCAAAGACTTGCCAAAAAAGATATGGGGAAAATATTTCAAAGTCCATGAAATCTAGCATCTCAATATCAAACAGTGTCTCGACTGCTACTGCAGATAAAAACGCTGATAGAAATTTTTATTAAAACAGTAAGCAAAGGGTAAGCATGCTTGTCAAACACAGATCCTGTTTCTCATATAGATGAGAGTGCCAGGAACAGTAAAGATGAAAAGTGGATGGAATACTGATTTAGCCTGTGGAGAAGACAGACTTGAGGAGTGTGCGTAAAGGGGTCAAAATGAATACCTATCAGTAATACCTTCTAAAGATAATAAGAAATGAAATAAAGCAGTATTTCGGCAAACAAAGGTCTCGACAAATAGTCAAGGGATAAGCAGCCTATGGTTTGAAACCAGATATTCATTACACATTAATGACAAAGTCTCTGTAGATTAAGAAAGCCAACATTTCAAACTAGGCTCACTAAGAAGAGAAGAAAAAAAAAATCAAATGGAGGTCCCTACGTCTAGCCACAAAATTCCTAAAAGTTACATATTTTAGAATGACAATACTATAACTACACATCTTAAAGGTACTGCTTTTGACAGGATCACACCTAGAATCGAGGTGCAATTAGGCATAGCTGTTCGCCATGATGCTGTGAGACTGGCCTGTGGCTTTTTCTCACCGTGGTGGATCTCAGTTGCTTTTCACCAAAAAATTATGTTTCTCCTTCAAAACAACGGAGGTGATTGTACCTCCTTGCCTACTTGGACTTAGGCATAGCTGAATGTCTTGTTTTAGCTAATAAATTTGAACAGTGATGACACACATTACTTTGGGATAACACCTTGAAGGAACAGTGTGCAATTAACTCTGTTTGTTCTCTGTCCTGGTAATCGCAGAAGAGGTGTAACCTGTGACCCTGCATGAAGAACAAATAGAGTAGCACTCCCAGCCAGTGCAGGATGAACAGAGAGAAATATGTGAGGAAAAAAACAAAAACAAAAACAAAGCACATTGGTTCTTTTAAGCCATGGATATTGGGGGTTATGTGTTACTACAGCATAGCCTGTCTTACCCTGATTGATAGCCTCACATAGCTGCTAATCCTTCCAGCTCTTTTTTTCATCAGGTGAGCTTATAGCAAAAATTAAAGAAAAAGTGAGCTGGGTGCAGTGACTCACACCTGTAATCCCAGCACTTTGGAAAGCCAAAGCGGGCGGATCACGAGGTCAGGAGATCGAGACCATCCTGGCTAACATGGTGAAACCCCCGTCTCTACTAAAAATACAAAAAAATAGCCAGGCGTGGTAGCAGGCTCCTGTAGTTCCAGCTACTTGGGAGGCTGAGGCAGGAGAATCGGCTTGAATCTGGGAGCTGGGCGCAGTGACTCACACCTGTAATCCGAGCACTTTGGGAAGCCGAAGCAGGTGGATCACGAGGTCAGGAGATCGAGACCATCCTGGCTAACATGGTGAAACCCCATCTCTACTAAAAATACAAAAAATTAGCCAGGCATGGTGGCGGGCGCCTGTAGTTCCAGCTACTTGGGAGGCTGAGGCAGGAGAATCAGCTTGAATCTGGGAGATGGAGGTTGCAGTGAGCCAAGATCGCGCCACTGAGCTCCAGCCTGGGCAACAGAGTGAGACTCTGTCTCAGACAAAAAAAAAGAAAAGAAAAGAAAAAGTCATTTCACATTTGGGGGCCTATGGCTATTTGTACTTTGTCTTTTCTACAATGAGTAGTATTTTGTTATCACTGTAGTTTACCTTCCCTGTTGCAAATGCTTTTTTTTTTTTTTTTTTGGAGACAGAGTCTCCCCACCCAGGCTGGAGTGCAGTGATGCAATCTCTGCTCACTACAACCTCTGTCTCCTGGGTTCAAGCAATTCTTGTTTAGTCTCCCCAGGATTACAAGTGCATGCCAGCACATCCAGCTAATTTTTGTATTTTTAGTACAAATGGGGTTTCACCATGTTGGCCAAGCTGATCTCCAACTCCTGACCTCAAGTGATCCTCCCACCTTAGCCTCTCAAAGTGCTGGGATTACAGACATGAGCCACCGTGCCCAGCCGCAAATGCTTTAATTTTAAAAAATTTTTAAATAAGGACTGAACAGATTCAAGGTGTACAATGTGATGATTTATATATGCCTTGTGTAATGATTACCGCAATCAAATAAATTAACACATCCATCACCACCCACACTGGGGAACAAGATCCTCAGAACCTGTTCATCTTTTTACTGAAATTTGTGTGTTTTGACCAACAGCTCTCCATTTCCCCCACCCCCAAACCTTGCCAACCACCTTTCTACTCTCTGCTTCCAAGAGTTCAGCTTTTTAGATTCCATATATCAGTGAGATCATGCGGTATTTGTCATTCTGTGCCTGGCTTATCTCACTTAGCACGGTGTCCCCCAGGTTTACCCATGTGTTTGTTTGTTTATTTTTGTTTGTTTTTGTTTGTTTTTGAGACAGAGTCTCACTCTGTTGCCCAGGCTGGAGTGTAGTGGCACGATCTCGGCTCACTGCAAGCTCTGTCTCCTGGGTTCACACCATGTTTTTACGAACACAGTATTTCCTTCTTTTTATAGCTGAATAATACTCCACTGTATGCACTGCAGCCCAGCCAATACTGCCACATATTTTCATTAAAAACCATAGAGCATGTTCCATATGTACATGATGCTCTTGAGTTTCTGCACCACTCCATTCATTCATTCACAGTGAGGGTAAGCAAGGCAATCATGGCTTTTATCCTCATCAAGCTTACAGACTTTCGTGGAAAACAGAAAATTAAAGAGCCTAGAACAATCCACAGTGTAGGCTACAAGAACATCCAGAAGTGATTGTGAGGTTAAGGTTGGTGGAGGTGAAGGGTGGCTAGAAATAGCTTGCTGGGAAGAAGCAGAAACAACATGGGTGCTGTAGTTTACATGTCTGTCCCCTCCAAATCTCATGTTGAAGAATGATCCCCACTGTGGCAGGCAGACCTAATGGGATATATATATATACACACACACACATATACGCACATATACACACACACACATACATATACATACATACACACACACACACACATATATATATATTTTTTTTTTGGAGACAGGATCCCACTGTGTCTCCTAGACTGGATTGCAGTGGCTCAGTCTCAGCTCACTGCAACCTCCACCTCCCAAGCCCTACTGATGTGTGTGCCCTACTACCAGTGTGTGCCACCATGCTTGGCTACTTTTTTTGTATTTTTGTAGAGATGAGCTTTTGCCACGTTGCTGATAACGGTCGTGAACCCCTGAGCTCAAACAATCTGCCTACCTTGGCCTCGCAAAGTGCTGGAAGTACAGGCGTGAGCCACCACACCCAGCCATCTTTTTATCGGCTTACCCAACTCCTGACCATAGTATTTTCCTTGGGAGACAAGGTAGAGTAGATGTAAGGGACTCTGGGCTCTAGGGATGCACCAAATTTTTTGACTTACATCTCAATAACTTATACACATCCAATCTAGGGGGGATCCCAGTTTCTCATCTGATAAATGAGGGTAATAATAAGATGGACTTAAATGGATTCCTATGAAATATTGATGTGAAATGCTTAGAATAGTGCCTGGCCCATTGTAAGCTCTCAGTAAATGTTCATAAAGAATAATGTCAACAGACAATGCTTCTAAATCTCATGCGTGTTGCACAGGATGCTAAAATTGTCTTGGAAGTCACGCAGTGCCATGGACTAGAACTAATTCAGAGAGACAGAGTCACAAAGGACGACAACACAGGAACCACCTGAGTATTCATTTTGCACCAGGCATTGCACTTGGGCCTGGGGAAACAGCACTTGGAAGAAGTGAGTATACTCCATGGCCCCCTGCCCCTGCAGCATCTGAGTCTAATTGTGCAAATGACATTGAACACATGATAAAACATGCTGGTAAGCTTCATGGAAGGTACATTGCACAGAAGGACATACCCAGGAAAGGGCTGTGGGACTCATCCTATGGCTCTCTGCCCAAGGAAACAGTAACAACTATGCAAAAAAAAAAAAAAAAAAGAAAGAAAGAAAGAAAGAAAGAAAGAAAGAAAGAAAGAAAGAAAGAAAAGAATCAAGAATCAAGGCCTGCAGTTGCTTACACAGACTCAAAATATAGCAGCTTTCTCAATTAGAAAGAAAAAAAGCAACTTGTGCAGAATGTGAACCTCCAAGGAGTTTTAAAGGGCATTTCATAAATCACTGTTTCACCTGGTTCCAAGTAAGAGACTCAGATTCATGGCTGCTTTCTCATTTGTCAACTAAAAGTATTTATTAGTACATGCAAGATGTTTAGAAACTTGCACAACCACTTATAACCTATTAGTGAAATATCCAATTACACACATCGTGTCTTCATTTACTTCCAAACTAAATACTTGGAAACCTGGACTGAGTCACCCTTGCTAATCCTGCTACATATACCTCCTGTATGCCAGCACAGCTGAATTTCCACAGTGATCATAGACAAAAGTTGATGATGCCTATTAAATATTCAATATGTGCTCTGAAGAGTGATACACAGTTTATGGATACTATTTCACTCACAAGAATGTTATAAAGTGAATACTAGTGTTGCCTTATCTGTACAATGACTGTTCTGTACAATTAGTGTGCAGATAAGGCAATCTCTAATTGTACAGATAAGGTAATCAGGTCTTAAAGTGGTTAAATCACTGATACAAGTTCAGAGGGCTGGCACCCAAGTCATCTGATTCCAGAGCCACAAACTCTTGACTACAATGTTACTTACCCATGAACTATCTTGAACTATGGAGTCTAATTCTCTACCCATGCAGCCGACATCAGTAGAAATGCAGCTGAACATCAGTAATGATGGAAATGAGTAATATCCCGCTGAAAACTCCATGCCTTAAAGCACCAACATGGCCTCATAATGATCTCTACACAGTTTGTTCCTGTATAACAGATCTAGGTGGATGATGTGAATGTGGTTAGCTTTAGCTTGACTTACCTAGGCCAGAGTGATACATACTCATTAGGCAAAGTGCTGCCAATACCGTCATTAAATCATTCACCAGAATCCAACTTGTGGATTCCTCCAAGGCCATGAGGTTAGCAACTAAAAAACTGGCCCCTACACATGTTCAGAAATCTGTCCACTAATCACTTATAAAGCCATATTATGTTACCAATAATTAAATTACAGTATTTAAAAATTCATCCTGGTGTCATTAGCAATCTTCCAGCAACTAGCATAAAAGAAAAAACAAAAAGATAAAATAAAAGAAAGGAAAAGAATAGCAGGAACAGATTCTGCAACTGAATTGAATTTTCCTCCTAAAATTGGTTTGTTCTACATGACAACCCCTCGCCCTTCTAAAAATCACACATCTTCCTTTATACTGTGTTCATATTCAAAACAACATTAAACCCATATCCATAAGTCAGCCTGATAGACTAACAACAGGGAAGGTTTCCTCAGAACTGTTACAGCCTATTGGGTAAATACATATTTGGTACACGTTCTAATTTTGAAAAACATGTTATTTACTTACTAGACTGTAACAGTTCTACTGAATGGTTACAGACTACCAGGTAAATATGTATTACGGAATGCATGCATATTAATTCTGAAACCATGGAACATTTACCCAGCAGACTGTAACATTCTGGTCTGCTGTGGACAGCCCCTGCCCCCGTGAATCTTTTCCCTAGTAGACAGCAGGGAACCTTTCCAGTCATTTGCTTGGGCGTGAAGCATATTCATTTTAAGGAGGGAAGCCTTCCAGACTAGTATCCAATTACTTTTTGTTACAAATATCAAAGTTCATAGACTGCAAATTAAAACAGCACTAATGAAAAACAGCTGCACATAGCAACAATTAAGCAGATAATTCAACTTAAGCCTGTGGTTGGAGGGTGCGTTTGAAGTTGTCTTTAAGTGGATGGATACAAGTTGAAATTTGCACATTGACTATCTACAGCACATGCCTCTGAGGGATGAATGCCAACTAGCATCATCTTGATGTGGCCTGCATTCATTTTATCCTTTCACATTAAATATTTATTGGACAGCAACATGCCAAGCACTAGGCTTGATCTTGGAGATTCCATGAAGAGCAAGTCAGACAGTACTCCAGCCCTCTTAGGGCCTACAGTCTATGAGAGAGACAGACATCAACCACATAATCACACAAGTACACAGCTATAAACTGCATTAAGCGCCCTCATAATCAATTTTCAATGCAGAAGTTCAAATTATTCATTTGAAATGTAAGTCAAGACCCTATTTTACTCAAGTAAAATCCAAAGGCCCTGAATGCCTACAAGTCCTAAGTGGTTTGCACCTCCTCCTCACCTTGCTTCTTCCCTCAACTCATTCCCTGCTATTTTCCGCTCCACTCCCTCTGGCCCTTCTATTGTCTCTTGAACAGACGGCTACTCTCAAGCCTTAGATCTTTTGCTTTGACTGTTTTCACTGCCTGGAATGCTCTTCCAAATCCATGCAGCTGGCTTTATGCCAAAATGTCACCTTCACAGTAAGGCCCACACTGGCCCTCTCCTCCTCATGTAAAATTGCAATGGATTCTTCCACCCCCACTCTCCTGCCCTCCTCATCCTTTTCTGTTTTGGTTTTCTTTTTTCCATAGCACTGCTCATGTTCTAACACAATTTGCTCAGGCATCACGCACACTTTTCATTGTTTTTCCCCCCAACTAGAATATTGACTTCATGAGGGCTTGACTTTTTTTTTTTTTTTTTTTTGATAAATGGCAAACGAATTGATTACCATGCATGGGGCAGAATAACAGAGTGATTACCCCACCGCACAATGTGATACAGATGGTTATATATCCTTCTTCTTAGGGGAAAGGGAAATGGGAAAGTGTGGATGATTTTAGCATAGGTAGTAAGTGATTTTTACGGGAACTCAATGGGCTTGAAGAACAATGGCCTGTGACAAAAGTCTGTTCATGTGGGTTGGAAAACATCAGTCTTTCTTCCTGCAATATGAGTTCAATTAATGAGAACTCAGGGAAGGAACCAGAGGTTCTTGTTTTCTTTTTTAGTGGGTCCAGACTTTAGGCAGATAAGGGAGCTTCAGGGAACAACTTCAGTTTGTCGTCTTTACACCAACAAGTTCCAAATGCAGGAAGAGCGCCTGGCACATAGTAGGTGTTCAATATATGGATATAAAGAGATATAGATATATAGACACACACAGATTATAGAGGGATATATATACACAGATATATACCTATGTACTTATTTGTGTGTGTGGGTATATATTCACATATATGTGTGTGTGTATACATGTATGTATGTATATATATACACATACACCCACACGTCCTATTTTCCAATGTCCTTCCAACACGACAGGTGACTCAAGTCATACAGTTCAAAAAGCTTCCCATTTCCTCAACATGAAATTCATGTTTTCTCAAAAAATGCATAGTTCAGGATAAACTCTTCTCCTCTTTCTAAAAGAGAAGATGGTGCTGAGATGATCTCAGCAGTGGTACTAGCAGCTGTGTGTGGATCTATATCTATATATGTATACATACGTGTGTGTGTATATATACACACATATACACACATACATATACATGTTCTAAATATATGTGAGAGAAATAGACTGAGAGAATGAATAAACCCCTGTTTGGGTGTTTTGTCTAATTAGACACTTTTGGTTATAAGGCACAACTTATCTAGACATTGACATGACATGTGACTATGTGAGTGTGTGTTTGTGTATATATATATGTACACACAAACAGTCATATATATACACATATGTATATACACACACACACACACACACACATATGTATATATAAACTGGAGGAAAAGTACAAGGAACTATGAGACCAAATACAGACATATTCTCATCTATCCTAGGGAGTTGGAGTTGCATTAGGGGTGGGAATTCCAGGAAAGACTTTCCTGGAGGAAGCGGCATTTTTGAGTAGAGAGTGAAAGGAGAAGTAAAAGCTAACTCTGCAAAGGTTGTGGTGAGGCAGGAGGGGCACATTCCAGACAGAGGGAGCAGAATGCTCACAACGTCCCACTCAGGAGGAGCTGGGTATGTTTGGGGAAGTAAAAGTCAGCATGGCGGTAAGGCAAGAGCTAGTGGGCTTGAGGATTTAAGTCAGGGGGTGGGGGTGGGGGAAGCATGTTAATCATCTTAGCTGAAACACGTTCTTTACCTGTGTGAGAGTGGGACGGACGGAGGGAATGAATAAGCACCTGTTTGGGCGTTTTGTTTTGTTTAATTAGCCATCTTTGGTTATAAGGGACAATTTTTCTAGACATTGACATGACAACTGCCATATCCCCAGGACAAAAGCCAAAAGCCCCATGTGTCAATTTGTAGGGAAACTTTTGAAAGTCATGACAAAGTTCTACATCAGGAGGCTGATTTTTCCAATGTCCTTCCAACGTGACAGATGACTCAAGTCATACAGTTCAAAAAGCTTCCCATTTCCTGTCAGGAAATCCATGTTTTCTAAAACTAAAAAATGCACAGTTCAGGATAAACTCTTCTCCTCTTTCTAAAAGAGAAGACTGCACTGAGCTGATCTCAGCAGGGGTGCCAGGAGCAGCAGCAGCAGCGGCAACATGCTCTGTAAGGCCTCTTTCTTATTCTCGATTTGCAAAATGCTTTCTCTGATTGCCTCTAACAATGGGAGGTGGGGACGAGCCACATAGAGTCATTTCACCCATCACTAACCCAACACACCTGCACGTTACGCTCCAGCTCTATCGCACTCCTCCCAGGCTTCTGGGCAACCGATATTTTTTGAAAGACTTATAAAGCACTGATTTGGAGTACATAATAACTTAATATTAATTTAAGTGACTAACATAGAGAGCCTTAAAAAAGAGCCTAATTTATGAAAAATAGATCTCAATTTTCCTAGAAAATGTTTCACAGTGACAGCAATGTATCCCATGAGCAAAAATGAGGTTGTGGCAAGAAAGAATTTAATTAAGATGAGTTGGGCATGCCATAAGCAGTATATCGCTGAAGAAGCATTGGGGAAGTACTTAACACACCAAAGGGGAGAATACACAATATTAAAATGACCAATAAATTAGCCTACAAATCTACTTAGCTCTACATTTGTCCTGCACCACGAAATAAAACATTGCCTTGACATGGAACCGTCTGAAATTTTTCACAGCAAATCAATTTATACCGAAGAAGGAAAATGCTTATGCAACTTCTGGGCTGCAGTTTGCAATGAGATACTTGGTCGAAAGGAGCATTTTCCCCTTCTCCATTTCATCAGAGATAGAATGGGAATTAATCAGCGATACTTAACTACCCTTTCAACAGGACTTCGGCAACACCCACAGAAATACTTCATTTCTTTCAACATTTCTGAACGTCAGACAGCCGCCAACTTTTAGTAATTCCATATATTACTGCAGACTGTGAAAAAGGATGTTAAATCACAAGACAGATGACAATGTAATAAATTAGAGAAATTGTGGCTGTTATTGTGAAATCGTACTGTCCCAGTCTGGTTCACATCTCCATTTCTTGATGTAATACGATTTGAGTATAATTCTTAGCAATTATTTTCAAAGCATTCATAAGTTCTTCTCCCCACTGTGAAAGCAAGATTCTGCTTTATATCCTCTTTTAAATCTTAATTCATGGGTGTCATGCATCACCCGAAAAAGAAGGGCATGGTGATTCCAAAATGTCTGTTTTGCCAGATTGTTCTTTCCCACTTTTTTATTATATATATGTATATATATATATGTGTATATATATGTGTGTATATATGTATATATGTATATGTATGTATATATGTATATATGTATGTATATATGTATATGTATGTATATATGTATATATGTATGTATATATGTATATATATGTATATATATGTGTATATATGTATATATATGTATATATATGTATATATATGTATGTATATATACGTATGTGTGTATATTTATATATATAATGAATATTTAATACATGGCTCAGCAATGGATGACAAAAACCTCAACTCTGTGATCATCCAGTTAAGTGAAATCTCCTCTACTTCTCCTCAGAAGACAGTCACCAGTCTTGCCATGGTAGCAAAGAAGGGTCAAAACATAACACCTGCAGTCACATGAGCCTCTTCAGGTCTAAGTCATAAGAAATTTACTATTAATTTATTTTCTGCCACTTTTTCTTTTAAATGCAAATTTCTACGGCAGATCATCACAATACATTTAATTCTCTATATCATGTGATTATAACAAAACAATTTGGCCATGGCACTGTGGCATCATCTCAATACATGCCATCTTATCTCAGGCTATATATTAATCTAAAATTCAATCTGGAAAATGACAAGAATGTCTCATAATGGAATACCCAGTGAATGGCTGATTCGTCTTTCATTGTCTGTGGGCCTTAATGCGCCGTGGACTTCCTGGGAACAAATGAGACCTCAGAGGCGACATGTTTTCATTTTATCACATTTATTTGAGATGACCGAGGACAGTGCCCAATATTTATTCACCACATTCAACATTTGCCATCATCAGAATAAAAGGAGAGCCGGCACAGTTTGAACAACATCTGGTAATTCCAAAGAGATAGTGTCACTTGAAGAACAAATGAACCTTTAGTTAATAAAATCTCCCCCTGACTGACAAAGATGCCTTTTTGTACACATGCAGGATCCGTGATAAGTAGATAGAGAGACGTTGATAAAGAACACCCAATTCCTACAGCGGGAAGTCAATGCCGCCCACGTTTAAATAAAGACAGGGTTTATTACTGGTCTTTTATGAATCATGATAAATTAAATGTCCTGAGTTCTGGAGGAATAGAAGATTTAAATTATAATTCTGAAGGCCATGGGAGTTTCACTAGTCTCAAAATGCCCTAGTGCCTCAAAGTAAGACTAATATTACCAAGGACAAAAAAATGTAGTCGGTTCCAATAAAGAACCCCTTTCATCCAATAATGCCAGAATAGAGTCGATCCTCCTATATTCCGAATGCCTATGATCCCCATCCCTTATGCAGCCAATATTTAATGAGAATTGACTAATAACCAGACACTGTGCTAGTCACGTGCATTTCATAGTAAGAAAATGTCTAGAATAGGCAAGTCTGCCTAAATGTCAATGCAACTACACACAAGTGCGTAACTAAACAGAGATAAACACACAATAGATGGAATGATATCTTTTTTGTTTGTTTGTTTTGTTTTGTTTTTTTTTCAGACAGAGTCTAGCTCTGTCGCCCAGGCTGGAGTGCAGTGGCATGATCTTGGCTCACGGCAAGCTCTGCCTCCCGGATTCACGCCATTCTCCTGCCTCAGCCTCCTGAGTAGCTGGGACTACAGGCGCCCGCCACCACGCCCGGCTAATTTTTTGTATTTTTTAGTAGAGACGGGGTTTCACTGTGTTAGCCAGGATGGTCTCGATCTCCTGACCTCGTGATCCGCCTGTCTCCGCCTCCCAAAGTGCTGGGATTACAGGTGTGAGCCACCGTGCCCAGCTGGAATGGTATCCTTTAATACATGAAGAACTAGACTTCTGACTACTGTGTGGTCAAACCCATATTTCATCAAGCTTTCGCATTACCATAACACTGGAAATGATGGGTTTTATAACTATTGATCATGCCCAATGGATAGGATTTGGGTGAAAGGAAATTAATTAAAGAGACAGGCTTTGTATACTTGGATCTTACCTGATATGGAATGCAGGGAACATTCTCTGGTCTAGGACTCCTGATTTTAAAAGAGTATTTATGATAGAAATGCAGACACTACTGGACATAAAAAGTATGAGACATAAGAATGGAGGCACCCCCTTATCCTCCTTCCCTGTGTTTCCATGTGCAAGAATTTTTCTAGCATAATATTCTGGGCCTCTCCCCAGCTTCTCATTCCTCCATGCTAAGAAGGAATGGTTTATCAAATTGGTTCCTTTGGGAAAAGAACCTGGATGTACTCAGGCTAGTCACTTAGCCCTAGGTCAAATTCTCCAGCTGGCAGAAAAAGCATACTCTGGGCTTCTTTCTCAGCTACAGCACTCATGAGTGAGAGAGAGAGCGACAGAGCGAGAGTGAGAGGGAGAGTCTGTGTGTGTCTGTGTGTCTGTGTGTTTATCTGTGTGTGTCTGTGTGTGTGTCTGTGTACCTTTGTGTGTGTGTCTGTGTGTGTGTGTGTGTGTGTGTGTGTGTGTGTCTGTGTCTACTGGAGGCCAGAGGATGGACTGAAGATTTCCACACTTTCAGTGACTGATGGACAAGTCTGCACAAATCAGGAGAGTACAAGCAAGCCCATTCGGCCATACCTTTAAATTTGGGTTTATTTAATAAGCGGAAACCTTTTTGTTTTCTTGTTTAGAAAACCAGTTTTATTGAGATAGAGTTCATAAACCATAAAATTCACTAATTCAGGGTACACGATTCAGTAGCTTTCAGTATATTCACACAGTGGTGCCATTATCACCACAATTTAATTTTAGAACTTTTTTTTTATTACCCCGGGAGGGAAGCCTCGTGCACATTTGCAGTCCACGCTCCATCCCTAGGCAATTACTAATCTACTTCGCATCTCTATAGACTTGCCTATTCCCAACACTTCACGGGGATGGGAGCAGAACCTTAAAAACATTAGGCTAAATGAAAGAAGATTGTTTATTTCCTTTTGCCTTCCTGCCCAGCTTCTTTCTCCATTGGTTCTTACTCAGTAGGGAAATAAAGGGATGTTATTTCTTAAACCCCTAGAGCTACCACATATGTAAGATGGTTTCTTGTGCCCCATTTTGCCAATTTCTAATTACTTCTTTAACACTTTGTTATTTTCATTTTGCACAGACATTAAACTGTTATGTTAAGGCCAGCACTTATTTATCCATTCATTCATTCATTCATACTTTCAAAACACATTTATTCATCCCTAATATGTCTGCCAGACCCTGGGGTTTCCAAAATGAATAAACCCTGGTACCTGCCCTCTGGGAACTCACACTTAATTGTTGGGAATGATTTAGGTACAAAGTTGTGCAAAATCTATAAAACCGACTCCCAGGAAGGTAAGTCCAAGGACTCTTGTCAATTCATGATGAGATTTGGCACCATCCACGGGTTGCTGTCTCCATGAAATTCCTTCTACCCTTTAGGAAACTGTCCCTCCCTGGTTCACCTGCCACCTCTCCTATCACCTTTTGCTGTCCTTCTCTCCTCCATTCTTCCAACCATTCATAGAAGTGGCCCATCCTTAAAACAAATCTTCTTTTCTTCCTTTTCTATCATCCTGTCCTGAGAGAGATCGTCCATCCCCACCGCGTCTACTCTCACCTCCATGGCAACTTGTGAGTAGCACAAAGGTGAGTAAGATGTGATTAGATAGACTTGGTGACAATTGGATATTGGGTGGTAGGTTTGAGGTGCATGTACTTGTGTGGATTGGTGTAGGTGGCATCAATTTCCACCAAGTATTTCCATGTTTCCCTTGCCAATTATCGATTAGCTAACTTATCTCAAAAAGAGCATTCTCCTTTCTATCCATCCTTGATAGACGTTCACTGAATAGTCCTATACACTCCACACATTATCCCCAGCATTTGCTGCCTACGTCTGCACTTCACGATCTTTATTTCAACCCAAAAGCTGCTGTCTGCTCTAAATCGGTGGCAACTTCATGGAAACTATTGATTTATAGTGATGACCCTTCTTGCCTGTTCACATCTCAAATCCATAGCGTGAGAAGAGCTGCAGAAATATTTATTCAGACAGATAAAATCCTCCCTGTTTAACAGAACTGACTTCCATGACCAGTGGGCACATCCTGTTACCTAGGGACGTTTCCACGGGATTACATACTGAGACTCTGGCTGTAACTGGAAGTTGCTGCCACTGAAGTGTCAAAACAAATAATAATAAAAGCCAGTCCTCAGAGAACTTGCAGGGGGCAGCTGATGCTTTTTCTTTAGATACTTTTTAAAAAATTTTTAATTAGAAAAGATTGTAACATAGATACCAGAAATCTATGTAATCTAATAACATACATTTTGTTATATTATGTATAACACAAAACAGAATATACTGCCAGACATACTCTATATTATATATTTATAATATATATCTTACACATAATACATTCATACATACCACATATAATTGTATGTGTATTTATATGTGTGTACATTTTCTATATAATTTTTGGTATAAAATGTACACACATATGTATGTGTATATCACATAATTACCCATTTCTGCAACAAAAGGAATATACAAATTTTGTTTCTTTTTCCATTTTCCAAGGATGCCAAATTTCAGAAGGTAAAAGAATGATGAATCAAACCTCAAAATTCCTCAAGTATTGTTGTTTATCATTGCCATCAATGCACACAACACTGGGATAACAGGTAACATTTATTCGGCAATTACCATAGACCAGGCAAACATCTGAATACTTTGCAGGTAGTATCTCCTTCAATCTTCACTACAAACACATGAATTGGGCATTATTATTCCATTTTACAGATGACATTACTGAGTTTCTGAGAACTACAGAGACTAGCCCAAGGAGTCACAGCAATTTCACCCTGAGTCTTTCAGTCCCCAAAACTGGGCTCTGATTCACTGGTATGATTGGTTTCCTGATATTAGTTATTCTCTTTCCTTTTAAAGAAAAGGGGTTGCCCTCCTTCAAATACTTTCATTATTACTCTATTCACTGGTCTAATTCAGCTTAAATGAGGACTTTCAAAGGTATGTATATTTACTAGATGTGTTCCAACTTTTAAAAATGTGGGCATAGCTTAGCCACACACAAGAACATTATTGTCCCAGCAGGAAGCAGTAGGTCATGAAGTGATTTCTAAAAGCATAACCTGTTACCAAGCAAAGGTG
This sequence comes from Homo sapiens, assembly GCF_000001405.40. Taxonomy (NCBI): domain Eukaryota; kingdom Metazoa; phylum Chordata; class Mammalia; order Primates; family Hominidae; genus Homo; species Homo sapiens. Next base: position 6,552,050 of record NC_000016.10, on the reverse strand, counting down.
GGAGGCATGGAAATTCATCCTTTCCTCTCCTGCTGAACTAATAGATGTTCTGAATTGACTGGTAATGGGATATGACTAGAAGATGAGAGGCAAATCCTTCTGAAATCCAAATAACTCTCAAAAATTTAAAGAGTAGACTGGATCCTGAAGGACACTGAGCTGAAGGCTTTTCCCACTCTGAAATGACCAACGCACTGAGAGAGAAGAACCACCTTGGCAGAATGTGAGATGTAATTGGCATGATAATCACAGTAGCTCTGACGTCCCGGTTGGAAAAGGACCATCTCAGCTGTCCACAACTGCTGCCTTATTATCAATCATCAGACATGGATACATTATTCATTTTGGCTCTAATCTTTTAATAGTCTTATCTGTAGCTATATTAGCTACACATTCCCAGGCAAGCTTTTACAGAATTCCTTATTTTAAGTGTTCTTAACACCAAGCACCTCCCCTTCAGATCAATTATGTCATAATTTACATTTTAAATATTATCACTTGATGAATGTGTGTGCTACCAGCCTGCAGACTTCATGAGCCAATAGCTACAAGTAATAGCTGTCATTTGCTAAATGGTTACTTATGTTAGACAGCGTAAAATTATACGATCCTTTAGTTTTCACAATAGCTCTGTGAAGTATCTCTTTATTCCCATTTTACAGGCAGGAAAATTTAGGCACACAGTTGTTGAATAACTAGTCTGAGATGCCGCTGGTAATAAGAGGCAGCCCCAGACTAGACCATCCCAGTAGCAAAGCTCCAACCATGAGGGCAGCAGTCACATATGTATTTACTCATTACATGTGTCCAACACATAGCTGATGCTACACAACATTTGCTGAATTAGTGAGAAGCTGCTTATCCTGAGTTGGGCTAGATCTATATAGACATACAGGGAAGCCCTTTGCTTTGTGTTAATCTCAGAGAGTTGAGCTCTGTAACCCAAAACGCAGAGCCATTATCACATAAAATGGGTCCAGGAGGCAAAATTCCTGGGGCCCCCAAGAGAAACAAAATCCATCTCCTCCTCTGCAGTCAGCTCACTGTTCTCCTGTGCTCCTCCAAACTATTAATGCCCACACTTGTATTCCCATAAGTGAACACAGCCAGACCCAAATGATGATAACTTGAGTTGCCCGAGTATTCACACCCTCCTTTAGACTTGTCTGGGAAGAACTCACCAGAATTAAATATCTATTTAGGGCCAGGCATTGTTCTAATCAATGTGAAGTGCCGAAGCAAGAATCACAAAACAGTACTCTGTTTCTCAAGAAAGACATAAATTCTTAGAAACTAAAACTGAAGTAGGTACAAAGTATTTTATGAAGTATAACAATTTCAGTGGGGATGCAGAAGAAGAAATTGATTTTGGCTCATGCTGGAAAAAGCTCATGAAGAAGGAAAGAATTAGAAGTGTGCCATGAAGGCTGGGCACAGTGGCACATGCCTGTAATCCCAGCACTTTGGGAGGCTGAGGCAGGTGCATCACTTGAGGTCAGGAGTCCAACACCAGCTTGGTCAACATCATGAAACCCCGTCTCTACTGAAAACACGAAAATTAGGTGGGCATGGTGGCAGACGCCTATAATCCCAGCACTTTGGGAGGCCTAGGTGAACAGATCACTTGAGGCCACGAATTGGAGGCCATGAACTGGAGACCAGCCTGGTCAACATGGTGAAGGCTTGTCTGTAATGAAAATATAAAAATTAGCTGGGCCTGGTGGCACACACCTGTAGACCCAGCTGTTTGGAAGGTTGAGGCAAGAGAATTGTTGAACCTGGGAGGCGGAGGTTGCAGTGAGCTGAGATCACGCCACTACACTCCAGTCTGGGCGACAGAGTAAGACTCTGTCCCCCCGCCAACCCCCAAAAAAGAAGTGTACCATGAAGAACAGTGAGAGATAGAGAGAGGGGAGGGAGAGGGACTCCAAACAGAGCGAAGAGAAAAATGTTTCAGCTGGAGGCACAAGTGAACAGCATTTTAGATTCAGTCATAAAGTATGGAATGGTGTCCACTTCTTGGGTGGATTTGAAACTGTCACCCCTCTTAGACAATGTTCAAAAAGTGTCAGAAAATCCACTGTAAAAGCAAAGCCAGCCAAAGAAAGCATCTGTGAACTGGTAAGCAGAGCAAACTGAGCTGGGTAGTAGTCAAAGTACGTAAGGGTCCATGAGAAGGTCTCTCTACTACTGTGTGCTTGTGTTTCCTTTTGTTTTAGGATCGACCTAAAATCTTTTACTTTGGAAAACCACCCTTGCCCCATTCTACATCTGCCTATTTCATTTAGTCAGAGCTGTATTCCCCTCATTCTTACCTTACTCTGTAGGTCATGAGGCTGGAGACCAGCCACTCAGAAGACTCCAGCCCTATCGTCTAGGGATTTGCTCAGAAGTAGGCACATGACTCAAATTAGCCAATCAAAGCCTTCCCTACAATTTGCTGCAGTATCTTCAAGTGAATGCTTTCCTCCTCCTTCCTCCCTTCCTCCCCTCCTCCCATCCTCCTCCTCCCCTCCTCCTCCTCCCTCCTCTCCTCCTCCTCTTCCCCTCCTCCTCTTCCTCTTCCCCTCCTCCTCCCTCCTCCCCACTTCCTTTTCCCTCCTCCCTCCTCCTCCTCCCTCCTCCCCTCCTCCTCCTCCTCCCTCCTCCTCCTCCCTCCCTCGTCCCCTCCTTTTTCCCCTCCTCCTCCTTCCCTCCTCCCCTCCTCCTCCACCCCTCCTCCTCCCTCCTCCCCTCCTCCTTTTCCCTCCTCCCTCCTACTCCTCCCTCCTCCTCCTCCCTCCTCTCCTCCTCCTCCCTCCTCCTACTCCCTCCTCCCCTCTTCCTCCCTCCTCCCCTCCTCCTCCCTTTTCCCCTCCTCCTCCTCCCACCTCCCCTCCTCCTCCTTCCCCCCCCCTCCTCCTTCCCTCCTCCTCCTCCTTCCTCCCCTCTTCCTTCTCTTTCCTCCCCGCCTCCTCTTCCCTCCTCCCTTTTTTGGGGACAGAGTCTTGCTCTGTTGCCCAGGCTGGAGTGCAGTGGCATGATCTCAGCTCACTGCAACCTCCACCTCCAGGGTTCAAGTGAATCTCCTGCCTCAGCCACTTGAGTACCTGGGATTACAGGCGCCGCCACCATGCCCAGCTAATTTTTGTACTTTTAGTAGAGATGGGGTTTCGCCATGTTGGCCAGGCTGGTCTCCAACTCCTGACCTCAAGTGATCCACACACCTTGGCCTCCCAAAGTGCTAGGATTACAGGCGCAAGCCACTGCACCCAGCCAAGGATGCTAACTTCTCGAAGACTACGTGTGGAAGAAACCTAACGATGCCTGGTACCAAGAGAGGAAGCAGATCTGAGAGAATCAGAGTTCTTGCGACATCGTGAAATCTTCTGACTCAACCGCGCCTGAAGTCTACCCCGTGTGCTTCCCAGTTCTATAATTTAATTCTTTTTTCCTTCAGCTTATTTGAAAGTTTATTCGTGTTTTATTTGTATCTTTGTCATCCCTGTGACTACCTGGAGAGCTTACTTGAAACTTAAAAAAATTTCTTTTTTCACTTGGAACTGAAGAAATTCTGAAGAAATCAGTGTGTAAACATCCTTGTAACCTTGTACATTCTAATTCTATGCTGGTTGTGCCTTCCCTTCTCATAACAAAACCTAAAAAGCCCAAAGAGACACTACATACCCCCCAACAATTTGATATTGAGACCTCCGCCTTTGGAATTCTCATTTCTATTCTTTTAAGCACCACTCTGTTTTCTAAACTGCCAAAATGATTCAAATGATCTCGGACACTATAGCTTTTTTGACAGTTGCTGACATCTAGCAAAACAAAACAAAAGTTTACAAGACTGATGGAGATTATAAATAAAGGATGGCAATACCCAAGACTCACAATATTCAAGGCATGTCAGTAAAGTGACACATTTAACTGGATTAAATGTAAACCAGCCTTCAGTATGTGAAATATGTGTATCCTTCAAAGAACTGAAGTTAATAGTAGGTCCTGCAATTCTTACTACGATGAATAGTCTGAGCTTGTCAATAAGAAAATAGATAATAAGGGCTATGATTAAAGGACTTTCAGTGTACATCCATTGTCATAGGTCTTCTCTACGTTTCCCAGCTAAGGGTCTTTCACAGCCTCGCTTGCAGTCTGGGGTTTAGTCAGCATCCTAACCGTGAGAAACACTGTGAATTAAATACTATTCCTTTCCAGAGTTCAAAGAAGTCACATTTGAAGGCCAAGGTTTAGATGCAAATAGGAAAGATGACATTTTGAGAGAAAAAAAAAAATCACACATGACCAGGAAGGACCCCTGGTCTAAACGAAATGTATCCCAGAGTAGATTTTCTCTGATCTCTGCTTTACAAAGATCAGCTATCTTATTACAAACCTCAAAAAGCGATCACATTTACTATATTTCTAGAAGTCTGTAAGTCATGACTGTTTCTTCCTTTTCCCCTCCCTCAGGAGACAGAGAAAAAAGGTGTTATTCTGCCTGACTTCCAGGAGGAAGATTTCATGAATATCTCAATAACAACAACAACAAAAAAAAGAACCACAATTTGTCTGTTCTGTTATCAGCAATTAAAGATACTTTATCTAGTTACTATGGAAGATGGCACCATTCGACAATCATCTCTGACAAACTGATCATTATCAGTAATTTATTACCAGTTTCTTAGTTAATTATCCTCAGGAAGGAGAGCAAAAATCATTTGTATAGAAAATAAGTAGTCATTAACAACAGTGAAATTTGTTGGGAATGTGATTATAAATCACCAGCCGGGGCTGGTAATGATTCCCAGGAAGAAAGAGGAGGAAGAAAAAACAGATACTATATGCCACTTTAGGGAACTATTCTGGGGGAAGAGCATTTTATAATAAACGTTTCCCCACCAATTAAAATGAAGAATGGCTTGCATCTTAGTAAAAGAGCGCCAGATACTTTATTCTCAATGCAATAGAGTTGGGCAGGGGAAGAACACATTTCTGCTTCAGCAGGCAAAGCTAGTAATAATACGCATGCTCAGGCACTTTAAAAATCTGCCTCTCCTGGCTAAGCTCACTTTGAGTCAAGAAAAAGAGCCCTACTTCACTTTTTGAAAGTTAATTGAATCTACGGACCACACTTTGATTTAAGGGTTTGAAAACTGTGTGGTCCACAAACCAAGCATGGACTTCGGAGGCATGATCTGTGTTTGAACTTGTCATTGCCAATGGCAAGCTCAGAATCTTTGGTCCTATTATGGAGCCTATGACCCCATTTGTGAAAATGGAATAGGATATGTATCCGCTAGGGGTTAAATCATGTCCCCTCAAAAAGACAGATAAACCCTTAACCTCAGGTACCTGGTAATGTGACCTTGTTTGCAAAAAGAATCTACAGAAAGGAATCAAATTAAGATGAGGTCAGTAAGGTGGATGTGTCCTTATAAGAAGGAGAAATGTGGACACAAAGACAGACACAGACAGAAGGAAGATGATGTGAAAAGAGCCAGGGAGAATGCCACATGAAAGTAGAAGCAGACAGAGGTGCTATGGAGCTGCCAATCACAATATGCCAGAGAGTGCCATTACTCCAGGAGTCAAAAGAAGCAAGGCAGAATTCCCTTACAGGTTTCAGAGGGAGCATGACCCAGCTGACACCCTGACTTTGGGCTCCTTGGCCCAGAATGGTGAGGCAATAAATGTCTGTCATTTTTAGCCACCCAGTTTGTGATACTAACTAATACCCTATCTTACAAGGTCTTTGTGCAGATTAGGCAAGGAAGAGCTTACAATGCACTTGGGACAAAGTCTGACAGGCGATATGAGTGCCATGAAAATGCTTGCTCAATAGCTTCATGAATCATGACCCTACCTAGACAAACAATACGTTTTTAGGCCAAGCTTGTCCAACCCATGGCCCACAGGTCACATGTGGCCCAAGATGCCTTTGAATGTAGCCTAACACAAATTCATAAACTTTCTTAAAACATTATAATCTTTTTCTGTGATTTTTTAATAGTTCATCAGCTATTGTTAGTGTTTGTGTATTTTATTTAGAGCCCAAGACAATTCTTCTTCTTCCAAAGTGGCCCAGAGAAGCCAAAAGATTGCAAATCCCTGTTTTAGACAACAGTACACAGAGACTATCTAGCACGTGCAGTACTCAAGTTGAAAGAGCTTTAGGCCTGGCATCAGACACCTGGGATTCAAACCCTATTCTTAACATTTCCAAGTTTTCACCAGAGTGGGCTTTAGATTACTCTCCTATAGCTTTGAGGCTGTCCACTATATGCCTTCCTCACAAAGATGCCATCAGCCTCAAGTGGGAAAATGCACATTATAAGCCCTTCGTAGTTTGAAGCACCTTTTATTCAGCAATGCCACTAACATGGGTTCTGGGGACACCATGGTGAGTAACTTAACAAGCACCACATCAATAAATCTGCAATTAGTACAGTGAGATCTTTGGGGTGGAGAGTAGTTATCGGAGGGGTTGGGAATTGCGTTTCTGCAGAGTCTAAACCGAGATGTGACATAAGAGTGGACCTTGCCAAGTGACCACGACAGGAGGCATCCTCTGGCAGAAGGAGAGGCACACGTCTCCAAGGCTGCAACAGAAATGACATGGAGGACAGGGTGTTGAAAGCCCTAAGAATGATGGCCTGGAGAGAAAGAGAGAGAGGGGTTGGAGAGAAAGGCAAGAGGCCAGATGAAACTGGGATTACAGGCCAAGTTATCCGTTTTTATTTTACGTTTGGGTTTTTATTGAAGGCCAGGAGGGGGAAAAGATGGGGAAAGGTAACCTGTTTTGAATATTAAAAGGATCAACCTATTACAAAAAGATTGGATCTGAAGGCAAGGAAAAGAGGGAGACCAGTTAGGAGGCTTGTAGTCCAGATGCGGGTAGTTTGGATTAAAGTGGCAAAAATGGCGCTAGGGAAAAAGTACGCGGATTTTTAGATATCATTTGGAGGAAAGCCATTGTTATTACTTTTATCTCCCAATTTAATTCAACTCAGTCCTATTGGAATGCCTTCTGCCACTTCCCTGACAGATGGTCAGCCTATAAAAAAAAGATTTATTAGTTTAAACTGAATAACCTATGCTTAATCACCCTTTGCCTAATCCTCTGTAAGAAAATAAACTCTTAACTAATAATCATAAAAAGCAGACATGTGCAAACAATGGTACTGGGCAAAGGTAACGGATTCCAACTTGGATCAAGCCCCATCATAATATCACTGGTCGTGGGTACCCTTCGCTGACTAATCTACGTGCTCAGCATCATTCAATTTTCACAATATCTTTGAGAGAGGAGTGTTATCATCTCCATGTGACAAACAAGGAAACTGAGGTTTGAAAAGACAAACTTATATAGAGTCCCACAGTTAGTATGGGGTGGATACGCAGTCAGCGAAACTGAAGTTATGATCCTCAAATCCATCCAGTCTCTTATATGCACCCATGAAGTTAATGAAAACAGCATTTGAATCAATACGATCGAATGCTAAGAGAAAACAATACCAAGAGTTGCATATAATCAATAATGAAGAGATCAGAGTTGAATTCACATGAAAAATTTCCTATGAGATCCTACAAAACAGGAAATTACAGTGCCTCCCAGAACATCCGTTCAACTAAGCTGGACCAGTGAAGCCAAGAACTAATTTAGGTGGAAATGTTTGCCAGGTGTTCCTCAGATTGCAAGAGGGGAAAAGGTGGTTTTCCACCATTGATGACACTTCTGCTATGCTCTAGATATGCTTGATTTGAATCCATTCAAAGTTATGAGGCTAATTTCTTGCAACCACACCTGTGGTGGCCAAGAAGTACCTCTTTCCCCACCAAGTGTGGTCCAAGTACCATAAAGTGAATGCCTGTTCAACAGGGCCTGTTGCCCCTGGGATGAGCACCGTGGAAGTTACTCGGTTCAATCTACTGGTGCTGGGGATGCAAAGACAGATAAGATACTCTCCCATCTCAAACAGCTCATGGGCCAGATGGCACACAAGACAGACACCTAGAAGAGCATCTCAGGTACTTGCTAATATTTGGCAAACATAAGAAACCAGAGACAAGGTGCTTTTCAACATTTCTCCTCTTTATACCTTTCTTAGATTTAAAAGCAAAATGCCCTTATACTTTTTATTCCCCAAATGCCAAGATGGCCTTTCTATCTCGTGTTATCCTTCCTGGGTTCCCCTTCTTCTTCTTTTGGTTTTTTTCATGCAGGTGTATCTGGAAAGATGTGGCTTCTTCTGCCAGGGTAGACTCTGTAGTGACACTTCAGAAAACGTGTCTTACTAAGTGTTTAGAAAGAGATTCTAACCCTTCTAAGATGCTTCGGTGTGAACCTCGGGGAAAGACTTCCACATAATCCCGTAGGTTCTCCTCTCTCCTCCCCTGCCAAGGTGCCTCTTTCCAACCAGGCAAAAATCTTCCAGACCGGGAGGGCATCTAAGTGGAAAACAAAACAACAGCAAAACAACCCAAAGCAGCAGTAAAGGCCTTCTTGGAGCCACAGTAAGGTATAAAAAGCGCAAAGCCCAAAATGCAGGCGGAAAGATCTCAGAGAGGGAACAAGTGGGTTCCCAAACTGAGCCACATGTCAGAGTCAAGAAAGAAAATGCCTCTGCAAGCAGGCTTGAATCAGGCCAACCCAATAAAGGTGCGCAGAGTCTCAGTGGAAGTCTTTGAGAAGCCACCGAGTAGAGACTCAGTGGAAATCTGCCCTTCCATTGTGTCAAGTCACAAGCAGTAAAGAGTCTCAAGGAGGGGCAACTGTTCCAATTCCCAGAGTTGCTGAGCTCACAGCTAACGGTGGCATGGAGGAGACGCCATCCAAAGAATGTTAAACATTAAGCCTAGTGCATCCTCTTCCCTCCTGAAGAATCCTGCCATGTTCCACCTAAGGGATGGGGTACAAATGTGCCACATTTTGAGTGTAACTCTCCTTATCTGCTAAACACGGAGCTTATTTCCATTTGAAATGAACAAAACTATTGATCAAAATTGGCTTGGATGTGATTACTGCCAAACGATAGTGTGGCCCTGGGGAGGGAGAGTGAGAGGAGGAGGAATGATAAAGAGTAGGGCATCCAGGATAAGAGTGATGCCGCACTGTGAAGACAGACGCCCCTTCTAACTGTGACTCAGCACGGTGTGGTCCCCACTAATGTACCCAGAGGAAGTCAATGCCAGGCCAATGAAGTTTACAGACTTACAAAAGATGGTAACTGTGGCACCCAGGAAGGCAGAGCCAGCGTCTTAAGACTGTGGTCCCGGCCGGGCGCAGTGGTTCACACCTGTAATCCCAGCACTTCTGGGGGCCGAGGCAGGCAGATCACGAGGTCAGGAGATCAACACCATCCTGGCTAACACAGTGAAACCCCGTCTCTACTAAAAATACAAAAAATTAGCCGCCAGGCATGGTGGCGGGCGCCTGTGGTCCCAGCTACTTGCCAGGCTGAGGCAGGAGAATGGCGTGAACCCAGGAGGCGGAGCTTGCAGTGAGCCGAGAAAAGGCCACTGCACTCCAGCCTGGGTGACAGAGCAAGACTCCTGCTCAAAAAAAAAAAAAAAAAAAAAAAAGACTATGGTCCCACACAGGGCAGTGGATCATGCGATTATCCACTGAGACACCTTTCTTAGCTGCAGTTGTTGAGCTCAGAGGAAAGCACACATGGGGTAAAACCCTCCAGTACACCTGCCTCACCCCTGCATTTAGAACACCCCACAATCCAGCCCTGTGTGAGGTGCTACTCAAGAAAGAGAAAAGAAACAGATAAGTATCTGACCTCTGGTCAGGAATGGCTTATAGATCTCAAGATTATTTTTAAAATAGATGTTGGTGGGGCAAAGTAGCTCACACCTGTAATCCCAGCACTTTGAGAGGCAGACGCAGGAAGATCACTTGAGGCCAGGAGTTTGAGACGAGGCTGGGCAACATAGCAATAGCCTGTCTCTAAAGAAAAAAAAGTTATCTCTGTGTGATGGTGCACACCTGTAGTCCCAGCTACTCGGGAGGCTGAGATGGGAGGTTTGAGGCTGCAGTGAGCTATGATCATTCTACTGCACTCCAGCAAGGGTGACAGAGTGAGACCTAATCTCTTTAATTAAAAAAAAAAAGGGGGAGATGTAAATCAATGAACACTAAAGCAGTGAACACTACCTGCTGCACAGAGCCTGATGTAAACTCTTTGGGTTAATCTGTTCAGATGCTCAAGCTGAACCATTAAAGTTGTTTGTAAGTCTTTTTCGCTCACCTCTTCCACTAAGTCTAGGGTCTAGTCCTCATATTTATGTCCAGTATCCTTCCTCTATCATTAGCTCCTGCCCACAGCTACTATCTTAGCAGCTACCATCATCTCTGACCTACAGCATTTGCCCAGAATTGATATTCTTGCTCTTCCTACAATTAAATTTCCACCTAGGTGTCACTGAGATTTTTAAAACATAAGTCATATCCTATCCCTCCTCTATTTAAAACTCTACAGTGACTTTCCATTGCGCTTAGAAAAAATATTCCATTCACTATGCCCTATCTCAGGTACTACTACGTCACCCTGATGTGACACTGTTGTCATCTTTCTCGGCAGATCACTGACTTACCTATTCACTGTCTGATCCCTGCACTGTGACCAACTCCATGTGAGCAGGGAACTGTCCAGTGCTGCTCACTGCCATAACCTCTGTTTAGAACAGTGTCTGGCATTGGGTAAGTGCTCCATAAATACTTGTTACATGAATGAATGAATGCCAGAGTCACCTATTTCTACCATTGGGAGGTTGAATATCTTCATGTCAAAGTTCCTTCCCGGGCTATTCCAGGAGAGACTACAGTCTGTCTCCCTTCAGAGCCTAAGACAGGAGGACCTAGAGCCATTACCGCATAGAATGAAAGAGTTCTCATCTGTGTCCTACTACCAACTCACTGTGAACACTCAGGTTATTTTCCCTCTCTGAAACACAGGTTTCTTTTACTTGGAAATATCTTAGAGCTTTTCCATCTCTAAAAGTAGCATTATCCTAGGATCCCTCTTTATATAAGAACTTGATTCACTCATGCTTGCTCTTCGTGCTGCTTTGCAATGTGGAAATGTCTAGGGGGTTCTGGCAGGAATTTCCTCTGATAGCAGATAATCCCAGACCTCAACTCCAAGAAGTCAGAGAAACGACATTTTAACGGATTTATAATGGAGAAATATGATGAATACAATCTGAGATAAAGTAATCCACTGGTAGTTTCACTAGCAAAAAAAAGTACAGCTAGAGTAAGATAAGCCAGTCTTTTTAAAGAGTTACTTTAAGTGAATAATTAGGTAAGTTAATAAAATTTAAAATCTGAATATGTTTAAAGCATTGTATAAGAATTTGTCAACACAGACACCACAGATTAGGCATTCTTGAAACGTCTGTACAGAGACTGACTTGAGGTTTTTTTTTTTTTTTTTTTTTTTTTTTGAGACAGAGTCTCGCTCTGTTGCCCAGACTGGAGTACAGTGGTGCAATCTCGGCTCACTGCAACCTCGGCCTCCCAGGTTCAAGCGATTTTCCTGCCTCAGCCTCCTGAGTAGCTAGGACTACATGCGCATGCCACCACACCTGGCTAATTTTTGTATTTTTAGTAGAGATGGGGTTTTACCATGTTGGCCAGGATAGTCTCGATCTCCTGACCTTGTAACCCACCCAGCTCAGCCTCCCAAAGTGCTGGGATTACAAGTGTGAGCCACCACGCTAGGCCTGAGTTGAGTTTTTTTTTTTTACAGCCAGCCAGCTTATATGATGGCTATCTACGAATAAAGAACAATTGAGGGAGAATTGCACAAATTCTAAGGCCAAAACCTACTTTCAAGAATGTTAAAGTAATGAAGAATCATTAACATAAAGATAGACCTCAGATTCACAAATAGGATTCCCCAAGCCACATACAGAATCAGGTCATTATGCTAAAAACATGGGTTCTTCAACTGACAGAGGGCAGCCTGCTTCTCTATTTCATCAAAGTCAAGTCACGTGAGGCCCTACCCAGGACAGAGACTGTTGAACTGCAGGGTTGCTGTGTATACCTGAAAGTAACAAAGTTCCTTTCTGTTAAGACATTGGTAATTTTTTCATTGGCTGGCTATCTGTGGGGAAAACCATTTAAAGTTACCTTGCCTTGGTGGAGAAGGTTTAAAAGTTCATGCAGAAGCAAAAAGACAGCTTGTAGGAAGACAATGAGATAATTCTAAAGTCTGTGTGTGTGTGTGTGTGTGTGTGTGTGTGTCTGTGTTTTGAGATGCAGCCTCAGTCTGCCGCCTAGGCTGGAGTGCAGTGGCACGATCTCAGCTCACTGCAACCTCCATTTCCCAGGTTCAAGCAATTCTCCTGCCTCAGCCTCCCGTGGAGCTGGGACTACAGGTGCTGGCCACCAGGCATGGCTAATTTTTGTATTTTTAGTAGAGATGGGGTTCCACCATGTAGGGCAGGCTGGTCTTGAACTCCCGACCTTAGGTGATCTGCCTGCCTCAGCCTCCCAATGTGCTGGGATTATAGGTGTGAGCCACTGCACCTGACTGTACGTGTGTGTTTTAAAGAAGTATATTGTGCAAATAGACCCAAACTATGTAATAGAGTAAAAACTAGGACAGAAGTAACCATGATAATAATACAATAACAGCCAGCGTTGATGTGGAGTGCTGCTGTGTGCCAGATGCTACGCTAAATGCTTTCCTGCATTATCTTATTTAATCATTAGCCATTTCTGTAAGTACTATTCCATGATTTATTTGGGAAAACAGAGGCACAAGGAAATTGAAGGACCTGCCCATGCTTATACACACTACCAAGTGGCATAATTAGGGTTTAAACCTATAAGTGCCTCCATCATACTGCACAATGATTCAAGTAGAAGTTTCCCGCCAAGGAGAAGAACAGTCATACCATGGGCAAATTTTCTTTTTTTTTTTCACCAAATATCATCAACTGTTCTTTCTGCCAGGGTCAAAGGAGTCAGCCTTGCAGAGACAGCAATGGAGTGGGACTTTTATTCAAATCATATAGGACACTCCACATGAGACAGTAAAAATAACATTGGAATGACACAGTACCTGGAGGTAAAAACACCAACAAACCAGCCAACAACTCTTCCCTTTCCAACCTGGCACCAGCTAAGAACAGACAATGGTAAAATCACTGGAAAGAGGAGCTAATCCCTTCAATCTAAAATAGTAAGTTTGGCACCATTTTACATTGGCTACTGAATGGATACAGGACAAAGAACCGCATATTAGCAAACAAGACAGAGGCCCTGGAAGAAGCCATGAAAAAAAACAACCAACAGCTGGAAAAAGGCAAACACATTCAGTCGTCAAAAGTTAGTGAGAATTCTGTGTTTACCTTGGTTTAACTCCCAAACCGTTTTCTACAGCAGGTGTGCCATTCTGCAATCCAACCAGCAATATTTGAGAATTTCAGTTTCTCCACAGCCTGGACAACATTTGTTACCTTCTGTTATTACTATTATTATTACTTGTCATCCTAGTGGGTGTGGCATGATGTCTCCTCATGATTTTCATATGCATTTTTTGCTTTTTTGTTTTGAGATACAGATTTGCTCTGTTGCCCAGGCTAGAGTGCAGTAGCGCAATCACCACTCACTGCAGCCTCGGCCTCACAGGCTCAAGTGATCCTCCCACCTCAGCCACCCAAGTAGCTGGGACCACAGATGTGTGCCACCACACTCAGCTAATTTATTTTTATTTTCTGTAGAGATGAGGTCTCCCTGTGCTGCCCAGGCTGGTATAAAACTCTTGTGTTCAAGGACTCTTCCTGCCTTGGCCTCCCAAGTACTGGGATTACAGGTATGAGCCTCCATGCCTGGCCTGATTTGCATTTCTCTAATGACTAATGGTGTTGAGCATATTTCCACATGCTTATTGGAGGTAATCATTGCACAGCATTGTGAATCTAATGTCCTTGAATTGTACAGTTTACAATTCACATAATTTTATATTTATATAATTTTATATTATGTATCTGTATTTTATATTATGTGAATTTTACCTGAATAAAAAAGTTTGAAAGTAGAAATATAAACAAAGATAGAATTAATCTGCAAATCACTGTAGAGTTCCTAGGATATCCTTTTTATTAAAAAAAAAAATCTTGCTCTTTAGGCCGGTTCTTCCATTCAGCTATAATTACTACAGATAATGATTTAACTCAATTTAAATATATTTTTCTATATATAAAGAAAATCACTCCTGCTGGATATGTAAATCATTTCCTGAATTTCAGCTACCAGTGAGCACTATTTGGTGGTCTTCAGTTGGAACCACATTATCTTCTCTTATCTGCTATAAAACCTTAAGGAATGGCCTAAGGAACTCAATTAATATTTGTAAGAGGTTTATAATGATGAAGATGCAAAAAACTCCAGACATTACACTTCAGACAAATAAACTGCATTTCAGGGCAACAGTCCATGAGCAGTACAGATACTTCAGCGTGGTCTCTGAAATCATACTGCCTGGGTTCAAACTCCACTGAGTGTTAGCTCAGCAACTCGATCACATCACTAAACATCTGTAAGCTTATAGCCCCTCAACTCTGTCATGGAGATAAGCACTGTGTCTATCTATACTGTTGTGAGTGTTAAATAATACACGCATGGCTCCATTTATGTTAGCTATTCTATATGAATACCTACACAATTCATCCATAATTGTAAGCTATTTCATTTCTCCTCTGGATGCAATTCTATTGCAGAGACATCCACGTACAAATACATTTCTGTTGCTTAACACCCTATAAAATATTGCTGTTCATATTCTGGTGCACGAACCGGCATCAGGAACAACACCTGGAAGCTTATTAGAAGTGCCGAATCTCAGGCTCCACCCAGACCTACGAAACAGAATATGCATTGTAGGAAGATTCCTGGAAAGATCCCTGTGCTCACTAAAAGCTTGAGAAACACTGGTATGGAACGCTGGAAGGAAAATTCATTAGAGCATGTTTCCTATACCAGAGCTGAGAGGAGCTATAGCTATTCTTCCTACCGTACGTAGGACTGTACATTTGGTTTCTTTCCCCAGAAAAGACAATGGATAGGAAGGAATCCCCTTAGACTAGTAGAGTATTAGAAGAAACAAAAATTACTTTGTATACACATAATTTAGATATGTCATATCCTCTTCTCCAAATTATTCTAAGATTCTGAAAATGTTATCATTATTTAATTCCCATGAGTAAAATAAGCCACAGGAATGCACCACTGAACTTGGCCATGACAGATCAATGTTACTAACTTCTTGTATTGTTAATCTCTCTTTAATCTTTTAAAACCTTTCCACTTAGAAGCCATCTTGACTTGTTGGGTCTAAGACACCTACTATAAAAATCTGAAGATATCATAGCAATCCAAGAACCCTCACAAGCCATACTAGCTGAAGAAACACTTCTGTTTGCTGCCAACTATAATTAGACTTATCACACTTCAAGAACAGAAGGAAAATTAGAAAGAAAAAAAAAACCTCCTGGGCCCCCCATCGTCCTTTTGTGACAGAGCTAATTTAAAATGCAGTACATCATCAAAGCCACATTACTCTGATGATACGGAATTTATGAGGGATGTCCCATATCATATTATGCATTAACTTGAAGTCAACAGGGGAGGACAATAGGGGACAGAAATTAGAATGTGCAAAACATTTGGAGTCAATTGAATCTACTCAATTGCATGCTGGTAAAAACATAAATTGCAAAGTGATATCTATTTTTTTCCTTCCCACGAGATTTGCTGGAGACAGGAAAGTATTCAAAGACTCTTGAGGATACTAGAGATTTATCTGAAGTCCAAGGAAGCAAGTAAGTTTATAATTCAAGATTTTTGGGTTGCATTTATACAAGAGGTAGACTGTAGTCTTGTGATGATTGTGGTCTTGTGATGATTTGTGTAAATCACCTGGGTATCAATACTTACTAAGCATTGGTAATTAATACTCCTGTATCACCTCTGCTATGAACAAGATGTCCATTCCCAAAGGCATGAAAAGCATGAATCACACATCTCCATTTTGTGGATAGCCTAGAGATAGATATATATGAAGTCGTTGGATAGAAACTAAAGAGGCATCTTAGTGGGTCAAAGTTTAAAGTCAGTGTCATCTCTAGAGGGAGACTGCAGGAAAAGGGAAGAAACTGAAAAATAAACTTTAAAAAATCTACATTGCCACTATTGAGAAAAAGAGAACAGAGAGGGAGAAACTGAGCTTGTGTAACATATAAAAATAGGCAGTGACTAATTAAATACACATATGCTGGTTGTGATAGCCCCAGAGAAAGATGAAAGAGGCTTCCTTCCAGCCCTTGCTCGAAGGGCTGTGGCTTAAAGCCTCAAAAATGTCCATGGGTCAGGATCCTGGTCTTTACAAGAAGCCTGGAGCAACGGTTGATGGATGGGATCATTCATTGAATCATTCAATCATTCACTGAATCATTTAAGCATTTGTGACAGCCATTTACATGTGCTAAAGATACACTGACGAATAAACCTGACATGTGAACAAACCACATGGAGTTTATAGGGAATGGGAGTGAAAACACTAAGCTGATGGTTTTAGGATGTTGGGTGGTATGAAAAGAAAATGCATAGGGGTTCTTTTCTGATGTGATTTAGGGTGGCAGGGCTTGTGAGACTTCTAGTGAATCTTCGTCCATGACAATTATCCCACACTGACCTCATACCCAGAGGAGCTTCAAAGTAAATCTCTGGGTTCACTTTTTCCAGTGTGATCCCTCAATTTCTCCATCAGATGTAACTTTAGACAGAGCTCTGGCTGGAAAGAAGGTGACCAACTCTCCCAGTTGGCTTAGAACAGAGGATTTTCCCAGGACATGAGACTTTGAGTGCTCACACAGAAAAAGTCCCAGACAAACCAGCACACGTTTTCCACTCTAACTGCAGTTGTTCACTCCTGGCTTGTTCCCATGGAATCTCATCCCAACCATGGTCCCAACCTGGCTTTTGCTGCAGGATGCGGAATCCAATGCTGTAGCAGACCTGTGTCATGAATGACTGTCCTTCCTTCAAATACCATTTGTATTTGCAGAAAGCTCATACCTCCTGCTACAGAAACCAAACAAGTTTTCTGTATGTTGAATGCGCACATATGACCAGGCTTGACCACTAGGATATGCCTCATTGGACTTTTCATGGTCATTCATGTGTAATTACATGAACTGCACAGATCTTAAGTATACAGTTCCATGGTGTTTTGCCAACACACACATATACATGAACCAGTACCCCAGTCAAAGTGCATAGAAATGCCATCTCCTTAGAAAATTCCCTTCTCCCTCTTTGCATTCTGTGCTTCTCCCCCAGCAGAAAAAATGCAAAGGAAGCAAGTACTTTTATAACCAAGATTTTTTTATTGCATTTATATAAAAGGTAGATTGCGGTCTTGTGACGATTAGTGTAAATCACCCGGGTATCAATATTTACTAAACATTTGGTGATTAATGCTCCTGTATCACCTCTGCTGTGAACAGGATGTCCTTTCCCAATGGCATGAAAAGCATGATTCACACATCTCCATTTTGTGGACAGCCTAGAGGTAAATATATATGAAGTCTTTGGGTAGAAACTGAAGAGGCATCTTAGCGGGTGAAAGACAATCACTATCCTGAATTCCATCCCCATAGGCCAATTTCTCCTGTTCGTCAGCTTCATAAAACTAGAACCATAAAGCATGGACTCTTTGGTGGATAACTTCTCTTGCTGAGTATGTTATACACATACGCATATGCACACACACACACACACACACATACACACTGATGTCCTTGTCAGCAATTCATTTCTTTTTATTGCTGGATAGCATTTCATTGAGTGACTATACAACTTACTTATGCATTCATTTATTGATGGATGTTTGGGTAATTTCCCTTTTTTCTTCTTTTGCCATTGCAAATAAACATGCAATGAGCATCTCTGAAGAAGCCTTATGTGCAGATATGTTTTCATTTCTCTTGATAAAATATTTAAGTCCAGAGCCACAGCTCTTTGTGTATGTATGTATATGTGTGTATGTGTGTGTGTATATATACACACATATATATAATATACATTGTTATATTTCCTCCTTGCAGCTTGACTTTTCATTCTCTTAATGTCTTTTTATGGGACAAAGTTTTTAATTTTGAGGAAGTCTGTCAAACTTCTCTTTTATGTTTAGTACGTACTGTGTTTTATCTGGGAAAATGTTGACCATGCTCAGTTTTCAAAGGCAGATGTTTATGTTCCCTTCCAGGGGCTTTCGAGTGTTTGCTTTTGTAGTCAGGTCTGCAACCTATCTTCAGTTAATTTGTGTCTACGATGGAAAACATGGATCTGAGTTAAATGTTTCCATTCCAGCATCCAGTAGGTCCAGGATTATTTGTTGAAAAGACTTGCTTTTCCTCCTCAAATTGCACTGGTGCTTTTTCAAGGAAAAAAAAAAAATCACTTGACTCTGTATGTTACCATATGTCTTGGGTCTTAAGGGGCTAGGTAAAAGCACAGGATCAATCAAGCACCATCCCTGGAGGCTGTGTCAAGTGTAGAGTCCAGAACCACTGCTCTGTGTTCAGGACTATGGATGCTGGTGGTGCCACGTGGCAGTGATCACAGTGCTGGTAACAGCATCCTTAGCAGGGAGTTTCTACCCAGGGATCCTAATGGTACCTTCATCCCTTTTGTCTATTTTCTGAGCCAGGTTCTCAAATTTTCCTGATGATACTGCATTCTCCCCAAAAGCATTCAAATCAAATTATCATGTGCATAGGTTACTTAGAAAAGTTCTCTGTTGCAGACAATCAAGAATCCTGTATCACTATAGTTGATCTGTCCACAACTCAGTATCAGGGTCTCATCTAGTTCCATGGTTTGTCTTTCCTGTTCCTGTACTGGTGTTGACAGTTTTCAATGCCTGCCATCTAGCACTAGGCCAACCTAGGATGCTCCTGGCTATGCCAAGTGTGCTTTGCAACACAGAGCATGTGATGCATCAGAAGTAAGATGAATCTTCTTAGGACTCATTCCCAAGTAGCTAGGACAACTTCGAGTAATCACAATGTTCCACAGGGACACTGGGAGACTGTCCTTTGTACAGGTAGAAAGTGAGAGGAGAGTGACCAGTGGTGTTGGTGACACTGGCACTCAAGGGGCCAGAGAAGGGTCTTCAATTCACATGGAAAGTCTGAGATCTTTGCCTTCTCACATTCCACAATGTGTACATGCTAGGAGCACAGAGAGACGGTAACACAGGAGTGGGGACGGTAAATGCCCTAAAAAGACATAAACCCTAAGCTCAGACAAATGGGAATGGAGTCCAGTGCAACTGTCCAGGAGAGGAATCCAGAGCAGAAAAGTGCACAGTCCAGAGTGTGCATGTGCAGGAAGAAATCTCGAGAAGAGACGATCACCAGGAAGTAGAGCAAACTGGACTACCGCTCTGCAGGAATGATCTCCATGAAGGGGATGGCAGCATGAGGGAGATGAATATTTAAAGGGTACAGAGGAAGGAGCACAGCCCTAATAGAAACAATGTTTAATAAACATCGCCTTAAAGCAGAAAGTAACTGGAGGGTCCTCCATACATTCAAGAAATGAGGAAACAGTAATGGTCTCTGAGGGCCACCCTGGAGTGGAGTACAGCCTAGGGCAGCTCTGAAACCCTCCAGGCAAGAGGATAGAAATCGACCTTCTCTATGAAAAGGGAATGGAGATCACTTGCTCACTGGTTGGTGCTTCCTTTTCCTAAGAGTACCCAAGAGAAGTTACAGCTCCCCCATTTTATGCAGCCTTTGTAAGACCATACATTGGGTACTTTGCCTTCCCACTCTGGAAGATAAAGAGTTTCCTAAAGGAACTTTCTTTGACATCTTAGCTCTCCCAGCCAGGGTGAGCTCAAGAAGGGGAGGTATTGCCTAAGTCTGGCCAATGGGATGTGCTCTTCTGGGATCCAGAACTGGAGCAGAATGATACATGGACGGAAGACTTAGTTGGAATTCATTTCTTCCCATGGAGGAGACCTCACAGTGGCTTGGTGCCTGTCATGCTACCAACACTGCTTTTTCAACTACCTCTAAATTTTGTAAGCTCACTGACTACTGCTAATAAGTATTCTTTTTGCTTAATGTAGAAGGGGAATTGGTTCCTGTTGCTTGCAACCAATGAGCCCTAATTGGTCCACAAAGTTGAGACTGTCCCTGTAATTAACTGCAGTGTCTAATTTCACTCCTTCGTAAATTGGGTTGATACTCATACACGAAGGATAATTACTTTGTTCTCATGTAATCCCTTTTGATGTTATAAATCTCCATTAAGAAGCCCTGTTTGGGTCCATGAGAAACTCTATCTCCTAGAAAGGCAGGACAAGGGCTACTAGACAACATATGCTCCGAGAATGGGTCATTCGTACACTGAGGAATAGAACATTAAGGCCACTTTTATTGAAACCCTAGGTAGCTGTTTTAAAACAATAGGTATTTTCCAAAAGCCAATGATATTAAAATTAAAAACTATGAAAAGTAAAAATATTTCACCATTTTCCCACGTTCATGAGAACCTGTCCTAAATGTAATCATAATCAGGACATCCATAGGTCTTAGGAACAATCTAGCAACGAGTAAGATGTCTTAAGAAAACTGATCCTATGTCTGAGAGCTCTGGTACCTGCTCCTCAGCTCACCCACAAAGCCATGAGTCCATGCTAAGTGAAGTACCTGCAAATACCAGAGGCTCCTGCAACAAGGGGAGGTTGAAATGTCTTTCCCCAGTTAGAAGTCTACAGACACAGCAAACTTGATGGCTGTCTCAGAGATGTCCCTGAGCGCTGGAGAAAAATAGAATTTGGGAAAAACCGGGGGCAGAGTGGGAATAAGGGAAGCAGGGAAACAACCTGGATCCTACTACTGGGCATGGTAAGCACAAGTGACTTGACTGTCACTCATGCAGTTCCAGTAGAAATAGCTGAGCTTGGGCCAGTTTGCTAGTACATTTCAAGAGGCTCACCTGCAAGGTGGGGGACAATGGCCTGTGCGATGCATGGTTGGAACAGACACCAGGAAGGGAGGTGATTGGGGTTTTTCTGGAGCCGGATCTTCCAAATCAAGAAACAGGAGTGATATGGTTTGGCTGTGACCCTATGCAAATCTCATCTTGAATTATATCTCTTACAATTCCCACATGTTGTAGGAGGGATCCGGTGGAAGGTAATTGAATCATGGGGGCAGGTGTTTCCCGTGCTGTTTTAGTGATAGTGAATAAGTCTCATGAGATGGGGGTGGGGAAGGGACGGTTTATAAAAGGGAGTTCCCCTGCAGAAGCTCTCTCTCTTCACCTGCCACCATCTATGTAAGACATAACTTGCTCCTCCTTCCACCATGATTGTGAGGCCTCCCCAGCCATGTGGAATTGTGAATCCATTCAATCTCTTTTTCTTTGTAAATTACCCAGTTTCAGGTATGTCTTTATCAGCAGCGTGAAAATAGACTAATACAAGGAGCAAAGAAGCCCCTGCATGTCTATTTGAGGTATCTGTGATAGTTATGCATCGTGAGAAAGAAAGAATTTGAATATTTACAACAAAGAAACCAGACAAATAGCAACAATGTTGCTACAGCCCACTGTCTCCCCATCTTGCAGGTGAGCCTCTTGGAATGTAGCACCAAACTGGCTCAAGCTCAGCTGTTTCTGCTGGAACTATGTGAGTGACAGTAAACTCACTCATGCTTACCATGCCAAATAAGAGGAATGCAAGCACACTGTTGAGCTTGAGAGCTATGACTCTTTGCCGCTTCTTCCTGCCCCCAAACTCCATCAGATCTAGAGGGCCGGAAGAAGAAAGGAAAAAATGCTCCAAAGTCATACAAAATCCTCCCTCTTCATTCTAAGATAAAAGAAGGGGAGGAAAGAAAAACACCACACACTGTCTCCTTTTCGGAAGCTACAAGTCTGACTGACAAGGGAAGAAAAGAAACTTTAAACACATTGTAAAATAGCTACTTTGAAAGAGAAAATGACAGAGACATAAATACCCATTGAGACTATATCTAATAACCAAAAGGGACCAGAAAGTTGAAAAATCTGAGTTATTTCTAGGGGAAGGGGAAGAATATGCAATTCTGAATTTGGGAGCAGTGAGTGGAGAAAAAGTCACCTCATGTTTATATCTCACTGAGCTGACTCTGTTCAATAAACTAGGGATAATATTTAATAAAAATGTTAAAGAAATATCAACAAGACATGCAGTTCAGATTCTCAAGTGTTACTACAACTTGGCGTTTTGTAGAACTTTAAACACCTTCTTCCGTACGTGTTGTGGAGTCTATGCAATTATTTAGCAATAAATCACTAATGGTTCTTATTTCAATATACCTGTAGTATCTTACTTCATACCATAGCTGTGCTATCAGTGAAAACAGCTGACTCAATGTTACATTTAGGATAAATAATAATATATTATTAATAATAATTATTATTATTATTTGAGATGGAGTCTCTGTCACCCAGGCTGCAGTGCAGTGGTGCAATGTCGACTTACTGCAACCTCTGCCTGCTAGGTTCAAGCGATTTTCCTGCTTCAGTCTCCCAAGTAGCCGGGATTACAGGTGTGTGCCACCACACCCAACTGATTTTTGTATTTTTAGTAGAGATGGGGTATCACCAAGTTGGTCAGGCTGGTCTCCACCTTCTGAACTTGATCTGCCTGCCTCCACCTCCCAAACTGCTGGGATTACAGGCATGAGCCACCGTGCCTGGACAGGGTAAATTATTTTTTATGCATAGTAGAACTTACAGTCAATGCAATATGCTTTTATTTGAAAAGTAGTTTACAATAAAAACAACCCTCTTTAATAGGGTACTTTTTAGCAAATGTCAAGTTATATAGATTGGGTAACAGATGGAGGCACAAATTCACCACATTTCGGAGTATAACAAGGTGGCAGCTAGAATTTGGGGGCGGTTTACAAGAAGTTTTTTTGTTTTTTAACCAATTAATTAGGTATTGAGTAAAATGCGTTTCTCTTGCACACCTGCCAAGGAGGATTAATTGTTCTTCATGTAGAGAAATAGAAATTGATAATGTTCAAACATGGATAATTTTACCTGTTCATTTAATAAATATTCCTCTGGCCCCTACACCAATTTCTTCCACCAGGAGACATTTGGGAATGCCTGGAGACATTTTTGTTTGGCACAACCTGGCCTTGGATGGGAGGTGGGGTGTGGAATGCTACTGTCACCTAGTGGGTTGAAGCAAGGTGCTGCTAACCATCGTAGAGTGTACAGGACAGCTCCCCTGAACCAAGAAGTATCTGGTCCCAAATATCAATACTGGAGTGGTTGAGAAACTCTGCCCTACTCAAAGCCTAGCACAAGTGATATCAAGATGAGCCCCTGCCCACAGCTGGTTCACAATGAAGATGTCATTTTAAAATCGTATCTATCCTGTTAAACTGACACAGAATCATACTGGCTATTTCCACCAGTTCCAAATATAGGACGTGTGAAGGACACCTCCTTTGCCCAGCTGTTCACCATTTGCTCCTGTTGCCTTTGGAGATGATGCTGTAGGGTGCATGTAAACAAACAGGAGAAAGTCAAGGTCATGTTTTATTGGCTCTGCAATGACTGTGCATTGATGGTGGACTTATCCAAATATTTATAATGTGTTGGAGACTGTGCAAACAGTTAGGCAGCTTGTCAATTCTCTAATGAGTGAGGCATCCTAAGTTTGGGAAGTGGAAGTCTAATTGTCTCTGAGAGTTGAAGGGCATGCACACATATGCTGGTATTTCCATGGGATTGGCATCAAATATTTATTGAGCAACTACTATGAGCAGGGCAATTTATGGGGGGAGGATAAAAGTGCCGAAGACAAAGATAACAGAATCAAGGTTTAGGTAAAAGAAAGGGAAGGATTCCAGTTGGGTGAATCAGGAAAGGTTTCCTGAAGGTGACAAGATTTTGTTGATCTTTGAGGGTGGAAAGGATGTAAGGTAGAAGGAAATTCAACATAGAGAAATCCATGCAAATCAACACACAGGTAAGGAGAGCATGAAACATGAATAGGAAATGACGGTTCAGCGATGCCATGGGAAAAGGGACAACAAAGGAAGAAAGTGGATAAAGCATGGAATCGTGACTGAGGGGTGTGGTCACTCTTTTGAATTGTGCATAAGGAGGCCTTTATCCTTATGAGAGCCTCTGCTGTGTGCATCCACACGTCCCTACCCTACAGAGGCAGCAGCTCGGAGTGGCAACCATTAACTCGCCCACAAGGTGAGAGACAAAACACTCTGGGTTTAGGGTCAACGATTTCAGGCTCTGACTCAGGAGGATAAACCACAGGCTCTCCAGTCTCCTTAAATATGTGGCTTTGAACACAATCAAGACCAGTCCTCAAGATAAGGGGGTTTCCACATCATTGCAGGTGCATGCAATTACAATTTAGAGGGTCCTAAATAATAAAACAAAAATGTGTTTCAAGTGGCCTGAATGAGGCAGTGAACAGACAGAAACATAACCAAAAATCCATAAAAATTATACATTCAACTTGAATATTTATCCACGTGTTTCACAGGCTGGCAACATAGACACCCCCAAGCCCCAAAAATACATTAAGTGATGGGGGGAAGGACGAAGTAGCCTGTACAGAAATCACTTTGTTGGGGGAGGAAGGAAGGAGAGGATACACACACATACACACACATACACACCCCTCTTAGTATATACCTAAGATATCACATTTCTGAAAATATACAGACAATACAAAAAATACAAAACAAACTGGTAACGCGTCTTTACTTCTGGAAAGGGAAATGTGGAGTCAGAGATCATAGGTAGATAGGAGACTTACTTTTTCCCTATATCCCTTTTTATATTTTTGAATGTTTTAAAAGGTTTTAACATATTGAATAATAAATAAAATAATTTAAAAAGAAAGGCAATGGGTACAAAGAGACTAATGGAAAAATATAGTCAAATTCTTTTGGGAGGCGGCTAATAATAACGTTTAAAAGCAGATTTAAGTTGGATTTCCAGATTTGAATTTCTCTTCTGTGAATGCACAGGCATGTGATCTTGGGTGATTTATTTAATCTCTCTGTGATTATATCTTTTATGTACCATGGGGATAGTAATAATACCTACCTCTTAGAGTATTTCTGTTTTTCTGGTTGTTTTTTTTTTTTTTTTTTTTTTTTTTTTTTGAGACAGAGTCTCGCTCTGTTGCCAAGGGTGGAGTGTGGTAGTGCAATCTCGGCTCGCTGCAAGCTCTGCCTCCCAGGTTCAAGCCATTCTCCTGCCTCAGCCTCCCTAGTAGCTGGGACTACAGGTGCCCACCACCACGCCCGGCTAATTTTTTGTATTTTTAGTAGACACGGGGTTTCTCCATGTTAGCCAGGATGGTCTTGATTTCCTGACCTCGTGATCTGCCCACCTCCACCTCCCAAAGTGCTGGGATTACAGGCATGAGCCACTGTGCCTGGCCCTCTTAGGGTATTTCATTAAGAATTAAATGAGATATTGTGTATAAAGCATCTAGCCTCAGACCTAATAGACAAGTATTGCTGTAGCATGAATGACCGCCTTCTACAGCAATGTAGTGTGACTGGTGCTTATAATTGCAGAATCTCTTGATTGATGATTCGACTCAGACTAATTACAACAGAGCCTTTCACAACATAACTGGATGTGCTTGGTATTAACACCTCTCCCATGTAGCAAAAGACAAATGGCTCCGCTTGTCCCAATCATAACAGCACGATAGGAAACCCAATACTCTATTACTCAATGGTGGCAGAAACATTGGGGTGAGCCCCCTCTTTTTTAAACACTCGAATTAATTCATCCAGTCCTGAAATAAAGAATGGTTTGGTGAGGTGGATGTTTATTGAATTGCATTTCAAGTAAAGATTCCATGACTCACTTTATCTTCTTACCCTATCGCACATCCAAGGAATGAAAACCTGGTCATGTAAGTGATGAGAACACCATTTCCAAGTGTTTAATTCCATTTTTCCCAATCTCATACTGGATATCTTGGGGTCATTTTTACTTGACCTTTACTTCCCGCATTCAGCCACCATTAGTTCCCTTGCTTTTTTTCTCTGCTTGTAGCAGACACAGGCATTTCCTGTGTGCTATGGTCTGAATGTTTGTGTCTACTTCAAAATTCATGTGTTCAAACTTAGTTGTGAATTGCCTTTATGAAGCGCTTAAGTTATGGGAGAAAAGCTCTCATGAATGGGATTCATGACCCTATAAAATTGCTGGAGACAATAGTAAGACCATTTTTCAGCCCTTCCCTCCTTTCCACCACCTAAAAGCACAGTGTTCCTCCCACCAGTGAACACAGCAACAAGACACCATCTAGGAAGTAGAGACGGGGTTCTCTCCAGACACCAGACCTGCTGGTGCCTTCATGTGACATTTCCCAAGTCTGAAAATTCCCAGTCTCCAGAACAATGAAAAATAAATTTCTGTTCTTTAGAAATTACCCAGTCTGTGATGTTTTGTTATAGCAGCACCAACCAACAAAGTGAAACATGCATTTGCTCCTGACTTGAGCACAAACATCTTCATTGACTTTTAAGATACCTTATAGCATCACTTCTCAATGTCTCCAGGGTCCTACCAATGCTTCATGGCTCAGCTCACGCTCTTGCTCAGGAGAAGTGTACTCAACTACACCAGCCCAAATTCATCAAGCACTTCTCCAAACTCTAACATCACATACTCCCCAGTAAGTTTAGGATTTGATAATTCTGCAGTGGTTCTCTGAGTGCCACTTTGCTCCTCAGTGACATCACACAGTTCTTCAAGCTAGAATTGTTCTTATCTTCTTGTTTGCCTTCTAACACTTACTATAGTTCAGGATGTTTGCAAGCAATTCCCAATAAATACAGGTTGACCAAATATCTCTGTTTTACAGTTTTGTGTTGATAATTTAGGTGGAGGGAGGGAATGTCCTGTACAAACAGTAACCCAGCCTATTCCCACTAACATGAAGATCTCTGTACTAAGAGTGTCCTCTGAAAATTTATGTTTACCCAGATACTCAGAAGTGACCTTATTTGGAAATAGGGTCCTTGCCGATATAATTAGTTAAGATGAGGTCATACTGGCTCAGGATGGGCCCTAAATCCAGGGAATGGTGTCCTTATAAAGAGAGGGAGATTTGGAGACACATAGACTCAGACACACAGAGAAGGAGCCAGGTGATGGAGGAAGAAGGTGGGGCAATGACAATACACACCAAGGAATGCCAAGGATGCTGACAACCAACGGAGGCTGTGGACAAGCCAGGTAGGTTTCCTTCTTAGAGCCCTCACAGGGAGCATGGCCCAGCAGACATCTTGATTTCAGACTTTAAGCCTCTAGAAATGTGAGAGAAGTCTGTGCTACTTTGTTATGGCAGTCCCAGAACACAAACACAATCCTCCACAGGCCCTTTTAACACAAAACAAACTCAAAAACTGTGCCCACAACCTTGTGGTACCCTTACCCTCATCCTAAATGTTTACTAGGAACTTGATGTCTAACGAGGTAACATGGAAGACAAACACGCTTCGAAAGTGAGTTTGTAGAACTACGGTAAACACTGCTGCCATAAAAAGATCTGGAAATAACCTAAGTGCCCATCAACAGATGAATGCACACAGCAAGTGTGGTATGCACACAATGGAGTACTATTCAGCCATATAAAGGAACGAGATACAGTCATTTGCAACAACACAGAATGAACTGGAGATCATTGTGTTAAGTGAAATAAGTCAGGCACAGAAAGTCACACAGTGCATATTCTCACTAATCTGTGGGATCTAGAAATAAAAATGATAGAACTCACGGAGATAGAGAGTACAGGGATGGTTACCAGAGGCTGGGAAAGGTAGTGTCGGGGGAGGAAATAAGGGTGGTTAATGGGTACATGAAATAGAATGAATAAGACCTAGTGTTTGATAGCACAACAGGGTGACTATACTCAATAATAACTTACCTGTACATTTTAAAATAAAGAGTGTAATTGGATTTATTTATACCACAAAGGATAAATGCATGAGGGATGAAGACCCCATTCTCCATGATGTGTGTATTACACATTGTATCCCTGTATCAAAATGTCTCATGCATCCCATAAGTATCTATACCTATTATGTACTCATAAAAATTAAATATAAAAAACTGTGGTAGCAAGGCACATTTTTTTCAAAGAAAATCTTACCTGTACCTTCAAAATGTAACTAAATAAGTGGCATTTCATGAGGATGTAATAGTCGCTTTTTTATAGTCAACCAATGGGGCTATGTGGCTGTTCTGATGAATGTATAATTTTGAAGTTCTTTAACAGATTTGAACAATTCATGACATTAAAACAAACATACTTATGATGTATTTGAAGATTGGATAAAATCTTGAGAATGTGAAAATCTCTGATTTGACAGATGCACTCATAATACAGACTGAAAGGCAAGGTCAAAAAAGGGTAAGTAGCGTACCAAAGTCATCCAGTTAGCATAGGGTGATAGTGATCAAGTATGGGCACACCCCACTGAAAGACTGGAGCTGCCTTCAGAGTTCTTCACTGCATTGGACAAAATGTGCACCCATGTTCAATGACCGTTAACATTGCCAAGTTCATAGACACAATCAAAATCACAGCTTCCGATGCCCCTCAGCCCCACACCAAACCATCTAAACACCTCTGTCGTCCAAATGGCTAGTAGCTTTATCAACTTATTGCCAGTACTAACCCCCCCTCCCTCTGTCTCTTCCTTCTTCTCTTCCTTCCCTCCTCAGGTATTTCCCAAGTACTTGCTCTTTATCAGATATTCCTCTGCATGCTGAGAAGAGAGAGATGAGTAAGCAGGACAAAGACAGTCACCCCATGCTACCTACGTTCCAGTTGGCAGAAAAAGGCAATTGAACAATTCAAACAAACACATAAGATTATTTTAAAGAGCAGTAAATATGAATAAACGTATTAAATGCTAGTGACTCCCAGGAAGGAGTTTTCTTATGTAGGATGGACAATGGTTCTTTGATGCCTAAAAGATAAGAAGGAGCTGGTTCTTTAAAGAACCTGGACAACATCCCAAAGCCAGGAGTAAAGCGAAGTCCCCGAGTCCAAAATGAACTTAGGTGGGATCAAGGAAGAGAAACAAAGAGTGTGGCTAGAGAGAGAAGTTTGTGAGCAGGAAGGGGCTATACCCCACAAAACCTGCAGGTCAAGGCAAAGGTTTGGGTTGCATTATCAGTGCACATGGAAGGCATAAAAATGGGTTAAGCAGAAGAAGACACAATTCAGTCTCCTTTACCAAAATATCCCTTCTTATGGTTCACTGTTTCTTAGGTACTGTACCTAAAGATTAACCTGGTTATTAGTATTAACCCCGGTACTGAATGCCAACCCAAGTTATGGTTTCTGAACAGGTCATATTTAACTTTACAAGCCACCCTCACACTTTCCTGTCAGCTAAATTAATAGAAACAGCTTCATCCAGAATTGCTTTCCTTATGCTAAGCCAAAGCATATTTTGCCATCTTTTAACTGTCTAATTTCATTGACTGAAGTTGATGTCTTCATAAATATCTTTCAAAAAAAAATCTTCCCAATACGATGGCATTATGTACCTTCTGATAAATGGCCAGCTTGGGTAAAAATTAATCCAACAGGGGAAAGTGGTAAGCCATCAATATTTTAACAAATATCATCTCTGGAATTATGGCATTCCCTCCCATCACTTCTGAATTAATAACATTGTGCTTTATGATCTCTTCACTGGGGGTAGGGCAGAGGTTTATCTACTTGGGAGACATAAAATGTTCATCCTAATTTTTAAGACACACACACACACACACACACACACACACACACACACACACTGTGGGTCCCCAGAGTGCCATTAAAAGATACTGCATAATCTTTGGAAATTGATTCAAAGAAAACACATGCCAGTTTTTCTAGATGCAAGGACGTTTTTACTCTGCCAAATCTCCTAACACTTTCATTAGAAAACAAATATTTGGCTTTGTAGAAGCTGGTCGATAACCTTGGTGAGAAAAGTGAGAGCTGAACTTTTAATTCCTGAGCCCTGCAAAAGAAGTATTCCCCTTCCCTTAGCTCGAATTCAACAAGACCCAAACACAGATTAAAATGGGCCAGTGATAAGGACTTCATTTCTTAGTCCTAACTCTAAGCCTTCCATTTTTAGACATGAGGATTCCTCACTATTTAGCTTTAAGAATCACAGTTGTACAGGAGATAGAAATCATGTTTACAAAGCGTATCTAAAGTCAAGTCCCAGAAATTTTGCAATTTTTTTTTCTTGTTGTTGTTTTCTGGCTATCCAAACAAGGCTATAATTAGCCAGAATTCCTAAGCTAGCCTACAAGTATTTCTTTGAAACATAATATGGCCTTAACATGTGTGATTGCTGGTGTTTTAAGGAAAAAAGATTAAAGAGAGAAAGACAAAGAGAGCGAGGGAAGGAGAGGAGAGGAGAGGAAGGAGGGAGGGAAAAGCGAAGGGGAGGGGATAAAACGGGAGGAGAGGGGAGAGGAAGAGAAGAGAGGAGAGGAGAGGGGACGGGAGGGGAGGGGAGGGAAGGGAAGGAAGAGAAAAAAGAAATGAGGAAGGGAGGGAGAGAGGGAAGGAAAGGTTTAATTAAAATTAAATGAGGAGGAGAAATGCAATTAGTAGTGGAATGTTAGACAGGGATGTCTTGGGCTTCAGAAATTAACATATCCATTCTTTAAAAACGTGCATGCACCTTTTCCTTGACCAATGAGCAACAGTAGCACAGCCTAGGCTTCCCTGTCATAATGTCTATTTGCTATAATTTAAGCAATACCCATTGTTAGGTATTTTTCTTCTCCCATTTATTCACAATTACAGAAAAACACCATTTTGAGCCTCTAGTAAGCCTGCTTCCCACCTGCCTGATTGTCGTCAGCCGCTATTCCTGTGCGTGGAATTGCTTGATTAAAGGATCTAAACATTGTAAAAAGGTTTTGATATAAATTGACAAATTACCCTTCGGAAAATTTATGCCAATTTACATCTCTCTAGTGGCGAAGCAATTATTTTTTTCCCCCCCTACACTCTTTCCAACACTGGTTATTCACAGAAATTTTATTGGATTTTTTTCTCTCAGCAACGTCTGCCTACTTTCTATTGACAATAGCACTTCAAAGTCCTTTTTGGAAGTTCCCTCTGCCTCCTTATACCTGCTTTGTGGGGTTAATTAAGCAGATGGCTTGGTATAACCAAATCAAGGGACTGGCACTTGATCGAAACGAAGCCACTTAGAGGTTCTAAGGGTGTCTGGATCAAACTAAGCAGGGTTCCTGCTGCTGAGGCCCTGCAGAACTGTCCTGGGTCCTGCCCTTTTCAAAGATAGTCTTCAGCCCTCCCCTTCAAGCTAAAGGTGCCCACATATCTTTCTAATGAATTATTTTTTTTCACAAGTTAGAACCAATGTTTTTTTGCTTATAAACAAATAGTCCCACTGATATGGCAGTTACGTTGAATAATTTCATTTTATGATTTTTACCAAGTGTACAGAGACTATGTGTTAAATGAGGCCCTTCAGACAATGAACCAGATTGTTTTAAAAATTAGGATTTTATAGTCTATGTAACATTTCTTAAAACACAACCTCATTAGGACCCTCTAAGAAAGGTAGACAAATCTGAATTCCTCACAAGGATTTTGTAGTTCTATAAACAACTCATTGTCTAAAGCCACAATTTAACAACCTACAAAGCAATACTATCAAAATTCAACATCGCTTTAAATTTTGAATACATCCTTTCTTTAAAAAGCACATACCATCATAACTTTGGAAGCTTTTAATTTAGAGAAGAAATGTTGTTTGCATACTCCAAGTTGCAAAGGATGGCCATGAAGAAGCTCCAAGCACCTCCGAATGAAGCAGTTCACTGAATGTGCCTGGTCTCTGGTCACGAAATAAGAAACCTTAGCACCTGCACGGTGGAAACATGCCCATGAGTTCTCAATGTTTTTGTGTCTCTCCCAGGAAGGAAGACAGACTGATAGTTTAATACCATGCCTACTGACCCAAAGCACCTGCTCAGTCATTGCAGAAGGGTGGTTAAGAGCATGGGGCCAAACCCACAGTTCTGGTATATATCAGTTGCCTTAGTTCTGGTTAAGTCCTTTCATCTTGCTAACCCTCAGTCCTATGAAATGGAGATAATGAAGACCTTAGACACTAAATAAGAAAGTGTCTACTGAGTTGCTAATACAGAACCGGGCATACAATAGGTGGTGGGTAATTGGTAGTTCTCGCAGAGTTTTCTTCTATTATCTTTTTGAGACAGAGTTCCATTCTTGTCACCCAGACTGCAGTGCAGTAGCGTGATCTCAGCTCACTGCAACCTCCACCTCCCGGGTTCAAGCAATTCTCTGGCCTCAGCCTCCTGAGTAGCTGGAATTGCAGGCATGTACCACCACGCCTGGCTAATTTTTGTATTTTTAGTGCAGACGGGGTTTTGTCATGTTGGCCAGGTTGGTCTCCAACTCTTGACCTCAGGTGATCTTCCTGAGTTGGCCTCCCAAAGTGCTGGGATTACAGCCATGAGCCACTGCGCCCAGCCACAGTTTCCATCAGAAATGAATATTCTCTGGGTTTTCCCAAGGTGGAGGGCTATATCCCCATGTACAGTATTTCTTCTCCAAAAGGAAGTATTAACTGCAATGACAATGCAACACAATAGTATCACCTGACTATTCTCATTTCATTTGACCCTTTCTGGTGCACAGAGCACTCCCACTCTTCACTCAACCCAGTGTGGTAGGCAGGGCAGGTATTACCAATTCCATTTTAGAGATAAATTACACAGACGGTTCCCCCCATATCTTGACTGCAGAGACATTTGGCTGGCTTGGCAAGTCAAGCTTTCCACTTTGTGCCTTTCCACTTTGTGCATACGATGGGTGGCAGCTTCTCACCGAGAAGGGAGAAAGTAGTTAGAATTAAGTGTTTATCTTCTCACAGTCCTTGGGAGCCCACTGAGAAAATATTTCCCCCTTTATTTTCTGGCCCCACTAGGTGGTGGTAAGCCAGAAAGAAAAGAAGTGTGTGGCTGAACTCTGACCAAATGCTATCCCTGCTTTTGCTAGCTCCAGGGAAGAACGGGGCACGTTTGCTACTTCTGCAGGAAGACAGATAGATAGATAGATAGATAGATAGATAGATAGATAGATAGATAGATAGACAGACACACAGACAGACAGACAGATGGATAGATAGATGGATAGACAGACAGACAGAGATAGATGGATGGATGGATGGACGGACGGACGGATGGACAGATACATACATAGATAAAATTCAAAGGGCAGTTACTCCGGGTGGCCCTTAAGGCAAACACTAGGACAATGTCAAGAAGCCCCAAGAGCTGGAGGCAGTAAGTGGTCTGAATTTCACCTTCCCAGGATGTTTTCCCAGCACAGGAGGTGCCAGAGCATGATTTTGAACTGGAATCAGATCTACATGACCCAGAGAAAACTACACAAAATAACTGACTCTCAGTGTGCCCATCTGTATAATAGAAGCACATTAATTGAAATGACACACGGTCATCACCTGGCCCCTGATTGGTGCACTTTTTCTTTCCCCATGACCCCCAACTTGACACCCACAGAAAGCCTTGAGCCATGAATCTCTCAGTTTGTCCTTTCCCTGGATCACGTATCTTGCAATAATTTTTTCCCCTCCTCAAGTGAGATGAAAACTTTTCTTAACTAATGTTTGTTTCTTAAATGGTACATGGTGTTTGGCCCAGACAACCCTCAAGGTAATCAATAAAACCTTATCAAGTTTATTTAACAAACCACAGGGCAGGCTATTAATCTCATCCACTTAGACTTCCTAAAAAACAAATCCACATTTTCATCCATTGCAGGAATGGTGACATTTAGGGGTGAAAAGAAACAAAAGGAAAATCTCCAACTTGAATTAGTTCAACAAAGACAGACAAGAACTTCAGAGTCAATGAGGCATCAAGAACATCATTTAACTCAGTGGGTCTCATGTCTCCAAAATGCAAAATAGCCATCATCACAATTACCATCACCATCATCACTACTATCGACATCTCATTATCATCACCACAAGTATTAAGGCCCCAGACTTTATAAGACATTTATTTCTCATACAATCTCTGGTTATGTACTTTTAAGAATTGGAAAATAAAATAACGAATGGAAGAAAAGCAAAAATATTTTACAACTTGGAAAAATCTTGGCCATGAAGGGATGTGGCAGAAAGTGCAGGAGGATAATTTTGAAACCATCGTGCAAGACAGGGTTTGTAATCAAGAAGAGACAATAGGAAAGAGGCCAGTTTATTGTAGCCATCAAGTACTATCTCGAGGGGTTTGATGGTCACGGGATTAAACACCCAGGCAAAGCACTCTCTGAAACACAAAGCATTTCTAAATTCTCCTTGAATATAAATCCTCACATCCTCTCCCACTTCGGCAGTGTAGGTGGAGAAGTGCTGCCAAAGAGAAGCCAGCTGGGAGACAGGAGACACTGGTATCAGAAATGGGAATTCTCTGTTTCTCTGTCCAGCAGAGAAGGAGAAAGAGAGACTTCAGGGAGTAATAAACTGTCATGCCTAAGATTAATTGACGACCCTCCAGTTTTGCCCCAAACACAGATGTATTCGGATCAGGATGCAACCTTGAATACTAAAGGTGAAGGGAGAACAGTTATGTCTGGATTAGAGCAAACTGAATATGCAGAATTGTGGGTGATGTCAAAATGCGAGCTGTTCAGCAGGGGAAGGCCATATATCATCACGCCCTTCCATAAAGTGGCTTGTCAGAAGCGAGCCAAGGACCTAAATTAGGAACCAGCATGTACTGGGAAATGTCTTGGTCACAAGTGGCCCACAACAAGCCAGTCATCCTGTGTCACAACCTTGGACATGCCTTCCACCTCTATATTTGGAATGAGAGGCTAAAAGGAACATTCATTATGTTGATGTCTACACTAGTAGGAATTTATGCTCACAGCTTCTGACCTAGCCTCATACTTTATCTCTGCCCCCAGAGCATATTTGTGGAGGAAAGCGGTTAGTTTTCCCAGGAAGATGTCAAGGTGCCAAGACTGGGGCTCTTTTTCAAATGCAACATTCCCATAATACCCCACTGTATGCCCATCCTCCACACCTGGGCAGGTTTTGTGTTGCAATGTCTCTACCAACTATTGGTGAAATTACTGGTTTATATATGCATTTTAATCGAAGTTACCCCAAACCACAATGAGAATGGAGAAAACAACATTTTTTCATTTTACTTGCAACTAGCACCACGAATAATTGGTGATGTTACTGAAATCTTGACAATCAACAGATTGTCTTCCAATGCCTTATTCAATAAAAAAGTATTTTTCAATTCCATGAAAGTGTTGGGTTTTATGAACTAGTCACTCTTCATGTACAAAGTGCTAGGGTTATAAAAAATTAACAAGCCTTATGTTTGAGGAGTTTTTCCTCTGAAACAAAGACATTTTAAACATATGAACATAAAATAATCTTAACAACAGGGGCTGTTGAGTGCTACTGTTGAATACTGCTAAGTGTTCCATGATCACCTTTTATTATTTCTTACAACTATGTGATATGGGTTTGAAGCCTATGTCCATTTTACAGATGAAGAAACTGAGGATTAGATAGCAGCTTATCTAAACTCACACATTTCATAGAAGGCAGAGCTAAAATTTAAAGACAAGAAGTCTCACCTGAGGTCAGGAGTTCGAGACTAGCCTGGCCAACATGGCAAAATCCTGTCACTACTAAAAATACAAGTATTAGCCAGGCATGGTGGCACATGCCTGTAATCCCAGCTACTCGGGAGGCTGAAGCAGAAGAACTGCTTGAACCTGGGCGGCGGAAGTTACAGTGAGCCAAGATTCTATCATTGCACTCCAGCTCCGGGATTGGAGTGTACCATTGCTCTGGGATACAGAGCAAGACTCTGTCTCAAAAAATAAAATAAAATAAAAAATAAAACCAGGAAGTCTAAATACAGGGTTCAGGTATTTCAGTACCAGTACCTAAAAAAATACAGGTTTCACAGACTCATTCCATCTAGGAGAGTCAAGGAAAATTATGCAAAGCTGACATTTGAGCTAGGTGTTAAAGGATAGAGTGAAATTCACCCAAGAGGCCATTAGGGTGGGTGAGAGACTTCAGGCGGATGAAGGAGCTGTTCCAGGTAAAGGAAACAGCAGGTGCAAGTATGTTTATGGCTAACATTAGTTCAGCACAGTGGAGGTATGGGGTAGCCTGAAGTCAAAGCAGGGGAGGGTTTTGAGAAATGGAATAAGAGAAGGCAGGCAGATTAAAGAGATTATTTAGACTTAAGACTCTGTAAGCACAGAGAATAATGGAAGGATTTTGATCCATAAAAAGGCTTCTTTAGAAAAAAATTATTCTATTTAAACAGAGGTTCATAAATGTCTGCTCTCAAGGGAAGACATGGGAACAATGTAACTGGCCATTTGGGTATGACCCAAAGTGGGTAGACAGCATATTAGTTATGTCTTAGATTCTAAGAAAAATATGTCCAGGACCAAAATGGGAGGACTCTAAATCTCAGGCTCATATGTTTGGTTTTACGTAATGCTCAACTGGGAACTTCTGAAGGTTGTTTGAGTAGAAGACTGGCATAAGCAATGTGTCTGACAAAGACAAGCCTAGCAGCTGAGCATAAAATGGATGGGTCAGGAGAGGAAGAATACAGAAAAGTAAGCCACTTTGCTCAGCATCCTTATCTAGAAAGTGCAAATAATGAAATC
The DNA here is from genome assembly GCF_000001405.40 of Homo sapiens. NCBI lineage: Eukaryota > Metazoa > Chordata > Mammalia > Primates > Hominidae > Homo > Homo sapiens. Next base: position 6,515,205 of record NC_000016.10, on the reverse strand, counting down.
ACTGATCTTGTATAGCCAGAGTGAACATTACAGGAGAAAATGAAATGTCAAGGTCTGACCACAGGACTTAGCACATAAGTAAACCTGTAATATACACCCATTTCTTCTCTCCTTCTCTCCTTTCCTTCCTTCCATTCTTTTCTTCCTTCCTTCACTTCTTCAGAAATTATTGAAGCTTGTGTCAAAGATGTGCTAATACTACACTGTTATTTCTCTGGTTGTTTTTGTTCTTGTTTTTCTTTTCATTCTCCAACTCCTTCTCTTCCTCCTTCATGTCCTCATTCTCCCCTTTTCTCTCCCTCTTTTTTCTCCTCCTCCCCTTCCTCCTTATTAAAATAATTATCATTATTATTGGAAACTCCATGACTACAAGGGAGGGCGGATCCATGAACACTTCAGGAGACACCATTTTTCTCCATCACTTTTTTCTCCTCCACCCCTTCCTCCTTATTACAATAAGAATAATTACCATTATTACTAGAAACTTCATGACTATGGAGGAGGGTAGATCCTTGAACACTTCAGGAGACACCATTTTTGTGGTCATGTTAGAGATGGATGAGACACAGACAAAGGGCATGTGAGGGGTACACAAATGCGTGGTGAGGGGAACATCAGGAATGCTCCCCCACATACGTGCCTACACTTTCAACTGCTAGAGCACATTTACAAACATCATTGAAACACAAATAAAAGACTGTGAATGGATGGCTGCTTTTAAATGAAAAATAATTTAGTTGAGGTAAGTGTGATCTCAGCAGGGGACTAAACCTGGCACTTAAAGGAGCATAGCATCAATTCATGTGGGCAAAAGAAAGTCGACTGAATCTCCTTCTACCCTCTGAAAGACACAGAAGCTCTTAAGCCTCCACGCCATACTACAGAGACTCTCGGGAAGCCAGATTCAGATGAATATGGTAAGATGAAGTGGAAAGGATTGCCCGTGTACGTGTGTGTGCTACAAATGGCATTCTAAACATCCTTTTAAGCAGAGAGCATCCCCAAAGGATGGGAGATAAGCCTTTCAGTAAGTGGCTCAAAAGCAGAAAGAGCACTGGATGGAACGTGACACCTAGGGCTGATTACTTCTGGGTTCACCTAATGACAGGGAAGCTCATTCTTGACGACCAATGGCTACGGACTTACAGAGCAACACAGTTCATGCCTTGAGGTGTTGATTCTCTGTAAGGTGGACATGCGCCATTTGCAAAGCACAGTGGACATGTGTTGAGCCTCCTCCATCTTTATTTTCCCTATTTCTGTTCTTCCCATCAGCCCGTTTTCCACTTGGGGATCTCTTTCAGCCTGACGCCCCCTCAGGTGACAGTATTGGATTATGCGTCCTAGTCCAAACCAATGAGAACACTCCACCCTCTCGCTTGAACTGATTGGCTCTGCAGTGGCCACAGAAACAAGACAATGATGTCATGGTTTCCAGACTTTGTTTTTTTTTGTTTGTTTGTTTGTTTTTGAGACGAAGTCTCACTCTTGTCCCCCAGGCTGGAGTGCAATGGTGCGATTTCGGCTCACTACAACCTCCGCCTCCCAAGTTCAAGTGATTCTTCTGCCTCGGCCTCCCGAATAGCTGTCATTACAGGCGTGTGCCACCCTGCCCAGCTAATTTTTGTATTTTTAGTAGAGACAGGTTTTCACCATGTTGGCTAGGCTGGTCTCGAACTCCTGACCTCAGGTGATCCGCCTGCCTCGACCTCCCAAAGTGATGAGATTACAGACGTGAGCCACCGCGCCCGGCCTCATGGTCTCCAAACTTTTACACAGAGTCATGAGTCCAATGTGCTCTCTCTTCCCCTGAAAAGTTTGATGTGTAGATATGAGGCCATAAGGAATGCTATCCAAGCACAAAGTTAGACAACAAGGAGGAGAAGCTGACAGAATCACTACCAGCAGCCCAGTCCCTTTGCCAGGCATTTGCTACGTGGCAACCACTGTGCTAAGTGCCCAGCATTCACTAACTCATTTACTCTTACCTAAGCCCCAATATGCTAGGCATTCTTACTCTCATGAGTTTACAGATGAAGTCGCTGAAGCTCAGAGAGCTACCTAAGATTTCACTTAAGAATGGGTGGTAGAGCTGGGATTTGAAGCCAGACTAGAACTGGCTGACTTGGATTCTTCAATACTGTGCCATATTGATTGATGTGCTATTTTGTATTTTCACAGTGGGAAGGAGACATCGATGAGAAGTAGGAATTCGTAACAAAATTATTCTGCTTCTCCTTTCCATCCCAATACAAAACTTCATGTGTAACAGCAAAAGATAGAAGGCCAATGCAGAGTTGACATTCTCTCTAGTTAAAAACCTTCAAAATAAAGTCAGTTGACTCCCCTTCATGGGCCAGCATTGGATCATTTGACCTAGAGCAAAGCTTAGGCTTGGCTGTGGCTAAGACAATGAGACTACTCCATCCTCTTGCTCCTGCTGACTGACTCTCCTGTGGCCACAGAAACAAGACAGTGACGTCACGGTCTCCAAAACACAAGACAGCAAGGGTCCTCATAGCATGTGGGGACTGAACTAGAAAGCCTCACAGATATTCCCATTTTCTTGGGAGAACTCTGGAAATGTGTAACATTTCCTAGGATCAGTCATGGGTGTCCATTGGAGGCAGAAGACTAAAAAGAGGCTCTTGTGTAATGTCTAGCAACACCCAGTCTTGGTCCAGACCCTCTACATTAGGCTTCTTTGGTCTGATGCTGGACTTGTCCCATGCTTACCCCTCAACTCCATGACCTATCCAAGAAAAACATGTCCAAGGCCTGAATGCAACGCATTCCCTATCCTACCCGAGGCTTGAATTTTGAGCACTCTTGATTGAAGTTTTATTAATCTAATGATAATGTATGTTTTTCATTAAATACATGCATAAATCTCTTTTTCTCTTACCTTTTTTTTTTTTTTTTGATACAGGGTCTTGCTCTGTTACCCAGGCTGGAATGCAGTGGTGTGATCATGGTTCACTGCAGCCTCAACCTCCTGGGCTCAAGCAATCCTACGACCTCAGCAACCCAAGTAAGTGGGACCACAGGCATGCACCATCATGCCTGGCGAATTCCTTTTTTTTTTTCATTTTATTTGTAGAGAAGAGAGGTCTTACTATGTTGCATACACTGGTCTTGAACTCCTGGGCTCAAGGGATCCTCCTGCCTTGGCCTCTCAGAGGGCTTGGATTACAGGTATAAGCCACCATGTCCTGCTTGTTCTCTTATCCCTGTAGGGGTAAGTCTCAGGGAAAGACCTGGCTGTTATGAAATACTGACATAATCTGAACTTTATGAAATAGACACTCCTACAAAGAGCTGCACAGGCACTGGTTTCCTACTGAATCAAGATATTATCAAAAGAAGAAAGCCGTGACTTCAAGTCTAGATACTTCTACAAAGAGGAAAGCCACTAGTAGAATTTGAATAATCTCTTCTGGACAATGTCTTCTTATAAAATCCATCTATAGTGCATGTCACTAATGCATTCCATCAGCAAATTACTATCACCACAGCCTTTAATAAAGCAAAAGGTTTCTTTCTTCACCAGGGAGTTAGTAAATATTAAAGCTCCCTCTTTGGCGCTCATTCTAACCAGGGCAATTATGTATGAGGACTATTCACAATGGACTCAATTTGACAATAATTATTCTCAGCAATGCCAGTTGGTAGTTTCCATGGGCTCCTTGTCTCTGCAGACATGAAAACTAATTTTGATTCTAAAAGCGCATGTTTTAAAATTCTCCCATGTCAGTCCAGGGCCTAGGAACAGAGCAGGAAAATTCCCAGGTCTTCATTTTGCGTATGATATTCTCAATCTACCAAGAGGGATTCATTTCTGCTACATGATAGACACTAAGAAAAAGCATAGAAGAGATTTTAGGCAATTTGCATGTGTCAAGCCAAAGTGAACCAGCACACTGGCCTATTCCTCCCTATTTCCTGTGAACCCCTTTTATGGGGGCACCAACACATCTGAGTATCAGAGTATCACACTCTTCGCTCCTCCATCTTTCTCTTTTGGGATTTTCCAGAGGCTTTTCCACCAACCCAGCGTAACACCAGGAGGCACACTGGGCTTTATCCAGTGCCTGCTCTTACGTGGAAAAGCCATTCTGATCCACGCTACCTCAATGGTCCTGGATGCTTGCAACCTCAATGTTGCTTTTAAACATACACCCCTCAGAACTCATCATTTAACAGCTCGTGACAGCATTGGATGCTGCCGTGGGAGACAGAAGCAGCACACACCACATTTCAAATCCACTCCTTGTCTTTCATGCTTAAAATTATGAGTCAGCCACTAGTAAGTATTAAAGAGGGCATACCTTTTTTTCCTTTTTTTTTTTTTAAGGGTGCAGCACTAAGGGTGCAACACTACTTAACAAATGACAAAAACCTTTAGCAGTCCGCCAGGTACTGGCAACAAATTGTTGTCTTTTTTTTAATAGTTTGGGACAATTAAGCTGAGATTTCTCTGTGCCCAGATTTGGAGCCTCTCCAACCTTTAAACTTCATTGCCCAGTAGAGTAACCAACTGTGTTTGTGGGAGGGATACAGACTATTAAAAATCATTTGGTAGGGAGCCTCTGGAGGCATACGCAGGCTTTCATCCTCCCGACTTCTCCATCACATGGAATCCAACAGACTCCAATTGCTTGGGTAGTCAGTGAACAAATGAATGATAATAATGTGTTGTCATCTGTGCCTGCTGTCCCTCACCTGGTCTCCTCTGTGACCAAAATCACATCTTTCTTAGTGAGGGAGCTTAGCCAGGTCAGGGACTCAGCGTGTCATCAACAACAAGAGCAGAACGGCATCGGGAAACTGGGAGTTGGCTTCTGTGGCATCACATGTGACCTTCCACGAACAAAAGCAGTTCAAATCTCAAAAACACTTCAACTTGAGGTGACTGAAAAGCCGGCTTTCAGAGATGCTTGCAGAATCCAATAATGGTTCCGGTGTGGCTGTTCAATGCCAGCCACATGAGACAAAGGGGCTAATAAAAATAAATCTTTATAATGAGGAAGAGAGCATACATATGTTTCCACTCTTCTCTTTCTCTACTGACTCCCATCAAAGAGCTCAGGATAGAGGAAGTTACAGTCAGAAGCTTTCAGTAACTATAAGCATCCCTAGGAAGACAGGAGCCTGATATGAAGCTGCTTCAATCACAGGAACAGACACCACCCCTGCCCTGAATCGCATGTGGCCAATTGTCTAAGGTTGGCCAACTTCACATTTGCCTTTGAGTAAACATCCCATCACTTATGGAGCGTCTCCTGCATTATCAGGGATATAGTTTATTTTACATCTCCTCAAATCTGACTTCTCCTACAGTTTTTTCTATTTTGAAAATTTTATATTTTTCATGTTTGGGAGAACATGGTAAGTGTATATATTTATGAGTTACATGAGATATTTTGGTACAGATCTGCAATGCTTAATAATCACATCAGGGTAAATGGGTCTCCATCTCCTTAAGCATTTAATCTTTTGTGCTGCAAACAATCCGATTATACTCTTTTACTTATTTAAAAATGTACACTTAAATTTTTTTTGACTACAGTCACCCTGTTTTGCTAGCAAACACTAAGACTTATTCGTTCTTTTTAACTATGTTTTGTTCCCATGAACCAGCCCCATTTCTTCCTTCCACACTATCCTTCCTGGCCTCTGGTAACCATCCTTCTACTTTCTGTCTCCATGAGTTCAATTATTTTAAGTGTTAGCTCCCACAAATAAGCAAGAACATGCAAAGTTCCTCTTTCTGTGCCTGGCTTATTGCACTCAGCATCATGACCTCCAGTTCCATCTATGTTGTTGCAAATGACAGGATCTCATTCTTTTTATAGCTGAATAGTAGTCCACTGTGTATATGTACCATATTTTCGTTACCAATTTATCTGACAAGGGATTAATAACCAGAATATATAAGGAGCTCAAATAACCGCATAGGAAAAAAATTCCTCCATTTTAAATCTGTTGGCCAGCTCCCCCCAAAAATACCTTTACCAGATAATGGGATTTTACTGGAAGATCCTCTCTGCATTAAAGGTTAAGGGTTACTTAAGACAAAAGAAAGCACAACAAAATCTGGTTACTCCTTTGAAATAAAATCAGTCTTTTCTCAAGATCAGTGGTATATTTTAAAATCTCATCCAAATGTATGGTGCCATGAAGAAGGGTGATCTTAACTGCCATTAAAATTAAATCCTACAAAATAAAAACTTTACATTCACATAGTACTGAGAAACCAGGTCTCAACCTGAGGCACAGATAATGAATACCATTAATGATAACAACAGTGTTAAGAATCTTTATTTTTTTTTTTTTGTTATGATTCGTAGGTTGGTGCAAAAGTAAGCGCAGTTTTACCGTGATTACTTTTGTATCAACCTAATATAAATGGCAAATTTCTTCTCTAAATTTAATACAGAGCCTTAAATATGGCAAGTAATTCATCCTGTGAATTTAGGCGTAGAGAATTTTAGGATGAAGTAACTGCAGATGCAAAGGATGGAATGACCTTGCCATGTTTTACGGTAAGCAGGAGAGAGAGAAGTTCAAGAGAAAAGTAAAGAAGAAACAGCAATAGGAAACGTCTTTGAGGGAAGCAGAGACGAGATGTTACGGGACCTTATAGACAACAGTCATTTTTTCTCTCTTTCTAAGCACAGTAGGACACCTTTGGAAGGTTTTAAGGGATTAGCTGAATTATGTTTTCTTTTTGGTTTTTTGAATTTTTTTTTACTGTGGTTAAAAAACCCACATAATCTTAACAATTCTTAAGTGTACAGTTCAGGAGTGTTAAGTCTACTTACATTATATTTTTGTTTTAAGTTTTATGTTCGGGGACAAGTGCAGGTTTGTTACATAGGTAACTTGTGTCATAGGGTTTTGTTGTACAGATTATTCCATCACCCAGGTAATAAGGCTAGTACCCATTAGTTATTTTTCCTGATCCTCTCCCTCCTTCCACCTTCCACCCTCCAAAAGGCCCCAGGATGTGTTGTTTCACTCTATGTGTCCATGCGTTCTCATCATTTAGCTCTCACTTATAAGTGAGAACATGCAGTATTTGGTTTTCTGCTCCTGCATTAGTTTGCTAAGGATAATGACCTCCAGCTCCATTCATGTCCCTGCAAAGGACATGATCTTTTTCTTTTTTATGGCTGCATAGTATTCCATCATGTATATGTACCACATTTTCTTTATCCAGTCTATCATTGATGGGCATTTAGGTTGATTCCATGTCTTTGCTATTGTGAAAAGTGATGCAATGAACGTAAGTGTATTTTGTACAATACATCTGTAGAACTCTTTATCTTGCAAATCTGAAATCTCTACCCATTAAAACAAAACCCCCATTCCCCATTCCCCCCTCCTTCTAGCCCTGGCTAACCACCACTCTACTTTCTGTCTTTATGAATTTGACTACTTTAGATACTTTATATAAGTGGAATCATACTGTATGTGTCTTTTTGTGACTATCTTATCTCTCTTAGCATAATGCCATTAAGGTTCATCCATGTTGGACATATAACAGGATTTCTGTCCAGGCTGGAGTGCAGTGGTGCAATCACAGCTCACTGCAGCCTCCACCTCCTGGGCTCAAGTGATCCTCCCACCTCAGCCTGGGGGTAGCTGGAACTACAAGTGTGTGCCACTATGCCAGGCTTTTTTTTTTTTTTTTTTGTACAGATAGGGTCTTGTTATGTTGCCCAGGTTGATTTCCAACTCCTAGGTTCTATTAATCCTCCTGCCTTAGCCTCACAAAGTGTTGGGATTACAGGCATTAGCCTCCATGCCCAGCCCTTTCTTTCCCTTTTAAGGTTGAATAATATTCCATGGTATAGACAAACCACATTCTGTATACCCATTTAATTTGAGTTGCTTCCACCTCTTTTTTATTGTAAACATGCTGCTATGAAAATGGGTGTATAGTTGATTTATGTTTTAAGTAATTTTGTCTATCATGTGTATAATGGATTGGAGGAAGGTAAAACTAGGTCTTGGGATGTCTGGCTAGGAAGCCATCTCTGCAGTGGAGGTGAGGAACGATGCTGGCTCAGAAGGCTGAGGCAGTGAAAACATCAGAAGCGGAGACTTGGGATGTACCTTGGAGGTAGGATTTGAAGGAAATGTTCACAGATGGACAGCGTAGGGTTGAAAAGGAAGCAGTCATGAGCCCTCTACCACAGTAAGTTCACTGCCTGACATAAAGAAATCCCACACTAAAGATTAGCTACTACTAAGGCTGGGCACGGTGGCTCATGACTGTAACCCCAGCACTTTGGGAGGCCAAGGCAGGTGGATCACTTGAGGTCAGGAGTTTGAGACCAGCCTGGCCAACATGGCCAAACCCTCTCTCTACTAAAAATTACAGAAAATAGCCAGGCATGGTGGTTGGTGCCTGTAATCCCAGCTTCTTGGGAGGGTAAGGCCTGAGAATCACCTGAACCTGGAGGCAGAAGTTGCGGTAAGCCAAGATGAAGCCACTGTACTCCAGCCTGGGAGACAAAGCGAGACTCCATCTCAAAAAAAAAAAAAAAAAAAAAAAAAAAAAAAAAAAAAAAAATTAGCTACTGTGATTGTTATTACCGTTTATACTGACAAATTCAACATCAAAGGTGAGTCTAGACTACACTGTGGGTCCATAGATGTCCCAAGTTTATAAATGGTCCCCACTTAACCCTGACGCATCTTTTTTAATAGAGTCTTGGTTCATTCCCTCAGCCTTCTTTCTCACTGCCTTTGACCACGAAACCCTCTCCTTTTGTTTCTCCAACTAAGCCTTTTCCACCCTGGTTCTGCCTTCACCCAAGCTGTTTTCAATACTGCAATGCCTTCCCCATAGATCTGAGTGTCTGGCTCTTCCCTCCAGCTCCCCATACTCCCTGCTGGCTGCTGTCACTACATTTCCCCACTCTATTCTCTCCCCCATCCCACATGGTCCTCCCTTAGTCCAGAAGCACTGACTTCTGCCTCCCACTTGGGGCATCTACATGACCTGCCCACTCCTGTTGTCCAGAAGACTCTTCGCTTCTAAATTAACTGTTTCTCATTTTTCCCACTCTCAGCTCAGTGCCACTTTCTTAGTAGGGCATGTCTGGATATATGCAAGGGTGCACCTTTGCTAACTGCTTTGCTAGAATCAGGAATCTTTCCTTTAGGTCACCTATCCCAGTTAGCTCAGATAGTAATTAGAGGTTTGCTATTGTGATGATGTGATTTCCTCTTCCACCCATGTCACTAACCTCCTCTCCTGACCCCACTCAACTGTATGCTCCTAGGTAACAGGTTCTCTGTCACTTTCGCCCATTGTTTAACAGTGGCACCAGCTCCTTACCCCAACACTGAGTAGGACCTGGATACATTTGAAATGAATGAATGTGTTATCAGAACCACTGCCTCCAAGGAATTCTCTTATGTACCACTCTTACGTATGTGATTTCTCCTTCATTAGACTCTTGAGTTTTTAGTCTGTACCAAAGAGTACTACACTTTTTCCTTTGAATGTATCATGTACATCTGTTTTCTCTGTCCATTTAAATGAGTAGAGTTCTTGAGGATTAAATCAATACCTTATTTATTTCACCTCATCTCTGCTATACCCAAACATAAGCCAGGACCCCATAATCTCTGTCTAGCTGTACTAGACGGTGAGAATACACAGAGTAAACGTGTGTCTAAAAACTGCATTCGAGAATACCTAATATTTTTCAATTCTGATTTTATTTGGGATTTCCAAAATTCACATTCCTCCTGGATGTAATGGGAGCATTTTGTTTCCAAATATTCTCCTGTTGAAAAGTTTTTCCCAAATGCCATTTTTACTAATCATAAATGTGTGCATTTTTAGATTCCTTATATAAACAAAGCTCAATTGAGTGATGAATATCAGGGTGAAAATGAATGTCTACAAGCTTCACATTTCTGCTATTGACTGTGACATACTGAAAGTGACAACTACATAAAAGTGACTGACAATCAAGAGCTTTAAGGAATACTTCAAATCCAACCACTGAGCAAGAAACTGCATAACTAGGGCAGAAACCCCCAAGTCTGGTGAAGGAAAAAAAATAATTTGAGTAGACTTTATTTTTCTAATTTTTATTTATTTATTTATTGAGACGGAGTGTCACTCTGTTGCCCAAGATGGAGTAGAGCAGCACAATCTTGGCTCACTGCAACCTCTGCCTCCTGGGTTCAAGCGATTCTCTTGCCTCAGCCTCCCAAGTAGCTGGGATTACAGGCACCTGCCACTAGCCCAGTTAAAAAATTACAAAATTTTTTTTTTTTTGTAATTTTAGTAGAGACAGAGTTTCACCATGTTGGGCAGGCTAGTCTTGAACTCCTGACCTCGTGATTCACCCACCTCGGCCTCCCAAAGTGCTGGGATTACAGGCGTGAGCCACTGCACCTGGCCAGACTTTGTTTTTTAAATAGAAGTGCCGATTTGATGCACTTTATTCTGCTTTTGTAAGATAAAGCTTGCAAGTATGCAATTCAATGCATGTACAAGGAGCTTTTGGAAAACATGGCAGTGGGACAGGTCATACCTACTACCCCTCACACTTGCCCATCTATCTACCAACATGAGGTGTCAAATAAGACTCAGTATGTTTGGAATGTAGATAGGCAAACTCATCCCTCATTCTAGCTCCCTGTTACTTTGAGTCCTCTGCACTTTTAATTAAGTTTCACATTACAAAGGTCTCATGCAAATTTTCTCACTCTATACTACCCCGGTACTCTGTGCATCCATAAACCAATGGTGAAGCATACACCAGTGCCAGCAGAATCAGAAAAGCAAACACATTAGATCCCAAATGATCTCTGAAATAAACTGTCTGATGGTGAAGGGCAGGGGAATGTGAAGTTGAAGCTGGATGCACTGGTGCCTTTAATCCAAAGCAAATAGATTCCCAACAGGTGGACTGTGGAGAAGCTCAGAATCGACATACTTGTCAGAACACCGTTGGTGCTAGCTCTATCATGCAGGCTTGCACAGCTCCCTGAAGATACATGGTGCTTTATCCAGGGGTTGTTCTTTGTCACTAGAGGTATATGACTACTGACTACCTTACCTCTGGGCTGCCATTTCACTGAAGGAACAAAAAAGAACCAAAAAGCAAAATTATCAGTGGTGCTGAAACAATAAAAGATAAGAAAGATGCATACGTATAAGCAAATAGAAGGCTGCTCTTAAAAAGGGAGAGACTACATGTATCTTGAATTCAAGTGCCAAAGATGATTTAGGGATGAAGGTCCGGCTTAAGGAACATCCTCCTCGTAGAGCATTATTCCCTTCAGTGCATGGCTTGCCTTAAAGAGGCCTGGGTAGATGCAAACAATGGCCACAAACTTATCCCATCCCCATTTGCATATACCTTTTCCAGGTGAGTGTGAAGCTTCCTCCATCGCGAGACATCACTCACTCTGGGATTGGCTGTGTGTCTTGATTTGGTCCAGTAGACATCAGAAAATGCAACATATGGAAGGGATGAAAGATGCTCCTCAGTTAGAGATTGCTACACTGCTGCACTGGGGTCCCTGAGACTCAAGTTAGCTTGCTGACCAAGCCTAAGCAAGCCTGCCGAAAAGGCCACAAATAAGAAAACTGAGGCAACCCAGCAAATCACCAAGTATGTGTGTCAAGACATTCTAGGCAATTCAATTTCAGTGGTGTGAGTAAACCCAGATGAAACCATCAGAAGAAATGTCCTGCTGAGCACAGCCCACATGGTCCACCCAGGGAAATGTGAACAAACATATGATTTTTTTAAGCCACGAAATATTGGAATTGTTTGTTACCAGCAAAAGCTAACTGTTACAAGAACAAGAGTGCTATGACTCCCCAGGCTTCTACAATCTCCTTTATCCCATCTCGTCTGGAGAAGTGGAAAAGAGATAAACAAAGACTGCCCATAGATAAGTATAGATATTTGGGGGCTGTGCTTAAGATTTATTTTAACGTTATTTTTATTAAAAAAATGTTATGAAAACAAATAATAAAAAAATCACATATAATAAATTGGTAGTATGCTCCTACCATGAAGTCTCAGCATCCTTTCTTTGAATAATCACTCTTCATAGTTTCTTAGGTCTGTTGAGAATATATCCATGCATCCATATGTCTAAATCTTTATAAATACATATTATACTACTTTTTACCATCCTTTTCCCCATTTATCTATCTATACATTAATATCTCAGCTGAGTCGATATTATCTTCTTTCCATAATATCAGATTAAGGCCTACTTCATCCTTTAAGTGGCTACATAATATGACGGTTTACAAGTTGTAACATGGCATTGCTATAAAACGGACATAACCCCAGTTAGTATTTGGATTCAATCCAGAACCAGCGAGAATAGAATAGAATGCCAAGAAAGAAGTATCTTACATCCATGTCTAAAAAGGATGCTGATAATCATGATCCATCGGGGCACCTTACCCTAGAGGAGATGAGTCCTACATAGGGGTCCGGTGGTAATGGCAAAAATTAGCAGAGGTAAAAGAGTTAACAATAGAAAAGTTCCACATACAAACACTTGCTAGCACAACTTATCCACCATGGATGGCACCTCTCCCTCCCCTCCTTGACCTCTCTCATAGTAGTTAATAATTACTAAAATCTCCTATGTGTTAGGTACTATGCTAAGGTGTTAGGTGCAGAATGTCGTACAATCCTTAAAATAGTAGATGGGTTATACTGCCATCCTATTTTACAGATGAGCAAACTGAGACTTAAAGAGATTAAATAACTTGCCCAAGGTCTTTAGTGATGGACTCAAGACCTAAGCTCTTACTTATACCACTGGTTTGGGACACCTCTTCTTGGGATTTTCCTAGGGAACGTCACAGAGCTGAAGTTAAAGCCCTTAAAGGTGGCATGCCAGGTAGATCAGGGGTTCTGATGTCAACTTTCTCTGGGGCCACTACTATTGTAGCCGATCTAGATCCCTACAGATGGATCTGCATAGCTCCCCATGAGAAAGATATAACAGAAGCACAAAATTTCTCTACATCCTCCTACTAGCTAAAGCCAATGCCTGAAGGGACACTGAAGGAATTTTTTGGTTCCAGTTGGGTAATATTCTGTTACACAAGGAATGACCCAACCCATTCCCTGGAAACTAGGAAACCAGGGTTATACCCTCATGACCCCCCTAAGCAGGCATTCCAAATCAAGGACACACGATCCCTAGAAGAATGTAAACTTTACAAAAGCAGAAATCTTATCTATTTTGTTCACCACTATCTCCTCAGCACTTGCAAGGATCTCTGTTGAGGATTTCATGAATCTATGAACAAGTAAAGCCAGAGTGGAAGACACGTCCTAAGAGGGGTGTGAAAACCAAGAAGAATTTCCCCCCAGTGTCAGCAAAGAGCCTGGAGGAATAATCACCCATTTTAGCAGTTTAGAAAAGAATATGGAAAAGCAGTGCCTGGCACCCAGCACAGCGCCCAGTACAGGTCAGTGGACTGGGTGAATGTTTTAGAATGAGATCAGAAACGTCAGGAGAAGGAGCCCTTGTCTATAAGAATGTTTGGATTCTAAATCATGCTGCTATAAAGACACATGCATGCACACGTATGTTTATTGTGGCACTATTCACAATAGCAAAGACTTGGAACCAACCCAAATGTCCAACAATGATAGACTGGATTAAGAAAATGTGGCACATATACACCATGGAGTACTATGCAGCCATAAAAATGGTGAGTTCATGTCCTTTGTAGGGACATGGACGAAGCTGGAAACCATCATTCTTAGCAAACTATCGCAAGGACAAAAAAACAAACACCACATGTTCTCACTCATAGGTGGGAATTGAACAGTGAGAACACATGGACACAGGAAGGGGAACATCACACACCGGGGACTGTTGTGGGGTGGGGGGAGGGGGGAGGGATAGCATTTGGAGATATACCTAATGCTAAATGAAGAGTTGATGGGTGCAGCACACCAACATGGCACATGTATACATATGTAACAAACCTGCACGTTGTGCACATGTACCCTAAAACTTCAAGTGAAATAAAAAAAAAAAAAAAAAAAAAGAATGTTTAACTGGCAAGACAAAGAGGCTCAGCAGAAAGACCTCTGAACTCATCAAGCAGGATAGGGTCCAGGGGCAGACTCCCATGGGCAGTGAGACCATCCTACCCTGCTGAAGTAGCTCTGGGAGGAAGGGGCTCTGCCAGGAAGGATAGGAAGAAAAGACAGGAACATGGCTGGTCCAGCAACACCAACCCAAAACTTAACAAGGGACAGAGGATGTCTCAGCATTAAAAAAAAAAAAAAAAAAAAAAAAACTACTCCCCAAGGGCTGAGATAAAAGACAATGATCTTAATGGACAAGGTCAACTTTAAAACACGATGATTTTTCTCCTGCACACATATCACAGTTGGTTTATAATCTTTGTGAGGAGAATAACAACATCTTGACATGCAGTCAAGATGTTGTCAAGTGTTGATGTCAGTGTCCAAGTTTTCTAAGACCCTGAGTTCAATGCCTCTTCTTGCCATTCTTAAGCCTCTGTAGTTACAGTCCATGTACTTCAATTGCCTCTTCACCTTGGCTCTTTTCCATGGCTGGATATTAATTTTCTTGAGGGAAGGGACTCTATTGTGTTCAGAATATTATGGAACATTCCTGAGATGACTTAATCATATTTCTGCAAAAGTTGATCTGTGTAGACCTTCTCACCCTTGGCCAAGTACTAGGTGTTGGAGCTGCAATTTGGAGTCACTGTGCTTTGTGTGACTTAACAATATCATATAAATGGTCAGTGAATATCCTCTAGTGAGAAGCTCTGAGTGTGTGTGTGTGTATGTGCACACGTGCATCCATGTCCATGTGCAGCAAAATAGAATGTGTATACCTTGAAGCATGGTGTGTTGAACACAGATGATGGTCTTCTTGCTAAAGGCCTCAATAAGCTCCTAGGTATTTTGCCAATTAGGAAAAAATAGAAGATACCATTCTTTTAATTGTAGCATGATGACCAGGTATTTAAAAAGAGTTGGCGTGACTCAAAGGTTTCTAGAAAATGTGTCAGCATGCAGACTTTCAAGAATGGCTCCTTCAACTTGTTTTTTAACCAAAGGAAATGACATCATTCACACCCGGTTCACAAAAGAAGAAATAAAACATTGTGCTAATTCAGTGATAAGGGTTTCTAGAAAGGAGGTCCCAAAAAATGCTGAAAGCCCTTCACGAGGCGGCAGGTAAACATCAGAGAAAGCCCTTCTCAAAACAGAACTTGTTCAATGTACTCACCCTTACCACATCCTTTTACCCGACTCCTTTGTAATCTAAGCAGGTGACAACTTCATTCAGCTGTTAGCAACAAGAGGAGGTATCGATTACCCGCGAATGCCCTAATGACTGGAGACTGGGACACAAACCATAAATGGAGACTTTCTGATTCCAAGTGAAATTATAGTTTGCCCTACGAGATTGCACAATAAATCAGGGGGAAAACCAGCCAACATAGGACTCTGGGGTCACTGAAGTGATGTTGACACATTACAATAATGAGAACTTGAAATACCTCATGCCCTACTGATTTTTAAGCTGAATCATTCCCACTGCAGAAGATTACAAGACTCTGTCTTGGAATCATGGCTCACACGGGAGATGCTGATGAAAAATACACCCAATCCAATCAAAATGAAAAGCTTTACTTGTGCTTATTACAAATCTAATACCATTGTCCCTAGGCTGTGTGATACCCACTTAACCTACAATGGGATAAAAACACATACTACAGTTTTTATTTTAATTAAGATTTTTCATACCTTTTTTTTTTACACATGGCTGTTTGTGGTGTCTATACAGTAAAAAAATACCCCAAAGGAAACAGGCATAATGGCTCGATTAGTGCATAAAAGGCAATTTCTTTATGCTTTTCTAATTCCAGTGTAGCTTTCAAATTCCTTGCATCACCATATCATTTTGAAGAATGGAAAATCATGTCCTAACAACCAACTTATTTCCTAGTCAATAGGAGGAGATGCAGTCCACCAGCATCCAGCTTCCACAGTAAACAAAGGCTGCCTGGCTGATAATTTCTTTTTCCCTGAAAAGTGCTCCACGGAGCTGAATAAACACAGTTGTGCGAAGCCAACTGGTGACATAAGTTAATTACTAACCTGTCACACAATCATAGAATGGTAATAATTTATTTTCACTGTTGCATTAACCATAAGTCGCTTTTTGCCAATGGGGTGTATTGGAGGAGAAGGCTCCAAGGCATACTGCTACTTGCCGTATAAGCCTATAGAAGGTGGTGTCAGTATTTTAGTTGAGGGATCAGATACTAACTGTGCCATGGCTTTTACCATGCATATCTTGGCTTCAGGAGAAGAACTAGCAGGTGGGAATAACACTATCTTTCCTCAATAGGACTCTGAAACATTATCCAATTATTATAGATATAATTATTATTTAGATTTTCCAGGACTTAATACATTGTAAATACTCTGGGACAATCCAATGTGATCACACATTCTTTAGAAACCCTTATCGAAGTCCTTAATATGGGCAGACATTGTGCTAGGAACTAATTGTATATTGCTCACCTGTTCTCTGTCTTCATGAAGTTTATAGCCTATCATCACAATCTAATCGTTGGAGAGGAACACCTGCAGGCAAAATCTATGGGTCTAAAAGGGCCTGATTGCTGAACCAAGCCCCAATATCCTTCTGAGAAGGCTGACTGAAATAAATGAACAGCATTTAGAAGCTAACTGGTCTGTCTTCTCTTTCAGATAGCCTGATTATTGTTCCTCTATTAACGAAATACAATGATATTTTGCTCTTCTGTCAATATATATTTCTGCTCATAAGTCTCTCTAAATTCTACTATCTCAGTAATTTTATCAACCTAGGAATAGCTATCTGGAATTGTCATCCTTTTTTTTTTTTTTGTTTTGAGACGGAGTTCCTCTCTGTCACCCAGGCTTGAGCGCAGTGGCACAATCTTGGCTCACTGCAACCTCCACCTCCCAGGTAGTAGTGATTCTCGTGCCTCAGCCTTCCAGGTAGCTGGGACTACAGGCACGTACCACCATGCCCGGCTATTTTTTATAACATTTTAAGTAGAGACGGGGTTTCATCATGCTGGCAAGGCTGGTCTCAAACTCTTGACCTTAGGCGATCCACCCGCCTCAGCCTCCCAAAGTGTTGGGATTACAGGCATGAACCACTGTGCCTGGCCTGGAATTGTCATCTTTTGACATGGGTAACAGTGATTAATTTATTTATAAATATGATTGAAAACCTCTGAATGCTTTTAGGCACTTTCTCACACTTGTGAATATAAAATAGGGCCGGGAGTGGTGACTCACGCCTGTAATACCTACACTTTGGGAGGCTGAGATGGGTGGATCACTTGAGGTCAGGAGTTCGAGGTCAGCCTGGCTAATATGGTGAAACCCTGTCTCTACTAAAAATACAAAAATTAGCCAGGCATGGTGGTATCTGCCTGTAATCTCAGCTACTCAGGAGGCTGAGGCAGGACAATCACTTGAACCTGGGAGGCAGAGGTTGCAGTAAGCCAAGATCGCGCCACTGCAGTCCAGCCTGGGTGACAAGAGCAAAACTCTGTTTTTTTTTTTTTTTTAAAAACTTCAAAAATCGGTGTAAAGGATTTATACTGGAGGTTATTCCACATGTCCTTGCTCCATTGCGGCATTTTGAAGAGCTGTTCTTCTAGAGTTCACACCAACTTCTTTCTCCAAGTGCTCTCTGGGCCTTGAGAAGTGACTATCTACAGAGTGGGAAAAGTAGCTGAGAAATGAAGAACTTTTAGAGAAAGTCTGTGGAGGGCATCAAGCTCCATGTCAATGTCACATCTCAACAACATACTGCATCTTTGACCCACACATCCCAGCTAATGCCCACCTGAGAAGAGCTGGTCTGGAAGGCACCTCACAAGCTCCTCCTCTTTCTCCAGCCTCAGTTACAAAACACAGTGGTTAAGCAAGCTGCTTGTGGGTTTAGTCGGCCTGTTGCCAAGTTCCCAGTCCACTCCATGTTAGCAATGTAATATTTGGTTAATTACCTTCTCTAAAATTGCTCCCTCATCTGTAAAATGGAGACAATGACTTCTTATGCTACCTAAGAGGTTTGAGAGCCTCATATAAGCCAACCAAGACACAGTGCCTCTCGTAGTACTTGGCAGATACTATACTTAGTGCATTTTCTTTTTGTCTTTTTTTCCGAAGACGGAGTTTCTCTCTTGTTGCCCAGGCTGGAGTGCAATGGCGTAGTCTCGGCTCACCACAATCTCCACCTCCTGGGTTCAAGCGACTCTCCTGCCTCAGCCTCCCGAGTAGCTGGGATTACAGGCACCCGCCATCACACCAGGCCAATTTTTGTGTTTTTAGTAGAGATGACGTTTCACCATGTTGGCCAGGCTGGTCTCGAACTCCTGACCTCAAGCGATCCACCCACCCTGGCCTCCCACAGTGCTGGGATTACAGGCATGAGACACCGTGCCCGGCCAATACTCGCTGTAATTTAGCTGTGATGTGTTTCCCCAAGAGCATTGGTGTCTTCGCTTGGGGCAACTTGCTTTGATTTTCTGAGCCCAGTTCGACGAGGGGCAATGTAATGCAGCAACAGCTTTGGATAACTGTGCCTAAACTGATACGTTCAAGTGGGCAGGCAAAATTGATTCCCGTCTGATTGTTTCTGTATGAGCAAGACCACAACACGGCTATTAAAAGTAAGGCACTGAGAAACAGTTCTAGCTGTTTAGAAACACAATCTAGCTATTCCAGCAACACAAACGCCTGCCGCAAAGCAGGTTCCCAATCCACTTGTTCAAATGAAAAGGAAAAAGTTGAAGCCTGTGAATGAAGAACAACAAATGAAGGAAGTTCCAAATATTAGGTCACACCACCATTTCCTTTCAGAGTGGTCACTGTCACCATTTATGTCAACAATCTAGTCTAAATTTGCAGGACAATAGAAAAAAAAAGTGCACATGCCTTTTATAAACACTAATTTACAAATACCAATGCTGTAAGCCATGCCTTTCCAAATTCCCCTGACCGTTTTCTACAAGACACCCCAGAGTAGCACATATCTTTCTTGTTAACATTTCATGGAATCTTTCCATAAACATACGCTTGTTCTTGTCTTCCACATTTTGTCCTGTCACTGCAACAGATGGCTTTACACTGACGCATATAAAAATATTAAATACTTTATAAGCCTGTTGGAAATATAAAATGCCTTTGGAGGAACGAAAAGCTCAAGGATTAATGTAAAGCAGCCAAACAATATTCTGTTACAAACAGATACCTTTATGTTGTGAATACAATGGACAACCAACAATTCCACGTCTTCAATAGGTGGGAAGAAGGAGTGAGGGGTGTTGAGTTTGCCATAGGAGAGATTTGGGCCACACCAAAAAAGCAGAACATACTGCTATTGAGAGCTGTTAAATATTACAGTGTGTAACCAAGGGAGGGTTGTGAAATCTACGTCTTGGAGATCCAAAAGCCATAAGAGGCATCCATCTGTCTGAAACGGCCAAATAAAGCAAGCTTTAAGGCAGAGCTGTGAGCTAAGGGCTGATGAAGTCAGCTAGCTGATTATTCTATATACCCAGTTTCATTTATTATTTCTTTTCAGGGTGATATCAATAGATGTTTACTCTAAATGAATATTACTGTCTCAGCCAACCCACAAGTTATGACCAACCGATCTACGAAAGTGGGGACATCATCTTATAGATGGCTGTCTGCCAGGCGCGGAAGCTCAAGCCTGTAATATTAGCACTTAGGGAGGCCAAGGCGGGGGCGGGGGGCGGTGGATCACCTGAGGTCAGGAGTTCGAGACCAGCCTGGAAAACATGGTGAAACCCCATCTCTACTAAGAATACAAAAATTAGCCAGGCATGGTGGCGGGCACCTATAATCCCAGCAATTCAGGAGGCTGCGGCAAAAGAATCGCTTGAATCCGGGAGGCAGAAGTTGCAATGAGCCGAGATTCCACCACTTCACTCCCGCATGGGTGAAAGAGTGAAAGTTCATCTCAAAATAAATAAATAAATAAACAAACAAAAGAAAGCGGGGACATTGATTAGTGGTTAAAATGCGGGGTTCTCCAGCCAGACCGACTACCTCTAAGTGGTGATGACTGTATAATCTTGGGCAAGTTACTTAACCATTTTGTGCTTGGTGTTTCCTCCATAAGTAAGAACAGTAGTACATACTTCATAAGGCTGCTCTGAGGACAAATGAGTTAGCATACATAACAGGCTTAGAATACAGCCTGGCATATGGTGGATGCTACATAAATGCTGGCTATTCTCTGCATTTAGTGCCGTGTTTATGTAAAAATAAACATTAAGACGTGGGTACAATTTTCTTTTTTCCTTGTATCAGTTTGTACGCAACTGGCATTGACTTCCAATGGGTGCAACATATTGATGTGTTCCATAATATGCATAAATCAAAGATCTCCAAGGCCCATTCCTGGGCATTTATGCCAGAGAAGTGAAACTCACGGTCACGCAAAAACCTGTCCACAAATGTTCAAGACAGCTTTATGTGTGATGGTCAAA
This sequence comes from Homo sapiens, assembly GCF_000001405.40. Taxonomy (NCBI): domain Eukaryota; kingdom Metazoa; phylum Chordata; class Mammalia; order Primates; family Hominidae; genus Homo; species Homo sapiens. The sequence continues at coordinate 6,494,606 of NC_000016.10, read as the reverse complement.
GCCAACCCAGATATCCTTCAACAGGTGAATGGTTAAGCTGTGGTACATATATATACCATGCAAAATTACTGATGTAACAATGTAGGTACAACTCCAGGGAATGATGAGTCAATAAGCCCATCCCAAAACTCTAAGCACTCTGTGATCTCACTTATATACCATTTTTGAAATAACAAAGTTTTACAAATGGAAGGCAGATTCATGATCGACAGGGGTTAAGAACAGGGGCAGGTGGTCGCGAGAGATAGCTGTGGTTATACAAATGGAACCTCAGGATGGAACTGCTCAGTACCTTACCTGTGGCGGTGGATACAGAAACCTACACACGATGAAGTTGTACAGAACAATATATATACACACAAATACGTGCAAGTAACCTTAGGGAAATTCAAATAAGGTCAGTGGATTGCAGCCATGCCAGTATCCTCGATACGATGTGATACTACAGTTTGGTAAAATATTACCATTAGAGAATAGTGTACAAGAGATCTATCTATATTTTCTTACAACTGCATATGCTACATTTATCTCTGTAAAAATTTCAATTAAGAACATTGCCAAAGCCTAAATGCAGATGAGGAATGAAAGTTTTCAATACACTGGAATGATCGCCAACCTTCTCTCTGTATCTTCTGGTATACAGGAAAATATCACTCATTAAAAATCACGCTGATGCTACTGTAGATGTATTAAGAAACTATTTAATAAAAAAAGATGATTTCTTGTACTTAACGTTGCATAGTTTATACTGATTATTTCTAGCTTTCGTATATTCAGTTGGCGTGTTTAAAGGAAGTGAAATCTGCCGAGTGAAGTGCACAGGTTTCTGAAGCAATCTGAACAGCACCTGCCTTTCTCTGAAGTGTTTTATTATTCTGAGTCAGGCCAGCTGAATCTCCCAAGGTATGAAGTTCAGTTTGAGATAAAAATATTTTATCTGCCCTTACAGCAAATTGAAAGGCTATATAAAGGGTTTTGTTACTGCAGTGTTTTCATAAATATATAGTAAACATCTTTCACAGTGGGAAATTCGGCACAAAATACAATTTTCATACACAGCTATTCATGTGGCTTGCACAGGAAGATGAAATGACCCACAGATGAATAAAAAAAATAATAGTACTGTATACAACTTTTAGCAGCCTACGGTCCCTGACAAACACACACAGCTGGGAGGATAAGGATCATGATTTTGCAGTACCGGCGATGAATGACAAGTGTGTACAGCAACAGGGAAATTTGATTTTCTTCTGTGGTCAAACCATTACTGTTAACACATATTTAATATTTTTAGGAAATTCCAACACCCCACCACCCCATTCCAAAGAGCATACTGACCCCAAACCTCAACCAAAACATAACTGTGAATCCAATGATTTTCAGTTTTATCTTTTCTAAGGCTCAAATATATTTTCCAAGCAATTTAGGTTGCCTATGTCCAACACAGAATACCTATGTTGGTATCTAAGCTGACCTGTATCAGCTCAGGGGTAAAGTGATCACAGGTTGTTTGCAAAATGGAGGCTTTTCTCTTAAATATTTTTTAATTATCCAAATAGGGCATCTTTGCTGAAAATCACAAAGAATAAAGGTGTAATCTTAAAAGCAAAAGCTTCATCTCTTCCCTGCCCCTCTCTTAGTCATACTGCACAGCTACAACAAAGATAATCACTGTTTATAGTCCCTTCATTATCTTTTGCAGTATTGCCCTCTATGTAAAACAATTGCATGTGTATGTTTGCTTTCTAACAAAGTTTTTCAAACAGATTTCTGAGTTTTGGGCTCTTCCTCACTCATAACATCTTAGATGTAGTTTTACATCCAGGCAAATCCACTTCATTCCTACAAGGGTCCTTGACCTCCAATCACCCTACTTAGGTATTTCCTCCGCTCCAGTTTCCTTCTGACTGTTCACAATGCGGCAGTGAACCAAGCTGCATCTTCACAAACTTCAGCGATCACACAGATTCCAGAGGCAGAAAGGCTGGGTCAAAAGTACATACTTATTTATTTATTTAATTTTTATTTATTTATTTTTGAGATGGAGTCTCACTCTGTCACCCAGGCTGTAGTGCAGTGGCACCATCTCGGCTCACTGCAACCTCCACCTCCCGGGTTCAAGCGATTCTCCTGCCTCAGCCTCCTGAATAGCTGGGACTAACAGGCACCTGCCACCAAGCCTGGCAAATTTTTGTATTTTTAGTAGAGACGAGGTTCCACTATGTTGGCCAGGCTGGTCTTGAACTCCTGACCTCATGATCCTCCTTCCTTGGCCTCCCAAAGTGTTGGATTACAGGCGTGGGCCATCGTGCCCAGCCTACTTTTTCAAAATAAGAATTCCCAAATAGTCCTCTACAGAAGAAGGTACTATTCCACATTCTAACAGTATATAAAATGCCTGTTTCATCAACAAATTATTTTCCAATACAATATATAAAACTTTCACATATACAAGGGAAACTTTCACACGCCCGCACACACACACACACTTTCATATACTTGCTATTTATGTTTATTTTTCCAAAACCTATATTCATGTCCTTTGCCAATTTGTCTTCTCCATTACTACTCAGTCTATATGTCTACTCATCTATCCATTCATCTACCCATCCACCCATCTACCCAAAATATCCAGCCACTTGCATAATTTGCCAAGATGATAAGAAGGTTAATCCTAATAGGAGAGTTATAGGAACTTCCTATAGCTACATAAATCTCTTCATCTACATCAGATTCATTTTTCACCAATGTTAGAACAATGATTGATATAGCTTTGGGCCAAAAAAACGGGGAAAGGGACTTCGAAGCCTCAAAGCTTCAAATTTGATTAGCAGCCCTTTTAGTCACTAGCTGTTGGTAACCCTTGAAAAACCATCCCAAGTTTCAGCCTTCCCTCATGAACCCTGGGTATAACAATCACATCTGCCTCATAGGGCTGCTGGAAATATTCAGGCCAATAATGCACATCTGGGAATTAGTACAGTGTCTAGCTTATTGCAGGCACTCAATAGACACTATCAATAAGAAGGATAATGATGTGCAATTCTATATACTGAACAATTAGCTAGTACATTACAACAAAATCAGGTTTCTTTCTCTGTCAGCAGCAGAATGTGAATCCTGAACCACTTATAACATTGATGTAACTTCTATATGTTTAGATTCCTAAGAAAATTTCACAATCAAGACTGGGCAGAAATTCACTGAGTGTTGGGTACACTCTTTTTAATGGCATACAAGGTTTATCACTAGTTATCTTTATTTCTAAAAGGAGGCTCACCTTAAGATGCGGAAGTATTCCATATACTTCTGGATATGGAATTAAAATGGCTATTTTAAATCCAACTTCCCATTCTTTCTTTCATCAATTAAACTATATATATAGTTTAACTATATATCTATATATAGTTTATATGTACATATAAATAGACTATAGACTATGTAGCTTCTAGTCTATACATAAGTTACATATCTATAGCTTAACTATAGATATAACTATATATACACGTATAATTTAAATTTTAGTACTGCATACTAATAGATAGTATCTACAGAACTTTACTGGGTAGTCTTGGTTATGTGGGTTCATCTCATTTATTTTCCCACTGAACAACAAATTCTGGTTTCATTTTAAACCATTTCCTGAACCAACACTTAGATGAAATAGGTATTCCACAAAAGCCAATTTAATGAACTGTATTAAAAAAGGACATTTGACAGTAATGGATCCAACATCAGTCTTTTGACAGTTCTGCAATGGGATTCACTCTTCGCTCTCTTTGTTCAAACGTGAGTTTATTGGGCCTGAAATATAAAGAACAGTAATGGATTCCACTTCCAGCCCAGTTCCTAAACTGTCTCCAGGCTGGGAGGAGGTAGCTCAACAGCCCTTTTTGAGACTTTAATATTGCTCCATGACCAGATACGAGCTGTTCATGGGTGACCCTTTCTTTCTTGTATAAAAAAATCTGTGTCCTGCCTCAGGTAAAATGCAGTCCATACTTGTAAGCTGTGCTTAATCATCTCTGAGCTTTCTGCAGGGCAATAAATAGTAAGCAGATACCTATGCCTAACACTTAAGTAACGTACAAATTTAGATTGGTAAGCTGAGGACAGCTGGTATGAAATGGACGCCTGTCAGACCTGTATTTCCCACCACGGTGGCTTGTATTCGAGATGTGAGACATTTTCAAGTACAAACCCATACATATTCTTGACAAGAAATTTTGAAAAATACAAAATGTTCCATCCATGTACTCATTTATTCAACTGAAGTTCATTGACGCTCTCTACTTCTGTCTTGGTTTTCTGGATATTCTGGTATGTATTTAATTGCGTACTTGCAAGATCTTTTTTTCCCTTCTAAAGCAGAATAAAATGTGTCAAATTGGCATTTCTATTTAAAAATATACTTAAATTGTTTTTCTTTTCATAGCATTTGCTATTCACTAAAAACCCAACTGAGACTGAGATAGGCATGGTCATTCCCGTGGCCTAAATGTGGAACAACAAACAGCCTGGCATTAGCTGAGATCAAGCTGGGAGTCAACGTACTCACATCCACCATCACCCACCTGGCATGGACCACATGGGGCTCTCTAGAACATTTTAAGAGCATCAGAAAGCAAAGACTTAAGTTTCTTGAAGACACCTTAGGAGATCCAGTTGCAGAATTTCTCTCTATTTTTCCAACATGACAATTAAGTAGGGGATAAAATGGAGATCACTCATCCTGCAAATTGTGCCCTCCTGTACATTAGTGTTTCCCTTTGGTGGCTTTTTTGCTGTTGTTGGAGGTGGTCATGGTAGAGAGAATTCACAAGACCTCCTGACCCAGGTGAAGTGCATCTGCAGGAGTATTTAAATAGCAACATATAAAGCTGTGAGCATTATCACTCATGCTCTTTCAAAAACAGGTAAGTCCGTTTTCCTCATCAAGCACTCCAAAATGAGACTAAAAACGTCTTTTGTTTCAAAACTCGGGTGAAGATGGTGCCTCAACGCTTAGGCTTCTGTACATTTAGAAGCTCAAATTACTAAAGTACATGAGAAAATGGCTAGGAACACAGACTTTGGAGTTTAAACCCCAGCTCTGCCACTTAGAAGCTGTGTGATCTCATACAGATTACTCAACTTCTCTGGATGTCTGTTCCCTCTTTGTAAAAAGTAGATAAAAACAATAACAATCTCCTAGGCTTATCTTAAAGATTCAATGAATTAATATTTTAAAGCATTTGCAAGAGTGCTCGGCAAATATAAAATATTATATAAACAAATAAACCAATAAACCTATGTGCCAAACCTTTAAAGATAAGAGGAAAATAATGCCATTTGAATACTGAGGGAAAAGAAGGACCATATGGGAAGGTTGTTAGAATTGCTCTTCCATTATTCATTTAGTGACGTTACATTTCTCTTCTAGTGACAAGAGTACCAAGGAAAGAAATTTCATTTTCCAGCACTTCTCGTACTAAAGAGTAAGTAAATTGGAAAAAAATAGGGCACTTTAAATCACAACGACCCATGCCATATTTATAAAGAAAGATGTTCCAAGGAAGCAGCTGTAACAATTTTAGTGTCAGACTGTAAGGGAATAAGGACCGTCTGATTTTGCATCATGATCCTAGTCACAGTATCCAACCAGAGATTTTAAATGTTTAATAATTGAAGTACACATACCTTCTACCCTCTCTTGAAAAATCAGACCATGTTTATATTAGACTATCACTGATATTACCTAGGGTATAATTACTCAGCTGTGGCACTGTTGGTTTGGGGCCAGGTAATTTGTTTTTGTTTTGCAGGAGGGAGTCATCCTCTCGCAAAGACACAAAAACTGTCTTCAAAATGTTGTTAAATATTATTATGGGTTAGGGGAGGAAATTGATCCTGTTTGAGAAACCCTAACGTAGTGTATCTCTTAAGTACCCATTATGTGTAAACAGATTCTAAATGCTAAATTCTAAACTCAGATTAATAAACTTCAATGGTATCTTAGCATATTGGAATCAGAAAAATTTGCAGTCTAATCACTTTTTCTAATTATAAAAAGTCTTGAAAATTGTTTCTCCATCTCTAAATTAGGCATGGTAATACCTACCTTGCAGAGTTGTAAGAACAGAGAAAATACACAGGAGCTCCTCGTCCAATGTCTGATGCACAGAGGGAGTCAGTAAGTGCCCGGGAAGAAATCGGCATTGTATTGTTACTGCTGTTTCTGTTGACAGGTTATCACATCCTCATCCTCATCATTTTAATACAAATGGAAGACCTGTACTTACACATTCAGCTAACCACAATAAATCCAACTAGTACTTACATCTTCTTTGCAGACAACAACTGATTTCCTCACAACTAGAGACTACAACTAAACAACAAAGAAATACATCCACAGTACTGTGGCAAATGCAGATGCAGAATTACCATGAAGAGCAAAGGAAGGGCTGGCAGAGGCCTTCCTCATATACAGCCCTTTAGGGGTCTTCTCTGTAAAACAAACATTGGGCAAATAGTGCACCTTGATTTGTTTGGTTGTTGCTTTCTGTATTGGATTGAAAGCGTGGAGTAAATGGTGCTGGGAGATGAGCTTTTTGAGTGTATATCTGTGTCTGTGTACACTCTTTGTGTGAACAAGTTAATTCAAACCAGGTTAGAAAACTTAACGAACAAACCAAAAACTACAGATCATTAAAGCGGCTGGTTTTGACTACTAATTAGTGTGTAAGGAAAAAGGACCATTTTAAATAACAGGGAGAGATTTGGCTCATTAGATAAACATGAATCTAGAATTCCAGACATTACTTTAGGAATAGAGAAAAAGTAATAAACATGCCCATCACTGCATAATATTTTATATATATATATATATATATATATATATATATATATATATATATATATATATATTTTTTTTTTTTTTTTTTTTTTTTTTTTACATATATCACTGCCATCTTTGGAAGCTGAAAACACTAGTTCTACTATAATTGTATCTTTTCTTGAAAAGTCTTTCCTGGCCTTCATGACATTGGAGCTTGCCGACAGATTCTTCACTATCGGTAAATGCTTAGAAACTAACCACAGCTCTTTTCTTTTAAACCCAACCAAAATAATTTCAGGAGAACTTGCAAGCACAAAATTATGTTACAAATATCCAACTGATCCTATTTACATTTGCTACATCAAAGTATTCAGACATCATAAGCAAACAAGAAATGGAGACCCTCCCAATACCCTATAGGTTATGCAAGCACCTCAACAGAAAGAACACTTTGAAATTTTTATGGAGCAGGAAAAATTGGAAGCATATTAATCTAGGCAGTGAAATTGGGCTTTCTGTCATTTTTAATTGCTTGAATTCATAACCTAGTTTTGCTGAATCAAAAACGAGTTGCTGTAGCTGACATAAGCTGTTTCGGCCTTTTGGGTACACACACACACACACACACACACACACACACACACAGAAACCCCACAACTTACTGAAACCCCACAACTTTTCATAGAAACTTTATTTAGCTTAATAAAAACACACCCTGAAAACTGTTTGGGACATTATAGTTGCTGAATAATTTAATATGCGATGGTTTCCAAACCAAACACTGTATATTAAATGCTGACTTTTAAAGGCGTTTTATCTTTCTCTTGGTGCCGTGCAAGAAGAGGGGGTTCAGCAGGGATCCTAAATCCTTGAGACTGCTATTCTGATTATCTATGATTTAATTAAAATCAAATTATGCATGAGAATTCATAATTGTAAAATTCTTCTCATTTGCTCCTGTTGACTACTGCTCATAATACACACAAACACACAACCCTGCATGAAAATGAAAGAAAACAAAAAGAGCAAAAACGCATACCCATAAATGCAAACAAAGATTTGATATTTTAACACACTCCAAAGTTTTTGGATCCATAACAAAGTAAAGTCTAAAATGCCAAAAAAAAAAATAATAAAATTAAGGGTTCAAGCTTTTTCCTCATTTCTTTTTATGTTCGTCAGAAAATCAACACAAGATGGAGAGTGAAGTCTCATAGAGAGGACTTTTAATCCCAACAGAATTACTTTCCAAGAACTTACGCCAACTCCCTTTGATAACTTTGAGACTAAGACACGTGAAGTTTTTAAAATAAAAGCTAAAAGCTAAACACAACTAAGTTTAATTAATAATAATCATTTTATTATTAGTTCAGATATCTTCTTCCTCTTTTAGATGACTTTTCATTTCACCAGATTACAACTGTGCTCAAAATCTAATATAAAAATTATAAATTTAGACAGAAAACAAGACCAAGTTTGTTCTTCACTAGATGTTGTAATATTTGTTTAGCTCAAGATTGGCCCATTCAAGCAGGTTGTCTATAATCAAATCAAAGACAACAATGAGGAGTGTGTACCTGGATTCTCAAAACAAAAGTCATATACACCAATTAGTGTCATAAAATATGACAATATATTTTCCAAATATTGCAACTATAGTTTATAGGAAGGCAATCAATGCCAAAAAAAAAAAAAAAAAAAAAAAAAGCCTTTTACTGAGATCTCCTTCAACTTTTGTATCATACTCCTAGTAGAGAGAGGAAAAAAAAAAAGAAAAATAATTAGCTGGTCCTTTTTAAGAGCAAAAAGGAACACAATATCATACAAAAAAGAAAAACTATTTTTGTTGTACTTCAATTACCTGGCCCATAAGTCAGCACTGATAGTTATTTCTACCAAGTCTGAGTAAATACAGATTAAAATGAATCCAGACTCTAAAATTAAGACAAGTGATAGGAAAAACAGAAGTTTGAAGGATAAGATTTTAAGAGACAAATGTAAAAATAAGCTTAGTCCAATAAAGTCATGAGACAGAAAGTACTTTCGTATAAACCCTCAATTTGGGGTAACAGAAAAGATTCTGCTCTTTTTACATAGTAAAAGTGTTTTCAAAGAGTCTAGTTGCTTGGTTAAAAAGAAATGATAAAAAAGTTTGAATATTCACTTTTTATAAGACTGCTGTACAGTGGAATTGCCTGATACTAAATAATTCTTGCAGGTGAGCGGAGAATTCCTGAAAGAAAGAAAGAAAAACAGGCTCTGGTGATCCTCCAGCGTGCAAAACATATGTTAAAGTGTAGCAAAGATACCTAAAAGGTTTCTGTGCACCAGGTAAAACAGTAAAGACAGAAAGATGGAAAGAAATACACGTAGATGAAAAAAAATGGGATAAGGAGGAAGAAATACCCAGAGGGAGACCAAGAGAGAGAAGAGAAGAGGGGTAAGAGAGGGAGGGAGGAGCTCCTTCTACATGTCCCCCTACCTCATTCCTCAGATTAACAATTCCCTCTTCATAACCTCTGAGTATTCTAATAGAGGGGAGGCATCACACGTGTGGGAAGCGTGTGGGCAGATAAGACTTGGAAAATCTTGCTTTTTAAATGAAAAGCCTGGATTCCTGTGAGCCTGAGTGGCAAGCAGCTGTTGCTGATTGACTTGCATTCACTTACTTAACAAACAACCCTCTTCAAACTTAGTCATAGCAAACCACAAAGGCAAGTTACTCCATGCCACAAACACCCTTTTACTCACACTCTTTGGATTTTCCAGCACACATTTAAATCAAAAAATAGGGAACACAGTGGAGAAAGATGTCCCCATTTTAAGCCAAACAATTTACTACCCAGCTACCCTACTAAAGAGAGGATTACACAATCATTTTTGCCTGCTTCAGCAATAAACCGCATTCATTTCTGTGTAACCAAAATTGAAACCATGTCAACAATGAGTAAATTCTTCTACGTGAAGACACTCAGAAAGTGACTCTTTTAGCAAATAATTTCATAACGTTTTACTAAGGTGACACTGCCAACAAAACTTTTGGATTCACAATTCTGCTTGGAGCCCTCTTAAGTAGGAAGGTGGAAAACGCAGCTCTTTTGTCAAAAGAAATAATAAAACCCCCAATTTCCCCATAATCTGAAAATAAGGGCTAGAGGGATGAGCTGTGCTTGAGAGGCTAGGTGATCATTGTAGACTGATGGATGTCACATTCGACACTCTGTATATAATATATTCTATAAATGCATAACAGTTCATTCCATCACTTGAGAAGGCAAGGCACATTTCTCCCATTTGATCTCAGAAGAAGGCAACTCTTATTCCATGTCATAAAATGGTACAGAGCTTATTTCTCAAGTCGAAGCGTGTTCAGTATTGTCAATTTAATCTCTCTTCCATGGGAAACAGGCAGAGAAGATGAAGAGTACACCAGCGCAACGAGCATGGTGGACATGTTTACACAGATATGCAGCGCATATGCTCACATTTGCACACACATGCTCCCTTGCAACGTGAGCATGCCAACTTCGCAAATGCACAACCCATCTGGCCATTCATTTCATAAACCTCTCATTTCCAGAGCCGCGCATCTCTTGCAAAACCATGGCTAGCCTATTGGGACTTTTACATCGGTTCTTAATAAACGCTTATTCATCTCTGGGAATAAAGTTAAACGGAGCCAATGAGCATTGGCAAGGAAGTTGCCCACTAACTTCCAGTGGGTAAAGAAAATCGATGCATCTCCGGGCTCCCCAATCCCTCTAAACGCCCCCTAGCCCTCTCCAAGTGTCCAGACCACCCCCACCACGGGGCACCCAGGGCGAGCCCTGAGCACAGTCTCCGAGGTCCCCGGAGCTGGAGCTCGGCTTACATACCGCGTCCCATTCACGCGCTGCAAACGCAGCCTCATCCTTCCATCTCCGGTTTGGGTTTCCCGGATTCCATCCACGGCCAAGTCCCCTATTCTAATCAGCAGCCCCGGAGGCGCACACGCCGCCACCGTGTCTGCGCTAACGTTGGACAGCGGCTGACGGCTGCTCCTCTGCCACAGGCAGCCAAAAATGTCAATTTGCACACTCCTCCCCCTGTCGCCCGCCCCCGTCCCTCTGCAACCCCCTCCCGCGGAGTCAGTGGGCTTCAGGAAGCCTCTGCAGAAGCTGCCTGGTCTCTCCCTTCCCTCCCTCCCTCTCTCCCTCTTTCTCTCCTTCCCTGACAGTGTTTTAGAGTCTTCTTCGCTCGCCGTACCTGAAGGGCATCTCCCACGACTGCAATTAGCTGCCAAGATTTCATTGTCGGCTGCAAAGTGCCTCCTGTTTCCTCACCGGGAAAACACAGCACGGGAGAAGTCCGAGGCAACAGCAAACGGCACCCACGTGCTAGCAATGTAAATGACTCCAGTCATCTGTCGTGCGCGCCGCGCGCCTTCGCTCGCCCGGGCTGCCTGGCACGACCGCCAGCAGGTGCAGAACGCCCCGAGCGCGCGGGCGCGAGAGCGAGCAGCCCGTGCAAGGAGGCAATCAACACCCGGGCGCGCACAAAGGGAGGCCACGGCGGCGCCAGGGCCCGGGTCCGGCTTCCCCGGCCGGCCTCGGCCTCTGTCCGCGCCAAAACGCTCGCCAAATGAGACGCCCAATGTTTTTGCAAACTCTTGCAGCTGGGGGAAGGCAGTGGATACTGGGGCTGCGTGGGTCCCGCCCCTACGGGTCGGAGGCACTTGCAAAGCTCCGAGCTGGCTGCGGTATCTCGCCGCTCGCCCTCTCTCGCCCGCACGTGTCCCTTCCCTTGTTCTTTCAGGCATTAAATATGTACCACATGACAGAATAGGGCACCTTGCACGGTTCCCTGAGTCCGCACTTGACAACCAATTTTAACTCACGAGCAATCAAATGTCTAAAGGCGGATATAAGCACTCCCAATTACTTACGCTACTCCTGCATTATTCAGAATGTCCACGGGACAGTATTTATGACTTCCAATATGCTGCTTCACCTAGAAATACTGGTAAAACATCGAAGACCCCAGCACCGCGCCCCCAATCTCGCCTCCCGCCCCAAACAGCTAGGCTTTCATCCTATTTCATCTCCGAGAAGCAGCTGCACTTTATTTAGGAGCGAAGCTTTAGGATCTCAACTCTTTTTCCACGTTACGTACTAAATGAGAATGCGCTGAGGTTTCAGCCTGCTTTTAGGAGAAAAACAACTGTCGTCTCTGTTGAAATTTAGAGATCACCTTTTAAATATGTGTACCTTGAATAATAATATCATCAAAGTAATTTTCCTGTTATTTTCCCAAGAAGTCCTCATAGATCTATTTCACTTTTTTTGTTGCTGTTGTTAATAGGAATGAGTTACACAGGTTCTAGCTATCTTCAGCTTAAGTGCTGATTTTGGTAGGGACCAAAAAATTAATTGGCTGGGGAAATGACTCTTGGATGTAGAAAAACTAATTTGTTCTTTTTCCTTTCTCTTCACAGTTAGAACTGCAAGCTGTGTGCACTAAGATGGCTTTGCTACCTCAAGCACTTATTTAAACAGGAAGGATCTAAATGGGAAATAAAATTTAATATACATATATCCCTCCTATATTTGATCAACAATGAGTGAAATATTCATTGGCTTCCTGCCTGTGTCCTTCTTGGATACTTTATTTGAGTTAAAGTATACAACTTGTATACAACTGATTAGGATTTTATGCATTGGTAAGCAAATATTAAAATGCTAATAAATCTTTCAAATATTTTCACATTCGTTACAACTTCATATCTAGAGGCAATATTTCAAGTGTGTCTTTTTTTAACATGCCAATTCCTTATGTAACCATCATCCATCTTTGTCATACCAGGAACAAAACGAGGAGGGATTTTTTTTTCTTCTGTGCATTAAGAGTGTTTTTAATATGATATTAACACAGTGTTTAACTTTCTCCTTGCAGAGTTAACAAAATTCTATTTGTGTTCTCTCTGCCTGCCTTTCTTACAGGGTCAGTGGCATTTAACGGATGCTGAGATAACCATAAAGTAAAACCTTATTTCACAATAATGATGCCATGAAGAACATGCTCCACTCCCTACTATTTTTAAAGTTAACTTCTAATGTTATCTTGTATGATCCCCTGACACATTTTCCAACAGCACCAGGTAAAATGGCAAAAAGGGGTTTAGACTTTCGCTTATCCAGAACCCTGTACAATTACAGAGATTCACAAATATAGAGTATTATTATTAACCCAGCACACACTGGCATGCCCAGTGGAATAATTTGATTCACAAATCAGTTCACAAAAGCAAGGTTATAGGAAGGGACGCATGGTGCGGGTGGCCGATGGAGAGACAGCAAGCCCTAATTACAACCCCATTGTCCTCGTGTTCTCAGCACATGTGGCCATTTAATCACAGAGCGTGACAACCTTGGCAGATGTTGCCAGACCTGGTTATTGATATAAATTGCTATTCTCATGTGCAAGGGGCACAGCAAACAGTTAAAACCATGTCTGCAGCCACCCAAAGGGACATGAAGGCCCACATTTACAGCTGTAACTACAAGGCAAGATGATACAGAGAGAAGGTTGTTTTCTTGCTCCCACCCCATAAGTAAAACAGGAAGGGATGCAACCTCCCAAACCAAGAATGGCAGTAGAGTCTCCCATGAGCACTGTAAACTGATATTGTCTCTCGGGAAGCTGATTTACTAGTACCTATTAAAATGGAAAATGTGCATACCCTATTATCAAACAGCTCTACTTCTAATGTCTGTCCTAAAAAACATGCACAAGATACATTTGTGGATATGTTTGGATATAATTGCTATTGCTTGTGATACAGGATGGGGTTGTGGGGGGAGGCAACAGACTAAATACCCATCTAGCATTAAAAATATGGCATATCATATGATGGAATACCATATAGCAGTGAAAAGAATCAAATAAAGCCACATATGAATACCTCCATTGCTATATAGACATGAATATGTAGGAACAGAAATAAAAATACACACTATAAGGTACAAATATATATACAAATATTTCTCAGCAAAAATAAATTGCTGAGATAAAAATACAAGTTTTAAATGACTTCTACACTTATGACACCATTTCTGAAAGAGAATGCACTAATATAATATTATAGGTTTTCCGTAGATATATAAATATTTGTGAATGTACTGGGAACAGTCCAAAACAGAAGATAGCCAACTACAGCCCAAGAATCAAACTCAGCCATTCTCTGTTTCTGTACAGCCTGCTAGTTAAAAATGGTTTTGATACTTTAAATAGTTTTTAAAAGTCAAAAGAAGAATAATATTTCGTGATGTGTAAAAAATGTAGGAAATTCAAATTTCAGCATCCATGAATGAGGTTTTATTGAAACATAGCTATGCCCATTTGTTTATGGGTTGCTACGACTGCCTTCATCTGCAAATGCGGAGTTTAGTGTCTGTGAGAGACCAAGTGGCCCAGGAAGTCTAAAATGTTTACTCTCTGGCCCTTTACATGCATATAACATGTATACATATAACTTGTTTTAAGTGAAAAGTGTGTATGTATATATACTCTATATGTTATATGTGTGTACATGTGTATCACTTTTAAAAGCATAAAGCCAGTACATAAGTGTTCTCTTAAAAGAACAAAAGGAGCTCTCAAACTCAGGTAAAAACTAGTCTCCTTCCTCTTTTCCTAGAGATGACACTATTGTGAATTTCAGTCCCATTTTTCTAGACCAGTGATTTTTTTTTTTTTTTTTTCGAGGTGGAGTCTTGCTCTGTCTCCCAGCCTGGAGGGCAGTGGCACGATCTCAGCTCACTGCAACCTCTGCCCCTGGGTTTAAGCAATTCTTGTGCCTCAGCCTCCCGAGTAGCTGAGATCATAGGTACCCGCCACCATGCCCAACTAATTTTTTGTATTTTTAGTAGAGATGGGGTTTCACCATGTTGGTCAGGCTGGTCTCAAGCTCCTGACCTCAAATGATCTGCCTGCCTCGGCCTCCCAAAGTGCTGGGATTACAGGCATGAGCCACCGTGCCTGGCCTAGACTGGTGATTGGTGAACTTTTTTCTGTAAGAGGCCATAATTCCCATGTGTCAAGGGGAGAAACCAGGTGGGAGGTGATTGGATCATGGGGGCAGTTTCCTCCATGCTGTTCTCATGATAGTGGGTGAGTTCCCATGAGATCTGATGGTTTCATGGTTTTCTTTTCTTTTTCTTTTTTGAGACAGCATCTCGTTCTATCACCCAGGGTAGAGTACAGTGGCATGATCTCAGCTCACTGCAACTTCTGCTTCCCAGATTCAAGTGATTTTCCTGCCTCAGCCTCCCGAGTAGCTGGGACTACAGGTGTGTGCCACCATGCCGGGCTAAATTTTGTATTTTTAGTAGAGACAGGGTTTCACCATGTTGGCCAGGCTGGCCTTTAACTCCTGTCCTCAAGAGATCTGCCTGCCTCAGCGTCCTGAGATCTGATGGTTTTATAAGGCAGTTCCCTGATCTTTCTGGCTCTCTCTCACCTGCCGCCATGTAAGATGTGTCTACTTCCTCTTCCGCCATAATTGAAAGTTTCCTGAGGCCTCCAGAACTGTGAGTCAATTAAACTTCTTTTCTTTATAAACTACGCAGTCTCAGGTATGTCTTTATAGCAGTGTTAGAACGGACTAATACAGTATGAAACTTTTAAAGTTGTATACACGCTTACACACAAACACACACACACACAGGCATACCTCATTTTATTGTCTTTCACTTTATCATGCTTTGCAGATATTGCATTTTGTACAAATTGAAGTTTTGTGGCAACCTTGTGCTGAGCAAGTCTATTGGTGCCACTTTTTTTCAGTAGCAAGTGCTCACTTTATGTTTTTGTATCACATTTGGGTAAATCTCACAATATATCAAACCTTTTCATTATTGCTAGATCTGTTACTGTGATCTGTGATGAGCAATGTTTGATGGTACTATTATAATTGTTTTGGGGTGCCAAAAACTGTGCCCATATAAGATGGCACACTTAATTGATAAAGATTGTGTGTGTTCTGACTGTTCCACTGACAGGCCATTCCCCCTGCTCGCTCCCTCTCCTTGGCCTTCCCATTCCTTAAGGCACAACAATCTTGAAATTAGACCAATAAATAACCTTACAATAGCCTCTAAGTGTTCAGGTGAAAGGAAGAGCCACACACCTCTCACTTTAAATCAAAAGCTAGAAATGATTAAGCTTCATGACGAAGACACTTTTAAAGCTGGGACAGCGCCTGTAATCCCAGCATTTTGGGAGGCCAAGGCAAGTGAATCACAAGGTCAGGAGTTCCAGAACAGCCTCGCCAACATGGTGAAACCCTGTCTCTACTAAAAATACAAAAAAAAAAAAAAAAAATATATATATATATATATATATATATATATATATATATATATTAGCTGGGTGTAGTGGCAGGTACCTGTAATCCCAGCTACTTGGGAGGCTGAGGCAGGAGAATCGCTTGAACCTGGGAGGCGGAGGTTGCAGTAAGCTGAGATCACGCCACTGCACTCCAGCCCAGGTGACAGCTAGAGACTCCGTCTCAAAAAAAAAAAAAAAAGCTGGGACAGGCTAAAAGCTAGGCTCCTGCACCAACTAGCCAAGTTGTGAATGTGATGAAAAAGTTATTAAAGGAAAGTAAAAGTGCTACTCCCTTGAACACACTACTAATAAGTAAAAGAGCCTTGTTGCTGGTGTGGAGTATTAGTGGTTTAGATGGAAGATCAAACCAGCCACAACATTCTCTTAAGCCAAAGCCTAATCCAGATCAAGACTTTAATCCTCTTGAATTCTATGGAGGCAGAGAGAGGTGGGAAAACTGACAAAAAAAAAGTGTGAAGCTAGCAGAGGTTGGTTCATGAGGTTGAAGGCAAGGAGGAGTATCTGTAACATGCAAGTGGAAGGTGAAATGGCAAGTGCTGATGGAGAAGCTGCAGCAACTTACCCTGAAAATCTAGCTAAGATCACTGACGAAGGTGGCTACACTAAATGACAGATTTTCAGTGTAGACAAAACAGTCTTCTCTTGGAAGAAGATGGTATCTATAACTTTCATAGAAAGAAGTCAACACCTGGCTTTAAAGCTTCAAAGGACAAGCTGACGCTCTTATTAGGGGCTAATACAGCTGGTAACTTTAAATTGAAAGCAAGGCTCATTTACCATTTTGAATCTCCTAGGGCCCTTAAGAATAACTCTAAATCTACTCTGCCTATGCTCTAGAAATGAAACAGGACATCTGTTTATAGCATGGTTTGCTGAATATTTTAAGCCCACTATTAACACCTACTATTCAGAAAAAAGGATTCCTTTAAAAATATTACTGCTCATTGACAACACATCTGGTCACCGGAAAGCTCTGATGGAGAAGCACAAGGACATAAGTGTTCTGTTCGTGCCTGTTAATGCAATATAGGTTCCTGCAGCCAATGGATCAAGGAATAATTTTGATTTCCAGTCTTATTATTTAGGAAATATATCTCATAAGGTTATAGCTGCCATAAACACGGATTCTTCTGATGGTTCTGGGCAAAGTACACTGAAATATTCTAAAAAATATTCGCTTTTGAGATGCCATTAAGAACATTCAAGATTCATGGAAGGAGGTCAAAATAGCAACATTAACAGGAGTTTGGAATAAGTTGATTCCAACTCTCAAGAATGATTTTGAAGGGTTCAAGACTTCAGTGGAGGAAGAACCTGGAAATGTGGAGGAAATAGCTAAAGAACTAGAATTACAAGTGGAGCCTGAAGAGGCAACTACATTGCTGCAATCTCGTGATAAAACTTTAACAGATGAGGAGTTTCTTCTTATGGATCAGCAGAAAAAGTGGTTCCTTGAGATGGAATCTACATCTAGTAAAGATACTATGATCCTTGTTGCAATGACAACAAAGAATGTAGAATATTACATACACTTAGTTGATTAAGCAGTAGCAAAGTTTGAAAGGATTCACTCCAATTCTGAAAGAAGTTCTACGTTAGGTAAAATGCTGTCAAACAGCATCAGGTGCTGCAGAGAAGTATTTCATGAAAGGAAGAATCAATCCATGTGATAAACTTCACTGTTTCCTCATTTTAAGAGATTGCCACAGTCACCCCAACCTTCAGCAACTACCACAACTACCACCCTGACCAGTACAAAGCCATCAACACCGAGGCAAGACCCTCCACCAGCAAAAAGATTAGAACTCATTAAAGGCTCAGATGATTGTTGGCATTTTTATTTTAGCAATAAAGTCTTTTTAAATTAAGGTATGCACGTCGTTTTTTAGATACAATGCTATTGCACACTTAATAGACTACAGTATGGTACAAAAGCACAGCTTTTATATGCGCTGGGAAACAAAAAATAGTGTGACTCCCTCTATTATGATATTTACTGTATTGCAGTGGCTTGTAACTGAACCTACAGTATCTCCAAGGTGTGCCTGTACATCTATAGGTCTTGCTTTAAGTGTACAAGATGTGTATTTACTATTTTTTTAAAGTGTATGTGTATGTCTCTACGGATATTTGTAGACACACACCCCTGGAAGAAATCATACAAAATGGGTAGTATTTGCTAGTGAGATTATAGGTGCTTATTATTTTCTTCTTTGTCATTTCCTGTATTTCTCTATTTTTCAAACAGATGTAAATATAAGAAAAGGGTGGCGTCCCTGGCCATGTGAGTGTCGATGACTGACATTGTACCAATAACATTTTTTTTCACCTGGGAACTGCCTGTTCTCTTCAAACGCTGGATGATAAAACCTTCAAAAAGAAAAGCATCAAGGTTTGGTTTATGCCCACCTAACATTTCTGGAAAACTCCAGCATCTAATTGCTTCTTCATAGGGGGAAAAAAAGACGTTAAGCCTCAATGCACTAAAGATTTTTATAAAAATCAATCTTATCCTTGAAGTAAAATGCGACGTAGATTATCCTTTCTGCTAGAAGTTATGGTAATGACCTATTGAAATATTCCTCACAATACAGTAATATTACTTCTTTACCAGTTTGAAAATATTTTCCTGTAGAAAAGCACAAAGCAAGCTCCACCTAAAAAAATAAAATTACATAGCAACCACATTGAAAGTTTGCAGGATTAGAACACTAGGACCTACTGATTTTCTTTGTCCTGACACCTAATAATCCAGTTACATTAAGAAAGGTGAGCTTAATGAAGCATATTGAGATGGGAGAACATACGATTTATAGTGGACTTGTGGTTACATTTCTAAATGAATCCCATTAGCTCTATATTGGTTGCTGGTAAGTGACCACGTTTTCTAATAGACAAATGCATGAATCACCTGGGCATATTTTCCAAGCATTGTCTACAAAATGGTTCACCTTACAAATTTAAACAAAGACCAGGTGAATGACCCTCATTCCTGAAGCGTAGCAGACTTCCTTTAAGCAAGAAACAGAATTATTGCAACCGAATATCCATTCCATCTCCTTATAACTTAGCATGCACATATAGCCTCATCCTTGAGATGGCAGGAATCAAGCACACTGCTGACAGGAATATTCTTCTAATAGTATTACAACCAACATTGTTTTCAATGTGTTTTATAATTATAAAACCTATGAGTGTTTATTGTGGAAAGTTTAGGAAATTTCAAAAAGCACCAGAAAAGCTAACATTATTTCACCACCCAAAGAGAGCTCCAAGTACTATTTTGTTGGAAGTCTATCCACTTCAGACATTTTCTACTGCATATAGAACTAAAACATTATAAGCACACAATTGGGATGTTACTGTATAAGCTGCCTTCATCTTTTGCACTTTGCAATGTATCATGAACACTTTGTGCTGTAAGGACAAAAAATGTACAAGGTCAGTTTATGTATTCCACTCTAATGCTACACACTTTCTCTTTATGTTAAATAACACTGCAGTGAACATCACTTCCTGATGTTATGATATTTTTCTCTGTGCCTTATCTCAGGGTAGATACCTAAAAGTGAAACCGATGAGTCAAAAAAGTGGGCACCGTATTTAAGTTTTTAGATCTAAGGAACCAGAATTCTAGAAGCTTACATGAATCCATATTCCCAGCAGCAGTATGAAAGGGAACTCATCTCACCACTGAGAACAATTTTTGGCCAACTTCTTTCTCTTTCAATAACCGTTTCCCTGGCTGGGTTCCCTCGCCTATCCACCTGCCCCACTTGGGGCACCACACCATCCCATGCTAAAGTAGCATAGAACAGCCCAGACATAGAAAACAAAGGTGGTGATGAGGAGCAATTTAAATCTAAGCTTATTTAACATAAGTGGCTGGTGGCTGCCCATTTTGTCTTAATTGCCTTTTAAACTAAAATCAATGTTAAATTACCTGAACAACAGCTTCTGCACAATTGCAAAGTGAAAATTCTTTAAGTGCCTCCTCAAAAGCCTTTGGCTCCCGTTTGGGCGACTGACAGGAAAAGAGTCTTTTTCCTCTTCACTGTGTTATAGCTTTGGACCACGGGATATGATTAAAGGGTCCTGAAAACAGATGTCACGTCCGCTCTGGGATGAATTACTATTCCCTCACATCGAAATGGGATTAAAGTGTTCGAAATAGAATCTGGATAATAAAAACTGGATAATAGTACTATGATGTCCCCATCCTTTTCCCTCCCTTCTTTCCTTCCTTTTTAATTTTCCCTCCCATCAAGGATAGACTGCATACACAAATGGACACTGGCAAGACCATATAGAAAAAGAGAAATCTGACCCACAGTTTGCAGTAACCAGCCCAGGAAACCAGCTTATTGTCTACAGGAAGCCAGCCTGCTATCCACAAGTCACGATTCAAGGAAGTCAGATTACTATCTCTAGTAACTGGTCCAGGAAGCCAAACAAAAATCCACTGGCTCAGAAACAATCAGGACTAGATTCGTAACTGACAGCTTTCCTAATTTTTGTCCACACCTCCAACTTCGGACCAATCAGAGAAAGCCAAGTGTGCACCTTAACCGATCACAAGGAACACCCCTTTCTACTTAGCCCATCTGCAGCTTCCCCACGCAAACAGCCTCTAGCCAGGCCATATCTGAAGCTGTCCCTTTATTTATCTACTATAAAATTTTCCTACTCCTCTGCCTGCCTTTGAGTTTCTGGCAAAATGCAAGTGAGGATGTCTGACTCCTTGCTATAGCAAGCTCTGAATAAATAGCCTCTGTTTATTTTTATTTGGTTGGTCTTTATTTCTTCAATAAAGACCAACCAAATAAAAATAACAGAAGCTATGTTTTTTGTCAACAGGATTAACAAAACAAGAGCCCTCATGTAGCTTATGTTCTAGTGAGGGAGACAGATAAGAAACAAGGAGATGACAGATTTTTGCAACTGTTGGGTGGGAAATAGCCTTGTGATGAAATGGGGGTGAGTCAGTGGAGATACATACCTTCGATAAGATGCTAGGGTTGTCAGCATCCATTATTGCATGAACTGACTCCTTTCTTTTGTTTCGTTCAAGGATTAATTGAGCACTTGCTGTCTGATTTGTACTACAGAACTACAAAAATGAGACAGACATGTACCCTGCCAACAAAAAGCCTCGGAGGGTGATCCATGTTCACTAATCACCAGAAAACAAAATAGATAAGTAGGCAGGGCTAGAAAACAAAGATTCAGGATAAGAGCTGTGAGAGCCAAGAGTCAGGAGGTAAATTTTATTTCCATGTGTTGCAGGGCATCCTGGGGTCCCCGGGCAGAAGACTAGGGGTACATAGGGAGAGGTACATAGGTAATCATGGGTGTTCCTCTCTGTTATACCAGCATACATCTTGTAAAGGTGGAAGAGTTTCACCTGGAGATATCCCTATATGATCATGCTATCTTCCTTACAACAATTCTTCCTTGAGGGTCCTAAATAAGAAACTGGGCCGGGCACAGTGGTTTACGCCTATAATCCCAGCACTTTGGGAGGCCGAGGTGGGTGGATCAAATAAGGTTGGGAGTTCGAGACCAGCCTGGACAACACGGTAAAACCCCATCTCTACTAAAAACACAAAAAAAACAGCTGGGCATGGTGGCGCACGCCTGTAATCCCAACTACTCAGGAGGCTGAGACAGGAGAATCACTTGAACCGGGAGGCGGAGGTTGCAGTGAGCCAAGATTGCGCCACTGCACTCCAGCCTGGGCAACAAAGTGAGATTCCATTGAAAAAAAAAAAAGAAAGAAAGAAAAAAGAAAGAAGCTGGGCAGAGTTTGGAGAATAAGAGAATAAAATGTCATCAGAGAGATGATGACTCACACTTTCCCCAAATCCCTTCACTCCACAGATGTCAGCAGTATGTCACCTCCCAAAGGAAACAACAGGATGCAACAAGACCCCCAATAGCAATGACTGGATTTGACTTGGGCCAAGTGCAGAAATAGGGTCAACATCTCACATGCTTGGGGGCATCCCTGACTCAGGGTTTACAGGATGGGAAGGAAGCCATCTTCTAGGGATGGCTCTTGGGATGTGCAGCCAGCATCTCCACCACGTGTACCATAGAGATACCAATCATTTCTCCCTAACGCTGCAGGGTTTCTTAGAGACACTGCTTCTCTCACAGCCTGGCCTTCATCGGTCCCTTGTCCAGGGACCTGGGTCAGACACATGCCCCTACCTGGTCAAATCAGATTCTCTCCAAGAAATGTGGAATTGAGAAGTGGATGGAATGGTTAAGCTCAAGGGCTAGGCTGGGAAGATCAGGTAAATTTGTCGGTAGAGTCTGATGACTAGTCAGCGAAACAGTATATAGAGAAAGAATGGGGGGTGATGGGAAAAGAACTCAGAGGAATAGAGGTGGAGAGACAAGGAGATAAAGAGAAATCAGGAGTCTGTTTGGCCCCAGAGCCAGACAGAGACGGGGGAAGTTGTTGCCTTGGCTGCTGAAAGCTTTCTTCCTTCATTCTATTTCCCTTCCCTTTCCCTATGTGCTTCTGATGCAAGTCGACTTCCTGTGAAGTCCCAACCACACTCTGCATCCCTGCTAGAATCTCCAGACACAGCTGGGATTGCACAAGACATGGCCAGCCTGCAAAGGAGTCTCCAGATCCCTTTGCCTTGAAGAAAAGCAAAATACCCCAATGCTGAGATGAATAAACCTCTTCCCTGTGGCTCATGGTCTTTCATGAAGCATAGCTGGTGGGCCAGCCTGTCAGAAATACAATCCCAATACTGAGAGCTAACAGAAATACAAATTCTCTGCCACTAGAGGTTTTTTTTTTTTTTTTCCAATTATAAGCATAAAGATATCTTCCTACCTGAGAATGTCACAGAAATATAATTGATGGAGTCATTCTTTTAACATTACTTACATGAATGCCCATTGCATTCCAGAACTCTTTTAGGCCTGGAGAATGCAAAGTAGAATACGTTTACTGGAGAAGGAAAATAACAAACAAGTATTATAATAGAAACTAGTAGTATAATTATCGTACTAGATGACAGAATGGAATAAATTGTGCTATGCATCTACTTGGTAGAGGATGCCTCTTGTTCTAACTAAAGGCAAAGGGCATCTTTCAGAGAATTCAAAAGGTGATGATGCTTGAGTTGGATCTCCAAGGATGCATAGCAGGTTGTTCGATAGTCAGGGGAGAAAGGCATTCAAACCATAGGAAACAGCTTATGCAAAGGTGCAGAGATGTGACTGGGTGAACTGATGGAAAGGGTTGATGTCTGAAGACCAGGCAGGGAAAGGGGGCACAGGTAAGATGATAAAGGGGCCCATGTGTCATGCCAAGAAATTTAGATTTAATTCCTCTATAAGAAAATGGAACAGTCATTGCTAGGAAGGCTACCCTCGTGTGTGCAGAAAGGAACACTGGAAGCAGGAAGAGCCTCTGGAAGATTATTTTATTGTATCTTAGCCTAAAAGATGATGAGGGTTTGCACAAAGACACAGCAGTAACGGTATAATGGAAAAGAGGATTTGGTAAATATTTGATAAATAGAATTGACAAGACTCACTGAAAGAAACACTAGAAGACATGTATAACTGGAGGTGTTAAAAAAAGGATAAAAACAAGTGTAAAAGAAGCCAAAAAGTCAAGGCCAACTCCTAGATCACTGTTACAAGTTATTGACTAAATGGTGGTATCGATGACCAGGTTCAGGGGCATCAGACAAATACCTGGGAAAGATAAGAGGCTCATTTTGACCACATCAAGTTGGGTAGGGGCTATGGAAGCTCCAGAAAGAGTTACACAAGAGGCAACTGGATAGATATGTGTTCTACTTGGAGGAGTGGCTAAAGGCCAACTGGAATTCATGCACATAGAGAGCTGAAGGTCATCTTGGAAGAATAGAAAGACTGACATATTTGCACTATTCATGTCCAAGCCAACATAGGAGAATGCAGTTGCTAATCAACTTTTAAAACTCATTTGAATAAAGGCACTGATGATAAAACTGTGCCATCAGTAAGCTTTCATATATCAATATAGTCACACATTTAATATCCATGACTAGTTTATACCTACGAAAATGAATTGAGATGGTCAAATTCCAGCAATAACAAACTGTTACTGTAAAAATGCCTGGATCAAATGTTACTTGTTAAACCTACTCACCTTCCACCTATCCAGACAGGACATAAAGGGACATATTCTCTAAGACAAACAGCCAGCCCTACCTGGATGCAGGAATTTCAACTAGAGGCAGTATCTAAATCTGGTTTCTATATACTCTATTTTAAATGAATGAGGATACAGTGGCAAAGCATTCTGGTTAAAGAAATGTCTATCAGGCACAAAGTAGATACTTAATGACTGTTTGATAACTATGAATTAAGTTTGAATAGGACACTGGATTACTTTGTTGTCTAGAATGAGAGCTCAGTTAACATCATAAACTCTTTATCACCAGTAAGATGGCAGTTCTTTACCTGCTTACAGATTGGTCAACATGAAATACAATATAGGATTGTAAGGTTCAAATCTACTGCCCTATAGGTCTTGAAGGGAACTGTAGGATTCCTAACTCCCACTTAGTGAGCCCGTGAGATAAGATGGTACTCTTGGATACAGAGATGCTTAAATATTCCTTTTGCAGGAAGCTCAAAGTTCCGATTCTGAGAATCACTTTTTAATCTTACTCAAGTTACATGCATTCAACTAAAACATGAGGAGGTAAGAAAACAGGAGGAGGAAAAAATGTGAACGTTGCCAGTGATTCCACCGGCTATCAAAGCAGTGAGCAAGCCTAACACAGGAGATGTGAACATGCATTTGTTCTTGAGTGCTGAGATACCTCCGAGCATTTGCATCTCGTCTCACCCCGTATTTGTCTTGTTTTCAAAGCTAACTCTTTTTCGCATAGTGCACGTGGCCCTTAAAATCACGCCAATTCCTCATCTGGTGCTCAATCAACGAAGGAAATCCAGCTCAGACCTGGAGAAAACTTGTCTATGTGGGTCTCTTAAAGAAATGATAGGGTAGGCTTCAACTGGAGACTTTCCAGAGGGATTGTCAGTGGGATCATTTGAATCCCATACCTTGGTTGTAACTTGAGAAAGTCACTGGCTTGTGAGAGGCAACAATTTCAGTACTCTTATTAGGTTTGGCAGCATTACATTATTTTCCCTCTACTTCTCTATATTTTACTCTGCACTTTCTTTTTTCTTGACTCTATTTTCTTTTCTACCAGGATCTCTTCAATATTCTTTTGACAGAACTCCAATGGTTCAGGTTGTAATGCAGCATCATATACTCTCTGTCTGAAGTTCTTGTTGCTTGTGTACTAAGAAAAGACCTTCCCAGGGGTCAAAGAAAAAAATGCCTTGACCACTTCCAATGCCTGGGGCTTCTGGTTCCTAAGAAAAGGTAGGGAAACAACACACAATGGGCCCTATCTGAGGGTGGAGGGTGGAAGGAGGGAGAGGATGAAGAAAAATAACTAGTGGGTAGGTACTAGGCTTAATACCTGGGTGATGAAATAATCTGTACAATGAACCCCCATGACACAAGTTTACCTATGTTACAAACCTGCATATGTACCACTGAACTTAAAATAAAAGACTAAAAAATAATAAAATAAAATTAGAAATAAAAAAGGCAGAAAGAAGTAGAAAAGAGGACTGAGCAAGAGAAGCAAAAATCACGACACATTTAAAAATCTAGGCTCAACATTTCAATGTTCTAACTCACACACAAATAAAATGGTTTTATTTGTTTTTGCAAAGGCAAAAAAAAAAAGTCATTTAAGGGCTACTTAACAGATGAGAATTTTTGTGGCAGAATAATTTCCCTTTAGAATTTTGAATAAAACAGAAGGTGCTATACCAATTTCAGTTTGAGTGACAATGATGCATCACTCATAATCTCTAGACTTAATTCTGTTTGAAATGTCCCACCACAGATGGCAATGTCCTAAGCTATAATTGTATTCTTTACAACATCGTTGCGGGGCTTATAAAAGATATTAATTTGGGCCTGACAGGCAGTATGGCCCAGCAGTGGGGCACAAGCTTAAAGTTCTATGATGAATGTAGCCTTGCCATTCTGCCAACATATCTGGGTAACTTGCTATAAGCCTTTATTTGGTGAAAAAGTCAAAAACGTAAACTGTGGGCCCTTCATAACAAAGAGACATAGGCCAAATAGCTCTCCAATGTTCCTAACCATTCCTCCTCCTGCCATTATACTGGAGGTGTTAGAATTCTATCCCACATTGCACAGTAAAGGGCTGACTTCAAGAAAGTATTTCTGTGCAGAGAAAAATCACCATCCCCACTCCGTATTCCCCCAAACCATCCATCTCCCAGGAGACACAGACTCTCCTTCTCTGGTAATTTCTTTCTCTTAACTCTCAAAGAGGCTCTGGTGCTAAGATGACCATTAGAAACATTAAAAAGAAAGCAGATTCTGGGATTTTCCCATTAACCCTTTATTGGCCATATTCTACAGTTTCAACAAAGGGATGTAGATTGCATTATCAAACTCAGTAACTTTACATCATAATATTACAAAAATAGAAACCACTTTTGAGTAGTGTTATAATTTACTGCTTTGCAAAATTTCCCACTTAAGTACCGCTAGCTAATGGCAGATGAGGTCTAATCCTTACCCTTAGGGGCTCCAGAGCCATAGATGGAAGAGTCCAGTGGCATATCACACAGGATGACTGCAGTCTCGGGCTTTCTCTTAAAAACTGCATGCACATTAGCTGTCTATTTCCTGTATATTTGTTTCCTTTTAATAGGAAACAACATTTTTCCTCCAAAAGCTTGGAGCAAAATTAATGTTCTACAAAACCAGCTCTCTTTATTCTACAGCTAAGAACTCCTGTCTCAGCATAGTATACTTCTAGGGGATATAAATATGGCACTTTGGAAAACCCAGCTACTATAAAGTCACCTTGCCTGGACATAAATATATGTCAACTTATTTAACAGTAACATAAATAATTATTAAAATAACAATACTATAAAAATAAGCACTATTTTAATGTAAACTAAGGTCCTGGTGTTGTTACAACACTGTATGTATGTTAACCCACATAATACATATTAATGGAATTCAATTTATTAAATATGGATTAAGTAAGCTTTATATTACATTAACTGTAATTAATATATTAAGAAAACTTTATTATATTACATTAACTGCAATTAATATATTAAGTAAACTTTATATTACATTAACTGTAACTAATATATTAAGTAAACTTTATTATATTACACTAACTGTAATTCATATATTAAGTAAATTTTATTATATTACATTAAATGGTTAGTATATTAAATAAAATCCCATATGTTACATTACACGTAATTAATATATTAAATAAACTTTATTATATTTCATTAAATGTAATTAATTTATATTTCATTAAGTGTAATTAATACAAATTATTAAATTATAGAAAGGATTAAATCTGCTGCATTTAGTTATATTAAGATTGACACAGAGAGAAAACACTTATTCTCACATAAGGACTCTTAGGGTTTCTGCACCTCTCTGACTAGAAATCAATGAGAGGATTTCATTTTTTTCTTTGCTTCTTCTGTAGCTGCACTACCAGATTCTGACTATTAATGTCCACATTGAACAGCATGCTATTATTCGAACTAAGAGAGCCTCGCCTAGTTCAAAATACCTTAGAAACATGATTGAAAGGATGAAAAGGGGCCTGGAGACTC
This sequence comes from Homo sapiens, assembly GCF_000001405.40. Classification (NCBI taxonomy): domain Eukaryota; kingdom Metazoa; phylum Chordata; class Mammalia; order Primates; family Hominidae; genus Homo; species Homo sapiens. The sequence goes on along the minus strand of NC_000016.10, from coordinate 6,466,669 downwards.
TTTGGGTGCATGTCACATACATTCTTTATCCCTCTATTTGCCATTCCTGTGATATTCTGCCCATGGAATTGTCAAAAGGACAGAGGAGAGAGGGTGTCTCCAATGGTCTTAACCCAGCAAGCATCAGATTGAATTCATACATATCTAAGGTTGAATTCTGGCTCTGGGAAGTTTCAAGAAACGTGGCAAGTTATTTAAATCCTCCTGAACATCTGTTTCCTCACCTCTAAAATGGGTTTAATAGCAACTACTTCAGGTGGTGGCTGAGAGGATTCTAAAACTAAATAACATATGGGAAAGTACCTCGCACCATAACTGGAATATAGTAAGCATTTAACAATATTTGAAAAACAAACCAATGATGTTAAGATGCAGTCAAGAATATTATAACCATGGATGATTTCAATTTTTTTTAATCCTTAATCCTTTTTTTTTTTTTTGAGATAGAGTTTTAATCTGTCGCCCAGGCTGGAGTGCAGTGGTGCAACCTCAGCTCACTTGCAACCTCTGCCTCCCGGGTTCAAGCGATTCTTCTGCCTCAGCCTCCCAAGTAGCTGGGATTACAGGTGCCCACCACCACACCTGGCTAATTTTCATATTTTTAGTAGAGATGGGGTTTCACCATGTTGACCAGGCTGGTCTCAAACTCGTGACCTCAAGTGATCCACCCACCTCAGCCTCTCAATATGCTAGGATTACAGGCATGAGCCACGACACCCAGTCTTTCTTTTTGGTTAAACTAAGGATTAGCTTAAAAGTTTAAAGAACACACACACACACACACAAACACACAAATGTATTTAGTTTCCAAGTTTTTCATTGATGTAACAGTGACTTAAAGTAAACTGTAGCCTAAATCAACAGTTAGCATTTCTTTTGTCCTGCAAAGAGCCATATAGTAAATATTTTGGACCACATGGTCTCTGTTGCAACTCCTCAATTCTTCCCTTTTAGCACAAAAATGACCACAGGCAATACAGAAACAAATATGCAGGGCCATGCTCCAATAGCGCTTAATTTAAGGACATAAATACACACACACACACACACACACACACACACACACACACAGCCCTATACATCTATAACTGAGAAGACTCTGATCTGAATGTACACTAAAAGTGCAGGTAAACTTAGCAGCATTTTACTTCTTACGTAGATTTTAGAAATTGAGCTGTAGGAACCCACGAGCTGAGTCTAACTGCTGAACTCAGACAGAAATGAAAGGATATACATTAACATGCAAGATAGCCACTAAAGGGTAGTATCAAATCTGTTATTTTCTTGACTCTTACAGGTTTACCCTACACTGTCAAAATAAAGAGTATGTACTATTCTTTACGAAGGTACACGGAGAGTGCCCTCCTTCTCCCTATGAAATAAAATAATTAACAACAATAACAACAACAAAACCTCACTCCACCACTTTCTTTTTCCAAATAACCTACTCTGCCTCTCTCTACACATCTATATAGTCTTAGACAACCACTTTGCATGGGTAAAAACCTGATCGCACAGAAACAAGAAAATGGAGATTAATAATAATAATCAGCAGTTCCATAAGAACAATGTTTACACATTTGTGTCCAGGGCTTCAGGGCTTATATATACTGTGTGGACAATTCACGATAATCAGGCTAGATATGAGAAACTGTGTTTATTATGACCATGTTACAAAAGAAGATACAGACTCACCTGAGCTAGTAAGTGATTTGCCCGAGGGCAACAGAGCTAATAAATGATAGCTCCAGAATTGCCCCCGGGATCTCTGTGCTGGAGGCTACATTCTCCTACTGCTGTATAGTACTACCTGTTTTTAACGCACTGCTATCAGTTAACTTGGCTTAAACATTGCAGGAAGGAGAAAAGGTGAAATACATTCAGCCAAGTGATTAATGCTGTAGCTCAGTAATTAAATGTTTTGCATATGATCCGTAATCCATATGGAAGGTGTAATCAAAGCACAAGAGAGGTGACCTGACCACTCTAGGGTGAATCATTGCGAAGAATTAACTATAGCAGCGATGTTAGGGCTAAATCTTCATTAAGTAGCTGTTTTCTTTTCATTTAAACAATGGTATTAATTTAAAAGGTATAATTGTCCTTTCTTCAAATGTCAGGCAAATGCATAACTAGACAGCAATTTTATAATCAGCTCACTACTAGTATGCATTAGATCAGGGTAGGACTTCGTTATTACAAACAACGCTTGTTGTTGCTGTCATCCAAGACTTTCACAAGCATACTTTTGTGTATTGGCGTAGCTATTTTCAAACCAATTGAAAATATTTTTGCTATGGAGTTAATTCATTAAAAAAGCATTGCTGATAAAAGCTGTATATCTTTTCGTAAAAGCAGCTCTTCAAAGATTATTCCAGTTTGCACTCCAACCATTAATATATGATTTTTTTTGTTTTACTCACAGTAGTACCAAAATGGCTATTAGCAACTTGTTAATCTTTGCCAATTCAAGTTGTAAAGATCGCATCTCATTGTTATCTTAATTTGTTTTTCTCTGGATACCAACATTTACATGCAGGAATTAAATGTGGCCCACATTTCGATGAAAAAGTTGCCTTCATCCCAGTGGGATAAAATTTTCGGAACTAACATGAAAATTTGATTCACATTAATCAGGAACAGTGAAATTCACTAGTTTTAGCCTATCAAATGGTCAGCCCCTCTTTCTGGTAACAGCATTTGATTTTTTCTTAGTGGCTCTCCTCCTCTCTGGGAGGATAAACTATCAAGCTGGGTGGTTCCTGCAGGATTGATTACACCTCCTAGGTCATGGTGGGCGCGAGAGCTAGTCTAGCCAGTGAGGAACTCACCTCCTTCTAACAGTGGGGATTGTTTAGTGATGGGCACGTGATTCAGTGTGCTTTGCTGGTGCTGTTCAGGGAATAAGATGAAACTTGGGGCGGTTAGTAAGCATCTTTCTGCTGTATAATGGCGGAGCCAAGCTAAACATGGCTGTAAGAGAGCTAAATGACATGGTGAACGAGACCGGTGCTCACGACATTGGTTGAGCTTCTGAATTCAGTAAGCTTAGAGCAACCCTTGGTTTTCCTGTCTGAAAGTCAATACTCTTCCTTCTTGCTTGCATCAGCTTGGGTCAGATTTCTGCCACTTACACTCCGCCCCGACCCCCCATCAAATCTAACTAGTTCATCAGTTCAAAAAGCTTCTGACCCCAAATGTTACCTGCCCAACTTTTAAAGTAAGGAATTCTTATCGTTACTATGTCATCTCATAGCATCCTGCCAAGGCTAAAATATATTAGTAGGCAAAACTCTTTAATACACAACAGCAAATAAATAGTTGACCTGAGTTAATAGAGTTCAGAAATTGTGATCTGTGTGAGTATATGCACACATCCGAGTTAACAGAAAGGGTGGAATATGGAATTAATGTTGTCATTAGGCCATCTGACTACCCTTTACAGGAAAAATAATGCATGTTAGATTTCATACTTAGCTTTGCAAAAGTAAATTCCAGGTAAATTTAAACACCTAAAGATAAAGCAAAAAACTATAAAGTATTACAAGAGGCTGTTTTTATAAAAGTTGAATAGGGGAAGGATAGCTCCTTAAGTTATTAATAAAAGTGATCACAAAGTACTTTTAAGTGGACTAGGATCTTGTAGATAAACTCAAAAGGTAAATCACAGCATGTGTTTATCACAAGTTTCACAAGCTAAGGTGAACAGCTTTAAGATACGAAGAATTAATAGATTAACAAGAAAAAGATAAACTAATTGAAAATGAACAAATATTGTACCTAAATAATTCCTATAAGAGGAAAGATTTTGTGTATAATTAGTCGTCAAGAACATGAAAATTAAAGCAACAATGTGCCATGTGTATACTCAATACTTTTTAAAAGATTGCTAACATCCAGTGTTGTTCAGGTAGTTTATAGCGTCGGGAAGACTTCAAATTGCTCCAATTTTGTGTGTGGGGGGCGGTGGGGGGTAAAAACATGGTAATATTTGTTGAAATTAAAAAATTGGTGAGCTTTTACTAATTATTTCATTTCAGAGAATTTTAGCCAACAGAAAGTACCAAAATGAAAGAAATACGTGCCAAATGTTTCTTATAGCAATGCTTATTTTGGCAGAAGAAAAAAATACACAAATCCAACGAAGAATTAATCTAAAGAACATCAGTGGAAGGATGGCTGAACAAATAGTGACGCATCCATACTATGGAATACTATGCAGATATGTAAAAGGAGTAAGTAGATTTTTAATAATTGGCATGTGTGGACAATAACCATGCCTTGCAAAAAAGGCAAGTTACTGAATAAAAGGCGGAGGATGAGGCCACCCTTTAAAAAGCATAAGCATGCACATGGATAATTGTATCAGCAAAGGGGACCATACAGAAGAGCATGCATCAGGCTGTCAATGGAAATTCTGCCCCTCCCAGAGTGAGACTGGAGGACTGCGAAGGTAGATGGGGAGGAGGCCACACATTAACTCTAAAGAGTTCTGTGTTGGGTTAACGGTTCCAAAACCATATATTAGTTGCTTTTCTTTCAAATGACTAATATAAGGATTTTATAAAGGATGAAATTGTCTCTGGAACTGTCCATTAAAAATGTTGTTGAAAAGGAAAAATAAGGGAAAGGTAATCATGACCCTTTTTCTTAATTTTTGTTTGCTCTTTCCTTCTAGAAAGATGCATCGTGTGAAACATTCAACATACAAGCCCCTGGCATTAATCCAGTCAAAGCTTGCCCCACCAAAAGCTAATACAGGCTGTTTAACAAAGCATAATTAAATGTACTGAACAATGAAAATATCCATATAATTACCACAAAGCTGATATAATTGCATATGTCCTTTTATTGGATGATATTACTGTCCCTACATAAGCACAAAGATAGCTTAAACAGAACAGCCCTCCATTCTCTTCAGTTCACCTAAAATTATCCCATTAATCTGCAGATTGCCACTGAGAAAAAAAATAATCTTCCATTAAAGATTTCTGTCAAAACAAAATCATGTTATCCCTATGGGGAGACATAAGCCATTCTTAGTTTGAACAAAAAAGACAAAGTTAAAATTCCACATCACAATAAAACATTTCTGTTTTATCCAGCCACACAAGTGTTATGGTTGGATTAGTTGATATGACATTGTTTAATGTGAAGAAATACAAAACAAGTAAAATTAGCCTGAAAGATCATGGATGGGAATATAGTTAAATAAATTACATACACCTAAGTCATGGGCTGATAGTAGCCCTCAAAATTCATACGTTGAAGTCTTAATCCCTCAAACCTCAGAATGTGCCCTTATTTGGAGATAAGGTCTTTAACGAGTTAATTAAGTTAAAAGGAATCCATAAGGGTAGGCTCTAATCCACTATGACCAGTGTTCTTTTTTTAAAATTTAATTAATTTTTTTAAGTTCTGGGATACATGTGCAGGATGTGTGGGTGCACTACATAGGTAAATGCGTGCCATGATGGGCTGCTGCACCTATCAGCCTCATCACCTAGGTACTAAGCCCAGCATGCATTCATTCTTTTCCCTAATGCTTTCTTCCCCCCACCCTCTCCCAACAGGCTCTAGTGAGTGTTGTTCCCCTCTCTGTGTCTATCTGTTCTCATTGTTCAGCTCCCACTTATAAGTGAGAGCATGCAGTGTTTGGTTTTCTGTTCTTGCTTTAGTTTGCTAAGGTAATGGCTTCCAGTTTCATCCATGACCTTGCAAAGGACATGATCTCAGTCCTTTTTATGGCTGCATAGTATTCCATGGTGTACATGTATTACATTTTCTTTATCCAGTCTATCATTGATGGGCATTTAGGTTGATTCCACTTTTTTTTTTTTTTGGTATTCTGAATAGTGCTTCTATTAACATATACGTGCATGTATCTTTATAATAGAATGATTTATATTCCTTTGGCTATATACCCAGTAATGGGATTGCTGCAGCAAATGGTATTTTTGGTTCTAAACCTTTAAGGAATCACCACACTGTCTTCCACAATGGTTGAATGAATTTACATTCCCACTAACAGTGTAAAAGTGTTCCTATTTATCTACAAGCTCACCAGCATCTGTTGTTTCTTAACTTTTTAATAATCGCCATTCTGACTGGTGTGAGATGGTATCTCATTGTGGTTTTGATTTGCATCTCTCTAATGATCGCTGATGTTGAGCTTTTTCTCATATGTTTGGCCGCATGTATGTTTTTTTTTTGAGAAGTGTCTGTTCATAGCCTTTGCCCACTTTTCTATGGGGTGTTTTTTTTCTTGTAAATTTCCTTAAGTTCCTTGTAGATTCTGGATATTAGACCTTTGTCAGACGGATAGATTGCAAAAATTTTCTCTCATCCTATAGGTTGTCCACTATGACCAGTGTTCTTATAAGAAGAGATTAGGACACAGTCACACACACAGGGAAAAACACAGGGAAAAGATGGCCACGTACAAGCCAAGGAGAGAGAACCAATGGAACCAATCCTGCTGACACCTTAATCTTGGATGTCCAGCCTCCAGAACTATGAGAAAATAAACTTCTGTTACTTAAGCTGCCAAGTCTGCAATGCTGTATTATGGCAGCCCCAAGCAATCTAATATAACCTACATTACAGAATATTGGGCAGCTATTCATGAGAAAGAGCAAGAATTTTTTTTTTTTTTTTTTTTTTTTTTTTTTTTTTTTTTTTTTTTGAGATGGAGTTTCACTCTTGTTGCCCGGGCTGGAGTGCAATGGCACTATCTCAGCTCACCACAACCTCCGCCTCTCAGGTTCAAGCTATTCTCCTGCCTCAGCCTCCCAAGTAGCTGGGATTACAGGCATTCGCCACCACATCCAGCTAATTTTGTATCTTATGTAGAGACAGGGTTTCTCAGTTTCTCCATGTTGGCCAGGCTGGTCTCAAACTCCCAATCTCAGGTGATCCGCCCACCTCAGCCTCCCAAAGTGCTGGGATTACAGTCATGAGCCACTGTGCCCGGCAAGAGCAAGATTTTTTAAGTATTGACTCTAAAGACATTGGTATTTTCTATATTCCATATATCTATATTGTTTGGATATATGGATGCCTTATTAATCTTTAAAGATATCAGAAGCATGAGATATAGGGTAATTAAAAGAAAATCTTTGAGATGAGATATAGAGGTCAGTGACTGATCAGCTCTAAAGCGATTTTCTTTCTTAGGTGTCTTCCATTTCAAATAGTTTAGATTATTTTGAAGCTTGATAAATTCTTGGTGTACCTAAATTCATACTGAGGGGATGCAGAGAGGAGAAATAAAATTAAAACTCTTTTGAAAGGATGGCATGGTAAGCCGAGTGAGTATCCTGAATAAAGAAAACTTGCTGATTTCGCCCTCTGTCGCCCAGGCTGGAGTGCAGTGGCGCCATCTCGGCTCACTGCAACCTCTGCCTCCCGGGTTCACGCCATTCTCCTGCCTCAGCCTCCCAAGTAGCTGGGACTACAGGCACCCGCCACCATGGCCGGCTAATTTTTTTGTAGTTTTAGTAGAGACGGGGTTTCACTGTGTTAGCCAGGATGGTCTCGATCTGCTGACCTCGGGATCCACCCACCTTGGCCTCCCAAAGTGCTGGGATTACAGGCGTGAGCCACCAGGCTTGGCTGAAAATGTGCTGATTTCAAAACTTCAATTTCCAAAGCACTTAATTTCTAGTGGAATCTTCAATAAAGCACAAGAAGAAATGCTTACTGGGAAGTGTGGGCACATTTCCACAGTCCTCCTAATCACCAGTTTTGTGGAGAAAATCAGCTGTCCCCAGAGGAGAGTGACCTAACCCTCCAGTAATTCTGGGAAACACAACTGGAATCAAGTATTGCAAGGGCAAGATGCATTTGATATGATGTGTTTGTCCTAGAAATCCACATGCATTTTACATGCAACTCTGTCGTATATCTGTAATTGCTTTAACACAGATACCGTTTTTCATTCCTTACTCCTAGGTCAAATGAGCATAGCACTGGCCACTTTACCTTGTTTTCCCTGTGGTTTGAGGGGCCTCTGCATATATCGCCACATGGTCAGGAAGAGTTTGATCAACTTAGGAAACGATACTGGATGTCAGTTATTCTCTTGCTCTGAAACACCAATGGTTGATGCCTGGTTTGTCTGTATTCTCCAAGTTGTTTACTGTGATGAAGATGTGAGAATAATAAGCAACTTATTTAGCACCTGGTATATCTCTGGTGTCATGGCAAGCTCTTTCCGTGAATGTTCTCATTTGAGTCTTCTAATAAATCAATGAGTCTGGTTCTACGGCTATCTTCATTAATAGATGGAGAAATGAAGCCTTAGAGGCATTAAGTGTCTTTTCCAAGGTGAAACCAATAGTAAATAGTACAGCCAGACTGAGAACACAGGTAGTCCCACAGATCCTTAACCAGCAGGCATGCTCCCTCTGTGGTCCTGAGTGATGCCAGCAAGGTAAAAAACTTCATGCTGCAGACGAACTTCCAGAGCTCAGGATAACACAGAGTTCTGCTATACAGGGAGGGGCCGTGTTTGCACACAGTTACTGCTGGAAATCCAATTGCAAAATTTTCTGTTCCCTTCTTCAAACTTCCCCAGCCCTGGATGCCATCAGCTTCAATATCTTCATTTAAAAACATGCTACAAAGAAATTACATCAAAGAGATTCTTTTTTTTTTCAGTTTTGAGAACACAAACCTATGTATGTGTGTGCACACGCATCTGTTTGCACATGTACGTGACCACCATGTCACCCCTGAAAGGGCACACTGGGCTTCTTCTCACTTTGCCCCAGAACTATCTGTAAACTGAATTGCAGGGGAGAAACTAATAGCCACTTTTTATTCCAAGGCGCTGAATTTACAACTCCATTTGTAACACCTAGCTGCACACAACAACGGACTAATTACTCTCTGGTCATTAAAGCAGATCAAACGATGAAGGACAGCAAATCACCGGGGTCCACATTATCATTCATCCTAGCAGATACCAGCACCTACTCCTGTGCCTCAAAGAGGCAATAATTTCCAGGATTTCAACTATGCTCATAAAACGGGTCCTTAATTGGGAGGTCTTCGAATACCCCTGGCGATTTAATGAGTCCTGGGGCACTGCAGGAATGGTGATGGGAGCTAGAGCTCAGATGATTAAAGTTATAGTTAAGATGCCTGGAACGGTAGTCAGTAATTCACAGTGTATCATGGAAGGCACACTTCTCTCCATGTCAAATCAAAGCTATTGCGGGGGGGGGGACTTCCGGAAATTCACAGTCACCAGAAAATAACACAAGGGCCCAGAGATGTGTCCTGGGCTCTCATCTTCTCTCACTCTGAGTACTTCTTGAGTCTATCATCCAATGCCATGGCTTCCATTGGCAAGGGACCCTATGGCCACTCCATCACAGGCTCTGTAATACGTAGTTTTCCTTTTGCTTCCATAACACCACTATTTCCTGCTGATTTTCTGACATCTCTAGCTACTGGTGCTTAGACTGTCTTATAAATCCTTTCTCCTCTGGGAAACGTCTCAATGTTTGGGGTCCAAAGACGTCTTGGATTTTCTTTTCTTTTCATTCTTTAAACTCTACCTAGAGGACTCCATCAATTCCCATGGCTTAAAACCTGTTTATACTCCAAGGCTCCCAAATCACCAATCCCCTCTCACTTCTCAGTGTGAGATTCTTATACTCAGCTGCCTACTTAACATCTATCTTCTCCTAAGTGTCTTCCAAACATCTCAGACATCATACCTACAAGTTAATACATCATCTTCTCACTAAGACCCAATACTTTCTCTTTTTTCTAATTCTGCCATCTCATTAAATGGTACATGAATCCAACTAGAAGGTACCAGAATGAAACTTGAGTCCACGTTGCTTCCTCTCATAACTTCATTCTTCATGTACAATTGATCTACAAGTTAAATAGTTTATCTTGCTCTGTGTCTCACGGATCCATTCAGTTGTCTTCATTCCCATAGCCATTATTCCCACCCAAAGTGCCCATCAGCCTGCAACCGCCCTCTAACTGATGTTCCTCTCCTCTCTCCTTCCACCGCAATCCATTCTCCACACTGCAGGGAGAGTTATCTTTCTAAATAGAAAATTTGATCCACTTCAATGGTTCCCAATTGTCCTTAAAGTAAAAGCTAAACTCCTTAACTTGCCTTAACAGGGCCCTAAGTTATCTGGTCTCTAGGTTCATTGACTGTGGCTCTTCCCAATCATCAATGATAAACTTGAATAATCGCAGCCACTCTAGAGGCTGAGATGGGAATATTGCTTGAGCCCAGAACTTCAGAACAGCAGTAAGCTATGACCATGCCAATGCACTCCAGCCTGGAAGACAGGGTGAGACACCCATATCTAGGGGGAAAAACAAAGCTTGAATAGATGCACACTCTTACACACGCACACACATACACACACACTAATCCATGTTCTTTTCTAAAAATACACAATTCTCTTTTACAGAAATACATAATTCTTCTATCTGAAAGGACTTGGTCTTAATAGTATTTATATCTTTCTCCCTCCACTCCCCAGCATCTATCAAAACCCCAGCAACAGAGTAGGTGCTAAATAAATTATTGTTGAAAGAAGAAAGCAATATAGCTCGACATATAAAGACATATAATCTTTGTTTCTTTTTTTCTTTCTTCTTTTCTTTGCATTTTATCAGAATCCTTAGATATAAGCTTTGTGCTCAGTTCCAGTGGCTAGCTTTAGTCTAAGATTCTTAATCAATTGGAAAAAATGAAATCTTAAGATTTCTGTGAATATTTTCTTACCACCCCCCAATTATTTCATTACTAGGCTCACCACGTAATTTCTTTTAATAATCTCATGGTTTATTGAATCTGCACCTTTATTATAAGCCATCTAAAACCCTTTTTGGAACTAGAGATTGAATAAAGGTAATCATACAATAAAAGCAAATACGGTCATTACCAGCTGCAACGACCCCCTCCATTCCTGCTTTGTGAAGTGTAGGAGACCATTAACACTTGATTAAAAAGTCGTCATATATTCATGGTGATATGAGGTACCTGTCTATATGGTAAGCCTCGGACAAGAAGGCCTTTCAGCACTACTGGTCTTGGAAAAGAAAAGGAGTGTGTCATAGTTTTATGGTGATCGTTTTCATCAGCTTCACAGTGATTAATAAGTGCATTCATAGAACTCCTGCCCTCTAAGAGATAGCTGCTGTTTACATGTTGCCTGCCACTCAACGGGAGGCTAAGGGACTTGCTGAAGGTCAAGGTTGGGTGTAGAGGAAATGCCTTCTCTCTGCAGCCTTTCCCACGACCGCAGAGCAGGAGTGACATCTCCCTTCCAAGGGATCCTGTTTCATTTTTCCCCTGCTTCTGTCTCACCAGCTTTGGCAATACATCGTGGTTAGGTTGTTCAGGTCTCTCAGACACCAGTAGACTGAAGATTCCTTGAGGGTAAAAATCTTTTCTTCCTCTTCTAAAATAGGGCCTAGAAAAACACCTGGTAGGCCAGGCGTGGCGGCTCACGCCTGTAATCCCAGCACTTTGGGAGGCCAGGGCGGGTGGATCCTGAGGTCAGGAGATTGAGACCATCCTGGCTAACACAGTGAAACCCCGTCTCTACTAAAAATACAAAAAAAAAAAAAAAAATTAGCCAGGCATGGTAGTGGGTGCCTATAGTCCCAGCTACTTGGGAGGCTGAGGCAGGAGAATGGCATGAACCTGGGAGGCAGAGGTTGCAGTGAGCCGAGATGTGCCGCTGTACTCCAGCCTGGGTGACAGGGCGAGACGCCAACTCAAAAAAAAAAAAAAAAAAAAAAAAAAAAAAAAAAAAAAAAACCTGTATATGAGGAGAAATAGAGTATGAGAGAATAATAGGGGACGGAACATGGAAATGGGAAGAAGCAAGGGGAGGGAGGGGGAGAGAAGATGTGTGCCTCTTCTCACTCAAGTCCAATTCATTTTTGAACCACAGACAAAGACATTTTCCTAAGGTCACTCTATCAACACCTCCCAGGCAGAAGAATGCACATGTAGGTGAAGTGCTGGTTTTAAGTATATATTCAGTATTAGTAAATAACACGGACATTTATTTGTTTAAGGTGTTTTTTGTTTGTTTTCATTTTTTGTTTCCTTGTTTTTGAGAAGGTGTCTCACTCAGTCACATAAATTACAGTGCAGTGGAGCAATCTCAGCTCACCACAGTCTTGATCTCCCCAGGCTCAGGTGATCCTCCCTCCTCAGCCTCCCAAATAGCTGGGACCACAGGCACATACCACCACACCCAGCTAATTTTTGTATTTTTAGTAGAGATATGGTTCTGCTATGTTGCCCAGGCTGGTCTTAAACTCCTGGGCTTAAGAGATTCACCTGCCTTGACCTCCCAAAGTGCTACAGTTGCAGGAATGAGCCACCATCTGTAATTATAAAAATTTTCTATCCTGTTGTGATGTGCTGAATGGCATACTTGCCCCACTCCCAAATTCATATATTGAAGCCTTAACCCCCTGTACATCAGAATGTGTATTTGGAAAGAAGGTCTTTAAAGAGGTGACTGAGTTAAAACGAGGTCATAGGGTGGGCCCTCATCCAACATGACTGCTGCCTTTGCAAGAAGAGGAGACAAAGACAAAGACACAGACACAGAAAGACCATGTGAAAACCCAGAGAGAAGACGGCCATCTACCAACCAAGCAGGAAAGCCTCAGAACAAACCAACCATGCCAACGCCTTGGATTTGGACTTCGGCCTCCAGAACTGAGAGACAATTAAGTTTCTATTGCTTAAGCCAAACAGTCTGTGGCATTTTACTATGGCAGCTTCAGCAAACTCACATATCCGTGCCATCCAGTATGGTAGCCTCTGGCCCTGTGTGGTCAGTAAGCACTTGAAATGTAACTAGTCCCAGTGAGGCACTGAATTTTTACATTTAAATTTAAACAGTCACATGGGGCTCATGGCTGCCATTACAGACAACACCAGTGAAACCAATAAGCTTAGAAAGTCAGGGGCTTCCATAAAATGAGTTACGGAGGAGTCCCTCTTTTTCTATTGTTTGGAAATAGTTTCAGAAGGAACAGTACCAGCTCCTCTTCGCACCTCTGGTAGAATTCTACTGTGAATCCGTCTGGTCCTGGGCTTTTTTTTGGTTGGTAGGCTATTAATTACTGCCTCAATTTCAGAACTTGTTATTGGTCTATTAAGGGATTCGGCTTCTTCCTGGTTTAGTCTTGGGAGGGTGTATGTGTCCAGGAATTTATCCATTTCTTGTAGATTTTCTAGTTTATTTGCGTAGACCATCATTCTCAGCAAACTAACACAGGAACAGAAAACCAAACACCGCATGTTTTCACTCATAAATACGAGTTGAATAATGAAAACACATGGACACAGGAAGGGGAACATCACACACCGGGGCCTGTCAAGGGGTGGGGGGCTAGAGGAGGGATGGCATTAGGACAAATACCTAATGTAGATGACAGGTTGATGGGTGCAGCAAACCACTGTGGCATGTGTATACCTATGTAACGAACTTGCACGTTCTGTACATGTATCCCAGAAGTTAAAAGGATGATAATAATTAAAAAAAGAAAGTCAGGGGCTTTGTCTATTTTGTGCCCCACTTTAGAGTAGTTGTACAATACATACCTGTGGAATAAGAGGAAGAAATGACAATTAAAGAAAGACAATTTAATTGCCTGCAGTGTTGCCCCAAAGCAACGCTGAACATCATACAGAAGTTATACTAAGCATGGAGAACAGGAACTAATTTAATGAGCACCTTCTAGGTGCAAAGCTGTGTGCTAAGGGCTTTATGAACACCATCTTATATCTACTCAGGACCCCCCTAGGGTAGGCATAATTATTTTCCTCATTTTGTGGATGTGGCAACTGAGACACAGAGAGACTCATTATTAACCCAGGTCACATAGCTAGTGAAATAAGGCACAAGGATCCACTTTAAAGCAGTCTAACTGCAAAGGCTAAACTGTGAACCACCTATAGTCAAATATCATGTCTATTTATGGCAGCTCCCATCAATCCCTATTGTCTTAAACTGGGCCCATTTTTCTCATTGATGCTATTTGCTTAGATAGTTGAGTTTGTGGCCCCTATTGTTCAGGTATCACTTGACGATCTCTAGGTACATCCCTGGTAGATGCTTCTCAGAGGGTCTTTTTCTCTCCATGAGTTTTTGCCTACAAAATATGGCACTGGAGTCATGGAAGGATGGAGCCATGGAAGGAAGGGGCCATGGATGGAGTCATGGCAGGAAGAGAGACGTGGAAGGAAGAGAGTTATGGAAGGAAAAGAGACATGGAAAGAAGAGAGCCAGGGAAGGAAGGAGCCATGGATGGAGCCATGGAAGGAAGGGACCATGGATAGAGTCATGAAAGGATGCAGCCATGGATGGAGTCATGGAAGGAAGGAGCCATGGATGGAGTCATGGATGGAGTCATGGAAGGAAGGAGCCATGGGTGGAGTCATGGAAGGAAGAAGCCATGGGTGGAGTCATGGAAGGAAGGATCCATGGATGGAGCCGTGGAAGGAAGGACCCATGGATGGAGTCATGGAAGGAAGGAGCCATGGATGGAGCCATGGAAGGAAGGAGCCATGGATGGAGTCATGGAAGGAAGGATCCATGGATGGAGCCATGGAAGGAAGGAGCCATGGATGGAGTCATGGAAGGAAGGAGCCATGGATGGAACCATGGATAGAGTCATGGAAGGAAGGAGAGCCATGGGTGGACTCATGGGAGGGAGGGGTCATGGAAGGAAGGGGCCATGGATGGAGTCATGGGAGGGAGTGGCCATGGATGGAGTCATGGAAGGAAGGAGCCATGGATGGAACCATGGAAGGAAAGAGCCATGGATGGAGTCATGGGAGGAAGGAGTCATGGATGGAGTCACGGGAGGAAGAGCAGCACAGGGCCAAAAGTTGCTCATAATACTGTATGTGCTCTGTCTGTGGTGGTGTGAGCCAAGAAACACAGGAGGGGACACCTGCCCCAGTAAAGGGTGGTAAGGGAAGGCTTCTAAGGCTGGTGATAGCCCAGAGCTGAGTCTCGAAAGATGACCAGGAAGTATCTAAGTTAGAGAGTGGTGAATTATTTCCAGGTGAAGGTGGTAATACCTACAAAACACACATCAGATCTTCCCCACGTTGGGGAAGTCACGCCCAGGAGGCTGACAGGTGGAAGTGTTGAGCAACTGGATTTTGGCCCGAGTGAGTCTCTCTGTCTCCTTGCATCTCCATATTCCTAGTGATAACAATGGAGATAAGAAGATTACCTAACTCCTGGGGTTGAAAGTCAAAAAAATCATCTAAAGCATGCAACATAGTTAAGCAGAACATAGCAAGTACTAATAAATGTCAGCAACCACTATTCCTAATGTTGATACTTCCATAATTATTAGTTGTTCTTCTAACCCCACAGAATGCTTTGTGTCAGACACATTTCTAGGCTACCTCAGAACATGCTATTTTGCTTCAAAAATAAAAAAATAAAAGAATAATAGGTAGAGTTTTAGCAAAATTTACAAGCATGCACTGGATCAAAAGAATACTGTGTTGAATTGAAAGACATGGGATGAGAAAGGAAGAGTGGACATCGGGGTAACTGAGACACTCAATGGTGAAGAAATATGGAGGTGTGGTTGGAGAATGGAAAATATCCTGTCTATTTATGGCAGTACCCACTAATCCCTATTGTCTTAAACTGGGCCCATTTTTCTCATTGATGCTATCTGCTTAGATGTTTGAGTTTGTGGCTCCTGTTATTCAGGGGTTATAAAGAAGAAGAGAAGATCAATATTTCAGAGGAGATATATATATATATATATATATATATATATATATACACATATATATATATATATATGTATATATATATATATACATATATATATGTATATATATATATATATATATACACATATATATATGTATATATATATAAAATTTATTCCCCTGCCACCACCACAGGTCAAGAAAGGATTAATTTGCTTCATATTGACAAACACAATACAGCAGCATAAAACAGATTTATTTATCTATCTTGTTAAGAGGTGATAAAAGTAAAGAAATGGAAACAGGGGTTGGAAACATACTGAAGCCAGGAATGAAGTTAATACCCACACACAAACCTCAAAGCACTCCATGTTGGCTGGGTAGAGGCCAACATTTCCTGCTGGCTTTCCTACCAATCGGCATGGAAGGAAATCTTATGGTTGATATCCACCATTCCAGGTACCTATATTGTGAAAATAAACCAATAAATAACCAATAAAATTAGCACAGTTATTCCTTAAGGCTGGAGCAAACGGAGGTTTTATCATGTAACAAGCAGGATAGTGACAATTTTTGAACATTCAGTGCAGGTAAGTGACTAACCCACTCTCTTTATCGGGAGCTTCACAACTCGTGATGTGGGAGCTATTATTTCCCTCATATTATAGATGAGGAAGCAAATGCTTATAGGAGTCAAAAAATACTTAGGTAAAAAAGCAGAGCTGGGATTTGGATCCAGGTGTTCTGAAACACAGGGAAGCCAGGATTTATAGTCACCATGCCAGAGGACCTGAGATGTACATATCCCCACCACCTCCTCAAAGAGGCACAAAAGGCATGCCTGTTTCTTACTATCTCCTTAAAGATGGGCTCCTAATATTACCCCAAATTGCAATCCAATAAAAGCAATTCTAGCAGGGAACTAACGCAATCCACTCCATGCACACAGCTCTCTCCTGACCTGGCATCATCCAGCATGAAGTTTTACAGCATCTGGAGAAATGAAGGGAAAACATCCTTTTCAAAATCTTCCTGAATACTGCCTCTCATATCCACTTTCCTGCAGATTCAGGGGGCAGTGGGGCCATGCCACCTTCATTAGCAAGAACCTGATGGGAGGCTGCAGTACGTTGCTAATAAAATATGGGCCACCAGGTACCCCTTCTTTCCAGTATGCTTGAATTCAAAGAAAATAAAAACACTCTTAAACAGCACTCCAGAATGCAACGTTAGAGATTTACCCCAGTGTTGACGCTAAACACTGAAAGACAAGATGACTTTTCCTTTGATACCACTCCTTCCACATCCCAGTGCCCATCATAAGGCTCTGTGTGCAGTGGAAAAGGGGAATAAATCCTCCGATTCAGCCAACTGAAAGGAAGCAGCTGTTTCTAGGAAAATAAAACCACTCAGCTCTTAGACTCCATCAACAGAAAACAAACGTTTAGGCAGAGCCTTTGGCAACACCTAATCAGAAGCCTGCCTTCCAAAGAAACTCACAGCCTGGAATGTTCTACCCCGAAACAAAGCCACTGCAATTCCTGCAACATAATTGTTACATTTCAGACCTTTGAAACATCTGGATGCCCCACAGAAGGCAGTAAGGGTAGACATGAGAAACGAGCAAGCATGATTTCTTTCGGAATGAGTCGATGACAGAATAACTTAATTCTGAGATTTTAATACAGAGCCATCTAGGGAAGCTATATTATGCTATGTGCAGCACTTGACCTGTTCCAAAGTCTCCATTCCTCTCTCCTCCTTGGTCCTCTGTGATTAGCGAAGGGTCATAGAAACACTTTACATTTTTTTATTCCAGACCTGTATGATGTACATATACTTACAATGGCAGAAATATAGGACTTTATGTCTTTCTGTCCTAATGATAACTGCTACCTTCTTTTTCAATGTAGGTTTATATAAAAGCATCCACACATCTGCTGAAATTAGTTTACGAAAATGTATGCCTTTTTTCTCTTCTCATTAAATCTTAATCAAATTTAAAATGACTGAAAATGGCTGCTATCTCTCAACTCAAAATAAAATATATTGTCTAGAACCAGTACAAAAATAGTGGCTACATATGTACCTTACATTTGGAAAATGTTTAATAGGATAAGGTGGCTGAAGGCACAAAAAAATACTGCAGGATGAATACAACTGAAGCACATATACTTTCATTTTAACATTTTTTCAGTTGATGATATCCTAAATGACAGTCTCATGAGTAGACAGCATGGGTTCTCAATCAGGGGTGATTTTGTCCTCCAGGTGACATTTAGGGGGAAAAAGAAACATCTAGAGATTTTTTGGTTGTCACAACTGCACAGGGTGCTATGGGCAGGTAAAGTCTAGGAATGCTGCTAAACATTCTGTGATACACAGAAATGTCCATACCTAAAATAAATTCATCTAGCCCGAAATGTCAAAACTGCTGTGGTTGAAAAATGCCTGGTTGGGCGCAGTGGCTCACGTCTGTAATCCCAGCACTTTGGGAGGCCAAGGCGGGCAGATCACAAGGTCACGAGTTCAAGACCAGCCTGGTCAACATGGTGAAGCCCCGCCTCTATTAAAATAAAAAAATTAGCTGGGTGTGGTGGCACACACCTGTAATCCCAGCTACTTGGGAGGCTAAGATAGGAGAATTGCTTGAACCCAGGAGGGGGAGATTGCAGTGAGCCAAAATCACGCCACTCCATTCCAGCCTGGGCAACAGAGCAGGATTCCATCTCAAAAAAAAAAAAAAAAAAAAAGAAAGAAAAGAAAAGAAAAAAAAGAAAAATGTCTGATCAGTTATATGTTATAAAAAAACCAAACGAACAAACATGAATTATTCAGAGAAAATGCATTGAATTAAGGGAAATGTCTTTGCAACCAGAACTCAACACTCTAACTACCATGCTTAAAGTTATTATGAGAGAGAGAGAGAGACTCTTGTCTGAAATATCTTGTTATTGTAACACAGATAATTAATTAACTGATGTAAGGATGACAGCGTGTGTGATGTCACTCCCTTGAACAAGTCCTAACACACAGGTTCACTCCGATTGGACGGCTGTCTTTCCCCTTCCTTAAATTAATAAGAACGGATGTTCTCTTCTTTGGGAATGATGAATAAAAGGTTTAATTTACTGAGTGCTAAAAATAAAAGCCTTCCCATAACTCTTCAGCAGCATTTGGTGTGGCATACAGGCGGCTTTCAAAATCTGGATTATGAATTCTAATTTTTAACGCTTGTTATCAGCAAACTTTAAGGGTAAACAAATATGTGATTTGTCCGCGCACGTAGAGATACACAGTATGCATTCATATGCATATAGCGACACACAGAATTAGCACACGGTCTAAAAACAGGCACTCTGATATGACAGACAACCTCCGCCAAGCATCCTGGCTACTCTAAGCCTGTGCACTAAAATGATTGAAAGTCATTCTAGGTTTCAGAATGTAATATCAGTCCACTTAACGCCTACCTCATTTTTATAACATATAATTCATATAACTCCCATTTCTGTATAGTCCAATTAGCTTCAAACAGGTATGTAATTGTTGGTCTTGAGGGATCTGTTAGGCCATGATTACTAAATTATCCGGTAGCTAACAAGATGGCATTTCCAAATCCCTTTCACCGATGGCCACAGGTTCCAAACTAGGCCTTTCTGGCAGACTCTGTAACTCCACTGTACAAGAAATCTGTTAGACAATCTGTCACACAAACACAGATAGGAAATGTACATAATGCAACGCTTGAAGGAAAAAAAGTCCAATAGACCATGAACTTTTAATGAATGAATTTTAACAGTTCGCAATCTGGTGTGCGGTTTTCGAAGTTTTCCCGTTGAAAAGGAATGTGACTTGCGTTTCATGTTTCCCTAGACTTGATTTCATTAAAATGACAAAGAGTGAAAATGTATTTTTCATTCCTGGAAAATGAAAAGTACAGGCAAAACACAAACCTTAGCTTATTAGTATGCTAGACAGAGGCTCCTCACCTACCAGTTTGGCAATGGTTTGGGAAATCCAAACACTTTTAGGTCTCAGTAAAAAGAGCGCTATGTGGCTGACAAGCAAAGGTAATGTAATCATAATTGCATCAGGACACCTCTCTCTTTGGTTTTCTTTCAGCCCTTATTATAATGCAGACACTAAATAAATAAAATGATTTAGAATAACATTTATAGTAAATATAACTAACTCTATTTAATCTATATTAACTTAAATTAATTAGAATAGTAATCCTAAAAAGTAGATGTTCTTATTCCCATTTTACAGATGAAGAAACCAAGGATCTGTAAGTAATTGTTTAAGTCATTGGCCATAATTCCTAGCCAGCACTGCCCCCTAGGGTCCCACATTCATCACTTGAATACAGAAGGCATTGATACATATATATTGAGTAAATAAATAACATACTCCAAACTCCTGGTCCCTTCTATGTTACTTGAATGTCCCTTACATGAGAAATTTTTTTAAGTTTAAAATCTATATTTTTCCGAAAACAATGAAGTGATTTAAACCAAATTCTCTACCTTTTGAAGATGCAATGGGAATCTTAAAACTTTTGACCAATACTCCAGAAACCAATAATATTTTTAAAAGCACCTACTGGCCAGGTGTGGTGGCTCACGCCTGTCATCCCAGCACTTTGGGAAGCTAAGCAGGAGGACTGCTTGGGCCCAGAAGTTCTAGACCAGCCTGGGCAACATGACAAGACCCTGGCTCTAATGAATAATTTGAAAATTAACTAGGCTTAAAAATTAAAATCAGTTTTTAAATTAATTTAAACATTAGGTGGCACGTGCATGTATTCCTGGCTACTTGAGAGGTTGAGGTGGGAGGATTGCTTGAGCCCAGAAGTTGAAGGCTGAAGTGAGCTATAATCACGCCAGTGCGCTCCAGTCTGAATGACAAACAGAGACCCTATCCCTAAAAAATAAAAAAAAATTTAAAAAAGTGAAAGGACCTACTCTGTGTATAGTTAACAGGGATGCTGAATCAAATGAGCCTCACCTTTAAAGAGTTCAGAGATGGCCGGGCGCAGTGGCTCACGCCAGTAATCCCAGCACTTTGGGAGGCTGAGGAGGGCAGATCACGAGGTCAGGAAATCGAGACCATCCTGGCCAAAATGGTGAAACCCTGTCGCAACTAAAAATACAAAAATTAACTGGGCATGGTGGTGTGTGCCTGTAGTCCCAGCTACTCGGGAGGCTGAGGCAGGAGAATCGCTTGAACCCAGGGGGTGGAGGTTGCTGTGAGCCCAGATTGTCCCACTGCATGCCATCCTGGCAACAGAGTAAGGCTCCATCTCAAAAAAAAACTCCATCTCAAAAAAAAAAAAAAAAAAAAAAGGAGTTCAGAGGCAAGGTTAATAAGCTTCCCTGGTTCCCACTTTATCCTTGGCTTGTCTCATTCTATACCAGCTCTTTGCAGGAACTGACTATAATCATGAGTTAAACCACACCACATTGTTGATCTCAACGCAATAACCTCAACTGAGAGAGTTTTTCTCTGAGCTTTAGATGCATAAAGGCAATAGTTGACCAGATGTCTCCCTGTGATATTCTCAAAAGTCTCTAAAAGAAAATCTTCATGGCACATGTATACATATGTAACAAACCTGCACGTTGAGCACATGTACCCTACAACTTAAAGTATAATAAAAAATTATATATATAAAAAAAAGGAAGAAAATCTCAGGCTAAACTTATTATTTCTGCAGTCTGTTCTCTCTTATTCTCATGTTCCCTGCTGATCCACTTGCATCCTCCCATCATCCCAAGTCTAACATCTAGAAGTCATTCTGCATTACTCTCCTTCTGCCTGGGCCATGAATGCCTCCCACACATCTCTCCTCTCTGTTTCCACCTCAACAGGGTCTCATCATCTCCTGCCTGGAATACTTAAAACAGCTTCCTGACTTCTGCCACCCTCCCCTCCATCAGTTTTACTCTCCCTCAAATCCATTCTCCACTCAGCCTTCAGAGGAACCCATAGAAAACGAAAACCTGGCCGTTCCATTTTTCTGCTTCAAACCTGTGTGTGACTCCCTGTTCTCACACAGAACCAAGCCCCAGCCCTTCAGAAGGTCATCTCTGCATTTTACCCACTAACAAAAGCAGTTTTGGTTCCTCCCCTGCCTCCCTATACCTTTCTTTCTCTCCTCAGCCACACAGACTCTGCATTTTGGCCTCTTTGGCCTTTTCTTCTTATTGTGCCTTGTATTAGTCCATTTTAACCCTGCTGATAAAGACATACCCAAGACTAGGAAAAAAAAAAGGTTTAATGGACTTACAGTTCCACATGGCTGGGGAGGCCTCACAATCATGGCAGAAGGCAAAGAGGAATAAGTCACGTCTTACATGGATGGCAGCAGGCAAAGAGAGAGAGCTTGTGCAGGGAAACTTCTCTTTATAAAACCATCAGATCTCATGAGACTTATTCATTATCACAAGAACAGCATGAGAAAGACCCACTCCCATGATTCAATTCCCTCCCACGGGTTCCCTCCCATGACCCGTAGGAATTGTGGAAGTTACAATTCAAGATGAGATTTGGGTGGGGTCACAGCCAAACCATGTCAAACCTTCTGCTTGGAACATTGGCTTTTGGAGCCCTTGGGCGTCCACCATGTGCCAGGCATTGTGCCGGGTCCTGGGGAGAGCATATTCAATTAAGCAGACACTGTTCCTGCTCTTGTGGTATTTACAACCTGCCCAGTGCACACTGACAAAACCAAGTAAAGAAACACACCTGACTTCAACCGTGGTTCACAACAGGACAGCAATCGATGAGGATGCAGTGCGTGACAAGAATAACTTCCTCATTTCACATTATGCTTTGTGAATATCAGTGACTCTGTGCTTAGGGCCACTAC
Organism: Homo sapiens; assembly: GCF_000001405.40. Lineage (NCBI taxonomy): Eukaryota > Metazoa > Chordata > Mammalia > Primates > Hominidae > Homo > Homo sapiens. Next base: position 6,444,035 of record NC_000016.10, on the reverse strand, counting down.
ATTATACAATATCTGTTCATATACACATATATATTTATATATCCCTATCACCAAGACAGTGGCCTTCCTGAGTACTAACACTGTTCAAATCATCACTTTTGGCTCTACTGTAGAACATAAATGGGGATTCAATAAATGTTAATTGAATGAGTGCATGGATGGAGGGATGGATGGATGGATGGATGGATGGGTGCATGGATGAATGGATAGCTAGATGGAGAGATGGGTAAATGGATAGGTAGGCTGGCAGGTAGATTGTGGGTAGATGGGTAGATGGGTAGATGGACAGATGGAAAGATGGCTGGATGAACAAATTAAAGAATGACTTAGTAAATGAAAGAGCATTTTTCTCTATCATTTCAGTTTTATAAATCACTGATTAAAATTGCATCCTTGGTAACAAGTACATCTTAGAGACTCTCATCAATGAGCTTGTGAGGACATCGTTTACCAGTGGGAGAGAAGTTACAGAGCACACTGGGTATTTTCAAGTATTGTTAAGGCTCCTGCTCACATCCTTGAGAGATTTTCAGGAAGGTCCTTGTGTACTAGAGAGTTTCTGGGGATAAATGCTTCACAAGGAGAAATCAAAACAATGCAAAACCTCCTAAACAAGGCATGCTTGGCCAGGATGGGGGGGATGGGAAAATGAGCAACAGAAGAAATATTTTTATAAAACAAGGGGCATTTTAGTTTACTTTGTGTTTGCTTTGCTTGTAGTAGTAGGGAAAAGAGAATGAACGTGAGAGATAGCACGCAGGAATCCTACAGGAAGAAAGGGAGGAAAACAAGGGAGGAAAGAAATCTTCACACCTTTGAGATGGCCAAGATTCAGCCGGAAAGGAATATGCTTCCTTCATATACATGGAAGGGATACAATAGCTCACCCAGGCCTATGTGAAAAACAGGCAGTAGGTGTTCAGGGAAAACTGGGGGCTGGGAACTGTTTTCCAAGTTCCATTCTAATAAAGTATTAAAGCAATATTTCCAAAGTGGGTCCTGCTGAATTTCCAGACCCTGGCTCCAAGTACAGATTCCTGGTACTCACTTTCACATCAGAATGTCTCAGGGTGGGACTCAGAAAGATACATTTTTATTAAGTTGGTGCAAAAGTAATTGCGGTTACTTTCGCATGGCAAACACACAATCATTTTTGCACCAAACTGATATCATATTCCAAGGTTTTCATATTCTTCTGTTAAAAGATGAATCTGACTACTCCCTTGCAATTCCCCAAAATGTTTTGACCAATGACGGCAGGACAAGAGAAGGGGACGCTGTCTTTCAAAGCACTTCCTAGAAATACAGCCTCAATTGTTGGGAATTACAAAGAGAAAAGACAGGGAGACTGATATCACAAAACACTTGTTTCTGGCGACTTCTGCATACCTGAAGAGAAGGTGTGTTAGGCAGTTTTAATTTACGAGAAGGAAGACAGCAGAGGAACACTGTTTCTTTTTTTTTCTTTTCTTTTTTTTTTATTTTCTGAGGCTTGCTTTCTCCCAGGCTGGAGTGCAGTGGTGTGATCTCAGCTCACTGCAACCTCCGCTTCCCAGGCTCAAGCGATTCTCCTGCCTCAGCCTCCTGAGTAGCTGGGATTACAGGCGCGTGCCACCATGCCCAGCTAATTTTTGTATTTTCAGTAGAGACAGGATTTTCACCATGTTGGTCTGGATGGTCTCAATCTCTTGACCTCGTGATCCACCCACCTTGGCCTCCCAAAGTGCTGGGATTACAGGTGTGAGCCACCGTGCACGGCCAACAGTGTTTATTTCTAACCAGAAAGACAAACATTCGAGTGGATGTGTCCCCCTTTAAGCACCAAAGTCCCACCCAGGAATTTTTCTGAGAAGCTACCACTAAGTCAAGCTCTGTCCCCTGCTATTCTCACTGGCTGCTGAAGGGCTGGACGTCAATGACCCTTTCTATCACCCGGCAGCCTGTGAGGGAAGGTTGTTAGATACTGAGAGTTAAGGGCTTGGAAGAATTAAAAGCTTGGAAACAAAGCCTATGAATTCCTCAGAGCAATCTTTAGAAAGTGACTCTCACAGGCATGTGGAATTGTCATTCCATAATATCTTGCTAGGAATTCATCCTAATAGCAAATTAGGAAGACCCTCCCGCCACGCTGACCACTGCTGCCTGAGTCAGAGATAAGCATCCAATTCAATAGAGAAGGACTGTCTTCCCCAGACTTGGGATGAGACAGAGAGTGTTTAGTCCATCTCTCTTCAAGGGCTAAAGCTGTGAGACGTAAAACATGGGCTATATCCTGGCTACGTGAAGACAGACAGTCAGAAATAAGAGAAAATGAAGCTGACTGCACGAGGTGGCTCACACCTGTAATCCGAGCACTTTGAGAGGCCAAAGTGGGTGGATCACCTGAGGTGAGGAGTTCAAGATCAGCCTAGATGACATGGCGAAACCCCGTCTGTACTAAAATTACAAAAGATTAGCTGGGCACGGTGGCACACGCCTGTAATCCCAACTACTTGGGAGGCTGAGGCAGGAGAATTGCTTGAATCCTGGAGGCAGAGGTTGCAGTGGGCCGAGATTGCCCCACTGCACTCCAGCCTGGGCAACAAGAGCAAAACTCCGTCTCAAAAAAAAGAAAAAACAAAACAAAACAAAACAAAAAAACAAGAAAATAAAACGAAGCTGACAAGCAGTCAGAGAGAAAGAATCTAGCAGAGGACTTTAGGGGAAGCTATGTACACAGGAGAGAGCTCGTTCCCTTAGGATGTCTGGGTCCTATTTGTTCCCCAGAGATACTTACAACTCTCTCTTCACCTGCCTCCCTTAGAACCCTGGCTCACTTGAGATCAGCGGCATTAGACATTATTAGCCCCATCCCTCATACAGCTGCCATCCACTCACCACCCCCCAGGGCATGTTCCCTCATCCTCCTCAATGAGAGCAACGGCACTGGGCTCACTGCCTCTCCGTCCGCCATGACTCTGGTCATCACTCTTGGACGGTGCACTCAACATCCTGGTCTCCCTTGTCTTTCTCATCACTGACTCCAATCATGTTTGCTTCCAACTCCACCTCAGCCATACACTCCACAGACGCAGCCTAGACCCTCTCTCCAGCTCTGAATATCAAGCATCCATTCTTAGAGCATTGCCTTCTATTCTCCCAGCTCATCCATACTGTTCACTGTTGCACTTGACTGGACTCATTCGATATCACCACCCTCTTGATCCTATTACTGATTTTTTTTTTTTTTTTTTTCCAGATGGTGTCTCGCTCTGTCACCCAGGCTGAGGCACACTGGCACGATCTCGGCTCATTGAAACCTCTGCCTCCCAAGTTCAAGCGATTCTCCTGCCTCAGCCTCCCAAGTAGTTGGGACTACAGATGCCCAGTACCACACCCAGCTAATTTTTGTACTTTTAGTAAAGACAGGTTTTCACCGTATTGGCCAGGATGATCTTGATCTCTTTGACCTCGTGATCCGCCTGCCTCAGCCTCCCAGATTGCTGGGATTACAGGCATGTGCCACTGCACCCGGCCAATCCTTTTAGTCTTTACTACCCTTGTCATATAGTCTCTTTCCTAATTTCTCAGCCTAAATACCATAGGCCAGAACAGAAACCACCTCCTGGCAGGTACCCAGATTCCCCTGGACAAATTATAAGCTTGGTTAAGCCCAGCTACCTTGCAGACATAGATGAGTACTACTCTCTCCATCTTCTCCCATCCCACAGGCCCCATCTTCTTTATTTTCTCTTCAATATCCTATTTCATGCCATGTACCACACCTTTCTCTGCTTACTCATCAATACATGTATATTTAGAAATGGCCACCTAAGGCTCACGCCTGTAATCCCAGCACTTTGGGAGGCTGAGGCGGACGAATCACGAGGTCAAGAGTTCAAGACCAGCCTGGCCAACATGGTGAAGCCCCGTCTCTACTAAAAATACAAAAATTAGCCAGGCATGGTGGTGCATGCCTGTAGTCCCAGCTACTCAGGAGGCTGAGGCAGGAGGATTGCTTGAACCCAGGAGAAGGAAGTTGCAGTGAGCTGAGGCACTCCAGCCTGGGTGACAGAGTAAGACTAATGGCCACCTAAGTCCCAAGTCTACACAGTATTTCAGTTTAAGACCTTCTGAGTATTGTTTTTGCATTTTCATTGAAATTTTAAAGAGGATATCAAATTGGCCCAGCTTTCTGCATCCCATCTGAGCTGCATCCCTGGGTCGGATGCTCACCTTGGTTCATTCAGGTGTGTTTGTAATGTGGAAGGCCAGAGCTTGGGAAGGGACATCTCCCAGGGAAAGATGAGACTGGAGAAGTATCCCAAATAATATGTCTACCCCTCTAGAAGATATTGTGGGCTACAGCTGCTTGTGGGTTGCTTAGCAACTAGAAGTAGTTCTGAGCCACACAGGAGAGAATAGTGGTTCGGGGAAACAATTTGTCAAGAAATCAGGAAGGGTATATTGCACTGAACTCCAGTCAACACTTCCCTGTACCCAAACTGCAGGTTGGATGACTGGGGCAGCTCAGGAGGCATGAGGAAAGGGGCAGAAGGGAAGCAGGGGATGTTCCACATTCCTCGACAATCCCATCACTTGCCCAGGCATTTCACCTAGGCCTGAGCTAAGGCACAGCCCGGGGTAAGAGCCACAGTGGTTTCTGCTGAACTCAGAGCACGTTAATCATGCCTGTGACACTCCTGGGGAAAGGAGAGGTTGGCCGTCCTGACAATCTGCATTAACATGGGTGGATGGTGTTTGATTATACCTTCCTGACTGCAGTTTCCATTTGCATCTTTCATCAGAGGCCGAAGGATGTGCTATCTGCCCTGCCTGTCCTGTAGTCTCATCATCACTGCCTGTATGCAACTGACCTCATGACAACACAAACTTCAAACTGCAAGGGGCCATCGGCATGCTCAAGTGGGATCCAGCTGCCCTTGAGTGCATAGGTTTTCACAACAGAGTTGTCCTACAAAAACAGGCTAGATTGATTTTCAACTGGGGTCAGTTTCCAGGACATCTCTCACACCCACAGAAAACCAGGCTATTCTAAGGGTGCAGAACTTCAAGCCACTAGCAGTGACAATGCAAAAGGAAGATGTCATACACTAAATCATCAACTGTCCATATTATGAGTTGCAAAATTCAGCACATATGATATTGCAGATAACTAACAAAGTACCATGCACAATGTTAAGAATACTCAGGTACAGTGGTGAGCACACACAGAAAAAACACTTATCATGCATAATGTCCTAGTAGCATTATGCATGTCTCAGTAACCACTGCATTGCTTATATGCATGGTGAGGCTCTTATACAGGCTCAGGAAATGTCTATGGAAAGCCCGAACATCTGCCTCTTGACTTTGCCCTCCTCATCTGTGACCAAACAACGCCAACCCCAACTCAGAGGGTTCAAATAAGTTATAGCTAGAGGAAGAACTGTAAGTAATTCGATTTATTTGATAAATCCCGGGGTAACTTAAAAACAGTAAAAGTGATTAACTCCTGAGGATCCCAGTCCACTACCAAACAATGTCTAAAGTCTTTACTAAAATTGACTAGCAAAGCACACAGCATCCAGCCCTATGCCATGAAACCAAGAGGCTACAGGATGTGGTCAAGCAAAGTTTGGAGATCAGACTATTTGGGTGTGAGTCCAACTCCACCACTTCTTAGGTAAGTGGCCTGGCCAGATTACTTACTCTCCTTAAGCCTCACTCTCCTCATCTTTAACATAGAAACAACAGTACACCTTTCACAGGTTTCTCTCAGGATACAATTTAGTTAATACCTGTGAGGCACAGAGCACAGCGTCAGGCATTTATTAAGTGCTGGCTATCAAGTAATTAGTAATTATTACATTGTACGGTCTTTTTAAACATTTCTTTCCAACTTCGGTTTACAAAAGACACCGATATGGACAGCATAAATAGCAAGGTCTTTGATGAGACATCAGTAGAAATACAAACTCTCTTAACCCAGGTATTCCCCAGGGTGAACGGCATTGGGATGAAATCCAGCTACTCTTTCCTGGCACAAGAGTCAAGACCAAGAGGAGCCTGGCAGTTTCCTTGTCCCATCAGAAGAGCCTCATTGGCATGCTGATATGGTTTGGCTCTGTGTCCCCACCCAAATCACATGTTGAATTATAACTCTTAATGTTGGAGGAGGGAGCTGGTGGGACGTGACTGAATGATGGGTGCAGATTTCCCCCATGCTGTTCTCCTGATAATGAATGAGTTCTCACGAGGTCTGGTTATTTAAAAGTCTGTAAAACTTCCCTCTTCACTCTCTCTCCTGCCACCATGTGAAGATGTGCTTGCTTCCCCTTCGCCATTCCACCATGATTGTAAGTTTCCTGAGGCCTCCCAGCCATGCCTCCTATACAGCCTGTGAAACTCTGAGTCAATTAAACCTCTTTTCTTTATAAATTACACAGTCTCAGGTAGTTCTTCATAGCAGTGTAGCAATGGACTAATACACACACCATCTATTAGAAATGACTGGAATGAGGCTGCAGGGAAATGATGACTCCTGGAGAACCTAATGAAGCAGTGTCAGTGGGTTGTGAAATACATTTAATTGTCAAATTAGGTGCTGAAGACACTGACCAAGCAAAGCTTAGAACCAAGGGAAAAGAAAATAAAAGATCCAAATTGGTTTTCAAGCTGCAAACAAAAGGAGTTAAACAGAAATATGCTCTCTGTGCTTAGTTCTGCACAGACACATTTTAAAAATAAAATTCATTTAGCTTAAATTAATGGAATTAAATAAAGTAAATGCAGGTCAGTAGGGAATTACTGGAGTATGTGAGCAACGATGCTGTGGACGCTCATTCCTGATTGAACAGTAAAAACAGCCCCTTCGTTCACTGACATGCTGTGGGTGATAGATCTTCTTCTCCTAAAATAGTGTCTGTGCAAAAGATGGGAGGAAACGATCGCCTATTAATTTGGTTTTTAAGTCCAGATGAAGAACCTTGAAAATAGCCAAAGAGCCAAAAATACTGAGTAACTTCACATTCAGAGGGACTGTTTCTTCTCTCTATATATAGCAAGTCAAAAATAGACATCTCGGATTCTGGGCCTGCAAGGGATGAAGTATGTCTATGCCCATCGACTGGAGAGAAAATTTATAATAAATCCCCCTATGTTATCAGTTTGCTTAAATGTCACCACCTCTACAAACTTCCTAAAGAAATGTGACCTTTTCCATAACCCTAATTTATTCAATATACGTGTACCATTTTGTGTCTATTTTCATTCATCCAACAAATAATCACTGAGTTACTACTACATCTCGGAAACTGTGTTTGGTTTGGGGATACAAATTATCATGGCTTTCCTTATGTAACTTACAGTCCATTGGGGTATTGACAGAAAAATCATCAACAAATTAATTAATTATAAAGACAGTAAGTGTTGAGAAGAAACTGGGCTTGGGGTGGTAATTTTTCCCCCCAGAAAAAATAATATTTCAACTTGGACCTATATGTGAAATAAAACTTTTTAAGGCAAAAAAAAAAAAAAAAAAAAGTGAAGAAAAACCAGGCAGGATACTGTCAAAATTGTTCACAGCATGTTTTACAACAACTGCAATTTGGTCTGTATCATGTATAAGGGAATTAAATACCTGTTTTCTGAGCAAGAGCCTAGCACAGGACAGGACTGAATCTTCCAGGTATTTATGTGCTTATGGCTATTGGTGGTATAAAATATACTAACAGAGAAAAGGCATTAAGAGGAGGAAAAGTAATTTCACTGGTAATTCAAGATACTGCATTACCATTCCAACAGCCATTTTTAATTCGGGTAGCTCTTGCATTCCCATGGTCAATATCACCCTTAAAGCAGGTATAACATTTACTTAACTGTATTGAGCTGCATTTATCTTTTTAACCAGAAGAGAAAATGCATATTTCTTTTTTAAAGTATTCACCACATTTTCATGCTTTCCTCATTCTGTTTCCAGGAGCCAGAGTTTTTCTCCAATGTGTTGAAAATGCAGATTTTAACCATTTCTAACTTGACTTTTAACTTTTGCCCCAAGAGAATGACCTCCAAACAACAAAGAGAAGAATGAAAAACCATCACATGCTAAGTGAAGTTCGTGGTGGGAAAACGATGCAACAGAAGTCATGGTGTGTGTCACAGATCATTCATAAATGTATGGAACATTGGAATTTGATGAATGGCACATGTGAGATAAGTCCATCTACTGTTTGACTACCACATAGGCACCAGCTCCTACTTTGATTAAAATGAACAATCTAGACCCCAATCAATTGTGTCCCAGGTGCCATAAAATCTTGCAAACATTATGATTTCAGAATTAGATGCAGTGATTATAGGTAACTGAAGAGAAGGCAAACCACTTGGAAATGGGTAAATGCCCCAGTGTCTATAAATCTTGCTGGGGGTAGATGCTATATAAAACGAATACTGGCCAGGCATGGTGGCTCACACCTGTAATCCCAGAACTTTCAGAGGACAAGGCAAGTGGATCACCGAAGGTAAGGAGTTCAAGGCGAGCCTGGCCAACATGGGGAAACCCCACCTCTAATGAAAAAGAAATACAAAAATTAGCTGGGTGTGATGGCATGCCTATAGTCCCAGCTACTCGGGAGGCTGAGGCAGGAGAATCACTTTAATGCGGGAGGCAGAGGCTGCAGTGAGCCGAGATCACACTACTGCCCTCCAGCCTGGGCGACAGAATGAGACACTGTCTCAAAAACAAAAACAAAACAAAAAACAACAACAATAACAACAATAACAAAATGAGTGCTAGCAATGACACAAAACATCTGTTACACAACAGTTTGCTAATTGGTGCCTTGAAACCACTCTGAATGAGTAAAGGTGATCCTTCAGTGGTAACATGCGTTCACTACGAAAAAGTGATGGCAAGCAAATCCTCTTCCATTCCTTTGAGGTCCTAGACACTTCGACTGACTAATGCTATAGATTGAGTGTATTGCAGTATTAATGGAATTAATGAGGAATGTGGGCTGGAGCTTAGACTCAGGGCTGATCCATCAATTTATCCAAAGAATGTTAATAAATGGAACAGCTGTGCACGTATATGTACATATCTTCCAGCATGATTCACAAGCTCCTTGGAAGCTGGCCTCATGTTTGTCATTTATCATTTAACCTCCTGGGGTGCCTAGCACATAGTAATAACTCAGTAAATGCCAAATGAAGGATCATGAGGTACAAATCATTGGAAGAGAAGAATACATTGGAAATGCAGGTGGTCATTCTCTAAAAAATATATAAAATACTTATAAACAGATTATAGGCTGTTAGCAATGTCAGAGTTCTCTGTCTAGTTGGACATTTTTATCAATGATGGAAAGGATGACCTGAGAAGATGTGTTTATCATATTTACAGATGGTGCAGACCCATAGTCAGCTTGGAAGCAGAGTGACAGAACCATGATTCAAAATTATATTTATAGACTGAATTCTATTTTAGAAGTTGCTTCCTATGTGCCAGGCACTATGCGACGTGCATTACATACATGAGCTAATCGAGTTAAATGAATACACAGTTCACAAATGAGGGCTTTCAGCTCAAGACTAAGGGAGAGTCAGGCACGGGGGAAAAACTGTGGGATGGGCCTATTTGCAGGAAGGCTGAGGAGCCTTCATGGCCATCGAGAAGAGGAAGCTGGGGAAGGAACCCATGCCAGTAAGGAAGCCTTGGCCATTGGAGATGTAGGAGGAATAAGGCCTTTCTCAAAGACGTCCATGTCCTCATCTCCAGAACCTCTGAATGTGTTACCTTACATAGCCAAATGGACTTTGCAGATGTTATGTAATTAGGGATATTGAGCTGGGGAGATTATTCCGGATAACCCAGGTGTGTCTTATGTTATCACAAGTGCCCTTAGAAGTGACCAGGCACGGTGGCTCACACCCGTAACCTCAAGATTTTCGGAGGCCAAAGTGGGTGGATAACCTGAGGTCAGGAGTTCAAGACCAGCCTGACCAACATGGTGAAGCCCCATCTCTATGAAAAATACATAAATTAGCCAGGTTTGGTGGTGCATGCCTGTAATCCCAGCTACTTGGGAGGATGAGGCATGGAAATTGCTTGAACCCGGGAGGTGGAGGTTACGGTGAGCAGAGATGGTGCCACTATATTCCAGTATGGGAAACAGAGTGAGACCCCCATCTCAAAAAAAAAAAAAAAAAAGAAAAATGAAAAGAGGTTGGAGCTAGAGGAAAAGGAGGTGTGATGATGGAGCAGAGGTTGGAGTGATGTGCTTTGAAGGGTGGAGGAAGGGACCATGAGCCAAGGAAAGTGGCAGTCCCCAGAAACAGGAAAAAGCAAGAAAACAGATTCTTCCCTGGAGCCTCCGGAAGAAACTGAGCCCTGCTAACACCTGGATTTTATCCCCCTAAAACTCTTTCCAGACATCTGATCTCTAGAACCCGAGGATAATACGTTCATAAGGTTCTTGCTTTAAGCCACTGAATTTGTGGTAATTTGTTACAGCACCAATGAGAAACTATGAAATACAGAGGAATGGGAAATTCTGAGAATAGCGAGTCTATCTCACTCCTAGGCTGGCCTCTGGCCCCACACTTGCATTCATGTCTGAGTCCCATGAGAAAGGTGATGGGCTACACCCAGGGGCAGGTCAGGGGCTTCAAGACAGAGGCTCTACAGTGTCTGGTGGAAGTGATAACTGAAATAGTGGCTCCATTTTTAAAAGTTGCTCATCCAACAGAACATAATGCTGAAATGAAGCAAACCTTCTCTGCTTCTCATTTCTGACTCTTGTCTTTCTCTATGACTTCTCATTTGCTATGCCAAAAACTCCCATCAGCTATACCTACACAACACCTGACTGCTTTTCACTGTATCCATAGCCCCATGTGGGGCCAAGGCAGCATCAACTCCCACCTGAACTGCTGCAATGGCTTCCATCTGAGCTCCTGACTTTCTCCCCTGACTTTCTCTCTGTTCCCAAATCAACAGCCCGAAGGATGGCATCTCACAAGTAAGACAGCATGATTATTTCATTAAATATTGTTATTGTTATCATTATTTTTATTATTGAGATGGAGTCTCACTCTGTAGCCCAGGCTGGAGTGCAGTGGTGCAATCTCGGCTCAGTGCAACATCCACCTCCCAGATTCAAGCAATTCTCCTGCCTCAGCCTCCTCAGTAGCTGGGATTACAGGCATGCACCACCACGCCCAGCTAAGTTTTGTATTTTTATTAGAGATGGGGTTTCACCACATCAGTCAGACTGGTCTCGAACTCCCGACCTCGTGACCTGCCCACCTTTGCCTTCTAAAGTGCTGGGATTACAGACATAAGCCATTGCACCCAGCCTATTATTATTTTTCTTGAGACAGGGTCTCAATCTGTTACTCAGCCTGGAATGCAGTGCTGCGATCTCGGCTCACTGCAACCTCCGCCTCCTGGGTTCAGGCAATTCTTGTGCCTCAGCCTCCCCAGAAGCTGGGATTACAGGTATCCGCCACCACACCCCGCTCATTTTTTTTTTTTTTTGTATTTTTAGTAAAGATGAGGTTACACCCTGTTGGCCAGGCTGGTCTTGAACTCCTGACCTCAGGTGATCCGCCCGCCTTGCCCTCCCAAAGTGCTGGTATTACAGGCATGAGCCACTGTGCCCGGCCTCATTAAATATTATTCTTATTGAAGATTTTGAGATACAAGCTTCAGGTAAAATAATGTAAACGATAATAGCAAATTTGTTAAATACTACCTATGCCTGAAGCATGTTTCTGAGCACTTTCAGGGTGAGCAACGTGGCTCATACGTATAATCCTAGCACTTTGGGAAGCCCAGGTGGGAGGACTGCTTAAAGTCAGGAATTCAAGACCAGCCTAGAAAACTAGTCAGACCCCCATCTTTACAAAAAATTTAAAAAGCAAAAATAGGTAAGGCCTGATGGTATGCACCTATAGTCTCATCTTCTTGGGAGGCTGTGGCAGGAGGTTCCGTTGAACTCAGGAGTTAGAGGCTACAATAAGCTATAGTCGTGCAGTGGCACTACAGCCTTGGTGATAGAATATGACCCTGTCTCTATTTCAAAAAAGAAAAAGAAAGAAAGAAAGAAAGAAAGAAAGAAAGAAAGAAAGAAAGAAAGAAAGAAAGAAAGAAAGAAAGCAAGCAAGCAAGCATATTTCTGGACATGTTCATAAATAAACTCCTTAAATCATCACAATAACTCTGTAAATGACCAGTGTTAGCCCCATTTTACAGATGAGAAAACTGAGTCACCAAGAATGATTTGCTCCAAGTCACAAAGCTGGTAAAGTAGCCAGGACTACAGGAGCACCCCATTGGAAGTTCAAAATCCTGTGATGGCTGGCTTCCCATCATATTCAGACTAAGTGCCCAAGTCCTTGTAATACCTGCCAAGACCTCATGCCATTCACATCTCACACTTACCCCCAGCATCATCTTTGTACTCACCTTCCTTCAAATCCCACCATTTACACCCTCGGAGCCCCTGTTTTATCTGCTTGTAGATTTCTCTGACACCTGCCAACTGAGCAGACATTTACTCAGATACCTGGTCTGCCTGTTGAGAAGTACCACGTGACGCTTCCTGGGCTTAGGTAGTGGGCTGGACCGTCACTGCATGCCACCAAAACGCTCCTTTTCCCTCCCTCTTCCAGGGCTTGTGGAAAGACTTTTCTTTCCATATTTCCTCTGTTGCCATCCACCTGCCTCACCTATGCTAGAAGCAGGTATCCTTCTTGACTCTTTGCACCACATCCACAGCCATAGGATCCTCTATTCTCCCTCCTAACTTTATTCAAACCACCTGCTTCTCCTAAACCCATTACCCCTAACTTAGTGCAATCACCTGCCTTTCCCCACCTAGACCATTGCAGTAGCATCTTTTTAATTTTATTTTTTGAGATAGGATCTTGCTCTGTCACCCAGACTGCAGTGCAATGGCACAATCCTGGCTCACTGCATCCTCAAACTCCTGGGCTCAGGCAATCCTCCCTCCTCAGCCTCCCAAGTAGCTGGGACTACAGGTGCACAGCAACACACCTGGCTAATTTTTTTTTTTTTTTTTTTTTCTGGAGATGAGGACTCACTATGTTGCCCATGCCGGTCTCGAACTCCTGGCCTCAATAAACCCTCCTATCTCAGCCTCCCAAAGTGCTGGGGTGACAGGCATGAGCTACTGTTCCTGACCACAGTAACTTCTTGACTAGTCTCCCTGCCTTTAATCTTGTATCCACTGACTTATCATCCACACTGCAGCCAGAGTGGCCTTTCTAAAATGCAAATAGAACCTTGTTGCCAAGCATTTGGTGGTTGTCTACCTCTTGCCAGGTAAAGTCTAAACTTCCCATCACAGCATTCAAAGCCTATGTGACCATCCCGCTCCCCCATCTGGCTTGTTTCCTCTCACACCTGGCCTTACTCTCCACCCGTCAGCAGAACTTGCAGCTCCCAAGCACAGCACATCGTTCCTAACTCCATTCTTTGGCCTGTGTCATTCCATCCATCCGTCATGTCTTCGCACTTCTCTCCTAATTCAACTCCACTTGAGTTTGCCTAGAAAACACCCTTTTCCTTCTTCAAAGCTCTTCTCTGGCATCATCTTTTCCATGAAGAATCCCCAAGCTCTTGCACTCTGACAGCATTAATCCAAACTTCCTTTCTTTGTACAAATTCTAATTGTTCACATTTGTACATCATAGCATTTTGTCATTCCCCGGCCACATCCATTCTGAGCTCCTCAAGAGGAGAGACTGAGTCTTACTGTTTTATATTCCCTGGTGCCCAGCACAACGTTGAGAACCTCAGCCAGCACACAGTAGGTGTATTAGTCTGTTCTCATGCCGCTAATAAAGACATACCTGGGACTGGGTAATTATTATAAAGGAAAGACTTTTTCTGTTTGTTTTTCTGTTTTTTTTTTTTCTTCTTGAGATGGAGTTTCGCTCTTGTTGCCCAGGCTGGAATGCAGTGACGTGATCTAGGCTCACTACAACCTCCACCACCTGGGTTCAAGTAATTCTCCTGCCCCAGCCTCCCAAGTAGCTGGGATTACAGGCATGTGTCACCATACCTGGCTAATTTTGTATTTTTAGTAGAGAGGGGGTTTCACTATGTTGGTCAGACTGGACTTGAACTCCTGACCTCAGGTGATTCACCCACCTCGGCCTCCCAAAGTGCTGGGATTACAGGTATGAGCCACCACGCTGGGCAGGAAAGAGGTGCAATTGGCTCACAGTTCACATTCATGACGAAAGACAAAGGGGAAAGCAAGACACATCTTACATGGCAGCAGGCAAGAGAGCTTGTGCAGGAGAATTCCCATTTATAAAACCATCAGATCTCATGAGACTTATTCACTCCCATGAGAAGAGTAGGGCGGAAACTGCCCCCATGATTCAATTATCTCCACCTGGCCCCACCCTTGACACATGGGGATTATTACATTTCAAAATGAGATTTGGGTGGGGACACAGCCAAACCATATCAGCAGGCATTGACATAATATTTATTGAACAAGGAACAAACAGACAAAGAGGTGCACATGGATGAATGAATGAAGAATCATCTGCATTGCACCTGAGAAAATACCAGGGCCTTTAGGATCTATAGAAAAGTGAATGTTGGGTAAATATGAGAAATGGCTTTCTGACAACTGTTGTTATTCTATAATGGAAGGGGCTAGCCCCTAGGGTCAACAAGAAACCCTGCAGCAGCAGTGGTGGGGAGCTGGCAAAGATCCCAGGGCCGTGTGCACGGCTGATGCCAAGGTTTTGCTCCTTCATCAAGACCTTTTCTCCCACTCTCCACCAAAGCTCTCTCCACAGACACATTTCAAACATTTGGAACTTGCTTGATGATAATTAAAATCCAGCACCAATCACAGCTGGCAATGCAGAGGCAGCCACGACATTTCACAGCTAATAACTGAATATGCTCCTTAATCCCCCACACAAGGATGCCTGCCTAATCAGTGGGAGGGGCGCACCTTCTCCTCTTCCAGGAAACAGCACAGAGCAGGTGCATGTCACCGAATGTGCACCTCCCAGACAAGTCTGTGCACGCCGCAGGTCCATAAACCCAACCACATCTCAAATGCGCTGTGATCTAAGAATACGCTTTACTACTTCCTACACGATACTTTGATAAAGCTAATAAATCTCTAGTAAAACAAACAATCACAGCCTCGTTTGTGTGTTGAATTAATTTAGACTTCCCATTGCCATTTTGACTCAAAAATTGAACTTCTTGTATTATATAGAATAAAAATGATTATATCAAAGAACTATATAGATGAGCATGTATATTTTGTTTACGTAGCCCAGTGAATATTCTTCTCACTGTAGATTTCAGGACGTGAGCTGCTTTTAGATAATAGTAACAGCAATGATGGTGATGATGACAGCAAGCTTATTATCCAGTGTGTGTTAAGTACTTTACATACATTAATTCCTAGAATCACCATAACAACCCTATAAAGTAACAGAATTACTTCCATTTTACAGATGAGAAAATCAAGGCACAGAAAGCACAAGTTACTTCCTTAATAACAGAATATGCCTCTATTATACAGAATAAAAAATTACAATATAAATAAACTACATACACATACATTAGTTTTGTATTCCACCCAGTAAATACTGCTTTTATTGAAGGTTTCAGTACATGAACTTAATAATAATGAAAATGGTAATAGTCAATGTATGGAATGCTAACTAGGCATCGAGCACTTTTTTTTTTTTTTTTTTTTTTTTGAGACAAGGTCTCCCTCTGTTGTCCAGGCTGGAGTGCAGTGGTATAATCTCAGCTCACTGCAACCTCTGCCTCCCAGGCTCAAGTGATCCTCCCACCTCAGCCTTCCAAGTAGCTGGAACTACAGGCATACACCAGCACACTTGGCTAAGTGTTTTTGTATTTGTTGTAGGGATGGGGTCTCACTATGTTGCCCAGGTTGATCTTGAACTCCCAGGCTCAAGTGATTTGCCTGCCTCGGCCTCCCAAAGTGCTGGGATTACAGGCATGAGCCACCGTGCCCGGCCTCTCATCAAACACATTTCTAAGTGCTTTCATGCATTAACTCCTGAGCCCTCACAGCAATACTATAAATTATCCTTATTATTCCATTTTACAGATGAGAAAACTGAGGACCAGGGTGTGATTTGCTCCCAGTCACACACCTGGTAACGGGTGAACCAAGAGCATGAACTCAGGCCAAATGGCTTCAGAGGTTGTGCAATACTCTGAAATCACTATCTCTTTATAGTATCATCCTACCATTGTATCACACTGATAATACAACTGTTTAAATCATTATAAATCATATCACATCATGGCAGATAGAATTATATCATACTAGTAATACATTATATCATAATGGTAATACAATTGTTTGCAAAAAATAATCCACCTTACTTGGCAGCTCCACGTCCTCCTCAACATTTTTACTCTTTCATTAAGGTGTAAGGAGAATTCAACACCATTGGGCACAAATGCATGAATGCAATGTCCATACATACGCCTCTTTATTTTGCCTTTTTCTGCTTCATACTGGTAAGCTTTGCTGTCTAAATTCTCACCGGCACTTTCATTGCATAAAATATTCCAAATGAGGCCATGCTCAGCGTTCAGAACTACTCCCTGTACCACCAGCCATATTTCAACAATGTGGGAACCGTTTCCTATAGACTGGGGTCTGGAGTTCTCAGTGACAAGGAGAATAATGTAAACATAAGATGACGATGATAATGAAGAAATACTCTGGACGGCTTTTATCACCTAGGATCCACAGGAAGCCTGCCAAGAGGGCAGAAGCACATTCCATCAGCAGAGGGCACATTATCAATGCAGCCAGACCTTCACTTTATAACATTTAATATGGAAATACTATACTTAAGAAGATTTATATGAAACTCTCTTTTCCCATTGTTATCGGGTTTCTGTGTCACTCTACAGCATATCAACCCTTCCCTACCTCATAATATCAGCAGGGCTAATCTATAATAACTAGACACACAGGAGTTCATGCCATAGTCTGCATTGGAATCACAGAAACTCAATTATACAGCGAGATAGAATACTGAAAAGGCAAAACACTGATGGAGAGTTGGTTTCAGGACATTAACGAAAGGACTCCAGGGATGACAGCGTGACCCCCAAATGCTCAAGAAGTTTACACCACTGAGAGCTAGAGCCTGCTATGGGCAGAACCCAGGAGACATGTGGCAGGAATTTGCAGAGGTCAAGACAGGTCTAACCTACTTTCCTTTTTTCATTCTCTGGATGATGAGACACTTTTGAAATTTCAGAACAGTTCTTTCAAATTGCTTCTGTCTCAATGGGGGTATAGGGGCCTCTCTGCCGGTCTTTCTGAGGTGTGCCTGTGAGAAGGAGTAGGTTTGTTTTGATTTTTGAGACAAGGTGTCGTTCTGTTGCCCAGGCTGGAGTGCACTGGGACAATCATGGCTCACTGCAGCCTCGGCCTCCTGGGCTCAAGAGATCCTCCCACCTCGGCCTCCCAGGTAGCTGGGACGACAGGTGTGCATCACCACACCAGGCCTATTTTAGTCCTTTCTTTCAAAACCTACCCTGCCTTTCTCCGACTCCTAGATTATCTCTTTCCCCTCCTCTTGTCCTCTGCATTCTTTTCTCTCTCTTTCCTGGACACTTTCCTTCTCCCTCCCTCTTTTTCTCTTACTTTCATTTTCTCTCTCTTCTGTCTCTCCCTTCTCCCTTCTCTCTCTCCCTTCTTCACCCTTCTCTCTTTCTCTTCATCTCCCCATCTGTTTTTGAACCTGCCTTTCTATGTTTGTCTATTGCATAGACAGGGAGAGGGAAAGAGGGACAGAACGAAGGAAGGAAGGGAGGAGGGATGGAGGGAGGGAAAGACAGAAAGAGAGACAGAGAGAGAGAGAATAAGAGAGAGACAATGAGAGGGAGAGAGAGAGAGAGAGAGAGGGAGAAAATGAGACAGAGAGACAGAGAAACAGCTAGCTACAATAGAAAGTAAAATGCCAACAAGATTCTACAATTCAGTAACATTAAATAGATGAGGTGTACCTAGTGGTAGCCAGGGGCTGGGGGAGGGGTAAATGGGGAGGGGTTGCTTAATAGGCATGGGATTCTTTTTGGGAAGCTAATGTACTAAATACCACGGAATTGTACACTTGACAATGATTGACATTATGCTATGTAAATTTTCCCTCCATAAAAAGGTAAAAAGAGTAATGGTGATTAAACTCTTTCTCCCTGAATAAAAGAAATTTTAAACCTTCTGAAACAGAAGCAAACTCTGCAAACTCTATCAAAACGTTCGTGTGTGTGTGTGTATGAATTAGATCCACAGAATAAACCAGGCAATACAAATCTTCCCCACAGAAATGCCTACAAAGTCCATCAAACTGTTTTCAAAACAAACAATTTTCTTCACAAAAAAAAAATAGTGATAAACCACATACAGTAGATAAACTTGTTTTTCTTTGGTAGGAACATGAAGTCACAGTCTTTCTATTAGCCCAGGCTCCTGCCCTATAAGACTGACCCTTATACACAACACAGCACCGCCTAATCCCAAGCCCACAGAAATGGTGAGAGGTTGGGTAGGGGGTGTGCAGAAGGCAAATTGAACACTACTGCCATTTTTAATATAATTGGAATATTCAGGAGAGGCTGTTAATTTGATCAAGAGCATTTAAATGAGAAGACAATGATTTTAGAGTATTCCTCCTTCAGCTTAGCTATCAATGCTTAAAGTGAGAGCCCAATGTTACCCTCCCCAAACTTCATACCTGTTGACCATACTCTCCTTCCTGTCTGCATATGGAAGTAGATTCTGGCTAAAAAATCAACCCAGGACAGAAAATCCTGGTTCCTCTATCTACTCAGATTTCAGCTCCATGCTTTGAAAAATAATATTACTAAAAGGTATAAAGTTGTTTCATCCTTATTATTAAAGTCAAATAAATTATTTGTGGAAATCTGCAAAGATATTAAACAACACATAGTGAAAATATTTAGTTCATCCACATCTTCAATATCCAAGTAATAATAATATTGTAGAGTATTTTTTCCTGTATTCTGTTTGGTATGTCGACTTAGATGCAATAAATACAAATATCTATAGATAGCCTTTTCAAAACGAAAGTAAAACATAGTGCAAATAGTGTTGTATAACTTGTTTGTTTCCATTTAATAGCATCTCAGGAACACTCTTCCATCCCATTGAACCTTAACCTAAGGCATTATTTACCATGGTTGCAACGTCATTTCATCTTAGAAGAGGAATTATTACATGTCTTTCCACATCCCTATAGTTGAACATTGAGGTTGCTTATGCTTTTAGCCCTGTAAACAATGCTGCAGTGAACATCCTTGTAGATCCATCTTTACAAAGTTATAATTATCTCCCCACGTTCACACACACGCACACACACACACAGTGCTCTTAAGATGTACTAGGGTTTCTCAACCTCAGCACTATTAACAAGTGAAGTTGGATAATTCTTTAAAGTGAGGGCTGTCCTGAAAGATGCTGAGCAGTAGCATTCCTGGAGCCCCTTTCCTTCACTTTTAATGTTTAGAAATGTTTCCATACATGGTTAGATGTCCTCCAGGGGACACGGGATTACTGCCTATTGATAACCACTGCAATATTATAATGGAAGCACCCAGTGGAATGAGACATAATCTCAATTTATCTTTGATACTTGTCCTCCAAGTTGCCAGACAGCTTAGACTGCCTCCTTAATGCAGGCAACACTTCTGTTGTTGTTGTTGTTTGTTTGTTCATTTGTTTTGTTTCGTTTTGAAACAAGTCTCGCTCTGTCACCCAGGCTGCAGTGCAGTGGTGCAATCTTAGCTCACTGCAACCTCTGCCTCCTGGGTTCAAGTGATTCTCCTGCCTCAGCCTCCCGAGTAGCTGGGATTATAGGCACATGCCAACATATCTGGCTGATTTTTGTTATTTTTAGTAGAGATGGGTTTTCACCATGTTGGCCAGGCTGGTCTCGAACTCCTGACCTAGTGATCCACCTGCCTCGGCCTCCCAAAGCGCTGAGATTACAGGCGTGAGCCACCACGCCTGGACACAACTGGCACTTCATACAAGGACAACTTGCCCAAATGCAAGACTGTTTCCTAGCCTCAAGACCGGAGCTCCCCGCCCTCTGTGTGTTACTAGGATTCAGGGTGGATCTCTTATCTGGGCTCCTCATTTCTCTTCTGTTCTGATTCCCTCTGGACCATGGCCTTCCTGGGCCTGCAGTGCTGCGTCGTAGCTGAACTCTCATCTGGCGGCTGGGATTCCTACACCTCCCCACGTCCTCTGGGGCATGTCTCTCCATCAGTGCTGCTCCTCCACTGTGTCTTGCTCTTGGTCTTTCTCTGCTCCCCTGTGTAGGAAGACATACTTGACATACTTCCTTTTTTTTATTTTTTATTTTGAGACAGAGTCTCAGTCTGTCACCCAGCCAGGCTGGAGTGCACTGGCACAATCTTGGCTCACTGCAATTTTCACCTCCCAGGTTCGAGCAATTCTCTCACCTCAGCCTTCCAACTAGCTGGGATTACAGACATGCACCATCAAACCTGGTTAATTTTTGTATTTTTAGTAGAGACGGGGTCTCACCATGTTGCCCAGGCTGGTCCCAAACTCCTGACCTCAGGTGATCTGCCTGCCTCGGCCTCCCAAAGCGCTGGGATTACAGGCCTGAGCCACCACGCCTGGTCAGGAAGACGTGCCTCCTACAGGGATCATGGCAAGATTTATTATCAAACTCTCAAAAAGTTTCTCTGCAGCTTGCGGAAGGCCGAACAAAATGTTGGTCAGATACAACAAACACTGTATTGTTATCAGAGAAAGTTGGGTGTTGACAGACTGGACAGAGAAGTGAACAGCAGCAACCTGGGAGGAAAAACAATGATGAAAGGAGAGTTCTGCACTGTTCACAATTGTGAATACATGGAATCAACCTAGCTGCCCATCAGCGGTGGCCTGGATAAAGAAAATGTAGTACATATACAGCATGGAATACTATGCAGCCATAAAAAAGAAAATCATTTCCTTTGCAGCAATGTGGATGCAGCTGGAGGCCATTAATCTAAGTGAATTAACCTAGGAACAGAAAACTGAATACTGCATATTCTCACCTGTAAGTAGGAGCTAAGCATTTGACATGGTTTGGATCTCTGTCCTTGCCAAATCTCATGTCAAATTGTGGTCTCCAATGTTGGAGGTGGGGCCTGGTGGGAGGTGGTTGGCTCACAGCGGTGGATTTATCAGGAATGATTTGGCACCATCCCCTTGGTGCTATTTTTGTGCTAGTGAAAGAGTTCCCCTGAGATCCGGTTGTTTAAAAGCGTTCAGCGCCGCCCCTCTTGTTCTCTTTTGCTCCTGCTCCTGCCATGTGAGTCACCTTACTCCGCCTTTGTCTTCTGCCATGATTGGAAGCTTCCTGAGGCATCCCCAGGAGCAGAATCCATTATGCTTCCTGTACAGCCTGCAGAACCATGGACCTCTCTTCTTTAAAAATTACCCAGTCTCAGGCATTTCTTTATAGCAGTGTGAGAATGGACTAATACAAGTGAACTAATACATGGGCATAAGATGGGAACAATAGACAAGGGGGCCACTGGAGGGGAAAGACAGGGAGGAGGGCATGGGCTGAAGAACTACCTATTGGGTACTACACTCACTACCTGGGTGATGGGATCATCCACACCCCGAACCTCAGTATCACACAGTACACCCATGTAACAAACCTGCACCTACATGTACCCCTGAATCTAAAGAAAGTTGAGTTAAAAAAAAAAAAAAGGAGAGGTGGTCGGGCGTGGTGGCTCACACTTGTAATGTCAACATTTTGGGAGGCCAAGGTGGCAGATTACGTAAGGTCAGGAGTTTGAGACCAGCCAGGCCAAAATGGGAAAACTCCATCTCTACTAACAAAATACAAAAATTAGCCAGGCGTGGTGGTACTTACCTGTAATCCCACCTACTCGGGAGGCTGAGGCAGGAGAATTGCCTGAATCCTGGAGGCAGAGGTTGCAGTGAGCCGAGATAGCACCACTGCACTCCAGGGTGGGCAACGGAGTGAGACTCCACAAAAAAAAAAAAAAAAAAAAGGTCTGGTCCCTAAACAGGAGGAACAGGACCAGGAAATGGGACCACAGTCTATTTGATGGGATTTGTGACTGAGGAGGGGGGAGGTCTTTTAGCATAAGACGGAGTCTGACTGGGTTTATGGTATAAAACTGCACAGAGCTGGGCCAAGGTTGAGATAAACCTGCGTATTGAAAAGATACATGGAGAAGCCCCTTCACGATGATTAGTGTGTTAAATTTATCCCGATCATTTTTTGTGTGTGTGATCTAAAGCACCCATGTTTTCTTCTGTGCCAGTGTCATTCGTGGTGACGCTAGGAGGCAGGAACAAATAGAATGCAATATTATTTCCACATTATGCAAAATATATTTGAGCCACCTCCATGCTCATGGCCATAATGAATGTGTCAACGTTTGCTGAAAATCTTGTTAAAAAGTACATTTCCTTCCTTCTAAGAAGCATTCCCCTGACGACAAAATTCTGATTCAGAATTCATAACCTCCTTAAAGGTAGAACTTCCTTGAATAAAATCGCGTGGTCCTCAGATGTGCAAACGTTTTTACGTTCACATAATACGCTTTTCTCATTCAACATGATTTGTCAGATTTTCCTTTTAAAAATCAAATCAACAGCCAACAAAGGGCTCAAGACTCCTTCTCCCATAGAGAGCGGCTCCAGATGGAAGAGCAGAGATGCGGGCTGCCCTCTGTCCCCTCCCGAAGGAGAGGATGTAATCTCAACCAACGCATCAGGGTAGCCTGGGATTCCTGAAATTGGATCAAGAAGCCTCTGGGCCTCTCTTGTTTACACCACGGTTCATTTATCTCCAAGCTTGCTCACATCCAGCCTTCATGTGATTGACTTACAAATTGGAGTCTAAATTATGTCTTCTATTGCCTAGCAATTAGCCATTGAGGAATAGTGCCATCACAATATAAAGATGGGAGATGTTCACGCTGCAACAAGGGGCCATTGGAAGAAAGAGCCCTTCAGTCCACCCACTTTCAGGCTTACAGTAAGTGCCCTTTGATGCAGGTCTAGCCTTTTAAAATGACAACACTATTTACTCCTTGCACTATGTCACCCTCATCCCACACATAAAGCACTCAGAGAGTGCCAAATAAGTCTTCTTCATTTCCCCAATCTTTGCCTCTTGAATCATCTCTCTCAGAATCGTTTCTCTGGTCTCTGCACTGATATTGGTTCAAAGGCTGTCAATTGTACAAGTGAATGGTGATGAAATAATTAGTAGCACAAGCTGGGAACTTTCATATGAGCAAACACCAATACACTAAAAATGAGAAACGTGATGAACTGAGGCTGTCAGCAGCATTATCTGTAATAGGGCCCATCCTTCAAGTTGCAAGCTAATTCTGCAGCCTCACTCTTTTATCCCGATGTGGTTTTTCTCCACCCTTTAAAGTAGAAAAATATCTGGCTTAACATCTCTTCAAAAGACTACATTTTCTTTGTTCATCCTTGATTCAGAAACACCAATTCTTTAATTTACATTTTCTTATTGTAAAAATTATAAAGTGCATCACAGAAAATGTTGAAAGTGTAAAAAAATAAAAAATGAAAGAGGTAGGGAAAAAAAATCTCCCCACACTCTAACCACCTGGAGGCAATTGCTACTACTACTTTGCTGGATTTCCAGTCTTTGCTACTGTGCATTTTTAACATATATGAGAAATTACTGCATCTATAATTTTGCTGAAGGTACATTTTTTTCAGGCTCTGCTGAAGAGAAAGGGAAAGAGTTCTCCCTTTCATCGACTGCAGAGTTGAAGCAGGCAAGACAACGGGAGAAAAGGACACTGAGGCTTTATGTGGTTAATCTGAAATGAAGATTAAAATCATTGTTAGCTGCAAAACAAGGAAATTAAGTGATTGTCACAAACAACCTGAAACAGCTCAGTGGGATCCATTAAGATTTTTAACAGCTCAGTGAAATCTAACATCTACCTGACAGGCCAGAAGGGAAGGGATGGGGGGGCCTGCAGCATGTCTTTGACTCTCCGTGCATTAAACAAGTAAACTTTTTACTGATTGATGGTCCAGGAAAGCTGAACTGACCTCCACCTTCAATTAACTCAGTTTGAGATCATGCCTATACCCCGCACAGCTTGTCTTCATAATCTGAGATAATAAGAGTTTTAAAAGCTCAGCAAGGCAAAAATTGCGGTGTGTGTGCTGCGTGTAAAAGATAGAACACGACTGGGATGTGTCATATAGTCTATGAAGAACGGGAATGGTGGGATGCCTGTAGGTATCCCAGATGTACAGGTGGGCCCTCTGCAACCACACCACGCAGGGAAGCATCTCTCTGAATGTTTTCTGAAATGAAATTGGCACGGGGCCCACTCTACCTTTTCATTCTCCTCTGCCTCCACTGCTTAGGAATCTGGTTCCGGAAATTTGGTAGAAATGTACTTGAATTAACTTTTGCTTATTGTCTTCATTCCTTTCTTAGCACTGTCTTGTCTCTGCCTCCCTTCAATGTTTATTGAGCAGCTGCTACTTAGAGACACACGTGAGTGATGAATCAAGAATGAACAAACCAAGCCATACACTCCACACTTTTTAGAGAGCTCACACATTCCAGCAGGGAAACTGTATGTCAACAGGCAATTCCAGGCCAGTCAGGCAAAGAGTAATGACTCTGCAATACGATACCACAGCATATACCTGGACAGTAGAAAAAAATCATGGAGTGCTTCAAAAAGGAGGGGGCATTCGAATTAGGTCTTATAAAAGAAGTCAAAATGTGTGTCACATTTTATAAAATTGAAGGTTTGGAAAAAGGTTTAGAAAATTTAAGAAAAATCATGCTGGCCTGTAGAATAATGACTGAGTCACTGCAAAGATAACCCTGGAGATGTGTGAAAGGCTATCAAGACTGGGAGAAACGGCCACAGTGAAAAGTCTGCAAATGGTCTCTGTTCTGGGGAAAAGTTTCCAAGCCCATACATACGCTTTTTCCAAAATCACTTTCCTTCTGCTCCCCAGTAATTGCAATACAACGGTTCTTCCACATAGGACCTTTCTGACTTTCAGGTAATACTCAGGGAGAAAGCCCCAGTGAAGGAAAAGCATATCAAACTTGCATGAAGGGCCAGACGTGGTGGCTCATGCCTGTAATCCCAGCATATTGGGAGGCCAAGGCAGGGGGACTGATTAAGGACCAGGAGTTCAAGACCAGCCTGGGCAATATAGTGTGATCCCATCTCTATAAAAATTTTACTTCTTAAATTAGCCAGGTGTGGTGGCATGCACCTGTAGCCCAGCTACTTAGAAGGCTGATGTAGGAGGATCACTTGAACCCAGGAGTTAGAGGCTGCAATGACCTATAATTGCACCACTGCACTCCAGCCTGGGTGACTGAGCCAGACTCTGTCAAAAAAAAAAAAAAAAAAAAAAAATAAGGCTTGCAGAAAGACATCTGTCCAAAATTGTAGATGATGTGAATTCCAAGTCCCTCTCAGATAACATCATAATGCACCCCCATTTCTCACCCTACTTTATAACTCCCAGGTTTATAGACATATTCCCCAAATAGCAGCTCTTATTATGTGCCCTTAGTCCTAGAAGTCACCATAAGAGATTCTGTTCTTTCTCCATTACTATAATGAGAATGGTTCTACAAAGTGGTTAAAGGACACACCTCCTAGATTTATTTCCAGACCCGGCCACTCACTGGCTAAAATGGGCATGCCATATGGTCTCTCCAAGCCTCAGCTACCCTTCGGTAAAATAGGGGAAATATAAGTGCCTCCCTCATGAGGTTAAATGGCATAAACCATGACACTCCCCAGTAAGTCCTTAGCAAATGTTACTTACCATTCGTACTTAGTCATGGCAGTAAGGAGCCTGAGGGAACCCTCTGGGTTCAGTATAACTTGTTTGAAGGCTTGGCCTGTGTCTCTTATTTGATCTTGATCATTCATTCATTCATTCTTTCAGAAAATAATTTCTGAGCACTCCCCAAGGATTAGATGTTATTAATACAACTTTCCAAAAGGGAAAACATACATCCTTTCTCAGAAGAAAGTTCTGTCTTTTGCTTTCTTTAGGTTAATGATTTACATGTGTAAATCAGGAAAAATAACTAACGGATACTAGGATTAATATCTGGGTGATGAAATAATCTGTAAAAAAAAAAAAACCTATGACACAAGCTTACTTATGCAACAAACCTGCACTTATACCCTTGAACTTAATTTTTTTTTTTTTTAAAAAGAAAGGAGTTTAAGGCCAGACATGGTGGCTCACACCTGTAATCCCAGCACTTTGAGAGGCTGAGGTAGGTGGATCACCTGAGGTCAGGAGTTCAAGACCAGCCTGGACAACATGGTGAAACCCCGTCTCTACTACATATATAAAAACTAGCCAGGCATGGTGGTGGGCGCCTGTAATCCCAGCTATTCGGGAGGCTGAGGCAGGAGAATTGCTTGAACTCAGGAGACAGAGATTGCAGTGAGCCAACACAGTGCCACTGCACTCCAGTCTCAAAAAAAAAAAAAAAAAAAGTAAACACATTTATATTTGACTAACTGAAACTCTTATTTGATCAAGTATAAACATAGAATCAGTAGAGAGGGCCGATGGAAAGGGAAAGAAAGGTGAAAATTCAGCCGGGCATGGTGGCTCACGCCTGTAATCCCAGCACTTTCCACAGCCAAGGTGGGTGGATCATGAGGTTAGGAGTTCGAGACCAGCCTGGCCAACATGGTGAAACCCCATCTCTACTAAAAATACAAAAGTTTACTGGGCATGGTGGCGCACACCTGTAATCTCAGCTACTTGGGAGGCTGAGGCAGGAGAATCGCTTGAACCCGGGAGGCAGAGGATGCAGTGAGCCAAGACTGCACCATTGTACTTTAGCCTGGGTGACAGAGAGAGACTCTGTCTCAAAAAAATAAAAAGAAAGAAAGAGGAATGATCTGCACAAATTTAAGGTAAGGAATGATCCCATAAGTGATCACCATAAAATATGCACAGAAAGTTACTGTTAGTGATGATATCCAAACACAAATGGCAAACACACTTATTGGGAATCCATCATTACTTCCTTAGTCATGGCAATACTTAAAAATTCAGGACAGCACATTTGGTTTCTAAGTCAGTGATTACCAGCACTGCAACCTGTTTGATGTATCCGTGTATCCTGTAAGGTATGTTATTAGTATGGTATTGCTGGACAAGGAGGTACAGGCCGCAGTGCTGACAGGTGCGAATGCAGCAGTAACATGGGCGTGGAAATGGCATATTCTCCCTTAGACTTTCTTTTTGTTTAAAAGCACACACGCCTTGGGGTTCTTACTGAGGACATAAAATTTACAATCACCCTTGTACAAGAAGCCTCGGTGCCACTCTTTCTTATCTGTTTCTGAGTTTTCTCCTCTTTCCTCATTAATACAATCTCTTTCAGTAAAAAAAGAAAAATGGAACGAAAAAAAGAACAAGACAAGGAGAAGGAGGAGGCAGGGAGGGAAGGAATTAGAGGGGAGAAAAGCAAAAATTTGTCCTGCTCATCATTGTGGCCATTTCCCCATGGAGAAGCGACTGGCTTCAAAACCAGTTTAAGAATAGATATTTTGATAATCAGAGGCTTGAGCTATCTAAACTGTCGGGTGATTTTACCGGCTTAATAAAATCAAGCGCCTGTCAGTGTTGTGTTTTGATGTGGAGATGGCTGAGAAAATAAATCCACCCGATGGAAAATTACAGAGGAGCCCTTCTCCTTCCGCATAAGCGAGAGACTCAAACAATTTGGTTTCGAGGACACTGCTGCACCATGTTCCAAAAAGTAGACACGGCTTTTGTTTCCTCCTTACAAGACGATAAATATTCATGCAGGTGAATTACCGCTTGCTAATGGCCCAATATTTGGCACACCTGTTGTAGCTCATCTCAGAAACAGCAGCAACAGTTTAGGATGACAACGCTGGCAGGTGTTAACAATGGGATATTGTGACAAGCACAAGGAAACAACAAATTTTGATATCCTGATTAAACCAAGGTCCTCAAAGTGAACCCATCTTACCTGGCACCCATCTGCAGAAAATGTTTCTTATTTTTCACACCGATAGAGACTTCGAAGTCCCTACGTTAGCTGTCAGAACAGTCATTTGCGTCTGCATTTGTGTATCTCACAGATATCCTGAGGTTGTGGGGGTTACATATTGGAGCTCTGCACACAGACTCTCCTGTTTTGTTCTGTTTGTTTTGTTTTTTGTTTGAGGCACAGTATTGCTTTGTTGCCCAGGCTAGAGTGCAGTGGTGTTATCTCAGCTCACTGCAACCTCCATCTCCCGGATTCAAGCGATTCTTCTGTCTCAGCCTCCACAGTAGCTGGGACTGCAGGTGCCTGCCACCACGCCCAGCTAATTTTTGTATTTTTAGTAGAGATGGCATTTCATCATATTGGCCAGGCTGGTCTCATACTCCTAACCTCGTGATCCGCCCTCCTCGACCTCCCAAATCTCTCCCTGCTGTGATTACAGGTGTGAGCCACCACGCCCGGCCCAGACTCTCCAGTTTTAAACGCATCATCTTCTTCCTAGCTGTATGAGCTTGGGCTTATCACTTAAGTCACCTGCATCTTTTGTGCTTTTGAAAATGGGGTAACACTAGTACCCTGTTACACTGTAGGATTTCTCAACCTGAACGCTATTTTTTTTTTTTTTTTTTTTTTTTGTGACAGAGTTTCTTTCTTGTCACCCAGGCTAGAGTGAATAGCATGGTCTTGGCTCACTGCAACCTCCGACTCCCTGGTTCAAGCGATTCTCCTGCCTCAGCCTCCCTAGTAGCTGGGATTACAGACACATGCCACCACGCCCAGCTAATTTTTGTATTTTTAGTAGAGACGGGGTTTCATCATGTTGGCCAGGCTGGTCTCGAACTCCTGACCTCAGGTGATCCGCCTGTCTTGGCCTTCCAAAGTGCTGGGATTACAAGTGTGAGCCACCGTGCCTGGCCAGTAAGACTCAACAGTATTGATATTGGGACCGGTTCATTCTTTGCTCTGCATCCTACCCCATGCCTTGCAGGATGTCTGACTATATCCTTGACCTATATCCACTAGATGTCAGCAGCACTCCCTAACCTCTTCCAGTTGTGCCAATGAAAATTGTCTCAAGACAGACATTGCCAAATGTCCACTAAAAGTAAAATTGACCCTGGGTAAGAATCCCTGCTTTGTAGAGTGGTTTTGAAGAGAGACTGTATTATATGTACAGGGCCGGTGACAATGACTGGCACACAGTCTACAATCCATGGGCACAGCTATCATTATTTTCCAGACATGGTGCTAGATATTTGGGTGGGATATAAGCTTGAATCGAATGAGACCCCTTTGCTTAACGAACTTACACAGTACTTTATTTTCTTCTTTGCACTTGTCACTGCCGGAAACTATCTTGTTTATTTAGATGTTTGCTTATTAATATCTGCCTCTCTCCCAACAGCACATAAGATGGATGAGGATCAGAATTACTGGCCATGGCCACTGCCTAATTCCCACACCTGGGGCAGAGTAGACAACACAGTAGGTGCCCGGGAAATACATGCGCAAATGGATGTGACAAATTCCATACACATAATCCCAGAGAAGAGGACTGGGAAATTGCATATACATATATAAGTACATATGTCTACATACACAAGTACATTAGGTGACTTGACTTATCAATTCAGGCAGATATTAGAAACACTGCTTTCATCCACCTTTCCAAGGTTCTTCACAAAATGGAAATCAGATCATCTTCCCCTGCTTAAAAAGCCTCCAAGAGTTTTTCATTGTCCAAGGGCCTGTGCTGGCTCTCTTGGGAGGCATCTTCCTCCAGCCCCTTTCCACAGTACTTGGGTGTTCTTGGCACTCTCTGAGGTCTTGCACTTGCTGTGTTTGCGCGGAACGATCCCTATGGTTGGAATTTCCTTCTCGTCTATGTGCACCTATAGAATATGTGCTCAGCCTTTAAGATATGGCCAGCTGGAGAACATGCATTCACCCTTTAAAATGCAGGTCCCCATCAACCTCGCTAAGAGTTCCTCTTTGTCTCCTGAACTCTTTCAGCCTTTAGTTGTCGCCATAGTTCCCCCCAACAAAAAAGAACATGCAGGGGCTAGTGTGAGTGTGTAGAGGAGAGCTGTAGATGAGAGACTGAGAAATACCTGATTCTTAGTTAATTAAGTATCAAAAGATAAACCTTCATGTGGTCTTGTTCTTCCAGTAGTCACATCAAAAGATCCTGGATTTCTTCCAACAAAATGGCTCTCATTCAATGCACTCTTTATTTAGAATCTTTTCACAAACACTTTTTTCTTTCTTTCTTTCTCTGTCAATTGTTTTGACCGATTATGAGAATAAAAACCCTCATTTCAAAAGCACAGGTTTCATATGGCAAACAGTCATTTGCAATGATAGCCGACTAAAAATTTCACTGTCCTAACCATTATCTATTAAAAATAAATTTTGGCTGGACACAGTGGCTCACACCTGTAACCCCAGCACTTTGGGAAGCCAAGATGAGAGGACTGCTTGAGCCCAGGGGTTCAAGACCAGCTAAGGCAACAGAGCAAGACCCCCTATCTCTACAATTTTTTTTTTTTTTTTTTTTTGAGATGTAGTTTCTCTCTTGTTGCGCAGGCTGGAGTGCAATGGCACCATCTCAGCTCACCACAACCTCTGCCTTCCGGGTTCAAGTGATCTTCATGCCTCAGCCGCCCAAGTCTCTGGGATTACAGGCATGTGCCACCACACCCAGCTAATTTTGTATTTTTAGTAGAGACAGGGTTTCTCCATGTTGGTTAGGCTGGTCTCAAACTCCCGACCTCAGGTGATCCACCCGCCTTGGCCTCCCAAAGTGCTGGGATTATAGGCATGAGGCACTGTACCTGGCCAAAAATTTTTTTTAAAAATAGCTGAGCCTGGTGTTGTAATTTTTCTCAATAATATTAAAGTATCTGAGGCAAGAGTATTCCATAATTATTTATCTTCCAAAATTATCAGTTTTTGAAAGTTCCGTTTCTGATAGTGCCACACAAACCATCCAAAGAGAGACTCAACAAATGCCAGGTGCACGCTCCAGTAACTCTGGAACAGCAGAAAGACTGATGTGTAAGCATGTCGGGCTCACAATTCCACACTCTTGCTCACTGAATCAGATCATTAGATGGTTCCGAGACAACTAAGTAAGTGCTTCACATGTCCATTAGCAGCCACAAAACTGGGAGTGTCATTTGTGACCAACATTTTCTTCTAAAAAGAAATAAAATGGAGCACATCAAAGTGCATGTGAAGCGCTTGCTTATTATTGCAGGTGCATGCTGCCTCAATGTAAAATGTATTTCTTATTATGAGGCATGGTGAAAACAAAAAGGTTTCAAAGACATTGGTGAGAGTTTCCATTTGATAACTCAAATCTAGTAAACGCAGTGGAAAGATAACTTTTATAGGATGATCATTGAAAGGCATATAGGGGTCCATGAATAGTGTGAATTGAACAAACAGGCATCCTCTATCAACCAGAGAGACTAATAAGGCCTCCTTTAAAAGGTAGAAACGGAAGACTGAAATCCAAGTTGACCAGAGGAAATCTACCAGCGCATTATATTATCAGAAAGAGTTCATGAAAGCTTTCTGCAGTAACTCCCAAAATACATGTTCACTCTGTTCTTGGGGACATACCTTTTCTCTGGTGAGATTCATGTTTCTAACTCGTATAATATGGAAATTACCCAGTATTTGACTACTGTGAAAGGGCCATGTTTTTTTTTGTTTTTTTGTTTTTTTGTTTTTTTTTTTTTACATGGAGTCTTGCACTATTGCCTGTACTGGAGTGCAATGGCACGATCTTGGCTCACTGCAACCTCTGCCTCCCGGGTTTCAAGCAATTTTCCTGCCTCAGCCTCCTGAGTGGCTGGGATTACAGGCGCCTGCCACTACACCCAGCTAATTTTTGTATTTTTAGTAGAGACAGGGTTTCACTGTGTTGGCCAGGCTTGTCTCAAACTCCTGACCTCGTAAGCCGACCACCTCAGCCGCCCAAAGTGCTGGGATTACAGGCGTGAGCCACCACACCTGGCCAAGGGCCATGTTTTGATTGTTTTATTGAGAAAATATTTTAATCACTTCATCTGAAAACTGGTCACTGTACAGGGCTGACTTGTTACAACCAATTGTTCATTTTATGCAAAGTAACATAATGACTTTCAATAATAAAAGCTGAGAGCATGCAGTAGGTTAGACTCATCCAAGGTAACAGAATGGAGAATAATTTTCATTTTCTCACTTTTAACTCATAAATAGCATCCCTATCCATTATTTATCTATTTTCAAATTTAATTAATAGCTCGGGTAATAATTGCATAATGTCCATGGCCATAGAAAAAGCAGTCTGCATGTAGCTAATAGGACATTTTAATATTTATGAAGTTCAAAGTTTTCTATAAATAGAGAAATCCAGAAATTATCACCAGACCTAAAATTGTATTGGAAGATAGATGAAGAATCAACAACAAAGGCATGTGTTCATCGGGAATACACAAAACAGCAGTCATAAACATATACATTTTTGCCATTTTGATCAAGCTATGTACAGCACATGGCTCTTTTGTCACAGTCATCTCCGGACCTATGGTTATCTAGATAAAAAGGGTCCAAGTGTGGTGGCTTGCACCAGTAATGCCAATGCTTTGGGAGGTCCCAGCAGGAGAACTGCTTGCCCCAGGGGTTCAAGACCAACTTGGACCACTTTGCAAGACTCCACCTCTACAAAAAAAATTTAAAAACAATTGGCCATATGTGATGGGTTGCACCTGTATTCCCATGATTGCGGGACATCCAGTTGGTTTTCAGAGTAGGGGAATAATACTAGCTTCTCCTGTGAGCAGCGGGAGCCATGGTTTCCTCTTCTGTCTAAATGAGAACGATAAGGGAAGTGATAACTACATCCCGGGGTTATTGTGGGGATGTTCAGGTAATGCCTGCTGTGTCCTTAGCCAGCCCACAAATGCTGAGTAATATGTTCCTTTTTATCCCCAACTGTGCGCTGAGAAACCTGAAGCTCAGAGGGGCTAAGTGACTTATGCCGAATGGTGCAGACCACAGTGCCTACTTCCAGGTAGGTTTGTTTCCACTCCAACAGCCTACACAGCATGTTCCACTGATTCTCATGGCATTTTCTGGCCAAATGCACTAGAAGTTAATACAAATTCCTCTTGGATAGACACACGTGATTCAACGTGCACCCACCAGAGGCAGCAACATCAGTGTGCTTCCGCACGCCTTGGTCTTAATGCAGTCCTCCTAGCGCAGGGCCTCAAATAGAAGGTGCGCGGTGGCTCACACCTGTAATCCCAGCACTTTGGGAGGCAGAGGCGGGTGGATCATGAGGTCAGGAGATCCAGACCATCCTGGCTAACACGGTGAAACCCCGTCTCTACTAAAAATACAAAAAATTAGCCGTGCATTGTGGCAGGCGCCTGTAGTCCCAGCTACTCGGGAGGCTGAGGCAGGAGAATGGCCTGAACCCAGAAGGTGGAGCTTGCAGTGAGTCAAGTTCGCGCCACTGCCCTCCCTCCAGCCTGGGCAACAGAGCAAGACTCTGTCTCAAAAAAAAAAAAAAAAAAAAAAGAACCCTAGGTCATCGTTTCAGCAGGACACCCCAAGGAGAAGGCTACCTTTGGATTATTTATTTTCTTGTACCTGTAAAAGCACATTCATATGCACCAGCACACACACACACACACACACACACACACACACACAGCCTTATGATGCTTAAAACTCTAAACTGCAATGAAGAAGAAAAGAAAGTTGCCAATTTTGTGATCCCAAAACAAACTCCAGGAATGTGAGATGGTTCTTTAACAGAGGCATTTTCCCAGAAGCAGGGCTCCTAGTCTCACCTTTGCCTCGTAGAGGACAAATTGAACAGGCAAGACAGGTAAAGCAAGCAGCCTCTGGCAGTGGCTGATTTTAGATGCTTCTCGGGTGCTCCTGCCTTGTTTTTCTGAACAGGATCAAATCCTAAGATTTTAAACCCAAACCCTCCAAGAGCACAGCCACGAGACTCTCAAGGACAAAATGATTATCTCAGATCTCCGGAAACTGAGCAGTGTATGAAGCAGCTAGGGGAAGAGAAGAGTCACTTGTGGATTTTGATTTTCCCTCAGCTTCGGAAGAATATAAATTTCTTGCTGGCTTAAGACAGTGGTTTGCAGCTGGATAAATTTTAGCCGAAACCTTTTTCCCCTCCACTACAACAGCCATTTGGGGACCATATTATTTTGTTCATTCAGGTTCTTTCCTTTTTAAAAGTTTCACAGGGTATTTTAAATCATGTGTCTTAGCTTAAAAAAATCCCACAACTTTTCATGGAGGTATATTATCAAAAAACATACAATTGAACAGACTCATGTAATTAACACTCAAAGGCATCTTAACTTTCAAATGGAAAACAACTTTAAGGTTTTCCAGTTTCAAAGTGTTTGGTAAAGTTTTATTTGTTTTGTTTTGTTTTGAGACCGGGTTTCGCTCCCGTTGCCCTGGCTGGAGGGCAATGGCATGATCTCGGCTCACTGCAACATCCGCCTCCCAGGTTCAAGCGATTCTCCTGCCTCAGCCCCCTGAGTAACTGGGATTACCGGTGCGCACCACCATGCCCAGCTAATTTTTGTATTTTTAGTAGAGATGGGGTTTCACTATATTGGCCAGACTGGTCTCAAACTCCTGACCTCAGGTGATCCACCTGCCTTGGCCTCCCACAATGCTGGGATTACAGTGAGCCACCACGTCCAGACAGTAAACTTTTATTTGTTATAAAACATTAGTATTTGAAGTAGTATGTAGGGAGAGACTGTGAATTTATTCATTTATTCAAGTCACAGATATTTATAAAATGTCAAATATGTGTTAGGCTTTAAGTATGCATTGATGAACAAAACAGAAAAGTTTTCTACCTTCAGGGAGATCACAGAAGGGGTGGTAAAACGACACCAAAAGAAAATGATAAAATAGAAATTCATGCAATGATTAATTACATGAAGAGCTAGCTACAAGAAAACATAAAAGTTGTGATCACAGAAAATAGCAGCAAGATGGGTCATTTTTAGGACTGAATTAAATTAAAATGCAAACACAAATCACTGTCATTTTCCTGAGGTCACCTGACTTGTTGTTTGACCTGTGAATTCAATTTTCCTAATGCCATGCCCTTTGCCTTGAAAACTTGCTAAAACCGTAACAAAACATGTTACAGACAACATAACACTACGGTGTCAGAGAGGGAGGGAAGAGGAGAGAAACTGGCCTTGTTGCCTAAGAACAGAGGACACTTCATAGACACTCTAATAAGCTCATTCAAACTACATTTGTTCCATCAATAACGCTCTGAAAAGTCAAAGTGTCTGCTTCCCACCATGGAATGGGTGAGAAAAGGACCCAGGCAGGTCAAAGATGAGCTGAGCACCAGCTGCATAAAGATCCAGAACTCGCCCTGATGAAAATTTCAGTCTATTAAAAAACACTAACCATTGGCTCCCGGATTCTAAATGAAATCATACATTAAATACATCCCACTGGTAATTAAAGTCCCCCCTGCACACACACCTTATTCCTTAAGACAGACCTCTGTAAAGGGCCTTTTTAACTTTTTATTAAGCTCAAACAACAGCACTTTATAGAATAAAGTGCTTTTCTTTTAGGGAATGTCTTTGTCTGCCTGAGCTGTGATAACAAAATACCTTAGACACAGTGGCTTATTAACAACAGAAATGCATGTCTCACAGTTCTGGAGGCAGGGAAGTCCAAGATCAAGGTGTCGACAGATTTGACGTCCAGTGAAGGCCCATTTCTTATAGATGGTGCCTTCTGTGTGTCCTCAAATGATGGGAGGGGTAAACAAGCTTCCTCTGGCCTCTTTGATAAAAGCACAAACCCCATTACTGAGAGGTCTACCCTCATGGCCTAATCACCTCCTAAAGCCTCCAGCTCTTAATACTATTGTGCTGAGAATCAGGCTTCAACATATGAATTCTGGGGAAAAGCGAACATTCAGAACATAGTGGGGATCTACTCACAAAGGCTGGGGTCCACACCTACGGTCCATGTATGCTGCGTGAGGATTGGTGATTTAGTGTTTTATTTCTTTTGTGTTCCCTGATGGTCCCTGCTGGGATAAGATTTATACTGTGATTGGGTACTTTTCCTTCATAGCACTTACCACAATTGCAATTCATTCAAGATATTTTTGTTTAATGAAAGTCTCTCCTGGGAACTATAAGTCAAAACCATGCTGCCTTGATTATGGCTCTGTTCCCATTTCCTAGGATAGAATGTACTTCTCTCTCTCTCTCTCTCTCTCTCTGTCACACACACACACACACACACACACACCCCTCTCCTTCCCTCTTTCTCCTCTCTTTCTCTCTGTCTCTGCCTCTCTCTATATATATGTGTGTGTGTATAAATACAGACATAGATATACATAAAAATAAATATAGAGATAGTATATAAGCATAGATACACACAAAGACAAATATATACATATAGGTATAGGTAAAGATATAGATATAGATATATACATAGACATATAGAGATAGAAATGGATTACATATATAGAAAATGTATATGTACATATTTGATATGGATATAGACTTGGACATAGGCAAATCCATAGCATATATATAGATAAAGGTACAGATACAGATAAGGATGTAGGTATATAAATATAGTTATAGATGTATAGACATATAGACATATAGATAGATACAGATACAAATAATATAGATGGTTGCTAGGCAAATGGATGACTGGCCACTATGTTACATAGCCATCTCAATTACTCTCTATCATTGATATTCAACCGTAACACCATGTTGTTGTGAAATAATGCATCATTTTCCAAACCTCTTTCAAAAGAGTTTATCTCATTGGGACCTCCAGAACCCTATAAACAGGAAGTTAGGCAAGGATCATAATCCCATTTTACCGATGGGCAGCAGAGTTTTGTTTTTTCCGTAGTCACACAGTCAGTAGGGGGGTCAGCCAGCATATAAACACACAACTGTTCATTTCAAGCCATGGATCTATTCTATTTCTAACATCAGTTGGTCTATTTAAGTTTTCCAGCTCTGAATGGATCCTGACCCCAGGTAGCCTCCACATAACCTTATGAAGACCCTTTGCAATGATGCATGCTTGCCATGATGGGGGTCCCAGCATCCTCTATCCACAGCATCATTTTCAGACTTATCCAAAAATTGACCGAGCATAGGAACAGGATGAACTCTTCAAAATTCTATTACTGCAGAGATGCCAAGTATCAATAGGGTGCTTAAAATGAAAAAAAAAAAAAATGTTCGACTTCCAAAAATAGGTCTACAAACAGAGAAAAGAAGCTAGCCTCCAAATGACCAAATAACCCTAAAGGTATTATATATTCTTCTCATGTAGGAAAGTAATAAAATTTTCCTATTTTTAATAGCAAAGAACTCTTCAGTGTTAATGACTTCCATATTTGTCTAAGTTTTATGTTCTTTTGGCAGAGTGTGACATTGCATACCAGGTTTCTGGGCATGTCTAACATCTTCTATGGAGACAGAAGCTACTACAGTTTGATTATAGGAAGGGACCACTGCGGTGGAAGTTCATGAGTCCCAGATGACAGGAGGCTGCATTAGAATTAATGGGTATTGCCTCTGTAAAGAGAATCTGAGGTCCCCAGAGAAATGCTTCAATGACAGAGCATTCTGTTTCAGTGAAAAGCATAGGATTGAGTGTTGCCATCTTGTAAAACACATGGTCTTTAGCCTTACTACATGTGGAAAAGTTTAGAGAAGCATTCAGGCTGAGCCCTGTAAGATCCACCAGGACATATGTGAGACATTGGCTGTTAATGAGAGGAGACAAGTTCTGAGTCCTTAATTCCTCTGCGTTCTCACCTTCCTGCACACAGTATGTGAGCATCCAAGGTAGGAATATGTGTATCCTTGGACATATGTGATAATTCTCATGCACTTGCAATTTTATTCTGTGGAAAGGAGGTTAAACCATTGCATTTTGTAATAGAAGTTGTTTTCTCCCTCAATATTTTATGAGTTTTATTGATCATTATTAAATAATACATCCCTGCCACTACTCCTTGAAACAAATGTAAAAATAGCCCATGTGTAAAGTGGCTAGTTCCCAAATCAATGACTCCAGCTGTTCTGTGGAATTACAGTTTGTCATGTATAGGGTCTACCTCTTGGACCCTTGTGTTAGATATTATGCCTATTCACTTTCATTTTTGCTATTCCTTCCCTTTATGGCTACAGAAGAGCAGCATTCTCATTCCACCTTGTTAGGTGGGGCCATTTCACTAGTTCTGACCAAGGAGTTTCACTTGCAGGCCTAAGCATGGATCAGCTGGTGTACAATTCTCCATGTTTTCTTTCCCATCATGCTGACAAAGGAAGTTGTGTGTCCAGATGATACGGTGGTGGGATGGTGAAGCCTCCATAGCCTGAGTCCCTGAGGCACTATTTGGTGCACTTCCCAATGCCCAACACTGGACATATGAAAGCTTTGTTTTATGAAGCTATTGAGATTCAGGAGCCAACTTGTTACTGCAGCATAACCTAACTTGTCATGACTAATTGAGTCTCCAAATCAAATTCTCCAGAGGATTTGCAGCCCATCTCAAAACACCCTCTAACTGTGATAAAATCCCAGCCATCTGCTCTTGTATGATAGGATAACAGATATATCAGAAGAGACTGCATAGTATTTATAGAAATGATAGACATTTCTATGTTATAGAGTAGAGTGCAAATTTTACAATAAGTTTTCTATTAAAGCATGAGAATGTTGGGCTCACAGGAAGCCTCTTGATCATTGTGTTATGCAGGCATAAATACTTAGCAGTTCATTTATACCTGACCTTAAGACTCTATCTAGAATTAGTTCGAAGTTCTAAAAGGATATTTGGGAAGAAATAGAAGGCATTTGTGGTTCCGTCTACCAATGCTGAATTCCATTCAAGCTAGGATAGCCAGGCTTCTTCCTTCCATATCGGGGATCCACGAAGGTTTAAGTATTCCAGGAGCTCTAATCTGGTAGTTACTCTGCACCAAAATGCTTCATGTCATTGCTGGATTCTGATGAGATCTGCTCTTCTTTGAAGCAATGTGAAGTTCTCATAAGGGAGCTGAGATCTTCAGCTCAGGAAAGAATCTGGGAACAGCAAAAGGTGACCAACCACCCAAGTTTGCCTGGTACTCTCCCTGTTCTAGCACTGAAGGGATGATGCGTCCATGAAAACCTCCCCGTCCCAAGCAAACTAGGACTGCTGCTCATGAAGGAAAAAGAAGAAAAAGGATCAAAAACTAATAACTCACTCTGGCATGAAATATTAGAGTAGAGAACACACACGCACTCCATTTGTAGTATACAACTACAAATGCGTACTCTTTTGGAACCAAGTTACTTTAGGGGAAAATTGCATTTGTAACTGAACTCTCCTTGAGTACCTGGACTACCATCACAAATACTACAGTGGTCCCTCAGTAGCCACAGAAATTGGTTCTAAGACCCTCCACAGATACCAAAATCCACAGATGCTCAAGTCCCTGACAGCAAATGGCATGGAATTTGCATACAACTTTCAGACATCCTCCCATATACTTTAAATCATCTCTACATTACTTGTAAAACTTAATACAAATGCAAATGCTATGCAAATAAATTTTTATACTGTATTGTTTAGTGAATAAAGACAAGAAAAAATCTGCTCATGTTCAGTATAGATGCAATTTAAAATATATATTTTTTCGATCTGTGGTTGGTTGACTCCATGGATGCCGAGTCCATGGACATGGAGAGCCAGCTGTATAGGCTAGGTGAGTTAAACAACATAAATTTACACTCTCAGATTTCTGGAGGCTGGAAGTTTGATATTGGAGTGCCAGCATGGTTGGATTCTGGTGAGAGCTCTTTTCCTGGCTTACAGACAGCCACCTTCCTACTGTGTCTCTTCCTCTTCTTATAATGCCACCAGTCCTATTGAATCAGGACCCCACCCTTATAATCTCATTGGACCTTAATTATCTTCTAAAAGCCCAATCTTCAAATATAGTAATTCTCAGGGGTAGGGTTTCCATACATGGATTTTGGAGGGACACACTTGAGTCAATGCATGAACATAGGGCTCGATGCCTCCACAGTCCTTCGGTGTCCTCTCCAGATGCACTTGAGGGTCCAATAATTAGAAATATATTGGGCTCATCAGAAGTGTCTCTGATGTCAGGCACGGTGGCTCATGGCTACAACCCCAGCATTTTGGGAGGTCAAGACAGGAGGATCCCATGAGCCCAGGAGTTTGAGATCAGCATAGTGAGACCACATCTCTACAGATAATTAAAAAATTAGGCAACTGTAGTGGCACTCGCCTGTAGTCCCAGCTACTGGGGAGGTTCAGGAGGGAGGCCCACCTGAGCTCCGGTGGTCCAGGCTGCAATGAGTGGTGGTCACACCACTGCACTCCTGCCTGGATGATGGGAGTAGAATCCTCTATTTAAAAAAAAAGTCTCTGATAAGATTAGAGGGAGATTATCAAAAGCAAGCCACCCCTTATTGCTTGGGTTCTTAACACCTGAGTGGCAGGTCTGGTTTAGACAGCTGGAGTAAACTGACCTAGTGCTTCTCAAACTTTTGTTTACAAATTACCTGAGTATCTTGGTTTAAAATGCAGATTTTGAATACAGGCCTGCAAGTCTGTAGTTCTAACAATCTCCCAGGTGATACTCATGCTGCTGGTTCAGCACCCACAGTGAAAGATCAAACATTCTCAGTCCTCTTCATGACCTCCACACTAAAGGTTTTAACACAATCGACTCTCTCAGCACCCAAGCCTCTAACCCATGAATTAAACAAATACATCAACAAACAAAACAATAAACAGAAAAAACTGAGAAGCCAAGGGTTGAAGGTTTTAAAATGTGATGTATTAATCCACAAAAAAAACATGTCTACTGAAGCTTTGATTAGTGTTTATATTTCATTCCCTGCTTCAATCACAATTACATCTCGGTTACACTTAAATTCTTCCCACATGAATTTTAGGTTCCAGAACTGATAGCAGGCACAACTGGCTACAGTCTAAATCAAAGGCAGAAACCCAAGAAAGAAGTAATAATATAAAAATATCAATTTATCTACAAATGATTTTAACATATCCTTCAAACCATGTTTTCTAAATAAATGGGCCTTACTCATCATTAAGGCCTGTGTGTGTGTATGTGTTTACATAGGTATTGTGTGGACAGTAGTGGAAGGAGGCAGAGGACAGCAACCCAGTGTAAATGTATAGGTCAAGGACAAACTGAACACTCTTAAGCAGAAAGCAGTACTTTGCTTTCATTTGGGTACCATTTGGAGAAAAAGACTGTATTTATTACTTCAACCACCCTTCAGTATGTATGGATTGAATTCCAATGAAAGTGCATTAAAAGATAAAAGATCCAAAGGAAAAAAAAGCAAGCAAATGTGTTTGTTCATTTTTATTTTGTTTGGAAAAGAACACACCTAAATATCCACGTTTATTTTCTCTTATCCTCCTATAACAAAGGGTGAGATTTCAGTTCTCTACTATGGTCGCCTCTACATAGGAAGCTTCCGAAGTTTATTCTACCCCAGAGACCAGTGGGTGGGGATGAATGTCAGGGTCATTCCTATATGCCTAGTTTAGCTCTTGGTACACTGCAGGGACTCAAGCAAAATGTATAAAATGAATGGGTGTCTGCATGCATGCTTAGCATTTTTTTGGGACAGGACTCACAAGAAAATGCTTTTTTTTTTTTTTCTGTTTTCTTCTCCCCAGTCATCTCATCCTTCTGACCCTTCTCCCTGGCCCCACCATTAGACAAAGGTATCACGGTTGGGGCCAGAGGAACGTTTCGACAGTTAGCTGGTCTGGCTCAGCCATGATGATCAGTTACGATCTTAATCTCCCTGGGTATTTTCTTCTCTCATCATTAAAGTGGAAACAATAGCAATTTCTCTTCTCTAATTACTCCATCACAGGGTTATTGATGGATTTACTAGATACATATAAAATGGATCCCATAAATGCAATAGCTGCCCAAGAAATAATCATTTTCTATTTTAAATAAACTATAGTTTATCATTTAATGTTTTCCATGAACAGTAAACTTATCTTTAAACTTTGATTTCTTCCTTCGTTCTCTGCGTCTAAGAACAATGGAGTCACTCTGGGAACAGCAATAGTGGCTTCCATTATACAAGGGATTTGAAATGGGGTATGGGTAAATGAAAGCTACAAAATGACTGAAAAATGATCATATTTTAGTTAAAGACACATTATAAGCATACGGCTAAACACTGCTGTCCCCTAATGATCCAAAGTCCTATAAATCCAAATAAAAGATCATTTCATGCCCTTCAAATTAGCGTAGGTTTTAAAATGATCACAGTCCAATGTTGGTGAGGTTATCATAAGTGAAGTTACCCTAACTCATTTTCACAGGTGTGAGTTATGCTTATAAGTTAGTAGTAGTGTTTATATTGTGAGGAAGAATTTTTCATTTTCTAATTTATTTATATCAGTGTACACTTATGCATTTGCCTTTCATTCAGTGAGCTCCAATCTCTTGCTATTATTTACATTTTGATACTCAGATTATCCCAGATCTGGCCAGTGGATGGTACTTGAAGCTGAGGCCTGTGTCCTTTGGACATGCTCCCATCATTCTTTGATATTCCTGACTTTCTGGCAAAAAGAAAGAGTTGTTCCAGGTTCATATTGTTCTTTCCTTGCCCCAGTTCTGGAATCACCCTTTCTCCAATAAGTTTTGGTTCCTTTTAATGATTAATGATATTTAGAAACCAAGATCTGGGAGCTAGTTGTGCTGATTACTCCTGGAGTTTCCAAGTTTTGTGTATTTCTATAATTATGTATATACTTTAAAAAAACTAAATTGATACTGATAGCTCCAATTTCAATCCAACACCATCAGGTACTATCAATGCTGATTTTGTGTGTATGTTTGAGACAGAGTCTTGCTCTTTCACTGGAATGCAGTGGCACAATCTCAGCTCACTGCAACCTCTGCCTCCTGGGTTCACGTGATTCTCCCACCTCAGCCTCCTGAGTAGCTGGGACTACAAGCGCCCACCAAGCCTGGTTAACTTCTGAATTTTTTGTAGAGACAGGGTTTCACCGTGTTGGCCAGATTTGAAGTGATTTCACTTGAAATCACTCTTGATTTCAAGTAACTTGCCCGCCTCAGCCTCCCACAGTGCTGGGATTACAGGCATGAGCTACAAGGCCCAGCCTGATTTCTGTTTTTATATTTACTATTCCCATCCTTTTACTATATTGGGTATAATTTTCTTTTTTTCTAGTTTTAAAGGAGAAACTTGGATTATTCACTTTAAATCTCTCTAACATTTCAACCAGTAAATTTACAGCATCTATAGCTATACATTCACTCTGTTTTTTAGCCGGATCCCATAAGCCTTGAGATATCATCATTCAGTCCAAAATACTTTCTAATTTCTCTTGTGATATCTGCATTAATGTGAGAGTCATTTAGAAGTATTCTATTTAATTTCCAAAATTTTGGTACTTTTATAGGTACGTTATAATTACTGACTCCTAATTTTATTCCATTGTTGCCAGAAAACATAGTTAACAATATTTCAAAAATTTAAATGCATTAAGATTTCATACCCAACATGTAGTCTACTTTGAGGGGATATTTCATGAGCACTTGAAAACATGTGCATGCTGTAGTTGTTGGATACATTATTCTATAAATGTCATAGGTCAAGTTGGTAGATAGTGTTGTTCAAATCACCTGATATGATTTGGCTGTGTCCCCACCCAAATTTCATCTTGAATTGCAGTTCTCATAATCCTCACATGTTGTGGGAGGGACCTGACAGGAGGTCATTGAATTGTGGGGCTGGCTACCCTCATGCTGTACTCGTGATAGTGGGTGAGTTCTCACGAGATCTGGGGG
Source organism: Homo sapiens (assembly GCF_000001405.40). Taxonomy (NCBI): domain Eukaryota; kingdom Metazoa; phylum Chordata; class Mammalia; order Primates; family Hominidae; genus Homo; species Homo sapiens. The sequence continues at coordinate 6,399,912 of NC_000016.10, read as the reverse complement.
TTTTACAAAGGGCTTCTCCCTTCATTGGGCACTCATTCTCTCTCCTGCTGCCCTGTGAAGAGGTGTCTTCCATGATGACTGTAACTTTCCTGAGGCCTCCTTAGCCATGTGGAACTGTGATTCAATTAAACCTCTTTTCTTTATAAATCACCGAGTCTCAGGTATTTCTTCATAGCAGCTTGAGAATGAACTAATACATAAGCTGTTATTGAGGTAGTGGAGTGCACTGCTGTAAAGATACCCAAAAATGTGGAAGTGACTTTGGAACTGGGTAACAGGCAGAGGTTGGAACAGTTTGGAGGGCTCACAAGAAGACAGAAAGATGTGGCAAAGTTTGGAACTTCCTAGAGACTTGTTGAATGCTGATGGTGAAATGGACAATGAAGTCCTGGCTGAGGTGGTCTCAGATGGAGATGAGGAACTTCTTGGGAACTGGAGCAAAGCTCACTCTTGCTGTGTTTTAGCAGAGAGTCTGGTGGCATTTTGCTCCTGCCCTAGAGATCAGTGGAACTTTGACCTTGAGAGACATGATTTCGCATATCTGGTGGAAGAAATCCGCATAAGTAACAAGGAGCTGAATGTCAATTACCAAGACAATGGGGAAAATGTTTCCAGGGCATGTTAGACACCTTCATGGCAGCCCCTCCCATCACAGGACCAGAGGCCTAGGAGGGAAAAGTGGTTTCATGGGCCAGGCCCAGGGCCACCCTGCTCTGTGCTGCCTCGGGACATGGTCCCCTGCATCCCAGCTGCTTCAGCTCCAGCCATGGTTAAAAGAGGCCAAGGTACAGCTCAGGCCATTGCTTCAGAGGGTGCAAGCCCCAAGCCTTGGCAGCTTTCACGTGGTATTGCTCCTGTGGGTGCACAGAAGACAAGCATTGAGGTTTGGGAACCTTCGCCTAGATTTCAGAGGATGTGTGGAAATGCCCAGATATCCGGGCAAAAGTCTGCTACTGGGGCAGAATCCTCATGGAGAACCTCTGCTAGGACAGTGCAGAAGGGAAATGTGGGGCTGGAGCCCCCAGACAGAGTCCCACTGGAGCACCGCCTAGTGAAGCTATGAGAAGAGGACCACTATCCTCCAGATCCCAGAATGGTAGCATGGTAGATCTAGCGACAGCCTGGACTGTGCACCTGGAAAAGCTGCAGACACTCAATGCCAGCCCATGAAAGCAGGTGGAAAGGTGGCTGTGCCCCACAAAGGCATAGGGGCAGAGCTGCCCAAGGCCATGGGGGCCCACTTCTTGCATCACCATGACCAGGAAGTGAGACATGGAGTCAAAGGAGCTCATTTGGGAACTTTAATGTTTAAAGACTGCCCTAATGGATTTTGGACTCACATGGGACCTGTAGTCCCTTTGTTTTGGCAAATTTCCCTCATTTGGAATGAGTGTATTTATCCGATGCCTGTACCCCATTGTATCTAGTAGGTACCTAACTTGCTTTTGATTTTACAGGCTCATAGGCAGAACAGAGTTACTTTGTCTCAGATGAGACTTTTGACTTGGACTTTTGGGTTAATGGTGGAAGAAGTTAAGACTTTGGGGGACTGTTGAAAAGGAATAATTGTGTTTTTAAATGTGAGGACATGAGATTTGGAAAGGACCAGGAGCAGAATGATATGCTTTGGCTATACCGAAATCTCGAGTTGTAGTTCCCATAATCCGCATATGTTATGGGAGAAACCCGGTGGGAAGTAATTGAACCATGGGGGCGGTGACCCTGATGCTGTTCTCATGATGGTGAGTTCTCATGAGATCTGATGGTTTTCTAAGGGGCTTTGCTCCTTTCTTCAGCACTTCTCTTTCCTGCTACCACGTGAAGAAGGACGTGTTTGCTTACCCTTCTGCCATAATTGTAAGTTTCCTGACATAGTTGGACTTATGTTTATGGTTTGCTCTTTAATTTCTGTTTGCTTTTTGTTACTATTGTTTTTGTTATGCCGTTGTTTCTCTATTCCCCTTTTTCAGTCTCATTTTGGGTTAAGTGATATATCTATTATTTCATTTTAGTTCCTTCCGTATCTTTCTCACTATACACTTTTGTAATATTTTTAGTAGTTGCTCTCAGAATTAACTATGTAATCTTAACACAGCACAGTCTACTCAGCATTAATACAGTGCTACTTCATGGCAAGTGTAAAAAATTTTCAACAGTATAGTTTTGCTTCACATTCTCATCATTTGTGTCTGCATATGTTACAAACTCCAAAAAACAGTGATGTCATCTTTCTTTACACAGTTACATATATTTTCAAAGAAGCATTATAACCTTTTATATTATCCACATATTTACCATGTTCCCTGCTCTTCATTCATCTCTTTAAGTCTCACCTAGCATCATTTCCTTTCACTCTGAAGATACCCTTTAAAGCTACAGTTCTTATAGTACAGGACTAATGGTAATAAAACATCTATTTTCATTTGTCTGAATGCATCTTCCTATTAATTTCTGTGAAGGATTTTTTTTTTATGAAAACAGAATTCTGGGTGGGCAGATTTCTTTGTCAACCATTAAAAGACGTCATTATATTGTCTTCTTGCTTCCACTGTTTCTGATGAGAAGCTGACCATCACGGATATCACTATGCCCCATGTAGGAAATGCCTCTTTTTCACTCTGATTGTTTTCAAGATGTTTTTATCTTTTATTTTCATCACTGTGACTATGACGTGGAAATTAAAATCATACTAGGTGTGCTTGTCTTTATATTTTGCTTGCTTGAAGTTTCTTGAGCTTCTTGAAAGTATTTCACCAAATTTGAAGAAATTTCAACTATTACTTATGCATTATCTTCTCCTTCCTCTTTCTGGGACTCCAAGTACCTATAGCTGTATACATTTGATATTATCCCATAAATCACTAGTCTTCTGTTAATAATCAAATCATTTGCTTTTTTTCAAATTGAATGATATACATTAATCTATATTAAATTCACTGATCTGTTGTGCTGTCCCCATTCTCCTGTTTAGCCCATATAGTAAAACTGTCATTTCAAATATTTTATTTGTAATTCTAAAATTTTCATTTTTATATAACTAGTTATTTCTTTAATTACTATTCACATTTATACCAGCTGTTTCAAAGTCCTTATCTGTTAATTCCAACATTTTTTTTATGTCAGGGTTAACTGCTTCTTCTCATGACTATGAGTAATGTTTCTCTGTTTCTTCACACATCTAGTAAGTTTTATTTAAAAGGACATCATGGATAATATATTAATGAGGCTGAATTTTGTTAACTTACTCAGAAGAGTGCTGATTTTTGTTATAGCAGGCAGTTAACTTGCTGGATTCACACTCCCATTCTGCATCCTCTACCTGTTTAGCAACTCGAGTATCCACTCGGTTCTTTCAGTCGTCCAGCTATGGCTTCCCACGGGCTCCCCTAGAGCCTCTTTTATATAAATATGCTTCAGAGATCCACCAGAATGTGTGTAGATTTTATAGGTAAATCTGCATCTTCCTTCCTAGTCTATCTATGTGTCTTTCATTGATACTTTCTAACTATTCTGGACATCTGTCTTTTATTTCTCAAACTCAGTAAGACTGTAGCCTTCCTGAGTCTCGTCTTCCTTGCACCACATGGATTGGTGTGTACTTTGGGGGTGAATATCAAATGCATCTCATTTTATCAAGTTACAGTACCTCTCTTTCCAGGGTCAAAGCCCCTTCAATTTCTGCCTACTTATGGTTGTTGGGGAGTACCATCAAACAGAAGGTGATTTTTACTATCCTATCTAGAATTTATAATTGCTATCTATGATAGGATTACTCCAAAACAAGCTACTCTGTTACTGCCATAAGAGTAAAGGTGTTAGTTGTCCTTTTTTTTTTTTTTTTTTTTTTGAGAAGGAGTCTTGCTCTGTCACCCAGGCTGCAGTGCATTGGTGCGATCTCAGCTCACTGCAACTTCCACCTCCCGGATTCAAGTAATTCTACTGCCTCAGCCTCCCAAGTAGCTGGGACTACAGGTGCACGCCACCATGACCAGCTAATTTTTTGTATTTTAGCAGAGACGGGGTTTCACTGTGTTGCCCAGGCTGCTCATGAACTCCTGAGCTCAGGCAATCCACCTGCCTCAGCCTCCCAAAACTGCTGGGATTACAAGCGTGAGCTACTGTGCAAGGCCCTCATGTTAAAAAACAGCTTTATTGAAATATATTTGGTACACAATAAATTGCACATTTAATTTATAAAATCTGATATATAAGTATATAGATGGTATTGATATAAACTTGATATATACACAAGGAACACTACAATATTTATTTCCCAAGATGCAATAATCCAAATGTTATGAATCTGTAGTAAGGTAATAACTCTGTATATAATTATATGTTTTTTCACACAAAAAGCTCATTACAGAGCTAATTATAAAAGTAAAAAAAAAGTAAGAACTTAAATATCTACAAAAAATGAGAAAAAGGTCAAAACAACCATGCAATAGTCACAAGGTAGAAAGTTACAGAGCCATTAAAACAACATTTGAAAAGAATTTGGGATAACATGACCATAACTATATTATTAAAATGCATGGATAAAAGACTAAGAAGAAGTATAACATGGCTTTGACAGAGTTTTCATTTGACTCAGGAGACTTTGAGCCAATTTTGAAATCTGACTTTGTTGGCATTTTCCACCACGTCTATGACAAAAACGCATTCGTTTAATGGTCAGAACTTTTTATTTTCTTTGACAAAAAAAATCCTGTCTTCATTCCAATTCTTCTGTAGTCCTTAGACAATAATTCATTTCCACATGCCAGCTGAATGTCACCATATCTTTAGCAAACCCTTCGGTGACAGTGACATGGTCAGAGTCTTGTGAGTCATAATGTTGAGGTCAGAATATTGCCTATACCACCTAACCAAACAAATGGCCATTGGCCAGCCATTTAATTTCCCTGATTATCATTTTCCTATCTGTACATCAAGGGCAATAATAATATTTATTGGAGAGAAGACCAAATGTAACAAGAGCAAAAGTGGTTTTAAACAGTAACACGCTTAATAGTGCTAGTTTTCTCACCACGATACACAGCTGTGAGATTTTTAAACAGTTAGTTTCTCCTTCCCAAACTGATCTTTTCACCAAGGACTTAGGGGTCATTAAGGCTCCTTGGGGATCGTGGCTGAGCTGTTTTGGTAGACAAGCATTTGGCTAAGAACCTAATCACAGAGGACTGGTGGAGTATATACATACTTACACACACACACATTATCTAATACATTAATATATCATATATATCATATATATATCTAATACACATAATATATATATTAGATACCTAGTTGTTTATCCAGGAAAGTTACTTTGAAATATGTCTTAACTGCATATATTCTCCTCTTATTCTAGCTCGTTTCTTTTGCATAATTTCTCATCCTTTCAGAATCACAAAAAAAAAGCAATTTTCCCACTGCTATTCTGGGGGGTAAATTTAAGGTTCTTTGCAAGAAGCAATATTCTTTCTTCCCCCACTCCCACCAGCAGCCAAGTGCCTGTAATTCAGTTCAGTTAGTTCTCTTTTATTCACATGCATCGATTATTCCTTTAAAAACAAAATAATTTCCACTTAAAGCCTTTCATCTGTGGATCTCAGCACTTCAGAAACTAATTAATCTCCACAATATGCCTCGATCAGCATTATCCCTTTTGTTTTCAGATGAGCAAACAAACACTATGAAATTAAGCAGATTGCTCAAGGTCAAACAATATGTCAACTTCTGAGCCCGATTTGAACTCAGGATCCCATATTTTTGCATTCAGGGCTGGCAATAGAAACACAAAGCTTGGAACACTAGTGCCCTGTTTGAAGCAGTGGAGATGCACAGTCATGGATGTCTGCATTGCAGGATGCTATGCATGTTGGTAATAAGGAGTAACAATTTAGTATAGTCTTCTAAACAGTTTCCAAAATGAAAACGCCTTCCAAGATTCTTGTTGGAAAAAGAACAGCCTACCTCTCCCACTTTTCTTCTTCTTTCCTTCCAGAGAGAGATCATAATTCCCAGTTTGCCTGGGACAGGGCTGGTTTTGCTGGTTTCCTGACACAGTTCTTACAATGATCCCGCTTTTGCTTTCAACAGTCATCCAGATGACATGATGAATTAATTGGTCACCCATAAAACATTTGGACCTCTAACATAACATGATGAGGTAAGGAACACACAGCCTTGCCTTTCCTTAAAGAAAAGTGTTGTGTGTCTAAAGACACAGTCAGCAGAGATAATGTGGGGTATTAAGAAAGTAAGAGAAGATGGAAGGAAATGAGTGGGAGGAGGTCAGCAACAGCAGTGAATTCTCAGAAAGGGGAGATACCCCAAGATTGAAAGGGAACTGAGAAGGGTGCAGGGCATGTGGGGGGTCTTCAAGGATTTGAATGCATGAAGCAGCTAAATATTAAGAAAGATTTCCTGTTCCATGCATGGATCAGAATTTGCAAAGCGGTCCCTTTTTATAGGGACTGGGCAGGTTTAAGTAATAAGAATCCTAACACCCAAATGCCCACAATATCTCAAAGACCAGCTGTCCTTCCCTGTATCCGAAGCACTGCTAAGCTCCACAGGTGACTGTCTATCTAGCATATGGGAAAGGGATACTGTTCATCCCCATTCCCTATACTCATAGTTGTGATTGAGTTTCTTAAAACCCTAATGACTGGATGCTCAGAGTCATTTAATTTGTTTTAGAAAAATGAAATAATGTGACATTTCAGCATCTACAGATGGAGGGGTAAAATTCACACCAGCTCCATTAGTCAAAAAGCTAACTGCATTTGGCTGCAAAATATACTCATAGTTAAAGCCTCCCAAACACAAATTTCAAAGGAAAGTGTAAGTATGGCAGAGTGCCCCATTTACTCCAGTGTCCCAGCCTATTGTTCAACCTCCCTTAAAGACACAAGACAGGAGTTCCTTGTCTGATTTAGTGAGCATCTTGAAACAAGCAATTATGAAAGACTTCAGTCCATTGTTCATTCATGGCAGAAGAGGGTGGGTCATATGGTTTATCCTTCATCTGGTGTTGCGTCTGATAAAAATATGGCCCATGACGTGGAACTTCAGTTGTGCATATATTTACCAAACTGTAAATGGTTAATTTATTATCCAATTTTCTTGTCAATTTGAGGGATGCTTTTTAATTCCTGCAAAGGAAGGAGGGAATTTAGCATACCATCTAGTTCTCAAGGTCCCAATCTGGAGTGCCCCCAGATATTTATGGAACAACATCTACTCTGAGGCACTGTCTGCATCCCATTAGGGGGGTCTATTAGTCCCAGGAAAAGGTTCCTCAGTGTGCGGAGGAGAGCAAAGGGATATTACCATATTCCATCAGGATCACATATTTTGACCTTACAGCAAGCATAGAATACAATGACATTTAGCTTTAACTTTACATTTTATTTCCCTTACAATCTCTTTTACAAATGAAAACAGTAATTATTATTCCAGAGATAGAAATACATAATCTTGAATTTGTTACCTCTAGATATCTTCATAAAATTGTATTACTATTAGTAAATTATATAATGTAACGTATTTAAGGTACTCTATGGTCCAGGAGACAAACAATTACCTAGAAAAACCGTGTAAATATTCTTACTACAGATGCTTCTTCGAAATTCAATGAAGACAAAATAAGACGCAGTGTCTTCAGTTAAAACGCTTGGAGAACATCTTAAATACTTAGAGTTAACCAGTAAAAGGCTACGTTGGGCCACGAATTTTAGAAACGGTCTTTTCAAAGACAACAATTTAGGACATTCACCCCAGTTTCCCTCCCAGGCCATAGAACAGAGTCACTCTGGGCATAATTTTCCTTGACAGCAGTTTGAATTATTGAAGAGGGATTATCTCCTACGGTTTCCTCTTAGTATAGACCAGGAACCTGAGCTCCTTCTCCACTTAGAAAAATCCTACTTATTCTTCAAAAGCTTTTACAGCCTCTGAGCAATCTTCCCTGACTTTCTCTGAAAGACTTATTCACTCTCTCCTCAGCGCTGCCGAAACATTTTGTTCATGCATTTATTAGAGCACACTGTAATGAGTGCAATATATATGTTTGTTTTCCCTTACTTCAGTGTGAGCTCTTCGAGGATGGGAGGGGTATCCTATTTGTTATTTAAAAATCTAAGAATTGTACTTAATCTTCTCCTTCTCTCCCTGCCCATCCATCTGGTCCACAAATAAATTCTGTCAACTTTATCCAAATCATATCTGCCTACAGAACTTTCTTCCCATGACTATCACCTTCCATCAAGGCAATTATAACCTCTCTCTGGGACCATGAACTTTTTTCCTTTCCACATTGCCTTCCTGCAACCCATTTGCTTACAGCAAATAGAATGATCTTTAAAAATGTGAATCAAATCATGATACTTTTTTTTCTTTTTTTTTTTTTTTGAGACGGAGTCTTGTTCTGTTGCCCAGGCTGGAGTGCAGTGGTGCGATCTCGGCTCACTGCAAGCTCCACCTCCCGGGTTCACGTCATTCTCCTGCCTCAGCCTCCCCAGTAGCTGGGACTACAGGTGCCCGCCGCCATGCCTGGCTAATTTTTTTGTATTTTTAGTAGAGACGGGGTTTCACCGTGTTAGCCAGGATGGTCTGGATCTCCTGACCTCGTGATCGGCCCGCCTGGGCCTCCCAAAGTGCTGGGATTACAGGCGTGAGCCACCGTGCCTGGCCCAAATCGTGATACTTAATTGGTTCAAACTTTCAGTGGCTTTCCATGGATCCTAGAATAAACTCAAACTTCTTGCAGGCAAGGCCAATTTCAGTGGTTTTTCAACCAAGGGAGATTTTGTCACATTTGGAGGGGACATTTGGCAAATGTCTGGAGACATTTTTATTGTCACAACTGGAGGAGTGCGAGGTACTATCGTCTAGTGGGTAGAGGCCAGAGAGGCTGCTGAACATCTTACTATACACAGGACAGCCCTCACCAAAGAGCATTCTCCAGCTTCGAATGTCAGTAGTGCTGAGGTTGAGAAACCCGGCCCCACAAGCCCGTCTCCACTTCATTCCATGCTGCCTTCCCTATCATCCACTAAAATGCAACCCTGGCCCGGCTCTTTCTTGGTTCCCAAACCACTCCAGCCTCCTTCCTGCCCCAGGACCTTTGCACTAATTGATCCACCTGCTCAAAACTAACCCCCTGCCCCGATATTTATAGGTGCTCCCTACTTATAATACAGATTTCAACTTAAGGGTAGTCTCTTTGTAAAAGTCATCATTTATAACCTAAGCTTAGAGACTCACCTAGCCATATACTGTCGCATCAACTAATTTTAATTCATAGTTTATTTTATTTAATTTAAATCATAACTATCTGATATGTTTCTTCCATGCTTTTTTTTTTCTCACTCCCTCCCTAAATTATAAGTTGCAAAAGGGCTGACACCTTCTCTGTTTTTTGTTCTCTATTTTATTCCCAGAAACAAACACAGTGCCCGGCACACTGAAGTCATCCAAAACATTTTTTAAAAAATTGATACCTGCATTAACAAATAATTGGCACAAAGTAAAACACTAGGTACCTGCACAGCCCTTCAGTTCAGTATTATCACCACAGCTCCACTCAAGTTCAGGATTTGGGGGTGGGGAGGGGCAGATTTTGTCTTTCCATCTCTAAACCAGAAAATAATCAGAATGGCACCTCTAAGAGGTAGGTAAAAAGACTCAGGTTTACGGATATGTAAATACATCCATTGCATGTGCATAAATAGAAATACTAATGTATGCACGCATACAGTGCCAAGGATAACTGCAAACCTTCTAATTAACGGATTAGCATCCACTTAGAAAACAACAGTGCAGACACGGCTTTCAGCTGGGACTTCTCTCAGGTATCCGTCATTTCACAGCCATGAGAAGATGGAGCTCCTGACCAAAAGCAATTTAGCCCAAACACAGTTTCCCCGGCCTTCCTAATGGCTTACAAGTCATTCACTCCTGGACACTTCACCAGCCCTGTTGCATTTCTGCTGGAAATGCTGAGACAGCGACTCAGATGGCAGTACACATAAGTAGCTCAAAGAGGTACAATCCTATTATCCCAAATACTGGGAAGACAGCATCAATTTTTATTCTGAGCCTTACCAGTCCATAGCTTGATTTCTCCTGGGTACAGCCTCATGTCTTTGAGTCCCTGAACCTCTCTGGCCCATGATTTATTTGGTGGCTACAGCCTGAGCTGAATTTTTGAGCACGAGGTTCGTCATTGATTAGCACTGAGAAAAACCTACCTCATGTTTACTCTTGTCATTCAACTTCAGTTGCTTGTTAGTACACCACCCTCACACCATAGTTTAGGTAGAGACATCCAAGATTAAAAGATCACAGGTTCCTAGAACAGCAATTGGACTAAGTGGACCTTCATTTTAGAGTTCTGAAAAACCACAGAGATGATACACATGAAGAAGTCTAGTATTTCAGAAACCAGGTGCCTGCTTTCATGATGATAAACTTAATGACCACATTTTCTTGAGCACTGTCAAGGAAAATAAAAGATGTAGTTTCATGATCGAAGAGTGTTGAAAGAAACACACACAAAAAAATGAAGGATATGTAAGCTAGTGGTGGGCAGGTCATCTTGACAATGCCTGCACCATCTCTGCAGAGTCCTGTATGCATCTGTGCATGTCGTTTCATTATTCTCTCCTTTCCCAACTTGTGCCCACAGACACAGAAAAATGGGCTCTATGAAGGAGAAAAGAAATTCTCCCTCTGAATCCCTGCAGCATGCATCATCTGAGTCCTCCTCATGAACTGAACGTACTGATGAGCACCCCTGCCACAGTGTGAACTTTGCTGGTTGCAGCTGGCAAAAGTGCAAAGCCAAGCTGGGTGAAAAGACTAAAAAAAGGGAATTTACTAGTTTAGGTAACTCAGTAGTTAGAGGGATAAAAGGGTTAAGGCTTAGCTGGATCCAGGGACCTTTCAAGTGATGTCATTGTCCAACATCTCCTGAACTCTCCATCTCCACCTGTCAGCCCCTGGAAACCGCCATTCTACTCTCTGCTTCTGTGAGTTCAACTTTTTTTAGATTCCACATATTACTGAGATGGTGTATTTGTATGTTTGTGCCTGGCTTAGTTTATTTAGCCGAATGTCCTCCAGGTTCTTCCATATTGCCACAAGTGATGGAATTTCCTTTTTGTTTGTTTTTGTTTTTGAAACAGCATCTCGCTCTGTCATCCAAGCTAGAAGGCAGTGACACAATCATAGCTCCCTGCAGCCTCAAACTCCTAGGTTCAAGCAATTCTCCCACCTCAGCCTACCAAAGTGCTGAGGTTACTGGTGGGAACCACTGTGCCCAGCCAGGTTTCCTTCTTTTTAAGGCTGAGTAGTATTCCATTATATATATATATATCACACGACAAATATACACAATTTTTATTTGTCAACTAAAAGACAAATTAATTAAAAATAATAAATAATAAGTAAAAATAAAAACAAACACATGTTTTAAATCACCATTAAATGGTGCCATTGAACCTTGGTCTTCATTTCTTTCTTTCTGCTCTTCTTCACACTTTCTGTGAGTGTGAGTTTCATTCCTACGCTCCACATGGTGCCAAAATGGCTGCAAACAGCTTCAGACCTACGTCCCCCAAGTTCAAACACATTTTAAAAATTCCACAGACAGGACCAAGCACGGTGGCTCACACCTGTAATCCCAGAACTTTGGGAGGCCGAGGTTGGTGGATCACAAGGTCAGGAGTTCAAGACCATCCTGGTTAACAAGGTGAAACTCCATCTCTACTAAAAATACAAAAAATTAGCATGCACCTGTAGTCCCAGCTACTCGGGAGGCTGAGGCAGAAGAATCGCTTGAACCCGAGAGGCAGAGGTTGCAGTGAGCTCAAATCGTTCCAGTGCACTCCAGCCTGGCCAAAAGCAAGACTCTGTCTCCAAAAAAAAAAAAAAAAAAAAAAAATGTTCCACAAACTTCATGTCACTGGTTCTGATAGGTGCGCATGCTCACCTTTCAACAGTCATAGTGACTGGGGTACACAGTGCTTCTCAGAGCCAGGTGGAAGCCACACACTTGTTCCCTGTAGACTGAGACAGACGAAGCTCTCCTGGAAGTCAAAAGGTCTGAGAATGGGGAGGAATGATCACCAGAGGGAAAAATGGACACTCTTAGAGAAGTAGGGGCATGGATTCTGGGCTGCAGAATTGACAGGTGCCCACTATACACCCTCAAAACAAATAAAAAAGAAAAGAGAATCCCAAGTGCATAAAGCTAAAAATATAATTAGGTAGCCTAAAACAGCTGAGCAATGCTAGACATTTTCTTTGTTTCACATAACCTTGAGCTGGTGCCTGTTTTATGAGCCTATAAGCAGATGTATCATCCCAAATATCTTGAATTTAAGTTGACGCTAATGGCTTCATTTTTTTTACACCTCTCTCTTCAAAAGGTTTTTTTTTTTTTTTCCTAATCAAGTCCTTTCATATCTAGGGTGGCTCTTCCCTCACAAGCAAGACTTGCACATACGAATCCGAGGAGTGTAAATAGAAGTCAAGTTGCATGGGACAGCAAGATTCCAATGAGAACAACAGCAGGCGCTGAGTGCTCTGAGTGGATTCCAAAATAGCAATGGGGAGAAATGCATCTCAACTTCTTTTTTCTCCATTGAAAATGAAGGCTACGGATGCTTACAGGAGGTGAGTGATGTGATGAAGGCTGTAAGTGAAAGCCAGTGGTTGAACTTACAAGAACTGCCTTATTCTCAAGGCCAACGCTTCATCCTTCAGGGTCACCAACCCTAAAAGGCATGGATTTGAAGTTCATTGAATGGTTGCCAATGGACTTTGACTTTACCAAGACTTTAGTCATTTCCCCTTGCATTTCAATTAAAGTCCAAGTTCCTCTCCAGAACCTATGACCCCAGTCATGTTCCTGGGTACTCTCTGAGCTTCATCTTTGCGGAATCAATAACTACCCCAACACCTCTCTCTTTATTTTTCAACCATAGAGATTCTTTATTCCACAATTCCTCAAACAATCCAATATCTTTCCAGCTCTCCGCCTTTCTCACCACCCATACTTCCCTTCCTCCCAGCCCTATCTGGCCCCTTGATCATCTCATGAATAATTCTTTATATTTCTGCTGAAATAGTAGATCCCCAGAGAATCTTTGTGGATTCCCCTACCTAAACTATTCCATTTACCGTAAACATTTACTCAGTGAATAATCACTTGAGTTCCTACTATGTGTCAGACACTATTTTAACAACTGGAGATACTAAAAGAACTTCTTTTCTCTCTTTGGGACGCAATGGTTTCTTTTACAGACATCTTACCACCTGTGATGGCTTTATTTATTTTTCCATTTATTGGTTGTTGCTGCTTTTTCTATCCTTTCCACCAAATATAAGCTCGAAAAGGTGCAGGAATCATGTTTGGTGTATCCCCAGCATCGGGGTTAATTAGCTATTCAGTAATTTTTGGATGAACAAATGGAGGAGGACAAAGACTCCCTCATGCCAATACACAGCAAGAAGTGGATGATAATCATGATAGAAAATACACTCAGTGGTTAAAGAAAGGCTCACACAAGAATGTAAACATGACCTTTACGGGTATTGGTGTTCCCAGCCAAAATGTCCCGCCCAAACTAAGCTGCAGTAAGTTTGACCTATCATCATGACAACAGGACAGCAGTGTGAAGCTTAGAAATGTGTTCTTACGCCTGTAATCCGAGCACTTTGGGAGGCCGAGACGGGCGGATCACGAGGCCAGGACATCGAGACCATCCTGAGTGACACGGTGAAACCCCGTCTCTACTAAAAATACAAAAAGTTAGCCGGGCGCGGTGGCGGGCGCCTGTAGTCCCACCTACTGGGGAGGCTGAGGCAGGAGAATGGTGTGAACCCGGGAGGCGGAGCTTGCAGTGAGCCGAGATCGCGCCACTGCACTCCAGCCTGGGCGACAGAGCAAGACTCCATCTCAAAAAAAAAAAAAAGAAAGAAAAAAAAGAAATGAGTTCTTAATGGAATTCCCACACTAATGTTGGGGAAGCTGTCCCATACAAAGATCTCATTGGCACACTCTTCCCCCAGACTAGTATTTCAGCTCCCTGGTACTAGAATCTGATAATTCACAGCAAGGGAATAACTTGCTTAGCTTTTTGCTAAATACGATGTGTAGACGTGACGCATGAGTCACTGTGCTTATCACTTTCTGTTCATTACCTTGTTCTGTTCTCCCAATAGTGTTAGAAAGTAGGTTTGTTATTGTGTCCATTTTAAAGATGGGAAAAACTTGCTGTAATCCCAGCACATCGGGAGGCCGAGGCAGGTGGATCACTTAAGGTCAGGAGTTTGAGACCAGCCTGGCCAACATGGTAAAACCCTGTCTCTGCTAAAAATACAAAAATTATCCGGGTGTGGTGGTGCATGCCTGTAATCCCAGCTACTGGGGAGGCAGAGGCAGGAGAATCACTTGATCCTGGGAGGAGGAGATTGCAGTGAGCCAAGATGGCGGCACTGCACTCCAGCCTGGGCAAAAGAGGGAGACTCTGTCTCAAAAAATAAAATAAAATAAAACAAAAATAAAGATGGGGAAAACTGAGGCAAGAGAGGTTAAATAATGTCATGGGCACAGCTGGGACGTAGCAAAGGCAGAGTTCGAACCCAGACCTACGTCCTTAACTATGCATACTGCCTGTTCCTGTTTCCATTATTTAAATACGAAAAAGCTTGGCTCAACCAGCTTTAACAGCTTTATCTTGTCCACACTGAGAGCATCTTCCCATGATGACACCATGCTGAGGCTGAACATGGTTAATCTGTAAATATTTTAGAGTGAATGAGAGTCTGAGAGTTTGAAAAGCTTTGGAAGACCAAACTTTAATGAGGGGAGAGATAATTTGTAGATAGCAAACAGGGAGGGGGTGCTGCTGAAATAGGGTGAGTGACACCCACTCGGACATGGCTACCATTTACACAGAAATGGAGCAGTTTCTGGGTGTAAGTTTCTTAAGAGAGGCTGCCTGGTACCAGCCCCTGCAGACTAGTTCTAAGGGAAGGATACACGTTAGTTAGAAAAGAAACCTCCCAGATCACAGGCTGACCAAGAGCTCCATGATGTGACTAGGAACAGTGGCTATATCAGATCGGAGAAAACAGCAAAGCTTGAAGCCTTGGTCTTTAATTAAAAAGCCACATCCACACACACTCTGAGATGGAGGCACTTATAAACTTGTTCACACATTTACAAAGAGGCCTGGAAGAAGAGATTCTTCATTTGTTCCTTCAAAGAAATAATTCTGTAATTGCAAAAGGAGACGAATTAGATGACCTCCAAAGCCCTGTTTACCCTCAGATTCCATAATAAGGTATAGAAGTAATTGTGTAAGCTCCATTTCTTCAATGCACACTCTTCAGAAGCCCTGTACAACTTATGTTAGATAGAAAGGAAATATGTTTAAGCCTTCTGGGAGGGAAAAAAAATGAAAGATAGAATTAAAGCAGGGATGCCATTGCTGGGTGCCACCCTAGCAGAATCTAGCTGAATTGAAATGCAAAACAGGGGGCAGGGAAAAATGCAATTTTACTGCAATATTTGTATATTATTTTTATCTTCCTCCACAAATAAGATGATGATTGGATTCAAATCACATTTCAAACAGGATTCATTGCTGAAATGTCAAAAATGAGGTAGCACTCAACTCTTGCAAAACCTTGAAATCTGTTCCATAAAAAGGCAATTTCAGCATAAAGCATGGTTAACCTTGAATACTTAGATTAATGATCCAGCACCTTTCAACCAAGCGCCAATGAATAAACAAAACTTTACAAGCAAATTTAGCAACATCTTAGAAGAAAAAAAAAAAAAAAAAAGCAAAACCAATCAAGAGAGATGAATGGTGGTGAAACAGAAACATTTCAGGGTAGAAAGAGAGTGATAGCAGCAGTAAATGTACTGCAGAGAAGGAGAAATTGTTCTCTTTTTTTTCCCCTTAAAATTCCCATACCACAGAGGATCCATTATGCTTCAAAAAACAAAACAAAAACCAGATCCCACCATCTGCTTAGTGGTGGCTTGTACTTTGACAATTGGTTTAAAATTTGATTGTAACCACTGAACTCTTCTTGTTTGTTGTGCTGTTTTTCTTTTCTTTTTTTTTTTCCAAGATAAATTCTCGCACTGTCGCCCAGGCTGGAGTGCAGTGGTGCGATGTTGGCTCACTGCAACCTCTGTCTCCCGGGTTCATGCAATTCTCCTGCCTCAGCCTCCCGAGTAGGTAGGATTATAGGCACACACCATACGCGGCTAATTTTTGTATTTTCAGTAGACACGGGGTTTCACCATGTTGGCCAGGCCAGTCTCGAACTCCTGACCTTGTGATCCGCCCACCTCAGCCTCCCAAAATACTGGCATTACAGGCATGAGCCACTGTGTCCAGCCCTGTGCTGTTTTTCTAGAAGGGGCTTGGTGCATTCAGTGAATTGGACTTGTCCTGACCCAAGGAAGAAAGCAAGATAGAAAAGAACTGTCTGACTGCACAGACTCCATACAGAAAGAAATGACACAATCATGCTTTTGTGTCCTCCAGATCACATGGCATCCTGCATAGGTTTTCTGACAAAGAGGAGAGTCAACTGATGCCAAGTTTAAGAGGTTCAGCTTTAGTTTAACAACAGCAATAATGTCACTCAGATTTGATATCTATTTCATCCAGGCTGCCATCAAATGCTTCCTTTAACAAGAAGAAAGCCAGATCTTCTTGGAAGATTTACCAAAATGTTGTGGGAGCGAAGCCCATAGTATACCCTTTTTTTGGAGAAAGCATGAGAATTTGCTAGCACATGTCAGCAAGTGACTGGGCAACCTTAACAAACTTCTTGGGCACCAGATGTCAAATCCTCCTGCTCACTGTTAGGATTTCGCTGCCTCTGCAGCTGAGCCCTGGGCTGGCTGCAGCGTAAATACTGGCTTGTCAGGATTTAGAGCTTCCTGGTCTATTGTGCTGCTTCTCCTGCTTTGGGTAATAACTTAACACTTTTCAGTGGGCTTGAGAGTAAAAGCATTTTCTTTTTTGAGACAGAGTCTCACTCTGTTGCCCAGGCTGGAGTGCAGCGACATGATCTCGGCTCACTGCAACCTCCACCTCCTGAGTTCAAGGAATTCTCCTGCCTCAGCCTCCCAAGTAGCTGGGATTACAGGCACCTGCCACCACATCTGGCTGATTTTTGTATTTTTAGTAAAGATGGGGTTTCACCAGGTTGACCAGGCTGCTCTAGAACTCCTAACCTCAGATGATCTGCCCGCCTCAGCCTCCCAAAGTTCTGGGATTACAGGCATGAGCCACTGCACCCAGTCTTAAAAGCATTTTCACATCCCTTAATGAAGCTAGGCTTCTCCTCATCACACAGATAGGACAGCTGAGGCCCAAAGAGCTGCACAAACTGGCTCCAGGTCACACTATGCATTAGGAGCAGGATGAAGACCTACCGATACCAAATCTTTGCATTTTACTAGTCCTCAGTACCATTCCTTTACCCACTCTGCAGGAGAAAGCAAGCACAAAAACACAACTTACACACCTTCTTTCTTTTCTTCCACAATATGAAATGAGTGTTTACTGCCATTACAGGCCCTGTGCTAAACTTTAGGACGGGACCAACAAACTATGCTTTCAGACCGCAGGCCCACTGCCTGTCTTTGTATGGCTCACAGGCTAAAATGGCTCTTGCAATTTTAAATGGTTGGGGAAAAAGGATCACAAGAATACTATTCTTCAACACATGAAAATGATGGGAAATTCAAATTTCTGCATCCATAAATAAAGTATTATTGGAACACAGCCACACCCATCTGTTTACATATCATCAAGGCAGCTTTCACGCTACAAAGGCAGTTGAATAGCAACAGAGATGGCACAGCCCAAAAGGCCTGAAATATTTCCTGTGTGGCCCTTTACAGGAAAACTTTGCAGAGCCTTTTCCTAGGAGAGGATGATCGACCAGCCGGACATGGTCTCTGCCCTCGTGGAATCTGCAGTGCAGCAGGGGAGACAGCTATTAAACCCGTGCCCTATAAACAGCCCGTGCAGAAACTGACCAGGTGAATGCATGATAATGCGATGAAGTCCACTTGCTGGAATCCCGAGGGACACAGGGCAGACCCAGTTCCAGCAGCAGCAGATGCGGTAGCCCCAGGCATACATCGGCCCAATGCCTGGCCTAGCACACAGGACCCCATGTCCCCAGCGTCATGACAGAAGCAAACTCATCTGTGCCACAAGCCAAGAGGAAGAGCTCCTGTTCAATGACCCAAGAAGATAGTTGACATCCAATAGGTAAAGGCAAGACCTTGGAAAAGAACCCCAAACCTGCATCTTATTTTGTATCATTCCTCCTGTTTAAAAGTTAGCATGGTCACACAAACTCCAAAGATATAAGCCTCTATCAGCGCTGATCACTCCTCGCTGACTTCCTGCAAGGTCATCAAGCCCGTTGCATTTTACTTCCAACATATCTCTAGTTATAACTGGGAGCTAAACAATGGGTACACATGACATACAGGGTGGAATAATAGACACTGGAGATCGCAAAAGATGGAAGGGTGGGAGGGAGGTGAGGGTTGAAAAATTACCTTTTGGGTACAATGTTTACTATTCCAGTGATGGGTACACTAAATGCTTAGACCTCATCACTACGCAATATATGCACATGAGAAATTTGTACTTACACATCTTAAATCTATAAAAATAAAATGCAACAAAAATGAAAATGTCTCTAGGATCTATTCCTTCTTCTCCAGCTCTCAGACAAATTCTTTTGTCTCCCATTTGATTTCCTCCAAAAACTTCCCAAATCCCCTTGCCCCAAACTGACAGGCATCTCCTCTCTGACCTGCCCCCTAAAATACTTCCACAGTCATCATTGCATACCACAAGTCCCCCAGCAAGATTATTTTAAAAAGAAGATGCTCGCCAAGACAAGCAATCACCAGAATGCACAGAAAAATATGAGGACCTTTGGTTTGTTCCTCCACTTGGTAAAACTCAGAAAGATAATGGCCTATGTTGGCAACGGTATGTGAAGGGAAGGAGGCGCTTTGGGCACTGCTGAAGGCAGCACAAACTGGTGAGGAATGTGCAACAGACAATTTGGCAATATTTATCCAAATTGATTATGTGTTCTCCTTTGGACCCAGAGTTCCTATACTTAACACCTGTTTTACAGAAATGGTTTTGTATGCCCCCAAAGAGATTTGTTCAAGGACACTCATGATAGCAATGCATGTCAGAGGAAAAGAAGAAAAAACAAAAGACATATCCTAAGTATGCTCTTTATTTCACACCAGGATTTGATCAAATGGTCCATAACTTTACCTGCCATTTATTTTCCCCCCAGAACTTCAACTCACCTTCCTTTCTGTGCTGCCATCTCTAGACCATAAGTTGTCCATTTTCTCTGTGTCTAGACCCAAGCTGCTGAGTTCTACTAAAAAAAAAAAAAAAAAAAAAAAAAAAAAAAAAAAAAAAAAAAAAAAATCCCCACCATTCACCACTCACAGACGCATCATTATAAGTTGGGGAGGGGTCTTCAGCCTCCAGTGTTCCCTTTGCTGCCTCCACCACCGTCACTGTTCTCTTTCCAAGGAGAACATCAGTCCCATTGGATTGTTTTCTTCACTAGTTGATTCCCAGGGCTTGGAGCACAGAAGGCACCCAATAAAAGTCATCTGAATGAGCCAATTCCTTCTCCCATTTTCCATGTGGCTATTTAAAGCAACTGTCTACTTTCCTCCCATCTTCAACCTCCCCCACCTCTCAGATGCCTCCTACCTCAGAGGAGAAAATAAATGCTACTCTCTTCAAATCCCCGCCATAAAGCCTACGGACTTCCTTACACCCCAACTTGCTCTTTCTTGCCTGTTAACAGGGAAGGTGTCCCTTCCTGCATCTGCTCTCTCTCCCTTGGGAACACTGCTGTATCATGTGGACACCCCCTCTCCTGAAGCTTTCTCCATCAGGCCCCTTTCCAGGACTGACGCATGCTCAAATGCCTCCCATCCCATGAACCTTCTCTTGTTCTCTCATGCCCGTCTGCAAACTCCTCTAACATATCCCCCTTCTTGCACAACAAAACTTAGTGGAACTGACTGTCTCTAGTTTCTCATCAATGATTTTCTCCTCAAAGCCACCTGTCTCTGGCATATTCCCACCATCATGATTACAGGGTCATCAAGACTTTTTTTTTTTTTTTTTGGTAGCTAAATCCAATGCACAGCTCTTGACACTTGCATGACTTCACCTCTGTGACCCATTTGACATGAATGATTCTTCTCTTGTCAATTTTCTACCCTTGGCATACATTACCCAACACTACCCCGGTTTTTCTTTCTACCCTTCTGCTCATACTCAGTTTTTTTCAGTGGGTTCTTATGCCCTCCTATGAACTCTGAATTTCCCCAACCTTCTCATGCGGGTAGGGTGACGATATAGTTCACTGAGACAAGTGAAAGTGAAAGTAGGGGGGCGGGGGCCATTAGAAATTATGGTGGAACAACAGGTATAAGGCAGGAATATCCTGGCTAACTGGGATGTGTGGCCATCCTAATTTTGGGCCACCTTATTTTTTTATCCTGCCTCTCTCCTAGGGAAGCACCTTTCACTGTCATGGTTTTGAGTACCATTGCCTCTCTGATGAATTCTCCATTTGATGCAGACCTGCAAATCTCAGCTGGGTCTTCTACAGGGGCCCAAAACTCAACATTTCCAAGATGAGCACAGCATCTTTCTTCTCAAACCATTCTTTATTTTCGGCAAGTCACCCCCATCCACTCAAATACCCAGTTTAGAAAGCTGGGCATCCTCCTCCTCCTCCTTCCTCAGTCCTAACACACAATCCCAACACCGATTCTCCTCACCTCCCACGTGAAGAGCTCTCTTCTATGTCTAATTACTTCCTGCTCCATTGCTACTTTCTTTTTCCAGGGCCAATCCTCTCTCAACAAGATCAGTGCTACCAATTCCACCCTTGTCCCCTTTCCAACATTTCCGCCCACCTCTCACCATCCCTGCAATCCGTTTTGCACACTCTAGGAAGAGTAATCCTCCTAAAGATTCATTCAAGAG
The DNA here is from genome assembly GCF_000001405.40 of Homo sapiens. Lineage (NCBI taxonomy): Eukaryota > Metazoa > Chordata > Mammalia > Primates > Hominidae > Homo > Homo sapiens. Next base: position 6,378,811 of record NC_000016.10, on the reverse strand, counting down.
ATATTATAAAGATGAGAATTACAGATGAAGATAATAGCAATGAGGGAAATAAAGAGGTTGTTGAGACCAGGAGTGATGAGGGGGTTGGCATATGCTTTAACTGGGAAGACTGACAGCTGCCCCTCTAAAGGGTGACATTTGAGATGAGCTCTGGGATGACCAATGGGGAAGAGCATTGAGGACTAGGGAGTGGACATTGCAAAGGCCCTGAGACAATGCATATCTTATTTAGAAATGGGGGTGGGCATGTGCACACTCCCACTCCACCAGATGATCCAGCCAGGAGATGGCTGTGTGTGCTCTGACTCTCTTGCCCTAACAAGATGGAACACCAAGACCAAAGTGACGGGCTACAATTGCAACCCTGCTCAACAACCTCCATCGGTGCTGCTTCCAGCATGCTGACAGGCTAGTGCAGAAAGATGCCCAGCGAGCTGTTGGGAAGGATTGTGGCACCAGGATCGCAGGGTCTGGGTCACCATCTCTCTGTTGGGCCCAGATGCATGAAACCCCAGCCTCCGTGAGAGGTGAAAGGTGAGCACGGAGGGGAAGCACTGGCAGCTGTGCCCGAGTGTGCGGCAGATGGAGCTCAAAGGCTGCAGGGAGCTGAGGCGAGGACAAACATCTGCTGCTGGCAGCCTTCCTCCCAAACAACAGAAGCTCTGGTAGCTGAGCCTCCAGCCTGGTCTTGATAAATGAGCCATCATCTTAGGCGGGCACAGGGTGGAGCCCCTCTTTCTAAACATACACGGCCTATCCAGGATGCTAGAAGACCAGAGGACGCAGAGGAAGAACACTAGATCACCTCGTTTGGATTTTAAAGGACGATGAAGCACCAGGATTGGTGACAGGACACAGGACATGCCTGGGATCAGGAATCATCTTTGAGAAGCACCTCTTGGAGTGGGGCAGAGTTTTCCCGGCTCAGCTGGGAGCAGGGAGGCCAGCACTTCCATAGTCTGGGAATCCACGTTGGGGAAGCTTCATTCTGTTATGTGTGGCCTACCACTCCATTACCGCCTCTATCTAAAATTACATTCCTGATTAAAATTTTAGTGCCAAACATTTTATATGATTACAGACAGAAAGTCAAAATTTGCATTTAAATAGACATATTAAAAACACTGTAGAGGGTAGAACAGCAAAGCAATCTTGAGGAGTCTTTTAAGAGAGGGTGAGGCGCTTGGAGGATTTTTCCATTTCTGTCGGCACAGACCCTGACCCTTCCCAAATTCCACTGAAGTGCATGTTGTTCTTGATTCTACGCAGGCAGGCAGACTCAGTTCTCCAGGCTGAGACTTGCCAGGGCCCAGAGCATTATCATTCATTCATGCATTCAATAAATGTGTACTGCCTTGTACACTGGGTTGGATAACAACCCCCAGAAATCCATGGCCCCCCAGAATGTCAGAACGTGGGCTTATTTGGAAATAGGGTCTTTATAGATGTAATTAAGATGAGTTCATATGGAATTAAGATGAGGCCTAAATACAGGGACTGATACCTTTTTTTTTCTTTTTCTTTTTTTTTTTTTTTTTGAGACAGGGTCTCACTCTGTCACTCAGGATGGAGTGCAGTTGCATGACCTTGGCTCACTGCAACCTCCACTTCCTGGGCTTAAGTGATCCTCTAACCTCAGCCTCCAAGTAGCTGGGCCTACAGGCACAGGCCACCGTGCTCAGCTAATTTTTAATTTTTTTTTGTAGGGATGGAATTTTTCCATGTTGCCCAGGCTGGTATCGAACTCCTGAGTTCAAAGTGATCCACCTGCCTCAGCCTCCCAAAGTACTGGGATTATATGCATGAGCCACCGAGCCCAGTCTGGGGACCAATACCTTTATAAGAAGAAGGAAGTTTGGAGACAGAGAAAAACACAGGGAAGGCTATGTGATACCCAAGCCAGAGATTGGAGTGACACATCTCGAAGCTGAGGGCCGCCAGATCCCTAACGACTACTAGAAGCTGAAAGAGGAAAGCAAGAATTCTTCCCTGGGTCCTTTGAAGAATGCATGGCGCTGCTAATACCCCGATTTCAGATTTCCAGCCTCCAGCACTGTAAGAAAACACATTTCTGTAGTTTTAGGCCACTGAGCTTCTGATACTTCTTACTGCAATCTAGGAAGCTAACACAGGAGTCATGAAACCATTAGTTGGGCCCTAAACCAAGGACTGCTGGTTTCACAAACGGAAGAAAATCTGGACACAGAGATACACACATAGAGGACAGGTGACGTGAACAGACACCAATGTAAACAGAGGTTAGGAGTGAGGCAGCTTTCAAAAACGCAGCTGCAAGCCGCAGAATGCCAGGGAATGCCAGCAACTACCAGAAACTGGAAAAGGCAACGAAGGATTCACCCTTAATGCCTTCAGAGGGATCATGTCCCTGCTAACACCTTGATTTCAGCCTCCTGGGCTCCAGAACAGCAAGAGAATGGATGTCTGCTTTTTTAAGCCACCTAGTTTGTGATACTTTGCAGGGGCCCTTGCAAACAACAACAACAACAACCAACCAACAAACAAACAAAACCCAACACAACACACCGCCTCACTAAGTGCCAGGCTATAGGACATAAGCAGGAACATAAATGACAAGGCCAGTGATCCCAAGGATCCTGGAGTCTAGGGGAAAGAGAGAACAGTCAAAGAATCACAGATATTGATATGAAATTTCCACTGGGATAAATGTGATATGAGAGCTCATTGTAAAAGAAGAAGAAATCATGGATGGGGGCTTGGTTTGCTCTGAGAAGTCAAGGAATGTACCCCTATACAAGTGGTAAATGAGCTCAAACAGGATGACTGAGTCATGAAACAAAACAGAGGGGGAGCTGGAGGCAGCAGGGTGATCCAAAGAGTAATCCAAGTTCACTGGCACCCCTGCTGATCCCTCAAAGCACAGAAAGACATGTGTAGGATAATAGGTCTTTGGGTCCTGGCCAAGAAGGGAGTGTGTTTTTTGCATTGTTTATGCAGGGGACAGGAGAGAGAAGGGATAGGGAAATGCCTGTTCATCATGGATACCCTTTGTGCTGAGGTTCTGGAAACCTCTGGGTACTCATTCTCGCTCCGTCAGAAACCAGAGCCAGGTGACCTTGGGTTAATCAACGGTCCGCTGTGAGATGCGCCTCCGGGTTCCCATCTGGATGCTGAAGAGGCTGGGCTGGCAGGCTTCCAAGGGGGCTGTCCAGCAATCACATGATTCCACACATTACAGAAGGGGCAGAGAATCCACAGGGGTCTTTTCCTAGAGTATTTTCAAATGAGCCGAAAGAGAAACTGCACAGGCTTTGGCATTTTCCCCCTGCCCAGAAACGATCATCTGCCTAAAAATGTTAGAGAAATACAACCAGTTTTCTTCTTTTGGCTTCATCCTAGGAGGGTTAAAAAAAAAAAATACTCTAGAGCTGCACCCAAAGTTCTACATGTGCATGACTTTCATTTATAGAATTATTTTGGCTTTCTTTGTTAAAAGAGAAATGACACAGGGAAGGTGGTTTTTGTTTTTGTTTTTGTTTTTTTTCCCCACTCTGGCAAAACAAGGGCCAATAAAAGACATCAGAGAATGACATGGAGAATTCCCTATGAAAGCCACCCATGAAGTTCACAGAAAATACCCTCTTGCAGTTGGTGTTTTGGCAACAGAACCTCAACATTTTGCACCACAAAACACCTCCTCCCCTAAGGAAATGATTTCTGATACTCCCTGTGCACACACTCCCATTAGCCTGCAAACGTTTTAAAGTTGGACCTGGCGAGGTCTCAAGCAGGAAATGTAAAAAAGGAGCAAATAAGCACTCAATGCAGCAATAGCTCAGTGTCTTTGTTCTGCAGACTGTTTTCACACTTCCTCAGGCGAATGGATTTTTAAAACTGCCAGTTGCTAACAGGAATCCCACCTCTTCAGCCTGATAAGATAAATCTTGACAGGCTAAGAAATCTTTATTTCACTCAGAAGTTATTTGTTCCCATCTCATGTTCACAGATTAAGAATAAAAATTGATTTGACTTCAAAGGAAGGTGTTTTATAATTCAGATTGCCTTCAACTCACCCCACCTATGTACGATTACTCAATACCAGCCAGTGGCAATAACAGTCTCTTCGTTCTTATAGCTGAATGGGAAAATGTTACTTGGTCGCCTTGCACAAGAGCAGTTGGCCAGGATATAAAGTACTGTGGAAAAAAGACATTTTCAGCTAGAGTAACGTCTTCTTGTTCTTATGTACATTACACAGCATTTGTCTTCTCTTCTAAGGTTCAATTACGAAAATTTTCTCTAAAGACACTAGAACACATAATAGATCCAAAATTAAAAAAACATATATATGGCCAAAAATAGTAGAGTTCCTTTCTGTTCACAATATCAGTGTGAGAAGAATTTGCTACTTACTTTCTTAGTATGAGAAAATAGAAAAGGATAAAACAGGTATTCAGAATGTCTATCCATCAGTAAAGGAATTCTTTCTAGCCTATTCAATTGCCTGATCACAAAATGATCCCAAATTGTGTGGTGTAACCCTTATTCCAAAGCAAAAGTTTGTCTCCTAATTACATGAGCCAATGAATAATTACAAGGCTAAACAATGCCCTCCATTCTTGAAATACTTGCCAAGTAGACTACTTGAATAATTTTGGGGCAACTGAATATCCAGAGACAATGAATCAAGTCCACACTCAGTGTTGAAGAAACTAATACAGCATCCTTAGTTTTCTTTAAAAGGTAAATAGGGCAGATATTATGTTGCTGTGGTTTTCTAACTGACTTACTGTCAAACTGAATATTAAATCTGTATTTACGCCAAGCTGAGCACTATGGAGAATGCAAAGAATCGAAAGATAAATCATCCATTCCTGTTCCTGAAAGTCATAGTCACACAGTCAATAGATACTGAATGAACACCTACTATCTGAAAGACAAAAAGGAACCAAAATAACTTCTTAAACAGCACCTGAATGCAATGAGTACAGAAGTATAACAAAAAAGACATACATTGCTAAATAAGACATGCAGACCACATCCCACACAACCGTCTTCCCACATAATGATCCTTTATCGTCACAATTCTTCCACTTAACAACTCCTCTCATCCAACCATCCCCTAACCCAAATGCTCTTGCATGAAAACCATTCTTCCATCCAACTGTATATCTACCCAATCTCCATTCCACCCAATCATCCTCCTACTCAAAGATTTTGCCAACCATCCTCTCATCCGACTATACTTCCACCCAATCTCCATTCTACACAACAATCCTCGTACCCTGTGATCCCAATGAACTATCCTTGTATCCAACTATACATTTCCACTGAATCTCCATTCCACCAACCATCCTCCTACCCAAAGATCCTAACCAACCATCCTCCCATCCAGTTATACTTCCACCCAATCTCCATTGCACCCAACAATGCTCCTACCCAGTGATCCTAAAAAACTATCCTTCCATCCAACTATACTCTTCCGCCGAATCTCCATTCCACCCAACCATCCTCCTACACAAAGATCCTTACCAACCATCCTCCCATCCGACAATACTTCCACCCAATCTTCATTCTACACTATCCTCCTACCCAGTGATCCCAACGAACTATCCTTCTATCCAACTATACACTTCCGCTGAATCTCCACTCCACCCAAACATCCTCCTACCCAAAGATCCTAAACAACAATCCTCCCATACAGTTATACTTCCACCCAATCTCCATTCCACCCAACAATACTCCTACCCAGTGATCACAATGAACTATCCTTCCATCCAACTATACTCTGCCACTGAATCTCCATTCCACCCAACCATCCTCCTACCCAAAGATCCTTACCAACCACCCTCCCATCCGACTATACTTCCACCCAATCTCCATTCTACACAACAATCCTCCTACCCAACAATCCTAACCAACTACGCTTCCATCCAACTATACTCTTCCATCAAATCTCCATTCCACCCGACCGTACTCCTACCCAAAGATCCTAACCAACCATCCTCCCATCCAGTTATACTTCCACCCAATCTCCATTCCACCCAACAATACTCCTACCCAACAATCCTAACCAACTGTCCTTCCATCCAACTATACTTCCACCCAATCTCCATTCCACCCAACTATCCTCCTATCCAAAGATCCTCACCAACTATCCTTCCATCCAACTATACTTCCACCCATTCTCCTTTCCACCCAACAAAACTCCTGCCCAGTGATCCCAATGAACTATCCTTCCATCCAACTCTACTCTTCCACCCAATCTCCATTCCACCCAACCATCCTCCTACCCAAAGATCCTAACCAGCTATCCTTCCATCCAACTATACTTCCACCCAATCTCCATTCCATCCAACAATACTCCTACCCAAAGATCCTAACCAACTATCCTTCCATCCAACTATACTCTTCCACCAATTCTCCATTCCACCCAACCATCCTCCTACCCAAAGATCCTAACCAACCATCCTTCCATCCGACTATACTTCCACCAAGTCTCCACTCCACCCAACCATCCTCCTACCCAAAGATCCTAACCAACTATCCTTCCATCCGAGTATACTTCCACCCAATCTCTATTCCACCCAACAATACTCCTACCCAAAGATCCTTACCAACCACCCTCTCATCCGAGTATACTTCCACCCAATCTCCATTCTACCCAACAACCCTCCTACCCAGGATCCCAAAGAACTATCCTCCCACCCAACTATACTTTTCCATCGAATCTCCACTCCACCCATCCACCCTCCTACCCAATGATCCTAACCAACCATCCTTTCATTCAACCATCGTTTCACCCAACAATCCTATGAATTAATATTAGTACCTAATCTGTACCAGACATCTTCCTAGGCAATGGGGATACAAAGATGACAAAAAATATGAAGTCTCTCTTCTGAAGGGTCTCACAGCCTAACAGACAGATAAAAGATAACTCGTAATAACAAGTGATATCAGATAGGCAGGGAAATTTTAACCTAGATAATGTATCCTGTTGGGAAGAACATAATCCTTAGGAAGGATTAACAAATTCTTGGCTTTGAAAAGATAATTATATATACATGTGTATGTGCATGTGTGTATTTTTTCCTAGTTCTATCTATATTGTCTATTTAGAGGGTCCAGAAGCCATAATCGCCCAGAACTTTGTTTCTAAACACCACTCTCCAATCAAAGGAAGGATTACTCTGTGGAAAAATGGCCTCCTGGCTCTAGGACTGGGGCAAGAAAAGTCAAGATATACCTGGAATATCTTCTGGTGCCAAGGAATAAGGATGTTATTAAAAAAAACTTACGGGTTTATGTCAAAATGATACAGGAGCCAGCTTGAAGGGGCTCCCAGTGAATACATATGATACAACTTGAGCATCAAAACAAATAACGAAAGTAACCGATTGTAGTTCATAGAATAAAAACACGAATCCATGACTTTATACTGAAATAAGTAATTAAATGTATATATATAGGAAAGGAAATAGAATGCCAACCCACACATATAAGTGCAATGGGGTTAGAAAACCATCATTTGATAGCCGTAATAATCATAATTGACTCAGACAAGAATCATCAATGAATGGTAAAACTAGTGAATGAAGGATTGATGACAAATCGGTATTTTAAAAGTCTAAAACCATTCCTCCCACCCCCAAACTATGTATTAATTACAGTGAGAAAGTTTTTACTGGAGATATCTGAGAGACATCATATGATCCAAAGGACTGATGTTAATATCACCAATAATAGACAAACTAATATCATGTGTCTCTTAATATGGCACCCTGGGAAAAACAGGACATTATTACTTGGGGGTATCCCTGGCAAAAATGCACACCCCAACTGGGATCATAAAGAAACAGCTGAAAGACCCAAATTGAGGGTCATCCACAAAGTAAATAACTGCCTTGTGTTTTCTTGTTATTTTAATTGACATTATATTTACATATTGAGGACCCACTCTCTTGTAAAAAATTGTAGCAAAATATACATTACATAAAACTTACCAATTTAATTATTTTAAAGTATTCAATTAAGTGGCATTAAGAACATTTGCATTCTTGTGCAACTATTATCAGTATTCTAAAACCTTCTCAACTTCCAAAACTGAAATTCTATACCCGTTAAACATCAACTCCCCATTCTATCCTCCCCCTGGTCCCTAGGAACCACTATATTACTTTGTCTCTATGAATTTGACTATCCTAGGTACCTGAAATAAGTAGAATCATACAATATTTGTCCTTTTGCGACTGGTTTCTTTCACTTAGCGTAATGTTTCAAGGTTTGTCCATGTTGTAGCACGTGTCAGAATTTTACTCCTTTTTAAAAGACTCGTGCTTTTTTGTAGCAGCTGAAACAACTAAGCTTGCAAAAATGATTAGTTAAAATTGAAGGGCTCTCTTCAGGTGATTCGGCAATGGGCAGTCCAGGGTGTGTTCTTTTTTTTTTTTTTTTTTTTTTTTTTTTTCTTTTGAGACGGAGTCTCTATCTGTCGCCCAGGCTAGAGTGCAGTGGCATGATCTCGGCTCACTGCAAGCTCCGCCTCCTGAGTTCACACTATTCTCCTGCCTCAGCCTCCCCAGTAGCTGGGACTACAGCCGCCCGCCACCCCGCCCAGCTAATTTTTTGTATTTTTAGTAGAGACAGGTTTTCACCGCATTAGCCAGGACGGTCTCGATCTCCTGATCTCATGATCCGCCTGCCTCGGCCTCCCAAAGTGCTGGGATTACAGGCATAAGCCACCGCACCCGGCCCAGCGTATGTGTTCTTAAAAAAATGTCAAGATCATAAAAGACCAAGCAAGACTGTCACTGTTGTGGATTAAAAGACACTAAAGAGACTTGACAACTAAATGAAATGCATGATGGATTAGATTCTGGACCATGAACAAAACTGCCATCAAGGTCATTATTGGGACAATTGATGAAATTGGAAAACAAACTGTGGATGAGACCAGAGGACTATACCAGTGTGTTAAATTTCTTAATTTTGGAATTGTATTGTGGTTAGGTCCTTGTTTTTAGGAACACACTGAAGTATTCAAAGTTAACCAGGCAACATGTCTGGAACTGACACTAAGATAGGTAAGAGTATTAAAAATATATGTGTATTTACGTACATAGAAGGTGTAGAAAATGCGTGATAGTGAAAAACTTTACATGAGGTATAGGTTGGAGGGTAATTAAAACTTATAAAGGAAAGATGGTGGGGGAACATGGTAGTAACAAGACACAGATTTTTCCTACCAGCCCTCGAGGACATGGAAAGATCTCTTCACTCCCAACAACTTTAGGACTAAAGAGAGGAATTCATATGAACTAGAACTTTCACCAAAATTAACCATTCTTCCCTCAATGCTAGGAATAATGAGTGGTTGCACTGTTGGGTAGAGATGCTATGTCTAAGACAAACGTTCTCAAACAATGCCTCCTTTCTTTTTCCTTCACAATGTTTTTCCATTTTTTAAATCAATCCTTTCAATCTTTACACTATCCGACCCAGCAAGTTCAGCAGAATACATCTAAGGAATAATTCAATCCCTTAAAATTAGGTGAATTTGAAGTGAGCATATCAATTTTGTTTATAAAAAATTAAAATGAGATATTTAAGGCACATAAGCAGTATATTACTTAATACAAGATGTATCTGCTTCCTATGCCCAAGTTAGTAAATACTACCAATAGATTAGGAATCCCTTAGTTATCCCTGACAAACATATATACATATACACACATACATACATGTATATATACATATATCCCTAAGAAATATACTAATTTGTTTCACATTATTTTCCATAGTTTCAATTTTACACAAGCATGTTTTCAATTTTACACAAGTGAGGATAACACATCCTATTGTTCCTTTTTTCCAACACTAAAATTGTGAGATTCGTCCTGGTTTATTTTTCACTGCTCTGTAGTATTCCACTGCGTTACTTTACCACAATCCATCTTTACTTTCTCATTTTGATGACAAGACTAGGTTGCTTCTGGGTTTTTCTTTTAACCTTCACAAGCCATGTTACTACCAACATTGAAACAGAGGGCATGGGCTCTTCCTCTCTTACCTATTGATGTGCCTGTCATGTGTAAACATGGACTGGTACATATGACTAATTGATAACCATTTGTTCAATGAATGGTGAATGAACCTATGACATATGACAATGCCCAAAGTGGTAAAATAGATAAACATATACTCTTCTAGGAATGTAAGAGCTAAATAATAAGGGCATGAGTGGAAGCTCAGATCATAGAGCAGAAGAATTACAGGCAGGGAAGAAATAAAGGAGGTTCCATGAATTGGAAGGAGATGTGGATGCAGAGGTGCACACCCAGAGAACTGGAAAGGTCTACATTAGGAACCAGCACGATCCGTGTAATCACAGGACATAAAACCCAAATCAAAGCTGCAGCATTTTTTATGTGTGGCAGTGGTTAGATCAGAGAACTACTACCTGCTAGCATGCCATTTCATTATCTGGTTCTGCCCTTGCAGACTGAAGATTCCTGGGGTTTGGGGCAGGCTGAGCTTCCAGGGGTGGTCCCAGCACCATTTTTCTGGAAAGCCTGGATTAAGAGAGATCCAGCTAGCTGTGAGATATTTTCAATATTTTTCATTCAGGGTATATAATACAAGTCTCATATGCATAATCCCTTGAAGCTGAAACCTCAGAGAGAAAAACAGCCAATGAATGTGAAACTTAAGCTTACAAAGAGAAGAAGAGGAAGGGTACAAAATGACGGAAACAACTTCAGAGAGCCTGTGTGAGGGGGTGACCAAGACACGTAAAGAAAATAGGACATTTATGTCCCTCAAATCAAGACACAAATGGATCTTACTTTGTGCTACTTCTACCTGCCATACTGACATTGGATTGTCCTAAACTACTCTGTGGGCAAAAAGTTAAGTTGGAACAACAAGGGTTTGAGTTTCACAGTAGGAGTTGACGATTTAGGCAACCCCATTAACTGGGGGAAGATAGGATGGTTTGTGGTTGGAACAGAGTCTTTCTGACTCTTTGAAAACATCTTTGCTTTCTGCTCCTGGCATCATTTTCCCTATTTTTTTTTTTTTTTAACAATTGCAATCATTCTACCTGTCCAAAAGATACAATAGAAAACATGTAGGCATTGGCTCCCATCCTATGAAAGCAAAACACCCCAGCTCCCTCTCCCATGTTCTCATGGTATTTTTATTTACATATTCACAATTTTAGCTTTACCTGATTTCAAATGCATAAGAAAATCCAAGAAGGGGCCAGGCGCATTGGCTCACGCCTGTAATCCCAGCACTTTGGGAGGCCGAGATGGGTGGATCATGAGGTCAGGAGTTCGGGGCCAGCCTGACCAATATAGTGAAACCCTGTCTCTAGTAAAAATGCAAAAAATTAGCCGGGCATGGTGGTGCATGCCTGTAATCCCAGCTACTCAGGAGGCTGAGGCAGGGGAATCACCTGAACCCGGGAGGCAGAGGTTGCAGTGAGCCAAGATCACACCATTGCACTCCAGCCCAGGCAACGGTGTGAGACTACACCTTAAAAACAAAACAAAACAAAACAAAACAAAACAAACAAACAAAGAAAATCCAAGAAGGGCTAAACCTACAGTGACATAATGTCCAGCTTACAATTCAGCATAACCTGTGTATGTGTTCCACGTGCTGACGTCAAAGCTCTCACTTTATTCATTTTGCCCTAGTTTTATCACCTGCATCGAGGTGGAACTTTGGCTTTCACTTCCAAAGCTCAGGCAGGAGCTACAAGCTGCGGAAGTGGGATGAGGAAGAAAATAGTGTGAAGCACCAATGGGCAGCATAAGGAAGACAAGGATTTCAACAAGAAGTACATAAAATTGTCATGTGCACTTTCACAGTGTAGGAAATGCTCCTTGTGAAAGGTGACACACAGTCAGAAGAACCCACAATGGCATGCAATAATGAGACCCAATAGAGAGAGCCACTCTGATATTTTCATGAGACAGAAAAGCACAAAAGCAGAGATTCCTGACACCAAAAGACACTGGTGCCTAATTTTGGCTCTGCTTTATGATCATTCTGCAACCTGGAGCATGTCATTTCAGCTTACTGTGACTCAGTTGCCTCCTCTGTAAACTTGGGATAATACTAGCATCTACTCCCTAAGTTTGCTATGAAGATTAAATAAAATTATCTATGTAAAGTGCCTGCAGAAGAACCTGGCACATGGTAAGTAGTTATTATTTGTTCATGCTATGACATAAGTATCAGTGGTCTTAGCCATCCTCACCCCCTTGAAGGGTGATATAGAGAAAATTCAGGTGGTGTCATATTGAGCCTCAGACAACGAATCCATTCTTACCTCCTTATATTTTGGCTTATTCTGGGTTGTTCAACATTGTCTCATATCTCTCCATGAAGAAAAAGTAGGGGACATGATGTCTGTAGTATGTGAGAAATGTCAGAGGAATTTTTATTACAATATTCACAATTCTAAATGTATAAAATAGGAATGTAGAAGTCTTTATAGTTCAATATCCAAAAGGTATGGTGAGTTTAGAACATCTGTCAAAAGCAAGGGAAAAACAAGATATATACCTTCCAGATATACATATCAAGACATATATCTTCCAGCAAGATGCATCTTCCAGAATTTTATTTATACGTACATATGTTCCAGGTATAAATATATATTTTCTAGATACAGACATAGATACAGGCAGGCAGACACACACACACACACACACACACACACACACACACACATAGAATGGCCACCATTCTCGACCAGAGACCATATGAAAGTCAGGCAAGGAGCCAAAGAAGTTAGAATGTGGCTTCTATTTCTAAAATGTATCGTGGAAAAAAAAAACACCCAGAGAAGGAGGGGAAAGTAAAAACAAGAAAGATCCTTAGCAGCAGTTGAAGTAGTAGCTGTAGCTCCCATTAATCAAAATGCTCTCTCTATTCTAGGTATTGAGTTAAACACTATCTGCCTAGATCTAGATATCTTTTAATTCTCTCAACAATCCAGCAAGTTAGAAAACATTTTTCCATTTTACAGACATGGATACTGAGGTTAACCATCTTGAGCAAAGGTACTCAAGCTAAAAAGCACATGGTGCTCAGACCTAAATCTGGCTTCCAGTGATTCAAATCCTGTGTTCTTTCCACTATACCACATTGCTTCAAAACATGCCTAGAAGAATTGGTGAAGTGGTCTCATCCTTATGGTCTTAACCACAAAAAAAGATAGCATATGTCAGCACCCCAGTGCCCCTCCCCAGAGAAAGAGACATGAAGAGCATAAGATGTACCTATTAAGAATTTAAATGTATTACATGTATGTATCCAAGGTATCCATACACCTACCCATCCACCCACCCATCCATTCACCCATCCACCCATCCATTCACTCATCTACCCATCCACCTACCCATCCATCCATCCATCTACTCATCCATCCACCTATCCACCCATCCACTCATCCGTCTATCCATCCATCCATCCATCCATCCACCCACCCATCCACCCATCCAAACATCCATCCACCCATCCATTCATCCACCTACTCATCCATCCACCTATCCCCCCATCCATCTGTCCCTCTATCCATCCATCTACCCATCTATCCATTCATCTACCCATCCATCTATTTTAAGAAGAGAGGGCCCTACCAGACAGATTTATAGCTGCTATTCTGATAGCACTCCCAGATTGTTAAGAGGAAAGCTAATTTTATCAAAACCTTTTTTTTAAGGGTGAATCCCATTTTGGGCTCATCAGTTTTGATGACTGTGCCTTTGCCAAGACCTCTCCCTGTGAGATGCTACAAGTGAAGGAGGTACCCTCCCACACATACTGTCATATGCCCATATTGATATTTCTTATCACAGTTTTGAACAGAAGTAGGGCGCTCTGAATTGGGTGAATATCGTAAAAGGACCACACCCCCTGCCCCTCGCCCAGTCTAGGATGGGAATTTCCTCCACTCTGACATTCCCTTTGCCTTCAGTTACTCTCTCCCAAGTCAGCCAACCAGGCAGAGGGAAACAAAAGGTCAACTTTTCCACCCACAAGGTATTTCTTAGAATGTCCTCTGATATTTGTGGGGTTTAAATGTGTAATTCAGGGTGAGAAATTACACAGAAAGATGTTTCCCTTTCAGATATTAGATAAAACACATCACATTTGAAACTAAAGAACTAGATGGACCACAAAGATCCTCTATATGACCATATGTCTCCATCAACATGAAAGTGTGTGTACACACATGCCTGCACACACGCACATGTGTTCACATGCACCGCTGGGGAAAAATGGCCAGCTGAAAGGTACCACTCAGGGACCAACAGAGAACAGATGAGGTCTGCTTAAAAAAGAAGCTTCCTTGGAGTTATACTCTTCTTGGCAAGGTGGGTGTTAAAAATAATAATGCTGAGGTTGCACCAAATGTCTTTAATGTTGGAGGGAAGATGAGAAAGAAAGAAAGAGGAAGAGGAGAGGAAATGAGGGAAGAAGAGAGGGAAAATGCAAGATAAAACATAAGAAAACTTTTCACCTTGGCAAGCCAAATAACCAGCTTTAATCAGGTAAAGGGCTTTATACTGTGTGGAGAAAGCACTTTTGAATTCTGCCAGCATCTTCGAAGCATGCAATTTGAAAAAGGTCCTATTTTTCCTGGCTTGCAAAGGAGAGTTGGACTTCTCAGTACAGCAGGGAACAGACGTTGTGGCATAAGGATCCAAGAGGGGTAGGCTAAACCTTTCTTCCCCTTCCAATGGCTTTGTGCCATTGTTCAAATGCAAAATACAGGCCACTATTCCATTGAAAACACGGAGAAGCCTTCTTGGAGGGATAAGCTTATTTGAACTACATTCATGTCTTTCCAATTTTTTTATATTTTCTTTTTATTGTACGATATGATTACATAGTTATATTCAGATACTTCACCTATGTAGACCTAGTTTCATTTAATAAAACATCTCTTTCATTTCCTAGGCCAAAAATATCACAGAATCAGACAGACTTCATTAAAAAGTAACAAGAGGGTCTGATTTTACATGGACACAATTATTAGTTCTGTCACTGGGTGTCAGTGAACAGAGCGATTGATTTCTACGTGAAATTCGTTTCTCCTGTTAGCCTTTTAGCTAAGCCCCGGAGTGTTTTTCTATTTAATCTTCGGAAACTTTAAAAAATGGTATTTAGTCTCCGAACTGTCTGTTGTTGTGCTGTCACTGCTGTTCCCTTCAAAAATGTGACACTCATTCTTGCCAGAAACAACCTCAATTCGACTCTATTTAAACCGGCAGAAGTGCAAAATTTAGGCAATTCCAAAGAACGCAATTATTTAAACAAATAAGTAAACCCATCCATTCCACGCTAGAACATCTCGAGATCAGTCTCCAGTCCCTTTGACAGTATTTCTGCCTCATTCTGTGCATCACTGGTCAACTTTGCAAGCAAAGATTTAGGGTATGGTGCCTAGTCTGTTTAAATATCTGAATTTATTTTTCCCTCGGCCCTTCGTTTATGCCATTAAACCATCCCTTGGGATGGAATGCCATTGAGTTGTACAACAGGTGCTTTACTAAGTTTACTACACAACGGAAGGCCACATTATAGAAAAAAAGTCTTCAAAATTAGGATGAAGTTGACAGTTTCTATATTTTCAATATAAATAAAAAATGCTTTTGAAGCCAATTGAGTTACTTAATGAGGCAGAGACAACTCTAGATTCCTTTAAAGTTAAAAAATGATTCTTCTGGTAGAATTTCAAGTTTGCATTAGATCATTTCATATTGAGAGAAAAACTGTGCACGCCTGCTTTGAAGACCCAAGTAATCATGCCAGCTTCAGCCCAAGGGAGGTGGTTCCCAGGTGGCAGGCTGTACAACCTTTTAGCCTTGCTCATGTATCACACACTTAGAAGGGGGACCAAGCAACATTCAAGAGACAACTACCTTATTTAGTCTCCATCCTCTGTTTACACCTCGACCTTCCTTCCTCGAATTCGAGGGTGAAGGTCAATGAAGTTGCACTGCCAGTGTGATGTTTGGCTATAACGGCAAAATTCAATAAAAAATAAGCCATCCATCTCCCCACAGGCCACTGCACAGGCATCAATAACAGGAACTTGTGATTACCAATGACCCAAGCTAGACCAGAACCAGTCACCTTCTGGTTAAAGCCGTCAGGATTCTAGTATCAGTCTATGAAGCCATCCATTTACTCTGCCCTCTACCTTAACCTAATCTAATTTGCACGTTGTAACAGAAAGCTGCTGTCAGAGAGCATCAGGTAAACTTAATTTCATATGTCCTGGCACACAAATGCGTGAGCCAGTGCCAACAGATGACATACGAGCAGGTGGCCTCATATTGGACAAATTTAGCACCTTGCCTAAGTCTCCGAACCCCTGACCATGTATTATTTATGTACATTCAATTTTATGAAAACTTCCCAAGCATTTGGGAAGCAGGTCTAAGTATCATCAAATTTGTAAGATGTTTGCCTTTGGTTACAAGTTTACTCCTGAAGAATTAGGCAAATGAAGGTGAAGAGTACTTAGAGGAAGGACGGGCATTAGAAACAGCAGTGTTTCACAAATAGATGTGATATGCATCGATTACATCAAATTTTAGTAATTTAATTTTGTTTTTTGGGGGGGCGTGGGGTGGGCAGGACTTGTTTTGTGGTCCAAATTAACAATCTCATGAAAATGATTCTGTCATGCTTTTAATGAAAGGTCATGTGTTATAATTGCCACGTGAACCTGATTTCTATTGAGTCAGAAAGGATTTGCTTCAGGACACTAGAACATAAGCTCCTTGAGCATGAAGGCTTTGCTTGTTTTCTTCTCAGCTGTATCTTCAAATCATAGAACAGTGTATATCACACAGGGACTTCATGAGAAGTGTTTGTTGAATGAATGAGTGAAAAAAAACAAAAACGGCTGGATCAATAAACAAATGAAAGGTTCTTTTGATCCTGTATTCCTTTTCCTTCCCTAGCACTCCTCCAGCCCAGTGGTTCTCAATTTTGGCTGTGGATAAGAAATATCTGGGGAAATCTTTAAAATACACTGACGCCTGTGCCCTCATTCCAGACATTCTGATTCAATTGGTATAAAGATAAGGTAGGGGGTTTGTAAAGCTCTCCAGGTAACACTAATTAGCCAGCTTTAAGAATGATTGACCATGATTTTTTTTTTTTTTTTTAGAGACAGAGTCTCAATGTGTCACCCAGGCTGGAATGCAGTGGCGCGATCTTGGCTCACTGCAACCTCCGCCTCCTGGGTTCAAGCGATTCTTCTGCCTCAGCCTCCCGAGAAGCTGCAACTACAGGCATTAGCCACCACACCAGGCTAATTTTTGTAGTTTTAGTAGACACGGGGTGTCACCATATTGGCCAGGCTGGTCTCGAACTCCTGACCTTGTGATCCACCCGCCTCGGCCTCCCAAACTGCTAGGATTACAGGTGTGAGCCACCGCGCCTGGCCCAGCCATGATCTTTTCTCAGCACCTTCTCAATCTTGTTCCTGGTGTCTAAAGTTCTTGTCTACATCTTTTCCCCAAATTTGCCCTGCTGAGCAGTGCTTCAAGTGTCAGAATCTTTCCTCTGTGCCTTTCTTCTCCTCGACACTGGGTCCCATTCCTTTTGAGCCTGTTTCAGTGATTGAGACACATAACCTGATAACATGACATTCGTTACTTTGCCCATATTACATATTTGTAATGTATGAGAAAGTGGCAATGCATTGCTGAGAGGGGTGGCTCAAGATTAAACTTTTAGACAAACAGGATTAATGGCAACGGCTCAGCTTGGTCATTTCAGAGTCTCTTCAAATGCAAAAATTACCTGCCTAAAAATAAATAAAATAAAATAAAATAAAATAAAAAAGATGTGAAAGGACCACCCCTGAAGTAAAGATAACGGTCTTCGGCTCAAACAATGTCAAGAAACTCAGGGTCTCCAAAATTTCAGACTACACACTGAACAACTGTAGGGGGCGCCATTCACAATGATAACTATGTAAAAGCAGACATGGAGCTCTGTGGCACATGGCCCCATCCTTAGTCATCTGAGAAAAACAAATGAATAGCTTCTTAACATTCGAGCATACATTCGCAAAACATAAGATGGGTCAATGAATTTCTGTGATGATTATTTCAGATAATTCTGAAACGGCATGATATACTTGACAAAGGGTTTGTCAAGTAATAGATGGTCCATCCTTCACCAGAGTGTTACAGCTCCATAATAATATTGGATGAGACTGAGTGGCATTGCCATTTCTATAAAACAGAGGAGTAGAGACTTTCAAGACTGTGTAAATGTCAACTATAATAAAAACCTGAGGTGTAAGCTGTAAATCCATCTATCACTTGGACATTTTTTTTTCCAAATATAGTGTGGACAATCTGTTTCAGAATGTTAAAATCATCTCAATAAATTTGATAAGAAACTTTTGGTCCCTGCAGTGCAAGTATAATAGTATTAAATATATAGCCAATAACAGTCCAAGTTTTTCTTGCGAGAATTTTGGCACCTCATGATCTTTCATGGACAGGTCTCCAGGCAGGTCCACATTGGAAAAAAAAAAATCTATAAAGAAATATTACACAATGATGTATAAGAAATTCATTTCCTGCTTCTTCCTATTTTCATTACAAGGTACAGGCTGAAATCTATATTTTTTTTAATTGAAAACAAGAACAGATGCATACTGGAAATAGTTCATAAAGCCATGGAAATGAACGAAATTGAATGCTGCTCAGAGTTAATAATTCACATAATCACAACCAGCATATTGAAAATAAGCAAAATTGTTCCTCACGTTCTGTAATCACTACATTCTCTAATTAACAATTAAAAGAATGGTGTTTTTGAAATCACGGAGGACATAGATCACATCCCATTAATTTAATGATCTAACATCCCAATGTTCATTTTAGGCACTGGATGAAGCTTTATAATTTCTATAAATACTATTAAGTTGTTTTGAGGGCATTTTTTTTAATATCACCAAAGTTTTTTTGACTTAGATGATGCCAGGTCGCAAACACAGTAAGTCGGCTGTGTATAAGTATAAGTATAAGGCTGGCTTATATACACGCCTGATCCCTTCGTGGAAGACAGTAGATGCTCGAAAGGTTGGTAGAGTGACTTACTTGCAGAAACATCCAGCAATAGGAATAAAGCATTGCAGGACATGTTGGTCTGATGTTTTCTGGTTCAAGTGCTTTTTCCTGTATCCATACACCAGTGGCAAAGCAATAGTTAACACAAGCATGTGGCTACCAAAAGAATTAACATTTTGGGAAGAGTGTCTTTCATTATGAGAATGTGCTCCCATCCTAAGACAAGTCACTGCAAATCCTCCTATCAGGTGGCTGAAAGTCTCCACCTTCACCGAGTAATGAAGATCACCAACAGTCAAAAAGACCCTTTTTAGGCCAGGTGCAGTGGCTCACATCTGTAATCTCAGCACTTTGGGGGCTGAGGCAGGAGGATCACTTGAGGTCAGGAGTTCAAGACCAGCCTGGCCAATATGGTGAAACCCCGTCTCTACTAAAAATACAAACAATTAGCCAGGCCTGGTGGTACACACCCGTCATCCCAGCTACTCAGGAGGCAGAGGCAGGAGAATCACTTGAGCCTGGAAGGCAGAGGTTGCAGTGAGCTGAGATCGTGCCACTGCACTCCAGCCTGGGTGACAGAGCTAGACTCCGTCTCAAAACAAACAAACAAACAAACAAACAAACAAAAACCCTTTCAACAACAAGCTGAGCATTTGTTATTAGGGATTAATTCCTTAGAGCCAGGTTTTGGAAGGAACTCAAACCAAACCAGCTACCTTCTATAGGCGCCGACAGAGCAATGGGATAAACAAGCAAGAAAACAGATGCCAGAATCTCAGCTTTGCTACCCTTCATGTTTCGAACTCAATATGTCCCTCCGGCAATAAATCTTCGTCAAACAGCACTTTCTCCCCTCTCTCCATAAAAACAGAGAGATAAAAGATATTTTAAACCACTCTTCTCTAAATTCACAAACAGAAGCAATGTAGCATATCCATCAGGAGACAAGCTCTGGACTCTGTAAACCCTGTTCCAAACTCCAGCTTCACCTCTTACTAGCCTTGCAAGCTTGGAAAGTCACTTAACCTCTCTGACATTAGGGTAAGTGAAATGAATAATAGTATCTACCTCCTGCTGTTGGGAGGATTAGACATAATCACCTTAAGCACTCTGTAAAGAATCTGGCTCATAGTAATTGCTCAATAAATGAAATCTATTCAAATTGTTAATAATGAAAAAATGAGACTCTTCAGCTGGATCTTTATCTATGGGATTAATTAGTGAATTATTAATCCAAACAAAATTTAAGCCCTCTCAATGACAATTATGTTGAAGCTGGCAACTTCTAATCTTTTTCTAAGATGAGACAAGGCCTGACAATGGCTCTCCACCTCCTTACATGAAGAGAAGGTAAAATGTGAAATGTTACCACTTAACATATTAAAGTATACATAATTGATTTTGGAGGAGGGGTAACATGTACTGGAAAATTACATGATGCCAGAAACTGTTAAAAGTCCCTTGTATGGGTTGATACATTTAATTTTTACACAGTCTCATGAAGGAGGTGTCAGTGTTTCATGGATCTGCACATTAGGAAGCTGAGGTTCATGGAGGTTAAACGACTTCCACAAAGCCACACAGTTGGAGGGTACATCCAGGCAGCCTCAGAGCCTCCTCTTCACCTTTACACTCTCAAAGGGTTCTGGAAGTTGATGAAGCCGAAACTTCAGGTTGCTTTGACACAACCATTGAAATTTCCAAAGGTCTCTGGCCCCATTAATTTCTTTTTTTTTTTTTTTCTTTTTTGAGATGGAGTCTTGCTCTGTTGCCCAGGCTGGAGTGAAGTGGCACGATCTCAGCTCAAGCTCACTGAAACCTCCACCTCCAGGGTTCAAGCAATTCTCCTACCTCAGCCTCCCAAGTAGTTGGGACTGCAGGCACCCACCACCACGCCCGGCTAATTTTTGTAATTTTAGTAGAGACAGGGTGTTTCACGATGTTCGCCAGGCTGGTCTTGAACTCCTGACCTCAAGTGATCCACCCGCCTAGGACTCCCAAAGTGCTGGGATTACAGGCATGAGCCACTGCATCTGTGTCCAGCTCTCAGTAGAGAACTCAGAAAGCAGGAAGCAAGACAGAGAGAGAGAGAGCACAAGCGGGAGCAAGAGGGAGCGAGACAGCGAGAGAGAGAGAGAGCAAGCAAGAGAGAGAGCGCTTGTGCAGACGACCTCCACCTAGTAAAAAAGGCTAGACACCCTCAACAGCTCTTTCCAACTCCCTTATCCTTGGAACAGAAACCCCCAGGAAAACAATACCCTCTTTACCCCCACCAATAAGCTGGGTGTTTCTGAGGAGTCCGGGGAATAAGGAAAATTGAATGGGGAGAAGCATAGGATTTCTGCCCAAACTCTGAGCTGAATTAGCCACTAACTTCTCAATCACCTGGCTCCCCAGTCTCTCCCTCAACCTCACCACCCCCACATGCACCATTTTTCTTCTCTGTTTATTTGCTCAGGGACCCAGACTCTAGCACGAAGGCTCATTTTCCCCCAGTGTGTTGTACAATAGCGTGCAAAGCAGCCAGATATTTGCCTGTAGCAGCAGCTGAGTGCCATTGGAAGCAAACTAAAATAAAATCCGCAAGCAGGGCAGGAGGGGAGGGACTGGGGAGAGTGAGCGCTGCTTCCCTTGGCCAAATACTGCTCCAAATAGAGGTCCCCGGGTGCAGGACAGCAGAATCACAGTTCAGTCTTGGCCCAGGGCACGGGGAAGGGGGAATCCATTACCGGGCTGCTGGAGGAGTGATTGCCTGTGGCTTTTAGTTTCCTTTCATAGACTTATTTCATTTTTAGAACGCTTTTGGATTTACAGAAAAAATTGCAGAGAGAGTACAGAGAGTTCCCACATATCCACACTCACTTTCCCTAGTATTAACATCTTTGATTGGAAGGGGACATTTGTCAGATTAATAAACCGATATTGACACCTTATTATTAACTAAAGTCTGCACTTGGAATGATTCCCTTGTTTTTCGCCTAATGTCCTTTTCCTGTTCCAGGATTCCATCCAGGATACCACGGTAATGGTATCTTTACTTGCTATGTCTCCCTACGCTTCTCTTGGCTGCAGCTATTTCACAGTTTTTCTTTATTTTTGAAGACCTTGACGGTTGTAAGATGTACTGCTCAGGTACTTTACAGAATGTCCCCCAATTTTGAATTGATCTGATGTTTATTTCCTCATAATCAGACTGGAATTATAGGTATGGGGAGGAAAACCACAGAGGGAAAATAGCATTTTTCTCCCAATATATTAATAGTTTTTTAAGACAAGTTCTCGCTCTGTTGCCCAGGCTGGAGGGCTGTGGTACAATCATAGCTCACGGCAGCCTCAATCTCCTGGGGTTAAGTGATCAAGGGTACCAACAATTAATGTGACATGCTGGCTGACGTGACCCTGATCTGTTGGCTGAGGATGTTTTTGGCAGGTTTTTGCCCCTGCAACATTGCTCCCTTTCCTTCCCTTCTCCATGCTGTACTCTCTGGAAGAAAGCCACCATGTAAAAGCAGTGCTTAAAGATGGAGAATCATGCTCTACCTCTTCAAGGATGAAGGCTGTGCATACATTATCTGGGATTTTTCTGCACAGGAGATTTGTTTCTCTACTTCCATGTATTAATTTATCCATGCATTTATTTCTATCACTATTGACTCATGAATATTTATTTTAATACTTTGGGTCATAATCTAATGCTACTTTCTTCTGCTGTTTAAATTGCTTCAGCTTTGCCCATTAGGAGTTCTTTAAGTTTGGCCCATGTGTTTTCTTGACCTACACCCATTTTGTTTTGTGAAAACTCCATTAGTTTTTGGAAATAGAAGTTGCTCCTGATCATTTTGTATATACCAACTTCTAGTTGAAAGAATATAGAATACGAAGGGCGAACATTAAAAAGTCAGGAAACAAAAGAAGCTGGAGAGGATGTGGAGAAATAGGAACTCTTTTACACTGTTGGTGGGAGTGTAAATTAGTTCAGCCATTGTGGAAGACAGTGTGGTGATTCCTCAAGTATCTAGAACTAGAAATACCATTTGACCCAGCAATCCCATTATTGGGTATATACTCAAAGGATTATAAATCATTCTACTATAAAGGCATATGCACATGTATGTTTATTGTGTCACTATTCACAATAGCAAAGACTTGGAACCAACCCAAATGTCCCTCAATAATAGACTGGATGAAGAAAATGTGGCACACATACACCATGGAATACTATGCAGCCATAAAAAAGGATGAGTTCATGTCCTTTGCAGGGACATGCGTGAAGCTGGAAACCACCATTCTCAGCAAACTATCACAACAACAGAAAGCCAAACACCGCATGTTCTCACTCATAAGTGGGAGTTGAACAACGAGAACACATGGATATAGGGAGGGGAACATCACACATTGGGGCCTGTTAGGGGCTGGGGGGCTGGGGGAGTGATAACATTAGGAGAAATATCTAATGTAGGTGATGGGTTGATGAGTGCAGCAAACCACCATGGCACACGTATACCTATGTAACAAGACTGCACGTTCTGCACATGTACCCCAGAACTTAAAGTATACTAATAATAAAAAAAGAATACAGAATATATATCTGTAATCAGCAATACCTTGAAGGGGTTATTGGAGAATGGTCTTAGAAACCAAGATGAGGATGCTAAGTGTGTTCTTTGCTACTGGGAAGTCAGGCTCCTATGTCCTCTGGGCTGTCAGAGGAAGAAAACCTGTAATAACCTGCAACTACCTATGGCTTTTTAGGACAAATATCTGCAGAGCACTTGGGTCTCCTTATGTGAACACTGGTATATCAAGATGACGGTAACCTCAGGACTCCCAGTTTATTTATTCATTTATTGATCATTCATTCACTGATTCCTTCAGTAGTTAATGAGCATCTTCTATTAGTAAGTGCCATGAATTTTTGTTAAACACTGAAGATGCATCACCAGACTACAGACACAAGTGGTTTCAGAGATTAGTGAGACCGAGGGAGGAGAAATGTTCCAGGTACAGGAACGGCCTGTGCAAAAACTCTGTGATGGAAGGAAGCAAAATACTTTCAAGGGAATGAAAGACTCTTGCAGCTAGTATACAGTCAGGAAGAGGAAACAGAAGGGGAATGAGCCAGAGGAAGAGGGCAGGGGCCTGCGAGATCATAGGAAGGAGTTTGGTCCTGATCTTGGGAAAGATGTTTGACCTTGAGCCTCTGAAGCTATCAGTCAGGGACATCAACCTGATCAAGACAGCGTTTTGGAACACTGGTTTCGCTGCTGTGTGGAGAAGAGACTGGTGCAGACTCAGAGTGGAAGCGGAGAGGTGATGAGTGGTCAGACAAAGAAACGAAGATAGGGTGGAGAGCAGGCGGGTCCTGCTGGAGACTGGTGATGGACAGAGAGCAACAGAAGCCAAAAGCTCTCTGAAACATGTTTCGGAAAACTGTTGCTATTTTTTTTATATATATCTATGTGTGTGTGTGTGTGTGTCTGTGTGTTGACCCAGTGTCTCGCTCTGTCACCCAGGCTGGGGTGCACTAGCATGATCTCGGCTCACTCCAACATCCACCTCCTGAGTTCAAGCGATCCTCCCACCTCAGCCTCCCCAGTAGCTGGGACTACAGACGCATGCCACCAGGCCTGGCTAATTTTTGTATTTTTGGTAGAGACGGGGTCTCACCATATTGGTGAGGCTGGTCTTCAACTCCTGACCTCAGGTGATCCACCGGCCTTGGCGTCCCAAAGTACTGGGACTACAGGCGTGAACTGTTTATGTGTTTATGCTTCTAGAAAAGGAGACTAAAGGTGGGAAGAAAAGAAGACATGAACAAGTTCTTCACTGAAGGCAGGAAAAGCAGGAAGAACACCAGAGCCCAGGAACGTGTCATGTGGACTGTGCCTTAAGAGACAGGGGCACTCCAATGTCCTTCAGATCTTCCTCAACGTGGATTAAACTCACCGTTCGCTTGCATGAATTTTATGGAAACCAGTGTAGCAAAGACTTTGTGGCCGAAATAACCAAGTGACACTACAGGGAACAAAGGGCTAGGGACATCGAGGGTCCTTAGATACAAGCCCCCTTTGAATTCAAAGGAATCTTAGATAAGTCTTTGAATCCCCCACAAGCAATGCATTTGGGCTTAAGGACCCATCCTACCTGGCTCTCTAGGTCCAGCAAAGTCTCCTGAGACCATCCCCATGCCTAAACCCAGCACCATGCCCTACACTTAAAAGGGACCATAAGTACTTTGCAGCTTATTACAGAAATCAAATAAATGACAAGTTATATTTGTCAGTAAAACACCAAGGAAGTTAAAAAATAGGTATCTAGGATGGCAAATGAGCTAATACCCATCCCAAAAAACAAACAAGCACAGAAATAAATAAATTAATGGAAATCTCTCATAGAGCTAAAGGAGTTTATTGGAAGATTAGGTTCTCAAACGTGGCTGAAATCCAAGTGCATTTCAGATGGAGGACGTATGATAAAAGCGGCAGCATTTCCCATTGTCCTTCAATGGTAGAGGAGATGATCTTTGGGAAAGATGGGGAGAAATGGAACTATGGCTCCCAGGTTTATAGGAGGCGGATTTAGCCTTCCTCACATTAGAAGCATTTATGGCTCAGTAAGAAATCCTCTCAAAAGAAGAAGTTACTTAGGCAAAGCAGTTTCTCCGAGAAAGCAGCCGGCCAGCACTAGCATTCTTATTCACCTGACTTCCCACAGAAACCCTGGCCTCTTGAAATAATTGTTTCTCATGCCCCAAAGCAAATGAACCACTCTCCCGCTTTAAATCATCCCTTTTTCTCTTTAGTTCATGATTGGCTTTCCCTGTGATGCATGTTGTGTTTGCGAGCATGAAGGAAATTATATAAAAACAAATTGCTTTGTACTGTACCATGATTGCCTGGAAATACTAAATAGATGGGCAAGGCAGCGTCGCAGTAACTTGCAGCTTCGTGAGTTAATGGATGGGATTGAAAAGTTTTAGCTGCTTCAATATGATAAATGCCCTTTGTATCAAACACGCAGGATATCCTTTTTGAGCAATGTATGAATTATTTCTAAAAGTAATGAATGACTTCGCATGGTAACCCAAAGCAAGGACAGGATAAATAGACGATTTTGTTTGTTTGTTTTTTTGTTTTGCTATCTCCACTCACAGCTCTCAGTGCCCTCCTTTGTTCCCTGGGCTACAAAAACAAAACAAAAACTAGTGTTTAGAAAATTTTCAAAGTAAAATTCCATTGTAATCCACATTCATGATTGATCATTGATGGTCATAATTGTTCAACATAAACACTAAATTTTGGTCATTTGTCCTGAATTTGTTTGATTATAGGTGGCATCATTATTTCAACAAATACGGATAGTTTATCTATGATGGGTCAAGTACTACTTTAGGTACAATGGTCCTAGCAACAAAAGAAACAACCCCCCTGCCTAAATAGCATTTATAAACTAGATGGAGGAAACAAGTTAATACACAACATTCCAGATAAGGATAAGAGCTAAGGAGGAAAATAAAGCAGAGAATATAGGGCTGGGAGGTCTGGGACTTGAGATAGCTGGTTGCTTTTTATTATATAAAGTGACTGGAGAAACCTCTACAAACTCTCAATTGTACCTTATCCATCTGTGATACCTCCAGCTCATTCTAATGTCTCTCCCTGCCCAACAGACAGAAAAAAGCACTGAAAAAGGGTAGGTTTGGGTAAATACAGCCATGAACTCAAATGCTGGTTCTGCAGTGTATAAATTCTGTGCATTTATACCAGTTACAGCATCTCCCGTATACTCCCCATTGGTGGAATGATGAAAATAATGCATATCTTGTAGGTAGGTTGTAAAATAAATGAGGTCAGACGTGCAAAGCACCCAACATTTTACGTACCTCAGGAAATGCTAATATCCTTATTTTGCCTTCCATTTCTGAAATAACATGTATTTAATATATGAGAATACAATTCAAACATATATGTATGCATACATATAATTACACACTTGTATATTTAGTATACACACACATGAAAACATTCCCTTAGGCCGGGAGCGGTGGCTTATGCCTGTAATCCCAACATTTTGGGAGGCCAAGACGGGCGGATCACCTGAGGTCAGGAGTTCGAGACCACCCTGGCCAAAATAGTGAAACCCTGTCTCTACCAAAATCACAAAAGTTAGCTGGGCAGGGTGGCAGGTGCCTGTAGTCCCAGCTGCTTGGGAGGCTGAGGCAAGAGAATCGCTTGAACCTGGGAGATAGAGGTTGCAGTGAGCCGACATCATGCCACTGCACTCCAGCCTGGGCAACAAGAGCAAAACTCTGCCTCAAGAAAAAAAAAAAAAAATATATATATATATATATATACACACACACACACACACACACACACACACGTTATATATATATATTTTATGTATACAATATTATTTTATATATATTCTTGTATATATTAGAATACAATTCAAACGCATATGCATATATATAATTACACAGTTGTATATTTACTATCCGCACACATGAAAATATTCTCTTATAAAGATTATGTATCTTTCCCTGTAAGCTAACCTGCCTCCCCAGGTCAAGACAGGGACTCCATTATGTCTTTTATGTCATAAAACTCCTGCTTCGTAAGTTTTGGCCACATTGCTGTGGTTGAAAGGCAACAGGAGAAAACTGAAAGGATAAGATGACATATCACAACTTTGCACAAGTTGCTACTTGTCAGCCAAGTGCCCACTGCCTGTGGTCTTCATTTCAGGCATTTCGTGGTGAGGACCAGGTGCCAGGCCATCCACCACTAAGGGAGGCAGAAGAGTGCCCTCATAGAAACCTAGGCCTCCAAGTTTTCAGACCCTGGTTCAAATCCCCATGCATCCACTTGTGAGCTAGGCATCCTTGCTGATGAGTATGACTTGCACTCTTTAAGTTTTTGTTGAACTTATTAATAAAACAGAATTAATGCCACCTACCTCCTAGTGTTGTTAATGAGGCTTAAATATGAAAATCCATGGACAATGCTTTAGGACCTAGTAATTACTCACAAGAGGGTGGTGATTATCAACAGAGAAGTGATTTAAAAGGTTACTAGTAAAAGGTCTTTCATAGATGTATGGATGCCATTGTTGGCATTCAGGCATCACCTTAGTTAAATAAACATTCCCTAAAACTAGTTAAATGAAGTACTTAGAAGTTGGGAAGTATATTCTAGAGAACACTGTTTTTTTTTTTTTTTTTTTTTTTTTTTTTTTTTTTTTTTTTTTTTTTTTTTTTTTCTTGAGACAGAGTTTCACTCTTGTTGCCCAGGCTGGAGCGCAATGGTGCGATCTCGGCTCACAGCAACCTCTGCCTCCTGGGTTCAAGTGCTTCTCCTGCCTCAGCCTCCCGAGTAGATAGTATTACAGGCATGCGCAACGCAACCACACCCGGCTAATTTTGTATTTTTAGTAGAGACAGGGTTTCTCCATGCTGGTCAGGCTGGTCTCGAACTCCCGACCTCAGGCAATCTGCCCGCCTTAGCCTCCTAAAGAGCTGGGATTACAGGCGTGAAACACCATGTATTTTTTACGATTTCTTCATCTGAATTTTTGTCTATACGCCACAAATAAATTGAATCCAATATCAATTGCATGATTTTTCACAAACCTAGGACTTTTTGAAATTTTAAGGGCTTTGAGAAGGATACTTGAGCGTACCAAAGTAATTAATAGTAAAAGTCTCTTTTCTACATGTTTTGCCAAGGAGAGACACGCACATTCACCATGGAAATCTCCAGCAGTTAAGCTCACCACTGCCCCCCATGGCATCCCCTGTAGAAGACACGAGTTCTAAACCAACTTGCCTTCCTTTCTTATCTCCTTGGACCTCTGAATTCTTGGAGTTGGATATCTTATTAATCATTTTTCCTATAAAGTATTGGAAAACCATGGGGAAAAATGGAGAAGATATCCAACCCTCCACTTGACAATTAGCCCAGCACTTAATGTTACTCTTTTTTTCATGGGAAATGCCATGATTTTCTATTTAGCTCCCATTGTTAATGCCAGGTTTGCTCTCTAGAGATGAAGATGTGTTCTCAATAGGACTGTACCTGCACTCTCTGCAAGCTGGAGCTGGAGTCAGGAACATTAGTGTAATCCTAGTAAGCCATGCAAATTGTTTACCAACCACTAATGACATAGGTCAAGAAGTCAGCTTTTCTCAAAGGGATCCTTTTAAAGGATGTTGAACAATTTGAGCCTTTCTTTGATCCTCATTATTTTAATTCTATGGGGTAGCTTTATTTTACCACAATATTCGTATCTCGATGATTTTTTCTTTAAATCTATTATCAAAAGTTTGAAACACAGAGTGGATGGTAAACATGGCTTGCACATCTTTTATCTGACAAAACTTCTAAGAGGTAAAATGTCAGCCTCCTTATCAGCTGAGTGAATTCTACACTCAAGTCGTCGGCTAGGTAAGGGATAACAGAAAGTTTTATCTGCTTTGAGTTCTGAAGGGCACTTTTCTGCTTTTTTTCTGGCTGCTCTAAACCTGTCTAAAATTCAGCTCAAAATAAGTATGTGTTTGGTTCAACCTCAGAGAGACAGAGGTTACTGCAGATAGGAATTTGAAAGAGATAGCAACCCACGGCACAGCATCAGCTCGCCTAGCCAACAGTTATTCTTTTCCATGAAGAAGTCTGCTGTAAGATCCTGATAAAATCAGGAATCAAATCTCAAGATAAGAATTTCTTTTGAAGCGCTTGACTTCCAAAAATGAGCAAATCTGCCTCTGTCCATCTCTATCCCCAGAAAAGCATAGTACACCTGAAATCTGCTTTTCCTGGGTTGCCATCTGATATGGTTTGGATCTGTGTCTCCGTCCAAATCTCACGTTCAGTTGTAATCCCCAGTGTTGGAGGTGGGGCCTGATGGGAGGTGATGGGATCAAGGGTGTGGATCCTTCATGAATGGTTAGCACCATCCCCTTGGTGCTGTCTCCTGAGAGAGTTCTCGGGACATCCGGTTGTTTAAAAGAACGTGGCACGCTCCCCACCCTCAGTCCTGCTCCTGCTCTGAGATGCCTCCTCCTGCTTTGCCTTCCGTCATGAGTAAAAGCTCCCTGAGGCCTCCCCAGATGCAGATTCTGCCATCTTTCCTGTACAGCGTGCAGAACCATGATCCAATTAATGCTCATTTCTTTATAAATTACCCCGTCTCAGGTATTTCCTTATAGCAGTGCAAGAACAGGCTGATATACCATCTCACCAAGCATGAGTAGGACTACAACAGGGCAAAGAGATTTCCCCTGACGTAAGGGCAGCATTTGCCATAGAAATGCCATATAAGTCTCTGTATAAGTGCTTTCTACTGAAGTATCTCATTCAATTCTCCAAGAAGCATATGGTGTCATCTATACCATCTCTCTTTTACAGAGGAGACAAATAGACAAGAAGGAACTAAATGATTTGCCTGAGTTTACACAGCTCCTAAACAGTGGAGCTGGAGTGTGAACCTGGATGGCCTGACCCCACATGTGCCCCACATTTTATCACAAGCCTATCTCCTCTCCTACAGTGCTCAAAACCAAGAGCAAAGACCTCAAACCACACAAACCCATAAAGCTATAACCTCCCTCAGAGCACTCCTGCCTCTTTCCCCTTCTCTGCCTCCCACACTTAGGATAGCTAAACTTGACCAAGAGGTATGAACGGGCTGGGTTTCCACCACCCACTTTCACGCCTGAAGGCCTGTTTTCCTGCTTTCTTGTATTCAGGAGTAAGCTAGGCTGAGATGCAAACATGTCTTCTCACCAGTTTCTGTATGATCTGCATGAGCAAATGAGCTGTTGGAGGTCACTGAGGAACTAAATGGTGTTGATTAATTCAACATTCACTCATTCTTTCAACAAACAACTGCTGTTTAGTTAGAGGAATGGGCCAGGCAGTCGCAGGTAGACTGTCAATTTTGATGTTTCCAAGCACTGTCACTGTGTACTGTGAATGTGTCTTATGATATTATTTGTGTCAAGTTCTCTGTGAACATAGGATATAATAATTGTTGATATACAGGGACATTTTGTTTCTCCTTGCTCTAAGATAAACTTCAGTCTCCTTCACCCAACCGTCTCTTGCGTCCTTCACCCAGCTAGCATCTATGCATATGCAAGATGCAAAGCCTCTCTCAGTTACTCCCAGGCCTCCACAGCGCCCCATGATTGACACTACACTGTCATAGTGAAGAACATTCTTTTCACAGCAACTATTGCATTTGTAATTAACTCATGCAACCATTTGTTTAGCATCTACCTTCACGGGTAGATTATAAGCCAAATGAGAAGAAAGGAACATGCCTGTTTGTTCACAGCTGTATCTTTAGAACCAAGCATAGTATGCAGCACACATGAAGCCCCCAGTAAAGAGGAGAGACAATGATGATGATGGTGGTTGAGGATGAGAACCATC
The DNA here is from genome assembly GCF_000001405.40 of Homo sapiens. Taxonomy (NCBI): domain Eukaryota; kingdom Metazoa; phylum Chordata; class Mammalia; order Primates; family Hominidae; genus Homo; species Homo sapiens. The sequence goes on along the minus strand of NC_000016.10, from coordinate 6,347,271 downwards.
TCCCGTTCACTGTCTACATTACCATGACTTCCCTAGTTGACTCTCTTCTTCACATCACTTTACTATTCCAGGAAACTCTTGGCCAGAAAGTTAAAAGTCCAAATGGCTTTATTGCCCATTCCAGGAACTTCTTCAGAGACCCACTTACTCTTGAAGAGAAAGCATCAAATGGCCACTTTCACCCTAAGATTCTTTGAACTCCTCAGCCCAATATCCTTGCCTTGCTCTGTCCATCTATTCTAAACTATAATATCATGATCTTTATTCAATGTAAACAAGGCTGTACATGGAAAGACCCACCTTACAACACACATTGAAATCTCAATAAATATCCTGAATTTGCCCATCCTCCTGGAACACCACCAAGACTCTGTTGAGGTAGTGCTCTCCCATAATTCAGTTAAACAGAAAACTCTGTCTTGTCAAGAGGTTATTCTGGTAATATATGAGAGATCCAGCGTTTGACATGACTAACATCAACCATCCCAAGACAAGCCTCAATTACGAAGTTATTTCAACTCTCTGCTCCAACATCATAACCTCAAAAAGGCATTTCTTGAGGCATTATCAAGACACTGTTAAAATAAAAAAACTATAGACAAATTAAATCTAACAGAGTTTAATTGAGCAAGGAACAATTCGAGAATCAGGCTGCCATCGGAACCAGAAGAGTTTCAGAGAGCTCCACTCCTCAACACAGGCAGTCAGCCTTTATGGACAGAAAACAGAAGTGAGGTAGGGAAGCACCTTGATTAGTTACAGATCAGCCTTGCCTCGTTGGAACAGTACCTGATCCCTTGGCCGCCTGGGATTATCTGAAGCTGAGCTGCCGTGATTGGCTGAGACTCAGCAACCTGTTACAGACTCACATTCCCAAGTTAGGCTTTCACTTAGTTCACATACTAAATTAGGCTGTAGTTTGTTAACTAAGGACTCAGTCACAGAGGCATCCTCAGGCCAAATATAGTTAAATTTAACAACACTATCTACAGCAGTACCTTCTGGCCGCTTCTATTCTCTCAGATGGATTGCTTGTTTTGGGCTCATTATTGGCACTATATATAATAAGTATTCACTTGCATATGTGTTGGAAAGGAAAATACCTTGGGCCCCCCAAATTACTAAGCTAAAGGGAAAAGTCAAGCTGGGAAATGCTTAGGGCCAACCTGCCTCCCATTCTATTCAAAGTCATCCCTCTGCTCACTGAGATAAATGCATACCTGATTGCCTCCTTTGGAAAGGCTAATCAGAAACTCAACAACACAACCACTTTGTATCCCACCTATCTGTGACCTGGAATCCCCCTCCCCGCTTTGAGTCTTCCTGCCTTTGTTTCGAGTTGTCCTGCCTTTCCAGACCAAACCAACGTATTTCTTACATGTATTGATTGATGTCTTATGTTTCCCTAAAATGTAGAAAACCAAGCTGTGCCCCAACCACCTTGCGCACATGTCGTCAGGACCTCCTGAGGCCGTGTCACAGGCACACATCCTCAACCTTGGCAAAATAAACTTTCTAAATTAACTGAGACCAGTCTTAGATTGTATGGGTTCACATGTGTCAACATCTGATCCCTCTTTTAGAATGTAAGCTCCATGAAGGGAGAAACTCGAGTTTGCTCCCAACACATCCTCACACCTAGGATTATGTCTGCCATGTAGCTGGGACCGAGTAAGTATAAAGGATGATGGAAGTGAGGTAGGAGGTGGCAACTGACTCTGGATGTGGGGATTCCCATACCAGGTCGGATAGAGGACTCGCTAAAACAGGGCTGGGGGAGAAGCAGCTTTCCATTAGACATGCACACCAGCCTGCCATGTCGGTTTACCACTGCCATGGCAACACCTGGAAATGACCACCCATTTCCTAGAAATGTCTGTATCATCTGCCCCTTAATTTCCATGTAATTAAAAGTGGGCATAAATATTGCTGCAGAACTGCCTCTGGGCACACTGCCTATAGGGGGAGCCCTGCTCTGTAAGGAGCAGTACGCAGTTGCTTCAATAAAAGTTACTGTTTAACACACCTGGCTCACCCTTGAATTCTCTTCTGGGTAAAGCCAAGAACCCTCCTGGACGCAGCGCCAATGTGGGGATTCATCTACTCTGCAGCAGGAGCTGTTTAAGTCTACCTAGGAGAGAACAAGGAAGTGGCAAACAGGAGAATGCTTTGCTTCACAAGAATCTAGTGTCTTGCTCTTCCAAACATCTCATCCTACTGTATCATCATAACACCCTAAAAGCCGCCATATATTGTTCTTGTTTTACAAATGACAGACTTGATGCTCACAAAGATTCTGTAAGACCAGGCCGGGCTCGGTGGCTCACACCTGTAATCCTCCCTTTGGGAGGCCAGAAATTCAAGACCAGCCTGGCCAACCTGGTGAAACCTCGTGTCTACTAAAAATAGAAAAATTAGTGGAGCATGGTGGCACATGCCTATAATCCTAGCCACTCGGGAGGCTGAGGCAGGAGAATCGCTTGAACCCAGGTGGTGGAGGTTGCAGTAAGCCGAGATCATATCACTGCACTCCAGCCTTGGCGACAGAGCAGTCTCAAAAAAAAAAAAAAAAAAAAACCGGGCTCGGTGGCTCACGCCTGTAATCCCAGCACTTTGGGAGGCCGAGGCAGGCAAATCACGAGGTCAGGAGATGGAAACCATCCTGGCTAACACGCTGAAACGCCGTCTCTACTAAAAATACAAAAAATTAGCCGGGCGCAGTGGTGGGTACCTATAGTCCCAGCTACTCAGGAGGCTGAGGCAGGAGAATGGCGTGAACCCGGGAGGCAGAGCATGCAGTGCGCTGAGATTGTGCCACTGCACTCCAGCCTGGGCGATAGAGACTCTGTCTCAAAAAAAAAAAAGAAAAAAAAGAAAAAAGAAGAAGAGAGAAGGAAAGATTGTGTAATTGTATAATACCAGGCCGGGCATGGTGGCTCATGCTTGTAATTGCAGCATTTTGGGAGGCCAAGGTGGGTGGATCACTTGAGGCTCAGAGTTAGAGACCATCCTGGCCAACATGGTGAAACCCCGTGTCTACTAAAAATATAAAAATTAGCCGGGTGTGGCAGCAGGCACCTGTAATCCTAGCTACTGAGGCATGAGAATCATTTGAACCCGGGAGGTGGAGGTTGCATAAGATCAAGCAGTGCCTCTCCTAGACATTGATCCTCCAACAACAGTTTCCATGATGCATATCAGGTGGCACTGGGTACGAGAAATAGAGATGAAGAAGGACTGATTACCTCCTTTCATCACAGTCTCCGATGCCCAGGAGAGGTTACTCTGCTAAGATTAGAATTAGACTGTGCTCAGCTGACATTTGTAACAGCCAGAGACTCGTGAAAACCTCAAGCAATTTACATGAGAAGCATCATCTTTAATTCTCAGGGGATGGTGATTCTTAAGGATGAAGACAAAGCCCAGGTTCATAGTAATCCTTAATCCAAAGGGAATATTATGCATGGAAAACACAGAATTAATCCCCCAAAATGACTGAGAAAGACGACTGATTCAAATCTCAAGACGAGTCCTGCTTTAAAATGTCTCATAGGAAGTTTGACATGCATTTGTATTAATTTTTAAACAGTAGCTAGCAATTCAAAAAACACTTTTTAAAAACTTTCTACATCTATAGGAAGCATGGAAACATGAATACCTTATTTGGTTTTGTTTTGGTTATTATTGTTGTTGTTTGTGGCAAAGATAATCCATAAGAAATGAAAGAAGGAAGGAATGAAAGAGAACAGGAAATATGTTCCACCTCAGGAGGGATAAGAAGAGGCTGAGTTATCCAGATAATTATCGCAAATCCTCACTTCAGTTCTTCAATGTAGAAAGAACTTCCCTGAAGACTATCTTCCTTTAACAACTGCTGAGCATAATTTAGGGGGAAAAATCTACTAATGACCCTCTATTCAAAAGGTTTGAGAAGGAGCAGTGGGTGGCATATTTAAATGATAATGAAATACCACCAGGGTAGGGGAAGACACAGATTACCTAATAGACAGAGTTTTCTACATTAATAATGACTGTAGAGTAAGAATGTCAGAAAATGAGAATAAGAATGAAAAGCCATTTTTCCCCGAATTTCTGATGAGACTATCTTTTGTGAAAAGAACAGAGAGGAAGAGGGGTATAAGAAATAAAGAAAGACCAAGAGACTCATTTTTCCATCTGCCCACTTTAAATTGTCACTTCTCCTCCCTTTTGATGGATTTAAAAGTAAAATCCTTATCAGAAATGACTATCAGATGGAGTTTCGTATCAAAAACCATGGTCTCCTAAAGGGAGGAGACAAACTTCAGAAAAAATATAAAGCGACAGAAGTTTGGAGATGATCTGTATTCAAAGCACCTGATTTCATCAGATTTCTCATTAGAAACAAGTGTCCCCATCAATGTAGGATAAAGCATTCCTCTCACACCAAATGAATACAAAATGTCAAGGTGATTAGCATAGACGAGCTTGTGAGTGGCATATAACAGAAATAACCTTGATAAGGTTCCTATCTCCAAATTTGGAGATACGCACCGAAGAGATTTATCAAATACCAAACACATTTCACAAAAAGCATTTAGAGGAATAAAGGTTATATTTGGAAGAAATGGACAGGAATGTGCATTCTGAACCTCAGATATGTATACCTAACTCTCTAATAGACATCCACGTGGATGCCACTCAGCAAAACCTACCTAACTTCATTACTTCTTCTACCCTCAATGCCTCAACCTTGAATCTCGTGAGGTTGCTGTGCACATCTTTAAATTTAGAGACAGGAACCTTATCAAGGTTGTTTCTGTTATGTGCCATTCATGGGCTAGTCTATGCTAAGCACCTTGACGTTTTGTATTCATTCAATGTGAAAAGATTGCCATGGCAAAACATGGGATCCTTCGTTTCTACTTGTTTTTAATCTATCTCTAATTCATGTCAATTCTCCCTGTTTAATATAGCCAGAATGCATTTCCACATGTCCATCTTCGTGGTGCCATCCTAGTCCAGACCACCGCCATCTCTCCCCAGGAGCTCTGCAACAGCTTCCCAACTGATAATCCCTTACACAAGCTTGCCTCCATTCCCACATTGCAGCAGAGTGATCCTTTGAAATGCAAATTGACCACCATCACTCCCCTTCAAAGCAGGGCTTTGATAGTTTGCCAATTCCTGTTTGAATTTGCACAAAATCCTTACTGTGCCCTGTGCTAGGCAGAATAATAGGCCCCCCAACAGTGTCCACATGCTACTTCCTGGAACCTGTAAGTATTTTATGTTTTATTGCAAAGGAGAATTAAGGTTGTAGATGGAATTAAGGTTGCTAATCAGTTGACCTTACGCAAGAAATTATTCTGAATGATCCAGGTGGGTTCAGTGGAATCACGAGAATCGTTAAAAGTGTCACCAGAAAGCAGTCCTGATTTGGACTCCAATAAACGGTTCTTGGATTTTGTGTAAGAAAGAATTCAGGGAGAGCCCACAATGCAAACCAAAAGCAAGTTTATTTAGAAAGTAAAGTGGTGAAATAACAGCTACTCCATAGACAGAGTAGGACATTCATAATGTAAGAGGAGGAAACCAGCCACCCTATGTACAATGCTTGTTTATATACAGCATAACAAAAAAAAAATGGGAAGATGTGCTTTACTATCAGGGTTTGTGATAAAGGATTAATTTTCTTAATTACTATATTTTGCAAGAATCAGCATTATTATCTTTAAAGCAAAATTAGGAATCCTTTTGTTTTCAAGATATGGGGATATCAGGACATTCTGAGCCTGGGTCTGTTTAGTAAACATTATTAATCTGTTCCCTTAACTGTAAATATCTAGAGGCTAGGAATCCCTAACTTCCTATGAATGCCGCCCAGGAAGTCTCAACCTCCTTTTACTCATCTCCTATACAAGATGGAGAAGAACGAGGTAAAAGAAGAGTCAGTATCAGAGGGATTTGATGTGAAAGAGACTCAACCTGCCATTGTCGGCTTTGAAAATGGAAGGACGCCACAAGCCAAGGAATGTAGGCAGCCTCTAGTGGCCAAAAAAAAGCAAGGAAACAGGTTCTTTCCCATAGAGAGTTCAGAAGGAATGCTGCCCCATTGACACCTTGATTTTAGCTCAGTAAGACCCATGTTAGACTTTTAACTTCCAGAACTGTAAGACAGAAAATTTGCATGGTTTTAAATCAATGATTTGTGATCATTTGATGCAGCATCAGTGGAAAGCTTACACATGCCCTACAAGACCCTAGAGACAGTGGACACTGCCCATCTCTGTGGCTTCATTCTGTGCCACTCTCTGTCCACCCCTTCCCCTTTTTTCTTCTGGTTTTCCTAATGCTTGTGATCCCCCAGGTCCCCAGAAGTGCTGTTACCTCTCCTTTGAATGTCTCTCTTTCCCTGGCTCACTCTTGTGTCAAAGGCATGTGAACAAGGGCAACTCCATATTGAATAGGGGCTGCGTAAAAGGAGGCTAAGACCTACTGGGCTGCATTCCCAGATAGTAAGGAATTCTAAGCCACAGGATGAGACAGGAGGTCAGCACAAGATACAGGTCATAAAGACCTTGCTCATAAAACAGGTTGCAGTAAAGAAGCCAAGATCCACCAATACCAAGATGGCAATGGGAATGACCTCTGGTTGTCCTCACTGCTACACTCCCACCAGTGCCATGACAGTTTACAAATACAAGGCAACGTCAGGAAGTTACCCTACATGGTCTAAAAAGGGAAGGCATAAATAATCCTCCCCTTGTTTAGCATATCATCAAGAAATAATCATAAAAACAGGCAACCAGCAGCCCTTGTTGCTGCTCTGCCTATGAGGTAGCCATTCCTTTATTCCTTCACTTTCCTAAGAAACTTTCTTTCACTTTACTCTGTGGATTTGCCCTAAATTACTTCTTGCTTGAGATCCAAGAACCCTGTCTTAGAGTCTGGATCCAAACCCATTTTCGGTAACACCAGTAACTAATTTAGGTCATGAGTGAGCTAGGCCTAACTCTCCCCCAACCCCTATACTTCCTGTCCCCTTGCTGCAGATAGTCGGACGGCCTGTTTCGTGACCCCTTAGCACCCATACTATTCATCACTCTTGTTAGCACTGAAGCCATCCTCACATGGTTAACAAGAATTTTGGGCAGAAATATGGTCATAATTAAGTATTAATCAGGCTGCACTTTGTTCCACTTCCTTCTAACTGAAAGTCACTAGATACCAACCTTTTGCATCCCCATTGTTCCTGTACATAGGATTTCTGATACTAGAATCATAAAGCTTTTGTTTAAGAATTGCTTAAGATGGGCTGGGCACGGTGGCTCATGCCTGTAATCCCAGCACTTTAGGAGGACGAGGTGGGTGGATCATGAGGTCTGGAGTTCAAGACCAGCCTGGCCAAGATGGTAAAACCCTCTCTCTACTAAAAATAGAAATAAAAAAAAATCAGCTGGGCATGGTGGCAGGCACCTGTAATCCCAGCTACTCAGGAGGCTGAGGCAGGAGAATCGCTTGAACCTGGGAGGCAGAGGATTCAGTGAGTCAAGATCACACCACTGCACTCCAGCCTGGGTGACAGAGCGAGACTCTCTCAAAAAATAAAATAAAATAAAATAAAATAAAATAAAATAAAAAATAAAGGAATCGCTTAAGATGTTTATCAAATCCAACATTCCAGTGAAACAGCTGATGCCAACCAGTTTAAAGACCTCCCAGAGAGGAACAGAATCAGTATGAGAATACTGTTTACCTCCCTGTCCATGACTTTACGATGACCTCTTTGATCAATGAATGATCTCCACATTTTAGCCCTCTCCAAGAACCCTAGCCCTCAGCTCCTCCGGGAGATGGATTTGATGTTTGCTGCTCCTCGTTCAGCAGCCCCATAATTAAACCACTTTCTCTGCTGTAACCCAGTGTCTCCTATTGACTTGCTGCACACATCAGGCAACAAACCTATTAAAATCACAGCACTTCTTCAAGTTCAAGATGATTGACTCAGGTTGGGTTGCTTGGCATTTCCCTGGCTTTAGTATGAAAGTCCCACCTCTAAGGACACTCCTCAATTGTGGAAATCCTGGGATGGCCAGTTACTCTGTCAACTTGGCCTTCCTCAGCAGCACAGTGCCTGGCATACAGTAAGTATTCCATAAAATATTCATTTAATGAATCAATGAGTTTTGTTTTCTGCCCGCTTTCACTGCATGCACATACATTTCTTGCCATATTCCATTCCACTCCTGATCCTTCTATCTAATTGTCTAAGTCTGCCCCAGGCTACTGGATCCTGGGAATTACCCAAATCTGTAATCATGCCAGTCTCCTAGAGCTATGCCACCCCTCACCCCTTCCCATTTCATTCTCCTGCATTATGAGAATGAGTTCTTGACTAATTCATTCAATGAAGAAAACTTTTATTGTGTACCTACCACAAAATAAAAGATTAAGTTCCTTTGGATACATTTCTACAGGTTCAAATTGTTCCGTACTTTTGAAAGTGAACATAATAATGGTCACCTGGTTTGAGAAGTTGGTTAAACATGCACTCTTTGAAGAAGAACTAACTTTTTCAGGTCTCTTGAGTGCCATTGTATGTCTTAGAAGAGGAATGAATTTGGAATTACATAACCAGGTAGCCACTGTTGTGGATTTCTAACCTTTAAAGTACTCTTTAAGAGAAAGCCAAGAACTTAGATTTCATCCAGTGACCAAGTTTTTAAAAAAATATTTTAGTCCCAGTGCTCAACTGTATGAGAATTTGTTTTTGCTTGAACTGTGTTAGTTTTCAAACTACTATTAATAAAGATCAACTCATCTGCCTATTAAAAATTCAGATTTCCATCTAGGCACACGCCCAGAGTTTTTGATTTAGAACCTACTGACTGATATTCTAGTAATTAGCTCAGGAATTGTGATGGAGAGGACCTTAACAAACTTCAACATTGGCAAGTTGTCTAATTATTAACATGGTATTAAAAATAGGTAATCTTGATATAATCCCTTCAAAAGCTTATAATTATGGATCAAAAGGAATACAGGTGTAGGTGTGTGTGTTGCAGTGGGAAGGTATTCAAGTGAAGAGGTGGGGAAAATATTCATAAAATGTAATACTTAATGGAAAATGAAGGTATCTTTTTATTCTCACCACTAAAAAACAGTAATCCAAAGTATCTGATAGTAGAATATCACGTATTTCACATATTGCAGACAAAAATTACCTGGACAAAACCATCTGGATAAAATTGTCCAAAGTATTGCTTGCACATCATGAAACATAGTAACAAAACCTTGAGAATAAAACTGTCGCTTTTCTGACTTTGTGAAAATGCCATCCACTTAGTGATTTGGCATGCATTGGGACTGAGATATGAGCATGCTGCCTTCCTGATATTGACCAGTTTGTACCCAAGGGGGTGTTTTCTCACAAGGCAGACATACAGGATATCTTTGGAGGGATTCTCAAGAAGAGGCAGGAGGATTCGTCTCAACGTGGAAAAATTTTCTTATGATTTTCTGTGCCACTGTCACTTTAATACTTTTATTTTTTTTACAGAGATGGTCTTATAAAGATGTGTTTTGCCAAGTGATTACCTAAGCTTTCCTAAGACACGTATCAATTAGAGAGAAAACAGAGACAATAAGTAGTGCTTGCTGCTTGACAGCACGTGTCTTTGTAGCCTATATATCTGCCTCTACTGGGCTGCTTGTAAGAATGTGGCATCCAGGTGTACAATTGAGAGACTTACTTCCACATCAATCATTTCCCCCCATTAATTTATTTCCACTCCTTTGCCATTTTGGCTCTCCCAGCCCACAACATATATTCGTATTCTCGTTCTTTCACCTGCAAATATCTGAGGTTTGTTCTGGTTTGGGTTATCCTGGAACAACTTTGGCTTTTCAGGTTGATGGCGGTGATTCAAATTACTCACCCCATATTCGCTGCTAAGAAGCCATCCCTGTTGGGACGGCACAATACAGAAAGACTTGGCATCAGCATGTCGACTTTAAATGCACCATTAAAGGAGACCATTGAACCTCATAGGGCCCTCCTTCTTTGGTGTTTTGGGGGAAATGAGAGAAAAGGGGAATCAACATGCCACATGGTGGGTGGATTTCTTCAGAAATGCATTAATTCATAACATGGATAAATATAAAGCATTTATAGACTCCCTCCATGGAAATAAACTGTCGAGTAATATAAAGTGCTCTGAACTCTTGGGTTCCAAAAAATGGGTCAGATTGAAAAATGCTTTCCTCAATGCCATTTTGAGTTCCTTTAGAATAAGGGTTGCAATGTAAACTGCTCTGGATCACAAAGAAAAACTCGAACAGTGATTTTGCAGATAGTAGATTGCCAATAAATGATATTTCTTGAATATGATAAAACTCTGACTAGGCTCTTTTTAAATGAAGTAACTTCATTTGTCATGGATCGTTTTCACTCAGGTGTTAAAGGATTTTCTATGTCTTCTCTGACCTTCTGCAGCTATACATCCAGTCTTCCTTACAGTGGTACTTTCCCACTGCATAGCCTGTCCTGCTGTGCAAACTGTCTCCACATCTATCATCTCATCCAATTTCCCCCCCACCTCTTTACAGAATCTTATGGCTTTCAGAGATGAGGAGACAGAGGCCAAGGAAGTTGACAACTGGCAAAGTTCTCCCGGGTGGTGTGTGATGAGGCTGGAACTGAAGCACTAGTTTTAGAATCAACATCCAGCCCTCTCTAGATTATAAATCCAGCCCTCTCTACAGCACATCATGAGATATCAGCTCTGTAGGAAGAATGCTGAAGTTCAAAGCTAGCTCTGACATTTACTTACCAGTGGGTCTTGACTTCTCAGAGCCATAGGGTCCCCATTTCAACTGAGACTAAAAATAAATCACAGTTCCCCGTCTCTACTAAAAATACAAAAAATTAGCCAGGCGTGGTGGCGGGCGCCTATAGTCCCAGCTACACGGGAGGCTGAGGCAGAATGGCGTGAACCTGGGAGGCGGAGCTTGCAGTGAGCCGAGATCTCGCCACTGCACTCCAGCCTGGGCGACAGAGCGAGACTCCATCTCAAAAAAAAAAAAAAAAAAAAAAAAAAAAAAAAAAATATATATATATATATATATATATATATGTATATGTATATATATGAATATATATATATCACAGTTATTTAAGCCTTCTTATTTGCAAGTATCCATTTGTTGTTCCATTTACCAAAAGAGGAAACCAAGGCTCACAGAGTCAAGAAGCTGCCAAGGTCACAGACTGAGGTCAAAGATGGAGGCTTGATTCCACTATGAATGGGCTTCATTCTCCCATCATGCTGCGTCTCTCACCCACTGCCTACTGTGAGGCTGGAAAACCAGGCAATACCTGGAGAACAATGATGGACATATGGACATAGGAAATATCACAATGCAGGTTCTCTGACTTTACTACAGATTTTCCATTTTTTTGTTTTATTTTTTCTTTTCTTTTCTTTTCTTTTTTTTTTCTTTTTTTTTTTTTTGGAGACAGTCTTGCTGTATCCCCCAGGCTGGACTGTAGTGGTGCGATCTCAGCTTACTGCAATCTCCGGCTCCCGGGTTCAACCGATTCTCCTGCTTCAGCCTCCCAAGTAGCTGGGGTTACAGGCGCGCGTCAACACACCCAGCTAATTTTTGTATTTTTAGTAGAGACGAGGTTTCACCATGTTGGCCAGGAGGGTCTCAATCTCTTGACCTCGTGATCCACCAGCCTCGGCCTCCCAAAGTGCTGGGATTACAGGCGTGAACCACCGCGCCCGGCCTGATTTTTTATTTTCATATTTACTGCATTTCTCATTATGATGAACATGGTTAAAGAAATGCCACTGTCTTTAGGTATATTTACCAATAGCACATTTCTAGAACTTCCTCCCTCTCCTGGCTCTCTTCTCTGAGGACGTATTTGTTTAGAGAGATGCATGAATAAAGCAGCATGCAGTACCAAGACCTACCACCTGGGGCCTGACGCGCATTCAAACATAAGACCACCACCTTCAAAGCCATCCTACTCACTTTTGCCTCCCATTTCTCTGAAATGAATGGAACCATCTTCCCGTCTGCCTTACGTGTCTAACACACATTCCAGTGTGAGTGTCATTTGCAACAGAATCCAATAGTATAAATGGATTAAGCGCTAAGCAAGCAGTATTCCCTAAACAAAACTGCAGAAAAATGTTCCTACAATTAAACTATCACATCGAAAGGGGATTTAGTTAGAAATACTAACAGGCATAATAGGTATTCCCAACTGAACTGTAACATTACTCCTGACATTATAGGATGACACTGTTCTCTCTTGCTTGACAGTAATATGAAACCAGGTCATCTTAAAATGCATTCACCAACCCAAGTAGATCCAGTCTCCAGAAGCAAATATCTCTCCCTCTTTGACCACAGGGGAAAAGTTTCTTCTGTCTAGAGCAGAATGGCAAAAGCTGGTATATATGTTACCTGCCACCTCCCCTTCCTGTACCCATGGAAGACATTGCTAATCAATCTCAGCACTTTCCGGCTGAGTTCCAATGAATTCTCAACAGAACTACAGGGATCCTCTGCGAATGAGAACTGGCAAGCAAGAAGAAATCTACTTGCCTGTCCTCTGTCTTATTTCACTCAGCCTGGAATAAAACTCCCTATGACCCAATCCAGATACACAGATGTGAAGAGTGCCTAAATCTATGGGATATTGAATCTTATTTCTCAATATATAATGACGATTCTAGCATATTTCTTTGATTTTTTTTTTTTTTTTTGAGATGCTATCTTGCTCTGTTGTCCAGGCTGGAGTGCAGTGGCATGATCTCGGCTCACTGCAACCTAGACCTCCTGGGTTCAAGCAATTCTCCTGCTTCAGCTTCCTGAGTAGCTGGGACTACAGGCGCACACCAACATGCCTGGCTAATTCTTTGTATTTTAGTAGAGATGGGGTTTCACCATGTTGCCCAGGCTAGTCTCAAACTCCGGAGCTCAGGAAATCTGCCCACCTTGGCCTCCCAAAGCGCTAGGATTACAGGCGTGAGCCACCACACCTGGCCACTTTCGTTGACTTTTAATAAAACTACTTCTCTGTGGAGTGGCTGACAAGTTGTCCTTATCTTTCCAAGTACCACTAGCCGGCATCTCTCAATAACCCTAAAGTAATACTTAGATTTCCTCTCCAAGTTGTTATTTCCTTCTTTAATCAAGGAAAATTTACTCAATGGTTAAAATATTTCTCTAGAAAAATCCTTCGGAGTCTAGTCATTCTGTTTCCTGCTCCCCCCTACCCCCACCAAAAAAGAAATAATTTTAATTCACTTTAATTGTTCTTTGGCCCTCGGGGTACTAAATAGTTATGCCCTTCTATGAGTTAGCATAGGGTGGCTTTCTTTTGATTTCTTCAACTAATGAGACAGTAGAAAATCATCTAGTGATATGAAAAATCACTTTATTATTAACTGATAAATAAATCTGACAGATGACAAGTATCTTTGTAGAAAAGATGTTACTGCTTTCTAACCATTCGTTGATGTAACATCTTTTAAAAGCCAATTCCTAATGTCTGTGATCTAAAAACTTAAACATATGCCACCTATTCTAAACTTAAGTCCATCCACGAAAATAAGCCTGTATCCATTTCTGATATATATATTTTTTAATTTTAAGAGTTTTTCAGAGGTGTAGAAATGACTGGACCATTTCGTAAACCAAACTCTGAAAAATCAAGGATGAAAAGCTGATGAGAAATTTGACAAGTGATAGAAAAGAATGTGAGGCAAAGAGAAGCTATGATGACAAAGGGAGATTTGAAAAAACACTGAATAAAAAGCAGAAAAGAAATGGAGAAATCTCAGGACTAAAACAACAGAACTATCAGATCCAAAGAACAAAACAGCTTTAAACAATATGAAAGAGTATAGCAAAGGAAAGAATGTCTGGCTGGGCGCAGTGGCTCACACCTGTCATCCCAGCGCTTTGGGGTGCTGAGGCATGTGGATCACCTGAGCTCAGGAATTCAAGACCAGCCTGGCCAACATGGCAAAACCCTGTCACTATGAAAAATACAAAACAAAAATCAGCTGGACATGGTGGCACATGACTGTAGTCCCAGCTACTCGGGAGGCTGAGTCAGGAGAATTGCTTGAGCCCGGGAGACAGAGGCTGCATTGAGGGGACATCATGCCACCGCACTCCAGCCTAGGTGGCAGAGCAAGATGCTGTCTCAAAAAAGAAAAAAAAAGAATGTCACATGTCAAGGACATCAAAACATGACATTGGATCAATAATAAAATACAATCAAAACTCTCAGTAAGATATTAAATAATGATTATGATCTGTTAGAATGGCCCATGTTCTGTAAGGTGTAGCTAATATATTGATCATCTATGTTCTATAACTTTCATAAGAGATGGGCATCATCAATGAAGGATTCATCTCTACATTTTTCCAACACCTTTCATCTACCCTTCTAGTCCACGGCATGGTTTATGCTGACTTTCTCTTCTCTGAACACCTTTAAGTTCTCTGAACTATTCACTAAAACAGTAGACTCCTATACACTAAATGGTTAGGAGAGGGAATTTTTCTCCACTACCTTCCTGTTCCCAGAACCCCTAATGTGGCCTCACAAGCCTTGACCAGATGTGTATGTGTATGTGTGTGCATGTGTGTGTATGAAGATATAACAGCACGCTATGCTGTGACATGAACATTTTATGAAGGAAAGAAGTAATGTGCTGAGAATTTAAATCAACTAGCTATCGTCACAGTCAGTCATGTCTCCTATATTCAACATTATTCCTGCCATCCCTAATAGTTTTGCCTATTAATGTAGCTTACAATTGCTATCCAACCTTTCTAATATCTGTTTGTGCATTCATATGTTCTGAAATTTTGACTTCCACGGAGATTCTAAAGTCTTATTTATGTCTTACCATTATTTTTTCCCACCAGTGTAGCTAAAATGCCTCACACAGTGACAGGTACATAATAAACACTCAGTAAATGCTGGTTGATCGAATTTAGCTCTTCCCGCCTTCTACGTTGCCATACAAGTCTCTTAATATTGCTTTCATTTTCATAGCTATTCATTCAATTATTCTTCCTCAAACCTTAAATGAGGCAGGCCACCCCTTCTCCCAGGCATCCACATATTAGCACTTTCTTCATTCGTCTTCCATTTACATCTAACTAAACTAATTATTTTCCTGCTACCTCACACCCCATTGGTGTTACACAAACCGCTGAGACAGCCCTATCTCCTGCAGGCATCGCTTGTTTCTTTTCAGCAGCCTGTTGTAACAGGAGTGACAGAACTATTAAGAATGTCAGCCTCTCATGCATGAGAAACTTATGTGAAACAAATGGTGTCATCCTAGGTAGGATGGAAGATGGCAGCCAAGGCAAACTCAGGAACCAGCAAGACCCCACCAAGCAAACTTTAATAGGGGAAGAAGAAACTATTTGTACATTTCCAGGGCAATACACAAATAAATACAATTTTTTTTTTTAAAAAAAGGTGAAACAAAAAAAATTGCATGATTTCTGCAGGACTTAGGACATACTGGTGGCACTCTCTGATGCACCAGAGAATTGAGCAAATGGTTGAGATTTATGCAACACTGAATAGAAAACAGAAGATAGATTAACAGATAGATTATATATATATATATACACATATATATACACACACATATATATATACACACACACATATTATATACATATATATATATAGAGAGAGAGAGAGAGAAACAGAAAATGGAGGATCCTTCCATTTATATCCATTCCCACAACTCACCCCTATTCTAAGCCAATGTCATCCTTCCCTCCCAGACTTTTTTTCTTCATTCTGTCACCCAGGATGAAGTGCAGTGGTGCGAACTTGGCTCACTGCAACCTCCACCTCCCGGGCTCAAATGATTCTCCTGCCTCAGCCTCCCCAGTAGCTGGGACTACAGGCATGCACCAGCATGCCTAGCTAATTTTTTGTACTTTTATTAGAGATAGGATTTCACCATGTTGATCAGGCTGGTCTCAAACTCCTGACCACGTCCACCTGCCTTGGCCTCCCGAAGTGCTGGGATTACACGTGTGAACCACTGGGCCCGGCCCCAGACTATTTCAATAACCCACTTAACTGTTCTTTTTGCCTCCTCTTCAAGCCTTCTTCAACACAGTAGCCAGATCAATACTTTCTTAAAAACACAAGTATTACTAACTTCCTTACTTTTTCAGATCCCTTAAGAGCTGCCCAAGGCACTTAGGATAAAATCTGAAGTCTGTACCTTGATGGTAATCTCTCTCATATCTGCTCTTTCAATTCCATCCTATGTCCCCTTCTAGGATTCTGTTCTAACCATACCATCCTTTAATTCCCCAAAACCACCGAAGTCTTGCTCCTCTCCCAGAGAATTTGCCCTAGAATGTCTCCACTTAAATATCACTTCCTTGATCACCTACATTAAATGGCCACACACTGCATACATTCTTATCACACGCTGGTGTGTTTACATTGCAGCACTCACTGTGATTTGTAATTATACTATTTTATTGTACAGTTACTTATCTAATATTTGTTTCCTCTAGAGAAAGTAAGACCCCTGAGTCTAGGCAGCATGGGTGTCTGGTTTTCCCACTGTGTCTCTCGCGGCTAGCACATGCCTAGCATAGAAGAGCACTCACTATGTACTTGTTGAATGAATGAATTGCTGTAGTTCCCTGCTTGATATAGTGAGACAGCAATTCCAGTAAGGAAGAGATGAGGAAGAGCATCACAGGAATGTTAGGGGCCCTATTCTGATTCCTCACCTTTCACCATATCCCTTTTCAAAGCCTTCATAGTGGGGACTAGAGGGTTTGAACAGAATCATCAGTGACTTTGAGCTCAGTACTACGAGAGCTGCTGTGCAAGGCTTCTTGGGAGCCTTTGTGCAGGTGTGAAACCTTCAAGTTCTTCAAAACCTCATGTTTGCAGAGTCAGCCTTAGGAAAGGAGCTTGCAATCTGTTTCAGCCACCACTACGCAGGAGTAAGACCATGTGCTTTGAATAATAAGGTATTTTTGAACTTTAGAATAGTTCTCCTTCCTTTACTTCCCTATCCTTATGACTTTTTTATTAGAATATTTGCATACTAAGTATTAAACTACAGATATGTAGTATTAAACTACAGACATACATTATTGTACAGTGTGCTCATGTTCTTCATCTTTCTTTGCATGGGGAAGAAGGGAAAGATGAAGGAAAGCTACACAGTAGAAGTCAATATTTTTAAAATCATACCAGTCATCAACTTCATCCACCTTGTGGTTTTTGATTTTGTTTTTGTTGTTGTTATTTGTTTGAGACAGAGTCTCACTTCTGTCACCCAGGCTGGAGTGCAGTCATGTGATCTGGGCTCACTGCAACCTCTGTCTCCTGGGTTCAAGTGATTCTCCTACCTCAGCCTCCCAAGTAGCTGGAATTACAGGTGTGTGACACTATTCCCACTTAATTTTTCTTTTTGTATTTTTAGAAGCGACATGGTTTGACCATGTTGGCTTGGCTGGTTTTGAACTCCTGACCTCAAATGATCCACCCGTTTTGGCCTCCCAAAGTGCTGGGATTACAGGCATGGGCCACCATGCCTGGCCTTCATCCATCTTTTGAAGAAGTGGAGTTGTAAATATAACCCAGACATTAGCTGAGGTCTCCAGGCACCAGAATCCTCAAGGCCACCTCCTGATGAAGACAATCGCCTTTGTCACTATTTCTTTGATGAGACTTACAGTCCCACTGGAACTTTTGTCTCAGAGTTCTGCATATAGAAAGAGTTTAGTATAGTGGTCAAGAGCGTAGACTCCACAGTTGAGATGGGTGGAATTCAAACTCAGCTCCAGCTTTTGCATGCTGTCTAACTTTAAGAAATCTATGTATCCTCTTCCAGTTCCAGTTTTCTCATCTGTAGAAGAGTAATAATTAGCAGAACCTATCTCACTCAGTCATTATAAGGATGAAATGAGGTGATGCTTGTAAACTTCTTAGTACACAGCCTGGCCCATAAGCAAAACTTCCACCATGTTAGCTGTTATCTTAAGAATGACTAGGAACAACAACTGCTTTCCACTTCATGGAGTCAGGTAGGAATTCAGCACTTGAAATAACTTCCATCCATGATCACTCTCAAACCATTATGAGTATGAGTTTTGAAAGGAAAGATTAACTTCAGGGGGAAGGGTAGAAAAGGGCACACAGAGTCGGGGGGATTGGTTTACCACACAGCAAACCACTTCAAATTGAACTTCAGAACCAGCTGCTGATTTCCTAGGGACTCTTTCTTTCACATAGACATCTGATTCCCACCCACTTGTTGGTTGGATCCTTGTCTTTCATTTTCTCTCTTCTCTCTTCTTCCTTATCAGAGCACAAGGTTTTCTTTAACTCAGCAGAGCAGTAATCACGACTCCCTTTTGCTGAAATGATCACTGCCCAAGCTATACTCCTTGGGTCCCATTCTCTATAGTAAAAGGTTTATCCCTAACAGGCATCCCCTCCTCCCAAAAAGGAATTTTTATTTAATCTTCACAAGAGACCTATGGTTTCCTATTGCCATCCTCATGAGAGAAGATGAAACTGGAGCTGAGAAGGATTAAGTAACTTTCCTACTTTGCATACATAGTGAATAGAGGGCCAAGATTTGAATCCTCATTTGGTTGTCTCCAAGGCTGTGCATTTTCTACTGGGACTGCTGCTTTGTTTATTTGAATCTTAATGAACTGCTAGATGTGACCCATAGGGTCTATTGAGCATATACACCCAAAAATAATCCTAGCTTATTTGGCCTCACAATGCACAACATTAAAAAAAATTATTACCATCGGTTTTTGGGGGGAACAGGTGGCATTTTGTTATATGAATAAGTTCTTTAGTGGCGATCTGTGAGATTTTGGTGCACCCATCACCCGAGGAGTATACACTGAACCCAGTTTGTAGTCTTTTATCCTTCATCCCCCTCCCACCCTTTCCCCTCCAGTGCCCAAAGTTCCTTGCATCATTCTTATGCCTTTGCATTCTCATAGCTTAGCTCCCACTTATGAGTCAGAACATACGATATTTTGTTTTCCCTTCCTTAGGATAATAGTCTCCAATCCCGTCCAGGTTGCTGAAAAAGCCACTAATTCATTTCTTTTTATGGCTGAGTAGTATTCCATTATGTGTGTTTGTGTCACAGTTTGTTTGTCCACTCATTGATTGATGGGCATTAGGGCTGGTTCCAGATTTTTGCAACTGCAAATTGGCAATGCACAACCTTTATACGTTTCCACCCAGATCATTTTCAGAAGCTGTCTTCTGAGTGTACGCCCCATAAAAGCAGACTGGGACCACGGTGCATGCAACAAAGTTCTTATACATGAATTTATGGATAGAACAGTAACCCACGGGATTGAAGAGCCATTAGACCCCTCATTTCCTAACCTTTGTCAAGAAATAACATGGCATTCATCTCAGATCGGTCAAGAAGAGAGGCTCCTGGCTTGAATCTGTATAGAAATCATGTCTTGCACCAGAATCTATGTATTCTGAAACTCCTTTTTCTTTTCTTGGACATTATCATGTCATAGAGCAATGAGTTATTTTCTAACCAAGATTCCCTCTCTATTCTGTTTCTTGAAGGTATAGATTCTATTTGACTCCTAATTGCAAAGTCATTGCCTAGTTCCTCTTAAATATAATCTGAGTCCTCATTATGGGCAAATAAACAATAGGCAGCTAAGAGCAGAAAGCCCAAAATACAACGAACTGACTGTAAATGAGCAAATCCATTAAAAAATGGGTTAGAAAAATATATCCAAAGTCATAAAGATGCTTCTATCCTTTGACTTATACTTCTCAGGCACTTATCCCAAAGATGAAAACTCTATAGGTGCTAAGTAATTAACTCTAGTGATTCTGGTATTAGTGAGAAAAGCAGAAACCTACTAGATATTCTAAGATAAAGCGGAAAAACATCATCCTGATGTTATATTGTGTGGCCATTATAATGATGATCGCAGGGAATGAGAGAGCAACATGAATAAAAAACAATGCTTAAGCAGCTTCAGGGAAGAAATAATAACACAAATCACAAGCCCATGATGACCACAGCTTTGGACCATACATCTGGACTGGGATTGCAGAGGAAAGTGGAGAAGGAACGACAGTGGCTTGTGGACAGTGGTGCATGTTAGAGCCATTCAGGTGCAGGTGAATCTCATTTCCTCCATGTCTTCAGAGAGCTGTCTGTGTGATAAGTTTAAAACGAGCACAAAGAAGGTCCCTGAGATGTGGATTCTGCTCCAAAATGAAAGACGAGCATTTGGAGCACAGCCTCCAGGTGAGAGAGCCCAGCTTTGCATGCAAGACATGGAGATTTCCCTTCCTGGAGCCACACCTGCACCGGCTGTAGTGTGTGATTATGCTCTCGGGCCATCTGCTCTGGGGTTGTGAAGGCAGTCGTGTGTCCTCCTGCCTGGACGTCAGGGAGGACACCGATCACTAGTCAATCTGCTTGAAATTGCCTCCTATGATTAGTGTGTAATGACTCAGGTAGGTCATGGCCACGGACGTTTCTGTTATTAATGCATTAGCAGCTGTAAATGGGCAATGATTCTGCACAGAGTGCAGGTTTATGGACTTGGTGGGAGAGTCTGTCCCTGTGAAGCGTAAATGGTCATTGCTGGGAGACGAAACAACCCTGAGAGGAGAATGCCCTCTGAGAAGGATGAAGAAAGCCAGCTAGATTAGAAAGGAGAAAACCTGGGCTGGGACAAAGAAAGAGAAGAAAGTACTTGTATCTAGGATACTCCTTGGTCCTCTCTCACATCTGGTCAAACTAATCACATCCTTACATTCCTGAGCCCTCCCTGGTATTGGCTAGTCTGTGATAGTTAATCTCACATGGATTATTTTATTTACTTTAAAGTTTTATCTTCCAATGTTATCATGAGTGTACAGCACCATATCTGTTTGTTTACTATGATATCCTCAGTACCTAGCGAGAATCCAAAATCAAAATTTTTCCATAGCTATTTATGAATGAATCAATGAATGAAGGAAGGAAGGAATGATGGCATTACCAAGATAAGCATGTTGACTTCCATATCAATGTCATAGCAACTTGAGCTAGAATGTACCACCATGCAGTTTTGCAAGACAATTTATTCTCCTTAAACAGAGGGACTGAGGTTCAATAAGAGTTAACCGATTTTCTGCCAATGCATATGCATGTACACACACACACACTCACGCACACAAGTCAGTCAGTGGGAGAGGACATCCCTTCTCAGCACATAATTATTTTAAATAGCAATAACAGCAATCATTGTTACTGTTTACTGTGTACCAACTGTAAGCCAGGCATGGAGTTGGGCTGGTATTTTCTGAAGCAAGGATCTGCAAATAACCACCTGAATTCAAAAGAAACTAGGCATATATTTTAGGAAAATAAAACCATTCTGGCCATCTATACATGGACAAAGTTTGTGTTTTTTTGCTTTGGAGCTTCTCAAAAGTAGGAAGAAATTCTAGCCTCCTGAATTTGGAAAAACCAAATTCCTGTTTCCATATCGTATTAACCAGCCTATTTTACCAAAATTTTGGTTCATCCTTTGTGACTTCCATAGTCTTCTACAGGAACCACCAGTAGGAATCAGGTGATTCCAGATTCACTAATGTCTTCAGAAAACAACACTACATCCTCAGGTTGAGCTGAGACAGCAAGCAGAGCTACTCTTTAGTTTAAATGAAGGGATTCAGCAGAAATATCATTACTGTTTTTCTTCAGTTGGTAACCGGTGAACGATAATGATAAATACAAAGATTTCACCTCATAGGTGTTAAAGCTAATAGAAGGTGAATGCAGGTGAAATTTGCTTTCATTATCCATAATTCTTAGTTTATTTTTCCTTTTTCAGACAGGGCTTTGCTGCCTCCAGGTTGGTGTGCAGTGCCACAATCAACTCACTGCAGCCTTGGATTCCTGGGCTCATGTGATCCTCCTGCCTCAGCTTCTGAAGTAGCTAGGACCATAGGTGCACACCACCATGCCTGGATAATTTTTTAAACATTTTATGTAGAGATGGGTTATCACTATGTTGCCCAGGCTGGTCTTAAACTCCTAGTCTCAAGTGATCCTCCCACCTCAGCCTCCCAAAGTTCTGGGCTTATAAGCATGAGCCACCATGCCTGGGTACCTTTCCTGTAATTCGTTACTACAACCCATGAATGTAGATCAAATTATATTAATATTAGTTTCTCATTATAGCAAAGAGAAAGCAAAATGTCTGTACTGATTTAGTTGCAAACCTAATTTAGCTACATAGTACACTCTCCTGTCAAGAGAAAATGGGCTAATTTCTGTACACAGGTGGGCCAGGGAGGGACTGACTGCTTCTGGTCGTAACTTATCCATCTCTGTCTTGCTGAGATAATGATACTTCCCTTCAACCTTCTCTTCTGTGGCCTAGTTTCTATATCTCATTTGCTTTCTAAATTCGAAGTTAGATGGGGCCCTAGTTAAAGACCATTTGATATAGAGCATGTGTCCTCACCCAAATCTCATGTTGAACGGTAATCCTCAACGTCAGAAGTGAGCCAGGTGGTAGGTGATTAAATCATGGGGGCAGTTTCTCATGAACAGTTTAGTAACATCCCATTGGCACTGTCCTTGCAGCAATGAATGAGTTGTAACAACATCTGGTTGTTTAAAGTGCATGGTGCCTCCTCTCCCTCTCTTGTTCCTGCTCTGGCCATGTAAGATGTGCCTGCTCCCCCTTTGCCTTCTGCCTTCTGCCATAACTGTAAGTTTCCTGAGGCCTCCCCAAAAACTGAGCAGATGCCAGCATCATACTTCCTGTACAGCCTGTGGCTCTGTGAGCCAATTAAATATCTTTTCTTTATAAATTACCTAGTCTCAGGTATCTCTTTATAGCAATGTGAGAACAAATTGACACTCCATTCTAGTTCAATTCCTCATTATCAGTATTGTAATCAGGAAACTGAAGCCAGATTGGTCAAATGTGTTGTTAAGAGTTATGTAGTTCTTGTAAATGGGAGCTAAATGAAGTGTACCTGTGAACACAGAGCATGAACTATGGAGACTCAGAAGGGTGGGAGGGCGGGAGGAAGGTGAGGGATGAGAAATTACTTAATGAATACTATTAAGGTGATGGTTACGCTAAAAGCTCAGAGTTGGCTGAGTATGGTGGCTCATCCCTATAATCTCAGCACTTTGGGAGGCTGAGGCGGGCAGACCACTTGAGGTCAGGAGTTTGAGACCAGGCTGGCCAACATGGCAAAACCCTTTCTCTACTAAAAATACAAACACTAGCTGAGCATGATGGCACACACCTATAATACCAGCTACTTGAGAGGCTGAGGCACAAGAATAGCTTGAATCTTGGAGATGTAGGTTGCAGTGAGCAGATATCACACCACTGTACTCCCACCTGGGTGAAAGAGTGAGACTCTATCTCAAAAAAAAAAAAGCACAGACTTCACTACTATGCAACATACCCATGATGTATGGAAACTGTACTTGCAACCTCTAAATTTATGCAAATTGAAAAATTAATAAACATATAAATAATGTTTTCAAAAGACAGCTGTGTGGTCAATTCACAAGCATTGCTCCCTTAATCTTTCAAAGACTGATCTAGATTGGGGGTATGGGGGTTGCCACCGGCAGTCATGGATGACAGAAGAATAATTTGAAAGTACAAAGAGTGTGATCAACATTCACAGCACAAATTCATTCAACTCAATGAACAACTCATTCAAAATATGTACCTGCTTGTCACTTTTACAGGTGCTAAGGATACAGAAGCAAGCAAGACTGACACACCCCATGCCCTCAGAACTCCTCCAGTCCAGTGGGGAAGACAGATTGTGCACACCCAGTAAAACTGGTCATCAGGGAGCATCATAAGCACCATGGCAGATTTTAACTGGGTAAGATGATGAAGAAGAACGAGGCTGACAGTGGGGTGCTGCCTGGGCTTCCCTCTTCCTTACCCATGCTACTACTTTACACACCTTCCTTGTAACTTCCATTCTTTATTATCCTGCTCTGTCCTAACAATAAAGAAGCAGAAGGAATTGTTATTTCTTCTTTTAGCTCTCTGTCTTTTCTCTCTCTGCCTTCTCTTTCTCTCTCTCTTTCCTCCCATGCTCATGTACTCATTCGATCGAAAAAGGTCTGCAGAGTTCCTGCCCCTTATATGCAGAGGGAAGCTGGGAAAAGAGCTCTGCTATGCAGCAGCTTAGGAGAGGTAAGAGATATTCATAGGGGAAATGTAAACAACAGTGTGTGGGGGTGGTTGGTGGCCAGGGAAGTGTCAAAGCAAATGGGATGGTCAATGAGCATTATCTAGATGAGTTTGTCCTTCCAGACCACAGACTCTAAATGCAGCTGGCATGAAACCCACCCTGTGCCTGGCCTTGAATTAAGGTAATGCCCTAGGCCATGCCTGTTCTCATTCTCTCTCCCTCTTGTATTCCAACTGGCGCCTTTTAACCTCTTCCACTTCCAACCCATCTGCTGAATTTTGCATGTGAGAGAACTGTGTCTCCCTGGAAGGCAATTATTGTTGTTTCTCTTTCAATACCTCCTTACTCTGTTCCACTCCTGCCTGTTCCACTGAAACCCAGGTTCTAAAATATAATCATAGGGTCAACTTCCTACGTTGAAAATTGGCTTAGGATTTTCTTTATCCTACAAGGGGCAATCAAGTAGCTGAAATAAACAGAGAAAAATTCATTATCAGGAGGGCTTAACAGAGATCTACATAGAAGTGTAGACTAAAAGAATAGGAAAGGCTATCCCAACTGGTGAGACCAAGTGTAGCAAGTGCTTGGAGCTGGGAAATAAACATGTTTAGATATCAAGAGATGAACTTGCCCAGTTGGAATGAAATGTATTGAGGGATTCATGGAGAAAAGATAAAATGTTAGGTAAGGATGAGCTTATTCAACAACCAACTAGACGATATTCTTGTTTCAAGAATATTAGTCCTGCAATCTGTTGGCTGGGATCCAAGGGAAGGTGGCTTTAGGTATGAAGACTACCTAGAAAGAATTCCCAGATACGTAAGTAAGAAGTCCCTGGAGCAATATGCCAACAGAGGGAATGAAAAGAAGTCTCTTAGAAGATACAGATAAAACACTCACTTATCATTTGGTGGCGGATGAAAAACAAAGACAATGTTAGTAACTAAGGCTTGGGACTGAGGTTCCTGAGAAGAGAGTGGTGCCCATGGGTCAATGAGTGAGACGTGGACTGATTTCAAGTGTTATGCATTGGGAGCCTTAAGTGACAGAAAGAAATGAGTGAAGATGTATAGCAATCTGTGCTGCATATGGCATTAGAATTCAGTGATAGATCTGGAGTCTATTATTCTAAACCTACCAACGTAGAAGTGAAAGCTTTGAAGACGAATACTGAGGAAATAAAAACCAGCCATCAGAAAGACCCATACCAGTATTTCATCTAATGTTGATGTTATATTTCTCTCACTTACACAATACCCCATCAAAAGGTGGATGCATTTATCTATCTCTTCATTCTTCCATCCCTCTATCTGCCCGACCATTATTATATCCAACAAGTACTGATGGTGAACTATGGGCCAGCACTACAGTAGATGCCATGGAAATAATCAGAGGTGATATACTATTTGAATAATCAGCATGCATTAGGCACCAACCAGTTAGAATAGATGAATGCTGTGGCATTGTGCAGAGTCCCAGGGGACCATTAAACCTTTAGTTCTGGATCAAGGGTAAATTCAAGGAAGCAGAACATATGGAACAGCAGGGAATAGAGGACACTTTGGGGCTTGAGACAGTAGCAATTTATCAGTCAGAGTCCTAATTGATCTATAACAGCTAAGTATCAGCCTAGGTACAAGGACGGACACTTCTGACCTAGCCCCTGTATTTATAAGGCTGCTAGTCTAAAGCCATCCCATACAACAATACAGTATCAGGTTACAAGCCACATGTTCTTAAATTTAAATTAATGAACTCTCCGGACACAAAGAAATGAGATGATAGATATGTTAACTACCCTGACCTGATTACTATACAGTATATGTATAGAAACATCACTATGTACCCCATGAATATGTGCAATTATTGTTTGTCAATTAAAACTAAAGTAACACATTTATGTTACTTTAACGTGATGGCTCATGCCTGTAATCCCAACGCTTTGGGAGGCCGACGTAGGAGGATCACCTGAGGTCAGGAGTTCGAGACTAGCCTGGCCAACATGGCAAAACCCCATTTCTACTAAAAATACAAAAATTAGCTGGGCATGGTGGTGGGTGCCTGTAATCTCAGCTACTTGGGAGGCTGAGGCAGGATAATCGCTTGAACCCAGGAGGTGAAGGCTGTAGTGAGCTGAGATCGTGCCACTGCACTCCAGCCTGGGCAACAGAGTGAGATTCTGTCTCATAAATAATAATAATAATAAAGTAACAAATTTTTTTTTAATAACAGTTTTTGAAAGAACACTTAGTTTTCAGTTAGTTTTCAGGTGTAATAGTCACATTTCAAGCGTTCACTTGCTCCGTCTGGCTGCTGGTAACCATATTGAACAGCACAGATAAAGAATATTCCTTATCTATTCTCTTAGCAGGGTTAACTATGTAAGGTGATAAGTATGTTAAGTAGCTTGATTGTGGTAATCATTTCACAAGGTATATGTACATTAACATGTCTCATATATACCTTAAATCTTCGCAATTTAAAAAAAAATTAAATTTTATTTTTATTTCAATACTTTTAGGGGTACAGGTGGTTTTTGGTTACATGGATGAGTTCTTTAGTGGCGATTTTTGAGGTTTTGGCACACTCATCACCCAAACAACCCATCACCCAAGCAGTGCCCTCTCTACCCAATACTTACAAAACCTCCCACTTTTCAGGAAATGCTGAAGCCTGAGCTTCAAGGACAGGAAAAGATAGATGTGGCATGTAGGGAATTAGAGATGGAATTTCCTTTATTATTAGGGACAAAAGCTGCGAGTCTAATCTCCTGTGTGATACAAGCATCAGCTGATTAGGGTTACGCTAAGTCATTCCGATATAACTAACAGCTAATACACCATCTTTTTAGTTCTTTCTGTCTCCACCTTCTTCTTATCTGTACCCTCAACCTCCTCCCAACCTTCCCCCTCTCAGTCACCAAAGCCAATTATATTAAGAGTATGCTTTTGAAATTGACGCAATTCTTATTGGTCAATAATACCTCATTAAGACTTGGTGAAAAAAAAATATTCCTATAATCACAGACATGGTGTATTGGATAGCACTAGACCAAAGAAAAAGACAAACATAAAAATAAAGTTTGCACAATTAATTAATTATAAACATGATGCAGCATGCCATGGGATTTTTAGCCTGATAGGAAAATAGAGATCAAGGAAACCTCTTGGAAGTTAAATTTTCAAGTTGTAGAAAATCATGCTGAGGCTTAAGTTCCAACACCGACCCTGCTACTGTGAGCTTTCTGTGGCTTTCCTCTTAGCACACAGATAACAACAAAGGGATGTGGAGAGCTAGAAAACAGATGCTGGTTCCTGGGAGCTCATTCTCTTACACCATGTGCATTGGCCAATCTGTTACTCTAGACCTGTCAAAGTAGAAGTGAAAGCTTTGAAGAAGAGTATTGGGGAATAGAAACCAACCATCAGAAACACCCATACTGGTCTCTTGTCTAATGTCAATGCCATCTTTCTCCAATTTACACAATACTCCATCAGGAGTTAAGAAGCATTCATCTACCTATTCAGCTTTCCATTGTTGTACCTGTTCGACCATCATTATATCCAACAAGTACTCATGGTCTACCAACACGACAGTAAATGCTGTGGATATCATGAGGGGTAATATACTATTGAACAAACAGCAATCCAAAGGGTACCGATGCAAAGGAAACATTCTGGAAAAAATTAAACAAGAATAACCAAATTTTGGAAGCAGGAAATGAAAATTAATTTTCTGAAGCCAATGGACATATCAAAACCTGGATTCAGACTAAAATATGGCATTCTTCACAACATCAGCCCAGGCCCAGTGTCAGCCATGTACAAATTCCAACTACTAGGTCATCGCTCCTGCTAAAATCCTGTAAGAGACTGGAGCAATTTCTCAACCAGCATGCATCCAACATGTTATGGGTGAAGAACACACAAAACCCAGGCATGTGGCCAGCTTAGATGTCAAATCATCTGCCTTCCTGATAACCAGGCGACGTCCCAGAATTCAATGTTTGTTCCAGAGGAAGTGACTGCTTGGTCTCTGAAGGGGATTGAGGTTTGCTGTATCAGAGAAGCTGCAATCCCAAGGACAGGATGGAAACCTACTAGATACACTAAGAGGGATCAATACCCATAAACATCCCCAATAAGGCATCTTGCCATTGCTTCCTTTCTAAAATGATTTCTTTAAAAAAAATTATATCTGCTCACTGGTTTAGAGCAGTAAATTAATACTTTTTTTAATGTCTCTCTTTAGATGGCAGTTGTAGATACAGAAATACCATATCCATAGACAAATTAACATGAGCTCCCTTACATCCATGTACTAATTATCTTAGGGACCACAGCCTCCCTTAGGTTAAAAGTTTCAATCCCAGTGCAGGGTTGGAACAGGAATTTCTTTCAGAGAAGCAGCAATTTCAATCATATTCAGAAGACAGAGGAATGAGAAGGTCATGTATGATCTGAAAACCCATCCTTGAAACCTTATGTCCTCCATCCCTCCCCTCCCTGCCCAAGCACCAACAAAGGCATCTATGAGAAAGATGCTGCTTTAAACAGAAAAAGATCAAGTAACAAGCAAATTTAACTTTACACTAAATAGATTTGAACAGACTTCATGCCAAACAGCCCCCACCTTTTTACTTACAAAACCTCCCAGTTTTCAAGAAATGCCGAAGCCTGAACTTCAAAGGCATGAAAAGATAGATGTGGCACGTAGGGAATTAGACATGGAATTTCCTTTATTATTAGGAACAAAAGCTGCCAGTCTAATCTCCTGTGAGATACAAGCGTTAGCTGATCAGGGTTACGCTAAGTCATTCTGATGTAGCTAACAGCTAATACACCATCTTTTTAGTTCTTTCTATCTCTGCCTCCTTCCCCTCTGCATTTGAATATGCAAATTCCAAGACAATAGAAAGAGTCCTGCAATCCCACTGAGGGCAAAAGAATTCCCTTTGATCAGCCTCTTGCAGGCCTGGAGTCCCATGTCCTCCAATTCTACCTGCTCCTTTATGACATGGGCTGATATTTGATGTATCAAATTATACTCCAGCACTTTCAGAAGTAGAACCTGCTAAGAAATTCTGCATTCCTATGAAGGAAGCTACATCTTGAAAAATAAATATTTCTTTCAGCTAGCCTTTTAAAATTTTGATATTTATAATTAAATTATTACAGATTTCTTCTTAAAACAAGCTGTTCACCCATAAAACTATTGCAGAGGAGGGCTGACATCAGAGACTTTGTGAAGGTGCTACCCCAAATGCTAGAGTATATCTGCATATAAAAAAAGAGAGCTGAGAAAATTGGACAAAATACTGCTACCTTCACCAAAAATAAAGTCCTTGCATGCAATGAGAAAGGCAGAAAGTGGAAAAATGCTTACTTGCTGAAAACAAATGAAATTTCTATAATGTACCCCAGCATCTTAAAGTAAAAAATTTCTTTTTTTTTTGCAGTAATTTTCAGATCATAGTCATGTATTCCAGCTCAAAAAGAGCAAATGAACTGTTCTTAAATGCCTCAAGAAATACATGCTCTCGGTAACTGATCTGTGTTTGCTGGCATTTCTTTCTACTTTGCAGGGTCATGTGACTCAGAAGGGGGACAGAATGTCTCCTGATAAGAAAACCTTAGGGGGAGAAAAAAAGAAACCAAAAACACATTTTATTTTAATCCCCAGCTAATAAAGGCGCAGTTAACTCATTGATAACCTCACAAATTTCCCAGGTTCATTGGGGAGGGAGGGCTAAAGGAGGGTGGTTCTACCTTGCAGGCCCTCTTCTCATCTCTGATACAATAGGGCAGAAGAGAAAGACATAGGCAGGCAGCAAAGTTTTTGTAACAACTTCAAACCTGCAGAAAAGAGCTTTTCAGAGAGAACAGGATCAAAGACATGGATGTATTTATGGAATGAATGTTCAAAATGGGTTGCACTTACTGAATGCTGAGTCCGATCAAGGAAGCTGTAAGTTCCACTTGCATGAGTTCTTTGACCAGTTTCCTAAAGAAGAAAAAGGGGAATGACTTTAGTATCAAGAAATGTATTCTTGAATTTTGTCCGCACTTTTTTTGTCATAGTAATATGGACCAACCTTCAAAATAGGTTCTGACTATATTGTGAATTTAACAGCAATGATGGTGATGATGATGATGAAAATGATTCAGTTCTTCGATGTATTTTTATTACATCCTCTCAGATCCTGGCAAAGAAGGTGTTATTATCTTCTCTATTTCAGAAGAGGAAACTGAGGCCCAGACAGCTCCCACAGTTGACAAGACATGCATGTACATCGTGAAGCCTGAATTTGAACTCGGGCAAGTCAACACCAAGCTTGGAAGTACTCTTCTGTATTCTTCTCTTACACCATGAGTTCTTGTCACAGGAGGTGTTCAAGGTAAGACTGGAGGTTGACATTTCAGATATATCATTATGGATTTTCCCCCTAGGAATTAGCTTGGATGAAATAAATTCTAAATTTCCTTTCAACGCTAGAACTGCAGGATTCTACAATGTGCATTCAGGTGATACTTACTTAAAGTTCAAATATGGAAATGATTTAATTTTGCAATGAGTAGAATTATGATACAAGGTATCCTAGCAGTAATAAATTTCATAAATATGGCTATCATCACCCAATCACAGGGAGTGAGATTCATGTTCATTGATATTTAAATAAACCAAATATCACCTAAACTGCAAATGGCTATTATAATCTCCTATAGTTCAGTGAGTTGAAAGAGAGGTCATCTCCTACCAGAAAAATCAAGAGTTCTGGTAGATCTGAAAGATGTTTACGGCATCCTATACCCAAGGGGGTTGGGATACTGACTTGTTTCCTCTCTGGGGAGAAACTTAAGTAGCAGAGACGGGACTACTTTGCAGGGTTCTGGAATCCTGATCCATCGATAATTGAATTACTCTTATAAAGCAGCAGTACAATTTACGCCAAGACTCAACAAAGTTCACAAGATTTAGAGGTAAATTTTAAACATTATTTGCAGATATGTTTAGACAATATACCCCCTTTCCTAATGTGATAGGTATATCTAGATATATAGATATACAGATATACATATAAATGAAGATGACATATGTGTATGTATGTGGATATATATATGTGTGTGTAGTCTTCACATCTGGTGAGTCCCCTCTTGTTGATAAATTACAACACCTAAAAACATCAAGTGACTTCAAAATATTGGAAAGAGGGGTGACCTGCAGAGAGACCCAAGAATAGATAGAGCTATTCAGTGGTTGAAATGGTGGTGATAGTATTCACCCTTCAATAGCCTTTTGCTTTGCATTTTGATGTTTTCAATTTCTTTCAACTAATAAAAATGACCAATCTCATGGGCTAGTGTCAACAAACAGCAATGATGCACTCATTCATCCATCCATCTATCCATCCATCCATCTATCCATCCATCCATCCATCCATCCATCCATCCATCCATCCATCCATGTACTCACCCACCCATCCACCCATCCATCCATCCACCTATCTACCTACCCATCCACCCACCCATCCACCCATCCACCGATTCACCCATCCATCCATCTACCCACCCATCCCTCACCTATCCACCCATAGACCCATCGATCCATCCACCCATCCATCCATCCATCCATCCACCCACCCATTCATCCATCCGTCCACCCATCCACCCATCTATCTATCCATCTGTCCCCCATTTAACTACCCATCCATCCACCCACCTACCCATCCATCCATCTTTCCAGTCATCCTTGGCTTCACTACCTTCTAACTTTGTGACCATGGCCAAGTCACTCAACCTTTCTTTGTCTGAGTTTCTTCATCATTAAAATGGGAATAAACAGTACCTGCCTCAAGGAATTCAGGTGAATATTAAAAGTTAATATTTGTAAAACAAGTAGCATTGTGCTTAGCACAAAGTCGGTGCTTTTTAAAAGTTTATTGTTTATTAAGCCTTCTAAATGTCAGGAACTGTCCCCTTGGTGCCTACAGTCCAGTGGGGAAGATAGACAGATCTTCACCGGGGACAGTGGGGAAGGCTCCATCAAGGAAGTGGCAACGGAGCTGACATCGTAAAGGTGAGAAGTGGAAGAACATGATTTGGGAAGAATAGTTAGAATAATTAGAATAGAAATAGTCAAAATACATGGTTCTCTTCTAGAGATTCACAGTATGCCTCCAATGCAGGATTATCTGAGTCCTAATAATTATAGTAGTTGTAGTTTCACTGAATCCCTAGTACAGCCCAAACTTCATATCAAAATTTGCATGCATCCTCTCATTTATTAAAAATAATAGCTACCATGGTCAGGTTCAACCTTTTCAGCTCCTACCCCCTCTTTCCTGTCACTTCCTCCATCTCCGAACATATCCTTACATTCTAAGATCCAGCTAAATCAAATACTTAAGACACAGTGCACTAGTATTCCTTTAGCCCTTCGATTACAACCTTCTCTCATCCTAAACTGCCCTTCACCTGGCCCCATTTGAACTCATGGAAGGTCTGGAGTCTTGAGACTTGAACATCTACCCAAGCGTGCTCTCTGTAACTTTCATTGACCCTTCCAGTGGGCCTGAATTTTAGGGGAGGTCCCTATGGCCATTGGCATATTCTTCTATCAGAAGCAGAATATACATCCTTTCTAACTTTTTGTGGACTTGGCCTACCCAGGCTGTGAATTTCTGGAAGGCAAGGGCAATGTTTAATTCAACACTGTAACTATGTAGTCTGGGAAACGGCCCCTTATGTACTGCTCACTACATTGGGTAGCCTAACAAGTGATTCTTCCTTGCCCCAGAGGGTTACAGCACCAAGAAAGGACATTGACCTTCATTCCAGAAAGAGGTTTCTCTGAGCAACTGGGCCTTCTTTGGTGCTACCGTACTTGGTACCCAGGTAATAACATTGAATTTCATGTCCATCTGAGTCCAAACCCACACCTTTACATCTGGTCTTAATCCAACCTACAGTTGAAATGAATTTTATAGCCCCTCCTTTCCACTAATAAGAACCTGTAAAGTCATTTAGGGGGATTATTTTATAAAAACAGAGGCTGAGAACCATTGTTATAAAGCGAGAACAGAAATGATCATTAACAATGGTACCAGACAGCAAGAAAACCCTAATATGCTCTCTAGAGTTCCAGAAGAGTGATTTAGTGTTATTTTTTTTTTAACTAAAATGTTCTGAGTTTGCAATTACTCTTGCAAACTACGTGAAGAGCAATTTGTGACCAGGGAGAATCTCAGGTCCCAGTGGAATTGGGCACAATTTTCATTGTACCAAGATTACACAGAAGCTAAAGAGCTGCAAGTGAAGGAAACTCGGAGGACATTGGAACAAAGTCAGGCAGAATGAAGGTGAATGCTCAGTTCATGCATTAGCTACCTTCACCTATGCACTCCATCCAAATGGATGCACAAAATAGCAAACCGATTACTTCCAAAACACTGGTGTTGATGACCCTTGGACAGCCAGAATGTAGTTTTTTTCTAACTCTGACTCTCTAAACAGGGCTGGCTACTGCAACGTTTCTGTTTCCATAGATTCTGCCATGAACTGCTTCATAGACTTCCCCAGGCAATGAATGCAATGCCATCTCCTCCTGCCTCCAGGCTTGCACCCCTTGCCCCCATGCAGGTCAAGGAGTGTGACCCTTACAAAATGTAAATGTGACTGTGTTACTTGATTGTTTAAATCCTACATTGCTGGCTTCCCATTTCATTCCAAACCTACCTTACTCCTGACATCCCTAATGATTTGCTCCTAGACACAGCTCCAGCCTTATTTATTTGTTAGTAAGGAGATCACACTTCCCCCCAGTCCCGGGTACCAGCACCATGGACTTTCCCATTCTGGACCACACTTTACTCCTCACCTGCCACAGGGATGCCTGGCATGCTATGGCTTTGACTGGGGATGCTTTTAGCACCTAATTAACTCCAGTGCATTGCTGCTTCCTGTTGGAACCCCCTGACCACATGGCTTTAAGAGCCCATCACCCTTTCTTCATAGCCCATATCCCAGTTTGCATTTTGCATCCAATTAAAAATTATTAGAAAAATTATTTGATGAAAGTTTGCCTGTCTCACCAGCATGTTAGTTAGCTCCATGAGGGCAGGAGCTGTGTGGGTTTTGCTCACTATTTTAACTCTGATCACAATGCTATGGATATGGCAGACATTCAGTAAATATTTACCCAAGGAAGAAAAGATGGAAGGTAGGGAAACAGGGAGGGACGGAGGGAGGGGGAAGGAAAGAAGTAAGGAAGGAAGGAAGGAATGGAGGAAGGAAGGAAGGAAGGAAGGAAGGAAGGAAGGAAGGAAGGAAGGAAGGAAGGAAGGAAAGAAGGAACTATCGGCTTAGTCATCCTATGGCTAATTTTAGACACACTCAGCCTCCCCAAAAGTCATTTCCCTTCCCCATCTCTGTCTAGCATAGTGCCAGAAATTGGGTCTGCAGCGCCTGATCCTGGCTCCATTAGTAAGTGCTATGTTCAGAACAGACGAAACCTCACCCTATCTAGGTTCAATTTTCTCCTAGGAATTTGCAAGGCACACTTAAGTGTCGTCAGTAACTGTGGGGTCACTCTTCTCTGCCACGTGTGCAGAAAACAGCAGAAGTAGCAATGAGAGAGAGAAGAAGAAGAGAGTGGAAGAGCCATGGAGGAGGGTTTTGGGGCGGGAGGGTAAGGGCTGCCTTGTTTCCTGATTACACAGCGGTTCAGAAATGCTGGTTCTTCCTGGGACCTAGAACACCTCCTGACTTTTAGTGCTGAAACTCACTTCTGTGCTCCTGTGCTGTGTAAGAAACATGCCCATTTATTGAGTGAGTTTGAATGGATTTCTGTTGCTAGCAAACAATGCAATTATGTATAAGACCATCTCAGAGGGTGGTGCCTCACCTAAGTTGGGATTTTGTACCCACCCTGCAGGCAGGGAAGCAAACTGTATCTTGATCACATCAGGGATTATGATTGCATACATGCTCTCCAAGCCTCACAGCAGCCCCTGACCTCATTCAGGTGTCTGGCGTTTAACTGTCCTTGAAAGGACCCTGAAGCCAAATCAGCAAGCTGCCCAGGGTTGCTTGATACCACTCAGGGATTATGATGTGCGATTCCTGGTGGTAGAGAGGTTAGTGCCCATCACACCTGGGATGGGAGAAGTGAACTAGACAGGAAGTGCACTGAAGCCACCTTAGATTGGAGATAGAAGCCCTCCCCATGGGAATCCAGTGACTCCCAGCCACATAACAGGAAGCTGCTTAGCAGTAACCACTACTGCAGTCAGAGTATCTGATGGGCCTCAGTCTGCCATGCGAAAGATTCATGCCTTCCTGGACTCACTGAAGATCTCTGCACCCTGAACTCCAGCCTCAGAAGCAATACGTAATGTTACTGTAAACCTGTGGTTGCTTTTCTAAGGACAGTCATGGGTTAAAGCACCACCTTTCCCTGCCATCAGGCGTAGGCATTTCACACAGTGAGGACAGCATGGAATATCCTTTGACTTCAGGAGCGGATTCTCCAACATCATCTCCTTTTGCTTCCCATCCCATCCCCACATCAGATGCTTGGTCTCTGTGATGAGCGTTCCCCAAAGAGAGATTCATTTTCTCCCTTTATATTTGTTGAGTGAGCCTAACAAGAACAAAACCCAAAAGCCAATAGTTCTTTTATTCTTTTTTTTTTTTTTTTTTTTTGAGACAGAGTCTCGTACTGTCACCCAGGCTGGAGTACGGTGGCACGATCTCAGCTCACTGCAACCTCTGCCTCCTGTGTTCAAGAGATTCTTCTGCCTCAGCCACCTGAGTAGCTGGGATTACAGGTGCCCACCACAACGTCCAGCTAATTTTTTGTATTTTTAGTAGAGACAGGGTTTCACCATGTCGGCCAGGCTGGTCTTGAACTCCTGACCTTGTGATTTGCCCGCCTTGGCCTCCCAAAGTGCTGGGATTAAAAGTGTGAGCCACCACATCCAGGCAAGCCAATAGTTCTAAACTAAATTGAAATGTCCTAGCATCTCTGATAACACTGTGCCTGTGCACTACTTGTTTCCTATGTCTGGGATTCTGTTCTTTTTTTTTTTTTTTTTTTAAACCACTGGTAAATTTGCACCTGTTCTTCATAGCTTCAGGGAGTCCTGGCTGACTCCCCAAGCACAGTGAATCATGCCATGTTCCCCACTCTTAGAATCCAGTTAGCATCTCTATAGACTCTTCATTTGTAGACATCTGTCTCTACATCTGTCTTTTCTATTGGAGTGGCAGCACCTCGAAGCACCAGGCTGTGCCCAGTCATATTCATGAGTGACAGTACAGTTTGACAAATAGTTTGACATCCTACAGGTTTTGGACACAGATTTGGTTTCAAAGTCAGTTATCTTATTAGTTCTGGGCAAGCTGCTTGACCGCTTGGAGCTTCAGTTTTTTTGTCCATAGAATGGGTATAATAATGCCCACCTCAGAGGGTTGATGTGAGGACACTACAGCTAAATTACCTGGCACTACTACTAAATAAATATTACTGGAGCCAAACAGCCAAGCGCTACGCCTACTTCTTCAACAACAATCCTTTTAATAAACAAAGTTTTACTGTGCTGTGCAAAATTTTGCCAAGGCAATAAGATCATCCAGATGACTTTCAGCATAGCCTAGTATCATAAGCCATCACAGCACCTGCCACGTAGTAAGTGCTCACTGAAGATTCCTAAAAATAAGGAACCAGTGAGGCTCTTCTCTTACTGATGAAATACAATTGTATCCGCTATTCCAAGGTTTACATGTGGCTTATGCTGCTTAAAGGCAATAAGCGGCTGGGTGTGGTGGCTCACGCCTGTAATCCCAGCACTTTCGTAGGCCGAGGTGGGCGGATCACGAGGTCAGAAGTTCGAGACCAGCCTGACCAATATGGTGAAACCCCATCCCTACTAAAAATACAAAAATTAGCTGGGCGTGGTGGCAGGCACCTATATTCCCAGCTCCTCGGGAGGCTGAGGCAGGAGAATCACTTGAACAGAGGTTGCAGTGAGCTGAGATCGTGCCACTGCACTCCAGCCTGGGCGACACAGCGAGACTCTGTCTCAAAATGCTACTACTACTACTAAAGTCAATAAGCGTCATTGCATTTGCAAGAAACAAACGCATTACACATTGCACTTAAATGCAATTAGTGTTTCTGCTGCATTTAATTTGGCTGCATTTGCCCATTCAACAAGGGCTCAGGTATAGTCTCTGTGTCTGCTTCTGTTCCTCCCAGCCTCCCTCTGTAGGGAAGCAAACTTCTCCCCGAAGCTCTAGGGACCTCCGAGAGACTAACAATATTACACCCCACACACCGCCTCCCTTTGAGCCTTATTGTTGGTGTGTTTAATTTCCTGTCTTGGCCTTACAGGAGATTTCTAATGTTTGGGCTGTAGGGTATGTTCTGATTAAAAATAATCCTCCCAATTATGGGCTGGCATGAGCCTCCTGTCAGGCGCACTCTGCCACCAGCTCCGCTTCCCTGTCAGCAATAATTGTGTCTGCAGTGCCTAACTGTAAATGAAAACCCAAGGGGCAAGTTTGGGTCCCTGGTTCCTGGGCCGCGCCGGATCTTTTAATTTGCACTGTCTGTCAGAAGGATGCAACTGTGTGTACTCCAAAGAAATCCTTAGACGCTCAGATTCAAGGCCAGAGAGAGCAGAGGTACCACAGCCTTCTCAGAGAAATTGCATTTGAACCCGCCAGAGATAACAGGGTGTGTGTAAGGCAATGAGGCTCTTTTTAGTTGGCTCCAAACTTTAGCTAGACCCAGTATGAAAAGGGAAGCTGAACTCCAGGGAAATTTCAAGGTTTGTTTATATTATTTCTCCACCGAGTACATAAGACAGGCCATTGAATTCAAAACAGGCGAACGCAGTGGTTTGAAAGGAAATATACACATGAGACCTGATTATTTCAATCTCCATAAAATTAAAACTTCCTGGGTATAGGGTGAGAGGAGAGAGGTAAGTCTTTTCAGCTGGGAAATATCATCAAGGTATTCTTGTAGAAGCAGAGAGACGTCCCTCTGGCCAGGCTCGGACAAGGCACTTAAAATGTGCTGTAGAGTTTAAAA
The DNA here is from genome assembly GCF_000001405.40 of Homo sapiens. Classification (NCBI taxonomy): domain Eukaryota; kingdom Metazoa; phylum Chordata; class Mammalia; order Primates; family Hominidae; genus Homo; species Homo sapiens. Next base: position 6,308,900 of record NC_000016.10, on the reverse strand, counting down.
AGTGGCAGGGGGAGACAGCTACTGAGCAAAGTTGTTTTAGGAGTGATAGTTGGGAAATACTTTTGGTGTTCCTCTACATCCCCCATATCTATTTTTCTAAGAATGGCACCTGCTGTTCCAGACAGCATTTGCATCTCTTATTCCACAACTCCTGATACCTGGTCGAATAGCCTGCTTTTCGCATAAATCAGGGATGCAATTTCTGCATCCAATGCATACCAAACGTGACACCAATGCATTTCCCCAAAAAACTGCCTCTCTGGCTCAGCCTAGCTCCAAGGGGCTTCTTTTACTTACAACATACATTTTGGTGACTAAGTCATCCAGGTAAGAACTACTCAGAGCCACACGAGCAGGATGTTCAAGTGCAGGCAACCCTGTCACTCAGCAAACTAGGGTCCACCAGTCAAGTCAACACACAGCCAGTATTTTTATGTAAAAAAGTTTCTCTCAGATGCAGTCATGTGCATTCATTTATGTAAGTGTTATCTAAGATTGCTTTCATGCCACAAAGGCGAAGCAAAACAGATGATCCAACACATGGCTTGCAAGCTCAAGAACATGGATTCACACACAGGGCCACAAGGATCTACATAAGGAATAAGCAAATAATAATCACAATCCAAATAAATAAATATGGAAATAACAGATGATGATCATTTATAGGATGTGCAAATAATAACCATCCAAATAGATAAATACACAATGTAAATTATTATAATTTATAAAAGTATGTAAATGACATTCCAAATAACTCAGTAAATAATAGAAATTATCATTTATAAAAGTATGTAAATAATAACCTAAATAAATAAATGAATAAATGATTATAAAATATGTAAATAACAATCCAAAGAAACTTATATAAATAACATAAATATCATTTATAAAAATATGTAAATAACAACCTAAGCGAATATATAAATGATTACAGTTTATAATATGTAAATAACAACCTAAATGAATATATGATTATAATTTATAAAAATATGTAAATAATCCAAATAAATATATAAATAATATAAATTATCATTTATAGAAATATAAAAGTAATAATCCAAATAAACATATAAATAACATAATTATCACTGATACAAATATGTAAATAACAATCTAAATAAACATATAAATAATATAAACAATCATCATGTATAAAATATGGAAATAATTATCAAAATAGAGAAATATATAAATAACATAAATGATTATCATTTATAAAAATACATAAATATTAATAATCTAAAGATATAAATCATAAATATCATTTATAAAAATATATAATTAAAACTCATTATGTATCAGATTGTTATATCATTTTCTCTATTATATATTATTAAATGATATTATATAATGACTTAATATATTAAATGATATTATATAATGACTATTATTTACATATGTATTTAGATCAATTAGACTTAGAAAGAAATAATTTAGTATAAATAAGAAATAATTTATTTCTTATCCATTTAGTATTGGACAATATTAATAGCTATAATGATGATGTTTTTTTTATTTTTAAGATGAGTCTCTCTCTGTCACCCAGGCTAGAGTGCAGTGCGCGATCTTGGCTCACTGCAAGCTCCGCCTCCCGGGTTCACACCATTCTCCTGCCTCAGCCTCCTGCCCGGCAATAATGATTACTATCCAACACCAAGTATTTACCATGTACTAGGCACTTTACTTGCAGAAGTCTCTCTAAGCACAACCACCATTATTTCTCTTTTGAGGATGACCTAGGGGGGCGTTTACGAATCTGAAAGAACTTGCTGCAGGTTTTACCACTAGTCAACAGCAAAGCCAGAATGCAAATCCAGTTCTGTGTGACTCTGAAGTCCTTACGCTGATGTAATGTTTAGTCTGCCTCTCCTTTTTTAAAAATAGAGATGTTGTCTAGTTTGACTTTTTGGGTGGTGCCTTCAGGTTCATGTCTAGCAAAAGGAGAGAAGGTATAAGCACCAAGTTCACAAAGTAGCTATATCTTCCTTTACCAATCCCATCATGAAACTAGAGAATTCCATGTTTCCACCACTTAAATGGGGGAGTTTTGGGGGGTCTGTGACATTTCCTTAGAGGTACTGAGTGCAAGGCATAGTATATCAGAGAAAACGACAACTTTTAATTCCTGCAGACAGATTCTTTTAGGTTCAATGATAAAAGACAGGCAGAAATGGACGGCAACTGCTGGCTGATTACAGGCATTGCACAAAATTGTTTGGGAGATGAAAATGCTCCTTCCCATCTAAGTAGAAACGGCCAGTGAGTTCTTCTGACCAAGAGGAATCAGGCTTCTCAGCAAATGCTCCTGAGTTCACATGAACTGAGTTCACCTGAATCTATCAGCTTCTGGAGCTGGCCTGGCACACACGTGCTATTAAGAAGGCCAAAGGATTTCATCCATGAAGAAATCAGTAGACTTCTTACATAAAAATGCCTCTGACGTAAAAGAAGTGCTAATCTCTGCAGAAATCTAATGCAGAAAGTTCCATTCCTTTCGATGCATGAGCGATAACTGAGAGCCCTCAGGGTCCCCTGCAACTTGCCCGGCTCCAGCAGCAGGGCTTGAAGGGAAAGGAGATCCCCTGTGTGGTTTCCATCCATGATTCAACTCTCAGCTCAAATACTGCCTCCCTAGCAAAGCCTCCTTTGATTGGTTTCTGCAGCAAATCTAGGACAGGTTCCCTTGTCATTGCATTTATCTCAGCTATAACTATACAGGAAAACATAAGCATTTGATTAGTACCTGTCTCTCCCACCAGGCTGAATGCTGCCTGAGGACTCAGACATGGAGGGTTTTGCACCCCACCAAATACTCTGCACTCAACAGAGTGCCTAGAGCAAAACCAACGCGCTTTAAATATGGGCTCAGTGAAGGAGTGAATAATTCTAGAAAGAAACCACATGTTTCTCTGCCATCTGAGACCCAGGGGCTTTCATGGACCACCCTGCACTGACAGCTCCTTCTTGAAGCTCAACTTCCTACCTACCTCATGTCCAGCTCCTAAGGGGTCAGTTAGAGGACAGACCATGATATTCAGAGGCAAGTGCATACGTGAAGAAAGAGCTTTGAACTTGGAAGTCATACCCACTTGGTGCAACTGGCAGCTCCAGCATTTGCTAGTTGCTTGACCTTGGGTGAGTTACTGTCCATCTCTGGCCACAATTATCCAATGCACGAGGTGGAAATAAAAAGTACTCTTTTACAGTATTCTCCCCATGATCAAATGAGGTAATACAGGAAAAAAAAAAAGCTAAGAGTATGACTACAGTATGTGTTTAAAAAGCTGTACCTACTTGAGTCATATTGAAGTCCTCCCAAGCTGAAGAGGGCCTTGAGACACAGGTAAAAGTGATGGAAATTATTGCGATTTAAATGAACTCAGTAAATATCTATCTGGGACTGATAAAGACATATGCATGTGAGTATGTGTAAATAAAGACAATGCCAATAGCAAGAAAATAATAAAAATTAACAGGAAAAAGAAGGAGGAGGAGGAGCATCTCATGTTAACTCTGTGTCATGCACTCTGATAAACAATTTGCATGCAGCATTGCACTGACATCCCTATGCCCTGGGCATCATTATCTCCAATTCACAGATTAAGCATGATGTTCAGAGAGGGTTAGTATTGGTACGTGTTCTCACTGAGAAGCCACAACTTGAACTGTGGTCTGAATGGCAGTTGTGCTATATTTGCTCTCAATGAGAATGCTTCCATCCCAAGTAGACATCACATGCTTATGACTACCCGTGGAAGGATTTGGGATAACCCGAGAAAGACACTGATTGATGTGCTTTTACAAGAAAGGAGCTCAGACGTGCCATGGGGCTGTGATTAGCTCTCACACACACACAGGAAGCTCCTCTACCATGCATCACCCCTTCCCAACAGATTCACTTTGGTTATTATCCATCATCTCACTAGTTCTGTTGATTGTTGTCATTGGAGAGAGAAATTGTGCAACAGGTTTACAAAGCAACGTCTCTCAGATATAGGAATTCCTTTTTTTTTTTTTTTTTTTTGAGACAGGGTCTCACTGTGTCACCCAGTCTGGAGTATAGTCAGTGGCATGATGTGGGCTCACTGCAATTTCCACCTCCCTTCTCCGGCCTCAGCCTCCTGAGTAGCTGGCACCACAGGCGTGCACCACCGCACCTGGCTAGTTTTTGTATTTTTGGTAGAGAGACAGGGTTTCACCATGTTGGCCAGGCTGGTCTTGAACTCCTGGCATCAAGTGATCCGCTTGCTGCCACCTCCCAAAGTGCTGGGATTACAGGCAAGCACCACCATGCTGGTCACCAACACAGCAATTCTAAGTAACGTCTCCCCTCTGAGTAGATCATTCCCAGCCATTCGTCTCCCCTCCTCAGGCATACGGCTCTGTAGGGAAGATAGTCCTCAAGATTCTAAGTGTCCTCCTCCTCCGTTAGCAATACCAGGTAGCTTTGGAGCTAAATCCACCAGTTCCATGGAGGTGAGACGGAGGAGGGATACAGTAATCTGGGAGCTCACAAGAGGCTGCAATGCAGACAGATTTATAGAGCCAGGATAAAAAAACACATCATTGGGAATGCATGGAACTTCTGTTCATTAATTATCTTTCTTTTTTTTGAGATGGACTCTCACTGTATTTCCCAGGCTGAAGTGCAATGGCATGATCTCGGCTCACTGCAATCTCCGCCTCTTGGGTTCAAGTGATCCTCCTTCCTCAGCCTCCTGAATAGCCGGGACTACAGGCACCTGCCACCACGCCTGGGTAATTTTTGTATTTTAGTGAAGATGGGGTTTGGGCTGGGCGCAGTGGCTCACACCTGTAATCCCAGCACTTTGGGAGGCCCAGGCAGGCAGATCATGAGGTCAGGAGTTCAAGACGAGCCTGATCAACATGGTGAAACCCCGATTCTACTAAAAATACAAAAATTAGCCAGGCATGGTAGTGCGTGCCTGTAATCCCAGCCACTCAGGAGGCTGAGGCAAGAGAATCACTTGAACCCAGGAGGGGGAGGTTGCAGTGAGCTGAGATAGCGCCATTGCACTCCAGCATTGGTGACACAGTGAGACTCCATCTCAAAAAAAAAAAAAAAAAAAAAAAAGACAGGGTTTCACCATGTTAGCCAGACCGGTCTCAAACTCGTGACCTCATGATCCACCCTCCTCGGCCTCCCAAAGTGCTGGGATTACAGGCATGAGCCACTGTGCCCAGCCCATTAATCATCTTTTCCTTTGAATCTATTTCTCAATGAAAAGTAGCTTTCCATTTCTATTACCAAGATTAATGTGTCAACAATACACAATGGCATAAACTGGACCAGAGCGGAGAAGGAAAAGAAAGAGACAAAATAACGCAAAAAGCAAACCCTCAGTACATAGTGTGATATATTTACTCAGACTACTGCTTTATTTACACCACTGAGAACACTTTATTTTTGAGCTTCATAACTCATTGCTCTATAAAGAAAAAGAAACTAGCTAGCTGCTACCTACTTCAACATGGAGAAAGAAAATACACCATAAAGAAAGCCATCCTCCACTCTGTAGGCCTCGATTTTTTAAAAAAAAAAAAATCTATTTAATACGTACTGGACTCCAGAGCACCTTATTATCTTATTTAATTCAGACCCGGGAAGATGTCTCAGAACGAAAATGGCACTGAAGTGATCGGAACTAAGCTATGAAATGTGGACATCATATTTTCTTCAGAGAGATAATCAGCTTATCAGAATTCATTTCAACCTGAGAAAGGTCTCACAACTACAATGAAAATTCAAGCTGGTCTCATCATCTCAAGAAAGTAATCTCAAGGAAATAGTAAAACGATCAAGGCAAACTTGGTGCAGTTATCTTTAAGAATAAGAACCTCAAGCATCATATCCCAACAGAATCAATGGCAGTGGGGTCTGCCCCAAGTATGAGAGACACCCCCACATAAAATATGTGAAGTGCCTTCACTGATAATATCATTTTTTCAAGTCATTTATGCTACTTTTCAAAGATGCATTCACTACATTCTTTATACCTAAAAACCCTCCCTTAGTATTCTGAAAAATGTCTTAAAAATATATTTTTCTAAATGAATCACTAAAAGGGGCATAAGTTTAGTCTCATGTCTGCTAATTACCAGCCATTTGGTCTTGATTAGGTTATTTAACTCTCTCTGGGCCTCAGTCTCCTGTTTGCACAAGAAAGAGATTAGACCTTCTTGTTTTAAAAATGTTCTTTCTTTTTAATTGCAACAGATGACCTGGTTCGTATGCATCCTCAGAAGAGGAAAATCAACAAGCTTAAGAGCAAAGATACCTCAAAAGTGTACATATGGTTCAACGCTGTCAATACCAAGATAGATATACTACGTGCCTCTCAGTATGACACATTCCTACCCACAAGAAGAAAAAAATTAAACAAAACATAAAATCCATCTAGTCGAAGGGGATATCTGACTTTTTAAAAAGCCAGTGAATTCCAGAAGACAAAAGAAAATTCCTGATAGTCAGTCCTTCATGTTCAGCAAAGAACAACCAAGCCATTTGGTACAATGCTCCAGAAAAGCAGACAATGAAGGAAATGAAGGAAAAATAGCGAGGCAGAAAGATGAATACAGCACTCAGCATCTCCGTGTGGGAGAAAGGAAAGTCATAAAACTGGAGTGAGATCATGAAAGGTTTGCGAAATGTTCAGGGGCCACCTCAGGTAACCATCAAAAGTTATGTATCTAATATGCCACCTCATCCAAATGTGTTTTGGGCAATACTTTCTTCATAGCATGATTTCAGGTAAGAAATAAACATTGTGGATGAAGCCACAGGACATGTAGGAAGTTTTGAGATAAAAATATTTGCATCTCCGGTCTTGTCATGACGGACAGTAACATATAGTGGTAAGAACTGAAAACCTGCAGTAAACAAAGCTCGGTTTCTGATTTTTCCCTGAGTTTGATATTGGGGCATTTACAGACCCCTTGGAACCTCAGGATGTTCTTCTGCCAAGTGGCTGGACTACCTGTGCTACCGGATCCCCGTAAGGATTAAATGAAATACTGCATATCTGATGCTTCACGAAATGCTTGCATATAATTCTGATAAATATTCTTAACTTTTAATAGGTAAAGCCTCATGTTTTGGGTCCAGATCTAGTAGAAGCATATTCTAGCATTTATTGAGCATTAAGTTACAGAGCATTTGCTAAGTTCTAGGCACTCCCCTAAACTGTTTTTATAAAATTTTCCTTTTTTTAAGAGTAGTTTTGGGTTCACAGCAAAATAAAGAGAAAATTATAGAGATTTCCCACACACCTCCTCAGACACGGGTAGCCTTCCCTAAACGTTTTCTGTAATATTTTTTTCATTTGAAAATCTTCACAACATGGAGTTAATTTTACTCACATCTCCGGAAACTAGATCTCATAATGTTCCAAGTTACCCTAAAATGCTTCAATCTTTCACAAAAATCAGAAAAGCATCATTTTCATAAAGGTACTTATTTCAATGAGACCTGCATCGCTTAATAAGAAAGCAGTCTTTAATCCTAATAAGGCAAAATCCTATCTAGGCAATTGGAAAAACAAACAAACAAACAAACAAAAGCCCACTTAATTTCTAGCCATAGTCTACATTCTTTGGCATGTGACACCCATCAAAAATACAGAACTCATGTATATGAAATACTGAATTATTCCACATGGATTTAGAGTCTGGTTGTGCATAATTTCTTTTAGATTTGAAATATGTAGAGATTTAAATAAGTCTACAATTTAAAGAAGCAAAGAAAAAAATCTACATTCCAAAGTTTCCAGGTTCTGTTTCTGATCCTCAAGGATTTTTTTTTCAATGACAACTCATAGGAAATAAATGTTTTTCAAAGGAACATAATGTAAGTTACTTGTGTTCATTTTAATGTGCACATCCACTCATTAATCCATTTGGCACTTTCTGAGTTCCCACTTTGTGAAAACCATCAAAGCATGATGCCAGGTACAGTTAGGGATTCAGAGATAAATGGGGCATTCCATTTTCTAAACAAGCTCACATTAATAATAGCTAATAGAAGGCACAGCAAAACAAGATTCCCAGCAGAAAAACTGAAGAGCAATGTATCCTGACTTGGGAGGTGGTGGTGGAGTAAATGGACTTGGTAAAAGTGGCAACTGTGATAATGCATGGATTGAAAACACTGTCACTTAATGAAAGAGTAGGGCTACAAGCTAGATGCACGAAGCCCCATGCCATATGAGGGAATCAGGAATAGTTTTCCGGAGCCAGAATGTGGGAAAGATATTGAGGGAAATTGGAAAGATGAAACTAGATGAAGGAGGCTTCATGAGTCCAACCTAACAACAGTACGAATTTAATGAGTACTCCGCTAAATACTTTATATGTACCACAGGTGCAAGTCTCGCTAATAACTTTGTGAGGTAGGTAGTTGGGTTGGCGGAGGGATTTCTTTTTATTCTTTAAGTTGACAAAAATTGTGTATATTTATGGTGTACAACATGATGTTTTGAAATATGTATACACTGTGGAATGGCTAAATCAAGCTAATTAACATGTGTATACTTATCTTTTTTGTGGTGAGAACACTTAAAACGTACTCTTTTAGTGATATTCAAGTATATACATTGTTACTAACTATAGTTGTACCATAGGTCTCTTGAATTTATTTCTTCTGTCTAATTGAAATGTTGTATCCTTTGATCATCTCCCCATTTCCTCCCCTCTCACCAGCCTCTGGTAAACACCATTCTACTCTCTGTTTCTATGAGTTTGACTTTTTTAGATTCCTCATATAAGTGAGATAATGCAGTATTTGTTCCCCTGTGCCTGGCTTATTTTACTTAACATAATGACCTCCAGGTTCAACCATGTTGTCACAAATGACAGAATGTCCTTGTCTTTTGAAGCTGAATGGTATCCCATTGTACATGTGAGTTAGGTAGGTGCTTTTGTTAGATTTATTTTAACTGTAGGTTCTGGGGGCACACAAGCAGGTTTGTTACAGAGGTATATTGTGTTAAAACGAGGGTGTGGGCTTCTAGTGAAGCCATCTGAGGTTGGTGTTTTTAATGCCATTTTTTTACCATTGAGGAAACTGAACCCCGACAGACTTGTTTCCCAAAGATCCCTTAGTGATAAGGACAGCCACGCCTTTAACTGAGACCCAGCAGACGCCAGAGTCCACGCTTTTGGCCACTGCAAATAACTGAGTTTAGGCTTTGGCAGGTAGTCATTAAGGATCCATTAGGGATCTCTGAGAAGGGGAATGACTTGTTCTGACCATATTTTAGGAGAAAAACTGGCCAAATGGTAGAGAGTGACCTGGATGTGAGAGTGACGATGACGCTGGGGTCTTGGGAAGGTAGAGTAAAATGAGGTCTCTGAAATCACTCTGGCTGGTGGCTTACGTGCGCTTCACCATGTGCTGGCGCTGTGACCTTGGGCAAGTTACTCGACCTCTCTGAGCTTCAATCTTTACACCCGTAATATGGAAGTCATGATACTGCCACTCATCTCAAAACGCTATTTTTAGAATTACATGAATTGATGAATTTAAAAGAATTAGATCTGCCTGCTCAACTTTAGCCATTTAACAATGATGTCAGTAAATAACATGGTTATCACATTATTTATCATCCTCTGAGGAAGAGACGGAAGAGCAAAAATAGGAAAAGGGTCCACTGTTTCAGATGAGTTTGTGGGGCTAAGGCCCCTGCATCGGACACTTGCATTTTCTTTCCCATGGTGCTAGTATTCAGCCTGCCCCTTTCATTCTAATGTTACCACCAGCTGCTGCATTGCTTGGGGTTACTTTCCTTGCAAACAAGACTGTGGGTTGCAATTGGCAGATGCCTTTTACCTGGGAACAGAGATGAAGTATCAGAGACAAGGGCAGAAATAGCACGAGGAAAGGGGTCAAGATCCTGATATTCTTTTCCATCCACTGTCACCAATGAATACCAGTGCCTACCAAGGCTCCCCTCTGGGTTCTTAACCTCTCAAGCACCACATGAGGAATGTCAGATCATCAAAAAACCAAAATAGGCTATAATTCCAAATTTTCCATGAACATCCAAAGGGTGGCATGATCCATTTAAATATCAGATTGCACTTGCATCCAACAAATATGTAAACTCACCATAATTTGTTTAATTTCAAAAGCTAACCTTTGGAAAACAGTCTCTTGAGATGGCTTGTCATTCTCGAACACTGCTTGGTAAATTAACACTAAGGGTATTTTCACTTTTTAATGAGCGCTGTTGCCAACCCAGAAGGAAGGTTTTGGTCAATCACATGCATATACAATGCTAACTGAACCCATTAGGATCTGCTTAGCTAAAGGCAAAGTTCAGGCACTTTACAGCTGCGTTCAACTGAATTTGAAAAGAAATCAAGGCTTACCAGCAGTCACTCTCTGATTATTGTGAAAACTTATAAACAAAGCACACTTTGTCAAATAAATTGATGATTGTTTTTTATGTCTTAGGGATGCATTGTGTACATGAAGTGCATAACAATGGGATATACTTGGGGAGCTGTGAGTGACTGTGTGAGGTATGACTAACACATCAGTGTGATGGAAAGCAAAAACAAGCCAGGGTGTCTATGGAGCACCCTGTGCAGTAGAACTGCATTCACAGACACTACCATTGAAACAAGAGAGTTCCCTGACCCCCTCGCAGGACATGAGACAGGGGTGTGGCTCATCTCTTCAATTGCTGCCACTGCTCAAACCCCTTACAGGAGGTGGAGCATGATGACAGACAGCTGCAGGAGCCCAACTGGGCGTGTGTTACAGTGTGCTCTTTTAGCCTTGCCATCCACGGATGGCTTAAGTGTTAACAAGCACAGCAGACCCTCTGCCTATTTGCAAATGCAGAGGACCAGTGCAACAGCTTTCTGCATCCTGAGCTCTTCTCCAGCACCCCGAAAGAACTGGGTCACACACAGAATTGAAGGATAGTGAATGCAGGTGTTTTATTGAGCGGTGGAGGTGGCTCTCATCTGGATAGATGGGGAGCTGGAAAGGGGATGGAGTGGGAAGATGATCTTCCTCTGGCGTTTCGCCACCCAGTGGCCAATCTCCTCTCTGACTGTCCCCAGCTGAACTCCTCTCAGCGTTCAGATGCTCCCTCTCTTCTTTCTGCCATGCCATTCTGCCATTCTTCTGCCCTTCTGTTTGTCTCTTCATCTCCTTCTGGAACTGGGTGTTTGGGGTTTATATGGGTATAGGATAGGGGGGTGTGGTGGGCCAAAAAGCAACAGGAATGTCTGTTGCTATTTAAGGCCACAAGTATCCAGGCTTGAGGGTGAAGCCTTTGCCAAGGAACTGCCCTCTTCTACCCAGTATTTCCCTGACTACTGTACAAATCACCACTATTCTCATTTTACAGATCAGGAAACTCGGTTCAGAGGCATTCACAGGCATTTTATAAAATGCCCAAGGTCACAGTAATGCTAAGGCCACCAGTAAGTAGAGGCTGGGATTTAAGCCACAGTGAAACAGCAGATCCATGAGAGCCTATCCGTGCTCTCCAAATTGTGATCCATGTGTCAGAGGCGTGTGAACCAGAGCAACTCCATCTTGAATATGGGCTGGGTAAAATGAGGCTGAGACCTACTGGGCTGCATTCCCAGACAGTTAAGGCATTCTAAGTCAGAGGATGAGATAGGAGGTTGGCACAAGATACAGGTCATAAAGATCTTGCTGATAAAATAGGTTGTAGTAAGAAAGCCGGCCAAAACCTACCAAAACGAAGATGGCGACAACACTGACTTCTGGTGGTCCTCACCGCTACACTCCCACCAGCACCATGACAGTTTATAAATGCCATGGCAACATTAGGAAGTTACCCTCTGTGGTCTAAAAAGGGGAGGCATGAATAACCCACCCCTTGTTTAACATATCATCAAGAAGTAACCATAAAAATGGGCAACCAGTAGCCCTTGGGGCTACTTTCTCCATCGAGTAACCATTCTTTATTCCTTTAATTTCCTAATAAACAGGCTTTCACTTTACTCTGCAGACTCATCCTGAATTCTTTCTTGCACAAGATCCAAGAACCCTCTCTTGGGGTCTGTACCGGTACCTCGGTGTGGTAACACATGCATGGACTTCCTCTGGCAAGTAAACTCATGTGGATCTGATCACTAACAGTGCCATGCCATATGCTAAGTATTCTTAAAATACACAGGCTGGGTACGGTGGCTCACGTCTGTAATCCCAGCACTTTGGGAGGCCGAGGCAGGTGGATCACAAGGTCAGGAGATCGAGACCATCCCAGCTAACACGGTGAAACCGCGTCTCTACTAAAAATATAAAAGATTAGCCAGGTGTGGTGGTGGACGCCTGTAGTCCCAGCTACACGGGAGGCTGAGGCAGGAGAATGGCCTGAACCCGGGAGGCGGAGCTTGCAGTGAGCCGAGATCCCGCCATTGCACTCCGGCCTGGGCGACAGAGCGAGACTCCACCTCGAAAAAAAAAAAAAAGTACATCCCCTCCCCGCTTAATCGTAACAGCCACCTATGAGGTGAAACTGCCTTTATACCCATTTTCCAGATAAGTATAGTGAGGCTGCTAGAGAAAAGATCACCCAGCTTTTTAGTAATAAAGCCAGGATTCTGCTTCCGGAGCCAAATGTTTATCCCCTTTCTTCTTTGAAAATCTAGCACTGAACTTGGCACCAAGGTCATAAGCAGTGTCTGGGGAATGGATGAGCGTGTGAGTGACTAAATCCATGGATGAGGTCTCTCTGCGAAGTGAGGGACCTTCCAACCGTGCCCAAGGCATGTAGCAAAATGCTCGATAAATGTCTGTGAGAAGAACAACTGCTTGTACGGCTGAAAGGATGAAGATCCTGGGCTCAGCTTCCTTTACAGAAGAGGGAGACGTTGTTTGATGATTATCTCCTAAGCCTTGTTATTCCATTCCTGCCCTCTATGATAACCATACAGACATATGTGAATAAAATAGCTGTGTTACATCAGGTGTCCTGCTGGATTAGTTTGTGGCCCAGGGGACATTATCGGTGCCAAGGATCACAATCCTTCACTCCCTATCTCTTTGCAAACAAAGCTGACAAATCGCTCCCGGCGCTCTCTGGAGTAACCTTCACATTTGTGAACAGCGGGCTCTGCACGTTTTCCTCCTGAGCCATTGCCCCTGTCCCCTCCTCATTTCAGGAAAGAGGACAGCTGCAGGTAATGGTACCTTCAGCATCACACACTGGATCACCAGCTTCATTCCAGTCATTGGACATGTGTGAAATGAGACCGCTCATAAACACAGACAGCGCTCTGCAGCTTTTAGGGATGTAGAAGCTACCTGCTGGTTGCTTCAAATCTCTCATTGGTGTATTGGAATTTGACACTTAATATTCAAACCCAACTACAGGCTATGTACTCAGAGAGTAAAACTTGGTAATAGCACACAGCTCCACAGGCTGGAAGGCTGAGCATACAAACCTCTACTATAAAGACACACTTAAGGGGCCAGGCACGGTGGCTTATGCCTGTAATCCCAGCACTTTGGGAGGCCAAGGTGGACAGATCACAAGGTCAAGGGATCGAGACCATCCTGGCCAACATGATGAAACCTCGCCTCTACTAAAAATACAAAACAATTTGCTGGGTGTGGTGGTGCATGCCTGTAATCCCAGCTACTTGGGAGGCTGAGGCACGACAATCACTTGAACCTAGGAGGCAGAGTTTGCAGTAAGCTGAGATCGCACCACTGCACTCCAGCCTGGCGATGGAGAGAGACTCCGACAGAGAGATACCCCGTCTCAAAAAAAAAAAAAAAAAAAAAAAAAAACTCACTGCTTAAGAGCTCTTTGCCAGAAATGGACTTGGAGGAGAGAGAGTGGGAGAAAGAGAGTATAGTGGAAAAAGCATGGTCACGGTGAAAACAATGCTGATTACTATCCTATGCCGATTCCTCCTGAAAATCCGGAAGAATAACACAGCAAATTGGGGTTAGGGAAGGAACAAACGAAATAAACATGTATCTTTTTTTATCAGCTGGTCTCCTTAAATGATAGGGAACGGTGTAAATGTGCAGCACCACAGCACATTCCTCCTATTTACATGCATTCTGTTGCTACTCATTATTTTCTCCATCAGAGACTCAAAACAAGAGGAACATTTCCAGAATTATACATTTTAACAGAGTGATATCAAAAGGACAACCTGGTATTTATGTGCCAATTGCCAAAACACAATTTTCTAAACTTGCATTAACCTAAGAGCCCTCTTCATCATCCAGTTACTTTAGTAGACTCTATAGGATCTCACAGAGGGCTCAGCATCAAGTAGGCACTCAGGAATTGCTGACGGATTAGACTTGGTCTACAAGCAGGCACCTTCATACTTAGTGTTACCTGTTTCACAGAAACTCTGAGCTAAGCCTGTTTGGTCTAAATCACAGACCACAAACTGCAAGTGAGATTATCTAAGTGGCCCATCTATATAAAATATGTGAACCACTCACTGCTTAAAACAATTTACGCAAAGTTACCAGGGCTTAACAATCAACATTAAATATCTACAAATCCAACTCATCTAACCATACTGGGACCATATTTTTGTGTCTCCAAGTCTAATAAGCTTACAAGCTGATGCTTCCTTCAGGAAGAGTCTGTGCTCTCCCCAGGCCCCACCCATCTCTATTGCCTTTAGACATTTCCCTTTTCCTGTTTGGCCCCATGCAGAAAATCTATTTTTGTTTTCTTTAGAGACAGGGTCTCACTCTGTCGCTCAGGCTGGAGTGCAGTGGCACCAGCATAGCTCACTGCAGCCTGGAACTCCTAGGCTCAAGCAATCCTCCTGTCTCAGCCTCCTGAGTAGCTGGGACTCCAGGTTCATACCACCACACCTAGTTGAAATTTGACTTTTTGATCTCTGGTTTAAATATTTAGAGGATAAGGCAAACATTACATCTTTATTTTATTCACTGAAATGTTTTTCCTTTACTCTTACAGTAAAAATTCCTGCAATTCGTCTATTTCCACCACCCCCCCGCTCACCCTGGAATTCTGAGATGGTGTAAACCCATCCAGGAACATTGGCATATGAAGAGAGTGTATTTGAGGTTTTATTCATCCCACTTCCTTGGACTGGAATCCTATTCCTGGACCCTCTGGTTAGGAAAATTACATTCATGCTTCAAAGTTCAGATCAAGTACCTTTTCTCAGTAGAGTCTTCCTGCCCATACCAGGCGACGAGGGCTGAACTAGCCCCTCTTCCCTATGTTTCTATGATCTTGTATTCACACCTCTATTAAAAGACACTAAGATACGGCATAAGGTATCACATAATCATCTACCTCACAGATGTTTATTGCTTGCCCCTCTCCAAACCTAGATTATCAGTTCCCTGAAGGGAGAAAATGGTTTGACTTTGCATCCCAAGAGCTTATCCAAGGACCTGGCAGACAGGCTATGCATTCATCTCATCATAATGAATAACAAATATTCAAAACAGAAAATGATGAGCCCGGGCAGAGCGATAGGAATATTTGAGGGAAAAAGCGAGCTTAAATTTTGCTGGAGAAGATGAAGAACAGTTGCATGGCAGATGTAAGTATTGAGAGGCTGTCTGGTATAATACTTAAGGAGGCAGACTTTGAAGCCAGAGTGTCTAGGTTTATACCCCTGATCCAATATTTCTTAGCTCTGTGATTTGGTACACATTACTTAACCTCTCTGGTTCTCATTTCCCCCATCTATAAAATGACAATATTACCCACTTAATAGGGTACTATGAAAATGAAAGATTCTGCATATGTAAAGCACATAGTGAATATATATGAATATTAATCACTACTATCTGAGTGTGGCTATGAGGAGTAGATAAGACTTGGAGCTAAAGGGGGTAGACATTCCTCCAGGTGGGGGAAAGATATGAAGACAGGAAGGAAATTGTAAGTACCCTGGGGACAACAATGTCCTAGCCTACGGTATATCACTGTGTGTACTTAAGGTTGAAACAGGCTGGAGCCAGATGAAAAAGTACTTTGAATGTCAGTCTAGAATTTTTTGAACTGTATTTTGTAAGAAGTAGAAAACGGAAGTGCTCAGAAATGTAGCTCCCAGGCTGAGTTTCAGTTAACTATTTATTTCAGGCAACTCTTTTTACACCCAAACCCAGAGGACTACAGAGCTGGTAACAGGGATGTGTGCAGTCACCAGCAATAGATAGTTCAATGACTTTTTGACAATGTGTGCAAATATAACAATTCGCCTAGAAGGAGCAAAAATCAGTCTGACTACAGAAATTTTCCACAGTGAAAAACAAATTGACTCCATGAGGTTCCCCCTCAACCATTTTGTTGTTTTCCTTTAGACGTTATCTAAAAATCTACAAGGCAAAGCAAGACAAAAAGCCAATAAGAAGATGGATATTAAGAGGCTGCTTTCAGTATTCAAACGTATGTATTTGACACTGAATTATTGAAGAACTTTAATTTCTTGGTAAACTCTTAGAACTACTTTTGTCTGAGAAAAATTCACATGCAATTAGGTTTTTCTTAAAAAAAAAAAAAAAATCTGTGGAACTGTTTCCACCAATGAGAAGCCATTGGTGGTAGTTCCACCAGACAGTTGGATGTGGGACTTTATTGGAAAAATTCAGCTTCTTTTTCTATTTTATTTTTAGAGATGGCATCTCACTTTCTTACCCAGGCTAGAGTGCAGTGGTGTGATCATGGCTTACTGCAGCCTTGACCTCTTGGGCTCAAGTGGTCCTCCCAACTCATCCTCCCAAGTAGCTAGGACTTCAGCTGCATGCCACCATGCCTGGCTTCTAGTTTCTTTATCAATTACACCTTCTCTTGTTTAAAGTCAAAGTGCAAAGGCACAGCAGTATTCACTGACAGTGGACATAAAGCCATTTTTTTTACTCCTGTACAACACAGACCCAAACTACACACACACAAGTATGTACACACACACACACACACACACATTCATTCCAACACAGAGTCTATAACTTTTGAAAGATTATAAAGACATGTTAATCAAGGAAAATGACCAAGGCAAGTCTCAATCATCTTAGATTTACTTGCCAAAGTTAAGAACATGTGCCTGGGAGACAGGTCTAATACCTTTCTAAGAAGATGATTTTCAAGGTTTCAATATTTAAAGGGGAAAGGGCAAGATCAAGAGAAGTATACAATTTTCATGTTGGAGGATAAGAGAAAATAATTATTTATGCCTTTGTCTGTCTCAGCTAATCTGCATGTTTACATAAGATAATGTAGACAATACGGCAAAGGATGCCATTGGATATGCATTTGCCTCAGGCGGGCAAGAGGTGAGGGAGGTATGTAGCTTTCCATCTTTGTAGCCATTACACCGAGGAAGAAAAACAGGAGGCAGGTTTGCATGAACCAGTTCCCAGCTTGACTTTTCCCTTTGGCTTAGTGAGTTTGAGGTCCCAAGATTTATTTTCCTTTTACAAAGGGAAGAAAGAAAGTAAACTAAGGAAGAGATCTAGAAAAGAAACAATTCCGTCCCTGCGGCCTCCACCATCTCATATCATCTAACCCCAGCAAGAGAACTCACGGCTCTCAGCAAGAATGTCAGAGGTGTTTGAATCAGAGCAACTCCATCTTGAATAGCAGCGGAGTAAAATGAGGCTGAGACCTACTGGGCTGCATTCCCAGATGGTTAAGGAATTCTAATTCACAGGCTGAGATAAGAGGTTGGCACAAAATACAGGTCAAGAAGACCTTGCTGATAAAACAGGTTGCAGTGGAGAAGGTGGCCAAAACCCACCAAAACCAAGATGGCAATCAGAGTGACCACTGCTGTACTCCCAGCAGTGCCATGACAGTTTACAGATGCCATGGCAACATCAGCAAGTTACCCTATATGGTCTAAAAAGGGGAGGCCTGAATAATACACCCCTTGTTTGGCATATCATCAAGAAATAACCACAAAAATAGGCAACCAGCAGCCCTTGGGGATGCTCTCTCTATGGAGTAGCCATTCTTTTATTCCTCTACTCTCTTAATAAACTTGCTTTCACTTTATAGACTCACCCTGAATTCTTTCTTGCCTGAGATCCAAGAACACTCTCTAGGGGTCTGGATTTGGACCCCTTTCTGGTATCAAGAAGAACTTACTTAGTTTCTTATGTATTTTAAAGTGGAAATAACAATATCCTTTATTTGAAACTGTGCATTTTACAGAATAGTAAAAACTACCACCACCACAACAAACACCTCCAATATTCACTGAACACCTGATACGTAAAATTTCCTTTTTCGCCCATGTGTGCTAAATTCACTTTAGACACAATAGGATGACCGCTATGTTGTCCATGTCCCTTTCTTTTCCACATACAATTATCTAACCCTCCACATGTTATTCACACGGACATCACTGCTATGCCTCATGACAATCTACGTTGCTGCTTATTATACAAGTGACTGATGCTCACTTTCAGGTAATGCAGCAAAATTCATAAAAAAGGTAGTTTCTAAATACAACGATCCAAGCTACATACCCCTCCTCCTCCACTGTCCAAAAATGCTATGGTCACAATTTTACAAATTTCTAAATGTCTTCCCCTCATTTTCCTTAAAACCACAGGTTACCTCTAATGATCTTGTTTCCTCTTTTCTTACCCCTTCTCCATATTCACCTTCGTTCTTAGTGCACATGTTATTCACACGGACATCACTGCTATGCTCACAACAATCTATTTTGGTGCTTATTATACAAGTAACTAATGCTCACTTTCAGGTAATGCAGCAAAATTCATAAAAAAGGTAGTTTCTAAATACAACGATCCAAGCTACATACCCCTCCTCCTCCACTGTCAAAAAATGCTGTGGTCACAATTTTACAAATTTCTAAATGTCTTCCCCTCATTTTGCTTAAAACCACGGGTTATCTCTAATGATCTTGTTTCCTCTTCTCCTACCCCTTCTCCATATTCACCTTGTGAAGCTGTTACATTTCCATTTCATTCTCAACTATCAAAGGCATTCAGATTTCTCTACTCTCCCTCCTCTTTCTACACTGCTTCATGAAATCATTATTCTCTTACTGAGGGATGATTCTTTGTATTATTCATTCAATTTGCTCTCTTTTACTGATGGCCTTAACTCCTTACTACATTCAGAAGACATTTGCATTATTTTGTTTGCTCAAATTGCCTGGGAAGGCATTTTCCCCCCAGGATGCAACCATCCTTACCTTTTCATTTTATAATTCCTATTGCTCAATGCATCTTCTTGTACTAGGGCCAGCTATGTTTTG
The DNA here is from genome assembly GCF_000001405.40 of Homo sapiens. Classification (NCBI taxonomy): domain Eukaryota; kingdom Metazoa; phylum Chordata; class Mammalia; order Primates; family Hominidae; genus Homo; species Homo sapiens. The sequence continues at coordinate 6,289,646 of NC_000016.10, read as the reverse complement.
AGTCAAAATTAGTCTTGTTTGTGGATTAAACAGATATTGGACAGCTAGAGGACGGAAAGACACTCAATTAAAAGGGCATAAGAGAACAGTCTTCCAGCTATTACCAATGAATAGCTATGGTTCTGTAACATAGCATTAGCCGACTCAAGAATGATTTTCTTCCTTTTATTTCTGTGATTAAAATAGGGAATGATTAGGATGATGACTGCTAACATCCAAGTTAAAAGGAGTTACTTCCTCACTTCCTACTGATTCTGCAAAGGGTACACTTTTGGGAGGGAAGGGCATTATACTTTGCATCACCAGTCACAGGTAGATTGATGGTGCAAAGAATAACACCTATATCCACCCTTCCATCCTACCTCCACCCTTCCAAACCTTTCCATCCTATATCCACACTTCCAAAAATGTCAAGGAACGAATACCTCTGTGACATCTGCAAAGAAAAATTCTACTGATCAAAGACTGTTCCACGGTGTGATTTGGAGGAAAGATCATCCCCATCACTAAACAGATAAGTAAATTCCCTTTTTATTCCAGAAATAACCCCCTCCAAAAGTTATTCTCTATCTTGAACACAAATCAAGGGCATAGTTGGTAAAAATGATAAAAGCTCATTCTGTTCAGATTCTGGAGACACACTCAATCCCTGCTTACTCTTCTCACACCACTGGAGCTAAAGAAGTTGGTCTATACCCTCCTGGGGGTGACAGCATCTCAATGAGAAGCATTGCCTTGAGAACTAATGTCCAGAATTCGCTGTTGGTTCCACTAGACCTTAGATCCAGAATTCCAACCCTATTCAATTCAGTAGTACCCCAAGCAGGTATTACTAAAAACACACTCTACAATGCAGCCAAGCACAGAGGCATACAGGCGTATTCAGGTGCTATCTGCTTAGAGACCTAAGACCTTGCTTCAGCTGTACCAGCAGAGACAGTAAGCAACATACAGGGACATTAACAACATGTGCTCGAAGTCAGAGTTCTTGGGTTTAAATCTCAATTTTGCAGTTTCCCAGAAGTGCAACTCAGACAACAGCTCTCACCTGACTGAGTTTCAGGTTTTCAGCCTGTAAACTGGAGATAACAAAAATGACGCAGTATCTAGCATAGGACATGTATGTGGTTTGTCACAAAATCATGTATGTACAATAGTATGTATGATGCATGGACCTTATTTGTTTAAAATCCTTGCTACCCAAAGTGTGGTCCATGACTTGGTAGCATCCCATCACTTGCAGTTCAGCAGAAAAGCAGAATCTCAGGCTCTAACCCAGAACTTCCAAATCTGAATCTATATTTGAACAAGATCTCCTAAGCAATTCTTTTAACAAGATTTCCCAAGCATCAACTCTACATGACTCATATGCACAACATAACTTGATAAACATCGCTATAAAAAAACCGTTCACACCATTCTGATAAGCATTGTTGACCACAAACATTTTCTCCATAAATTTCAACAACATAGAGATACATTATTAAGACACAGTAATTTTACTGTTTGTAAACTGAATGAGAGCTTCACATCTCACCTGGATGCTGCACGCAGCTAAGAGTTACATCAAGTCACAAAGTGGAACATGTGAGCCATGTTAGCAGAGTTCCAGGTGCCTTACAGATGCTTGTTTATAGACAGAAAAGGTTGAAGTACGCAAAATGCACCAACGCTTAACACTGTTCATTTTTTCTTTAGCAAGATATCAAAACTTAGAAAATTTTAGGACAGGAAAGCATGGGTAAGCTAGACTGAAAAGCTTATCTGAAGATGTGAAGTTCTACCAGTATTTCCTAAAGATCTTTCTAGATTAGAAACAATAGCATAATAATTTTGGAGTTCCTCCACATATAGGTAAATGTTCTTAATTCTAGACAATCAGATGACGATAAATGGAGAATGGTCTTAATATGCCATTTCATATGTATCACATATATGTATGCTTATATGTGTGTGTGCTTTTATGTATATATGCATACATACTCTGAGCTGGCGATCTGCAAGATTTTCACTTTCCTGTTCTGATTACACATTTAGTCATTCATCAAATGTTTACTAAAGTCTAACTATGAATCAGGCACTGCCCTGTGTTAGCAGTTGTGAGAATGATGCTAGATGAGCCTCATGAACCTGTGAATAATCTAGTATTTGGTATTGCAGCCCTAACACCTAGCATCATCTTTGACACATGACATGTCCTCAAAACACATCCATTGGCTAATTTAATAAATATCATATTGGCAAACACCAATGATAATACAGGATTCTTAGCAAGTTTGTTTCCTACTGGGAAAACAACGAAGATCACTTCAAGTCCGAACAAATAGACAAGATAGAGCTGGCAACACCATGACTATTTTTGGTGGCACTCGTTGGCCATTTTAAATAGTCATTAGTCACTGTGTTCCCCTAACCCACTTCAACTTGAAAACAGTAAGTTCACAAAGTTCATTCTTGGAGGCTGAATTTGCATTCAAATGGAGTTTTTTGTGCCTGTCGTTGGTAATGATCAAATGACTCTGAATACCCTTGGGTGAGGTGTGCCTTCTTTGGTTTGCCATGAACTATGCTGTTCCCTTATCATTTTATACCCAGCCCAACTCAAAATCTGTAGATCTCTGTAGGCATTTGAGTTTCAGACTCACCTAAAACCCCAACTAATTCACTCTTGATTGATTCCTTTAAATATATCCTTCAAGTCAACTCTACCACTATATAGTTGCTGAGCAAATATTGCCATGTATGGGAAAAATGTAATCCTTGTTCTTACAGATGTTGCATTCTAGTGCAGGGAGATAGAGAAGGAATAGAAATAAATAATATTATTTAGGATTATCAAGTTCTTCCAAGTCTAGTCTTCCTTGTATAAAGACCTACTGGCTAGGCTGAATGAATCTGCTACCCAGGTGAGCCTGTGCAGTATCCTGTTTTAGAGCAATGTTGGATCATTCTCCAGTCCAGTGGGTAAACAAAAGAACACACAGTAACCTTCTGCTCGGAGTCCAGGCAAGGCTATGGAGAAGTCAGATCTGTAAAAATAGTTAGTAACAACCACACTTATTAAGGAGACGACTGCTATCTTCCAGAACTCCCCAAACTTAATATTCTAAGGGTAGCACATATCTCATTTCCATTCCTTGCAACAATCTTGCAAGGTAGGTACTAGTACTTCCAATGTATGAAGGAGGAGAGGGATGCTCAGAGACTTTGAGCAACTCAGCCAAGGTAGCCAGGCTGTAGGACACAGACTTGGCCTCATGCCAAGATCTGTGATTTTAAAAGTTCTCACACATCTGAGTCAAGATTTCTGAACTCTTCCCAAGTTATCGACACTGCATTTCTCACTGTCTGGGAATGTGTCTTTAATGATACATTTAAGACACATGGAGACTTGGCATTCAGAGCCCTTTGGAGAAGAGAAGAAACCAGGGATGGGGGGTTAAAAATGGACGCCATGACTTTCATGTCAGTCGAGCTCTCCCACTGAGACTCCAATAATTTATTGAATTATTCAAAGCGTTGCTTTGAAACATATTTCAGCATTTCTCCTGGAAAGAGGGCCATACGTGAACATTTATTATCAGTGCCAAAATGGTGTATAATTAATATTTTGATGCAGCCTCGTCACCTGCCTTAATGTTTGCTCTAACAATATTAGCTTGGCTTGAACTAAATAACGCTCCGCCGACTGTGTGTTATCCCACTTTTACACAAGAAGCCTCAATTTATTTAATTATGTGACTGATGATTTATTGTTGCGTTCCTTCTTGGGTTACATGTTGTGTTAATGGGCCATCAATGTAAATAAGATGCTTCTGGATGGGATCCGATGTCTCCACTGCAACTAGAGCAGTCACAAAGAGGACAGGAGAGAAACAGAGTCTACCTACAATCCAATCTCCTCTGAGGTTACCAACAGACCCTATTGTCCTTAGCCATGGAGGTTGCAGGATATACAAGGATGGATAGGCAGGAAAAGCAGGGAACAGATTCAAGCCAACGTGATGGTCATTTACATCCTAAAAAGCAAACCTCTCACCAGAACAAAAAGCAGAAGCTATTATGCATCTCAGAATCTGTGAGGCAAAGAAACAGCCACGTCTCTCCTTGTGCATGGAATCAGCACTCGGCAACACCCAAGAGGTGTTTTAGGGATGAAAACCTTTTGCCATATGTAGAGATGTGGGATTTCAGGGTGTTTGGCTCCCATAAACTTAGAAATACTCCTGTCAGCATGAAGACTGCACTCATTGCTACCACAATGTATATGGCTCCTTTTATTCAGTTCACACGCCCTCAGAATTCATACTTCCAGATATAGTCTTAAACTTTCCTTTCTGAGGTTCTTTTCATATTTCTAATCAAATGCCTTTGTCATGGAGGCTTATGCAGAATCTACTTCCTACTAAGCTTAACATATTTAGTATCTGGAATTCCAAATTTGCAAATTAACGGGACCCCCTTTTCTCCCCTATCCAGGGCCACTGAGCAGATTCTTCCATACTTTTAGCCATTATTTTTAATTTTCATTTTTCTTGACTCCTACAGTAAGTATCTGAAAAGAAACAACAACGAAGAAATCAACATTCCTGCGATTTCCTTGCCTCTCTCGGTTTAAGACTGGCTAACTGTGAATGTTTCTTTGAAGCCCTTGTTCCTGTGAATTTCCCCGATACCCTGGGGTTTTCTGTGTCAGGCAAGAGGATAAGAAACATGCCAGCCATTTGGAAGCGTATTTGTTTTCACTCCATTTCACAAACTGCAGTTAATAAGCCTTTAATGAGAAGAACAATGTGTTCTCCATGCACTCGTATATAATGTGAACGGAGTCACAATACCTCTAAGACAACCTAGCATAAACCACCTAGCTGAATACCAATGACTGAGAAGGGAAAATAATTTCCATTCTCCCCTGATTTCACAAGGTCAGGGGTATTCTGCACCGTGATTGAATAGTTGTTCATCTTTACAAAGTGGCATGAAAGAAACCAAGGACCTCTCCACTTTCTGTAAGTATACCCAACTTTTCCTGACTCCAGAAAACATCAACACCGTATTTAAAGCTATAAAATATTGTTGCTATGGCGTCTTCCTCAGGCAAACAGGTGATAAAAATGGCATTAAATGAATGAAACATTTATCCCAACTTCGCAGCCCACCCACCTGCAGTTCTGCAGGCTGCTGTCCTCAACACTGGTTGTGAATGACATCTTCCATTTATGCAGATATTATATGTGAGGGCCTCATTAGCACAGTGACTCTTTCAAATATCGGCAGCTTACCAGCAAGCATCATTGGGATTTGGTTTAGGTACAGGTGTGAACTGATTGAAAATTGATTTCTGAACTACCCCAGAGCTGTCCTGACGGCATAGGAAAAGAGATCGAGCAAACTGGTTAATTTCAGTACCAATAGCAAAGCCAAAGCATGAAAAAGAATATAAATTGCAAGCAGAATTATATTTTGTAGCTGCTAAGTAGATAATAGGAAAAATGGGGCAAAGTGATTACCATCTACCACTTCAGTACCAATGGCCTAGATGTTGTGTGAGTCTAATTAATTGTCAGTGCTCTTTATGGAATAATGTTAAAAACAAGCTACACAGGCAAAGCCCTTTCTCTCCATCCATTCCAGCACCATCCACAGCTCACTAAGATCAACACGAAAAAGGAACTTTCTGCATTGCACTCCTGTACTTGGAAAACCTTCCTTTTCTTGTTCCCTCCAAATAAGAACAGCTTCAGAAACAAAGTCGGTTTAGCGTGAGGCAAGCCAGGAGTAGAAAATAAATTAAAAGTGCCATTGCAGGTAATTTGGCCATATCTCTGCCACTCACTGTCAAACCACAGAGGACTTCCCAGATATACAATTTCTAATTAGAGTACTGCAAAGAAAGAAAGAAAAACAAAAGTAGCTGCGGGTATGTGCATATTCCTTCTGGAAGGATCTCTGGGTGCCAACGTGAAACTCCGTCACTATACTAACGGCACGTAGGGACAAAGGGATGAACTGGTGCAATATCTATAAAGTTAGGCATCCTTTCCCATTTTTCACTCACCTGAGTTCTGGAGAGAATTTTTAATTTTTGCTTGTTTTTGAGGCTGGGTAATACCTATGTATACTACGTGAAGTTCAACCAGTGCCATAACACCAAGAAAACAGGCCTCTGATTGTTAATGTTTCCACTTCAATGGCAGAATCTGCTTGAGAAGGACTGGGATAAAAACAGAATAAATAAAAATTTAGCCCATTCACTGTAGTAGGAAAGAATGGCTAGGCTTAAGGATATTATTTAATTTTTATTTGTTTGTTTTTGTTTTTTGAGATGAGGTCTTGCTCTGTAATCCAGGTTGGGTACAGAGTGCCATCACAGCTCACTGTAGGCTCAACCTCCGGGGTTCAAGCGATCCTCCCACCTCAGCCTCCCAAGTAGCTGGGAATACAGGCCTCAGTCACCAAGCCCAACTAATTTTTCACTTTTTTGTAGAGACAGAGTCTCACTATGTTACCCAGACTAGTCTCCCACTCCTGAGCTCAAGTGATCCTCCTGCCTTGGCCTCCCCAAGGGCTGGGATTACAGGCAGGGGCCACCATGTTTGGTTGCGTAAGGGTTTTAGAGTCAGATGTAGGAGCACATCTAGACTCAGTCACTTTGCAACAGGGTGACAATGGTACACAGAGTTCTTCATCTCTTCAAGTGAGGGTTCTCTTAACTATGAACTGAGTAGGTTGTAAGGATCAATGAAATGAGACAATAGATGCAAAGTACTTAATGAAGTAGTTGGCAAATAACAAATGCTCAAGAAATTATTAGACCTTGTTGATGTGCAGAGCTTGCTCTCCTTGGTTCTGAAGACTTACAGGCTGATAGGAAGCTAAGAGATTGTTTAAAGACCTCTTAAAAGAAGGGGCAAAGTATAAAAAGGAATGAGTTCCTGTCCTTTGGAGGGACATGGATGAAGCTGGAAACCATCATTCTCAGCAAACTAACACAGGAACAGAAAACGAAACACCACATGTTCTCACTCATAAGTGGGAATTGAACAATAAGAACACACGGACACAGGGAGGGGAATATCACACACTGGGGCCTGTCGGGGGTGGTGGGCAATGGGCGGGAGAGCATTAGGACAAATACCTAATGCATGCAGGGCTTAACACCTAGATGACAGGTTGACAGGTGCAGCAAACCACCATGGCACATGTTTATCTGTGTAACAAACTTGCACACTCTCTCTGAACACGTATCCCAGAACTTAAAGTAAAATTAAAAAAAAAAAAAAAAAAAAAACAGACAAGGTACAAGGAATGAGAAGGCCCTGAAGCCATAGCTAGGTGTCAAACTTGCTGTTCAGAAAAGGAGACAAAAATTACCTTGTAAAATTTTCCTTAGATTTTTCACTTTAAGATTACAGCATGTCCATCTGTCTCAGAGATCAAGCATGCTGGTCTATGCGCAATCTGGGATTTTTCCCAAGAAACAGTCAATACTTGTGAATTCAGATGAAGAGAGCTTCTGCAAAAATTAAAACTTAGAGGTGATACCTTTAATTCAGAACTCTTACTTCTCATGGTACAGAGATAATATTCTTTCTCTACTCAGGAACAGTTAATATGATACCACTCTATAGAGTGGTACATTTTTATTTTGCCCAATAACAAACGCTCACCCGTTTCTGTCTCTCTGGTGTGCAGTACGGCCTAATTTTCTTCCACTTTTCTCTCTATTCAACTCAGGCGGGCAGTGGGGTAGCCTTGTCAAATTGCCTGGGTTCCAACCTGGATCAAGTCAGAGTGGCAGCGGGATTTTGGGCAAGTTACTTCATCCTCCTAATCTTCACTTTCCTTGGAGGCTTTCTAAGAGGAGTCTGTGAAAAATGCTTAGAAAGCACCAACATTATCCACAGCACTCAGCAAATGCTCTGAAAATTCAACTGTTAATGTTATGAATAGTGTTGTTATTACGTCGGCACAAAAGTAACTGAGGTTTTTGCCGTTACTACCAACACCACCGCCACTATTTTTTACTCGGTGTTCTCCCACAAAATAATGCAAAGGTCCCCACACCTCACCTGTTTCTTTTACCCTGAAGTCTCTTCCTCTCCCCTGCAATGAATTCCAGAACAAAGCACTTTGGGGCCCACACCCTCGGTGGAAGCTGTTTTCTCCCATGACACATTCATGGTAATTTTCTGAATTAGGGATTCACCAGCAAAACGTGGTATTACAAGGCGTGGGCTCCGGAGTTGGTGTGGAAAATCCTGGCTGTCCCCTACTTCTATGCAGAGTAACACTTCCCGGTGTGCATAATCTCTCTGAGATGCATCTTCCTCCTCTGAAAAATGGGATCAATAACAGTGCCCATCTCTGAAGGTTATGGTGACAATTCCGTGGGATCACATCTGCAAGGTGCTTGTCCTAGCACCGGGCATGGAGTAAGCACCTCTGAAAGTTGGCTGCACAGTATCAATTTATATCTCATTACTAACATCCCCCACCATCTGCTCAATACATGTTAGCCCAATGCTCTCCACTGCTCTTTCCACTGGACATAGATGTCTAGGAGGGTGCTCAGTCTAACATCTCCAAAGCAGACCTGCATGTTGATAGCATATACATACATATGTAATACATATATATATACATATATACACACACACATATATATACACACACATACACACACACACACATATGTTGCTAGCATTGCTAGCATGCAGATCTGCTTTGGAGATGTTAGACTGAGCACGCTCCTAGACATATATATTAACAAAAAATCTCAAAGGAAAAGGAAATAGCCACATACTCTCTGTAGTATGTGTCCTCGGGATTTTCTGTTGGTAAGCAAGCCCCTGTTCAGTGTAGCTGTGAGCCCTTCAGATGTGACTGGTTTATGTAATGACCGGTATAAACACATAAACCGTGATGTTTCCAACCCTCATTCTCTCCCGCAATGAATTTTGGTTATATAATTTCCCTATCTTAATTACTTCTGGCTATATTCTGGCTCGTGGGGCTAAATAATGCCACGGCCACCTTCCTGAGTACTGCGACATTACATTGTCTAAGTGCCTGTGTGCTTATGTCCTCCTCTGGATGCTGTGTGGACGCATGATGCAAATGCAATGCTTTTAATCCCTCCTCATGTATCAATCCTCCCCTTCCCTTAATCTTTTTCACTCTTCATTGCCAACTTGTCTCCAATCTGTCTCCATCTTTCTCCTACTAAAGGTACCAGAAATAAATGCTACAGACTAGGGGTGGGTGAGCTGATAGATATGAAAGAACAAAAAAAGGAAGAGAGAGGAAAACAAAGACAGAGACAGCAGAAAGGCAGCCCCAGAAGTTGTGAGAAGCGAGGACGGAGGGAGGCGGCTGTCCTTGGATTCTGGGACGATGCAGCTTATCCCACTCAGGCCACGGACCAACAGAGAGTCTTTGGACAATGCCACCCTGCAGACTGCCTGTAGCTTCCTCTACCTCTGGTCCCTATTTTTCCTTCTGAGTTTTCCCATCAGTTCCATTGCAAGATTCAGGGTATCCCCCTTTCCCGACCCCCAAAATGTATTAGTCTGTCTTTTCTAGGATGAATCGTGTTTTAATCTTTTCTGCTCATATTTCTAACCTGCTTAGGATAGGCTTCTGTAATGTCCCCAGTCCACGCTCCTATTTGCAACACCTTCCAATTTAATATCGTCTGCAAATTTCATTAGCATGCAATTTACTTTCCCTTCCAGATCATTAAAAAAAAAATCCTCACCTAGACCAAGCTATTATGAATCTCCCTTCCTCTCTCCCCAGATCCCAGCCAAGTGGGAACATTACCATTTATCATTATCTTTTGTTTATAATCTTTCAGCCAGGTTTTGTCTAAGCCTATTAAAACTAATCTTGATGGCAAAAGAAAATTCAGATAAATAAAACCAAGCCCTGACATCAACAGCCTCAGTAAAGATCAAATATACAGCATGGTTAATAGTTAATAGTGTGTTTATGTTTCTCTTCTCCCTAATAATCTTCCATATGGACAGTCTCAGTGTTCCTTCTCCAAGGCCAATAGATAATCAGATCTGTATTCAGTGAGACTTACACAAGCGTATCAGAGGGATTAAATCCATCAGTCCCAATTGTTTAAAGTTTCCATGGAATCTTTATCCCCTGCAGTATTTTCAAACTCCAAGGCAACAGGGCACTCTTCTGCAGAGGAAGCTGTTTACAGATTGTCAAAGACTTACTCATTTAACGTCTCATGCTCAGGAATCTACAGTCTCCCCTTCAAGGCAGAAAGGGTTTTCACCACCAGCCTTGGCACTTGGTACGTGCTAGTTAATAAAATTCTATTTATGGCTCTAATGAGGATAAAACAGCCATTTCCTTAGCTAGGTGCCAGATACAGAAATTGATAACCAGACTAATCCTAACATAATTCCCTTAATAATGTCTAAAAACCACTCAAGTACCTTAATACATCAAGATGTAAATGTTTTATAATACCCATAAACACCCCCAGAACCTAACAGAGTTAATTCCACTAAGATTGAAATAAGTGAGAGGTGGTATAAAAATCAATTTCCCCCCACCTGCAATGATTTATCACCACCTCACCACCAGGATCAATTAATTTTGCACTAAGAAAAATGTCTAATAAAATTTTAGACCAAAGGAATGGAAAATAGAACACAAACCTTGTTTCAAACTCACATAACGGGTTAGACATATCTCAACCTTCTTGGTGATTAAAAAAAATCTAAATGAAAATCACCAACGATTTAAGATTTAAGATCAAGAATAGCTTATTGGGCTTTTATGAACCTTACAATGCTGTTAAGCTGTCTTTAAACAATATCGAGTTTCTATTTTATTTCCATTTTCTCTGATATAAACCAAAATAACCCCCCACCTACTCTGCTCTAAGCTGTATGCAAATATCTATGATTTATTTATACTTTAAATAACAAATAAAGGATTATGAGAAAAAAGTACACAGTATGACTTTTTTTTAACAACCTAAAAATAGAAGGAAAAGGAAATCTTTGTAGAGACCCACGATAATCTACGAAAAAGCTCAAAAGAGAAATTCAGAGATAAGGGGAAAATTGTTATTTTTTTCTTCTTTGGGTGCCCACTTAGATTCACCAATTCTGAAACTAAAGAGCAATTTATTAAAGTAGGAGGTGACGCACAGATTTATGCTTCATGCGATTAGGTAATACTCTTCTTGTGTTGTGCCTCTATTTTTTTTTTTTTTTTTTTTTTTTTTTTTTTTTTTGGTGAGTCCTACAATTTCCCCCAGTTGGAGACGAAAAAAAAAAATAACTTGAAGGAACCTTGCAGGGCAAGGAATCATTCTTAAAAGGAAGGATTTTAAAGCACATGCCTGCTCCCTGCCACTAGGGCAGGAAATTGCCTGCAACGAATCATCCCTCAAAAGGGGACTGAGCCGAAAGGGGCAACGTGGTCACAAAGTACCTGCCTGCACATTTACTGCCCCTCTTTATGGCTTTCCACAAAGTCCCTTCATGCAAAATGGCAAAGAGATGCCCCATTTATATGGCATAAAAATTAAGTGACTAATGGCCTATGTCCAATGAACTCCTACCCACTTACAAAGTAAGGGAACTTCACATTTTAATTCGTTCAGCTCAAGGAGAAGCGGAACCTCATCACCTACCCAATGATTACTTGGAATTAAACTCCGGGCCAAGTAAAAGTGAGCTGTGAAAGACAGCTTACACGAGGGTAACCGTATTTCTTCAAGGGCTTTACAGAATCATGACTCAATCCCAGCAGATCAAAAGTTTCTAAAGTAATCCTAATCGCAATCAGAATCTTGTATGTCTCTAGCACACGTCTTCATTGCCACCCCTCTTCTCTGTACCGCACATTAAATGTAGGGGAAACCAGCAGTTATATACAGCGGTCGGGATCCAAGGAGTCAGCACGGATTTGGAAAATGGACATTTTTTTTTTTTTTTTTTTTTGAGACAAGGTCTTTCTCTGTAGCCCAGGCTGGGTTGCCGTGGTGCAATCACGGCTCACTGCAGCCTCGACCTCACTCTATTGCCCAGGCTGATCTCCAACTCCTGGGCTCAAGCGATCCTTCTGCCTTAGCCTCTCAAAGTGCTGAGATAAAAGGTGTGAGCCTCTGTGTCCTGATAAAAATTGAGGTTTTTTTTTTTTTTTTTTTTGGGAGACAGACTCTTGTTCTGTCACTCTCTCTGGGGTGCAGCGCTGCGATCACGGTTCAATGCTGCCTCAGCCTCCCATATTCAATCCTCCCACCTTAGCCTCCTGAGTAGGTGGGACTACAGAACCACACCATCACACCTGGCTAAGTTTCGTATTTTTGGTAGAGATGGGGTTTCACCATGTTGCCCAGGCTGGTCTCAAACTCCTAGGGTGAAGTTATCTGCCTGCCTTGGCCACTCAAAGTGCTGGGATTACAGGTGTGAGCCACTGTGCCCAGCTGAAAATTGACTTTTTAATAATGCAATTTATAAGTCATTACAAAACTTTAATTATTTTCTGAACCTCCGGCAATTGTGTCTGGTACAGTACTGAGATGGGATTGTTTTTAGTTTACAAAGTGATAACCCATGTCCGGTTAAGATAAAAACACTCATTTAACCAGGTAGGTCTATTTCCCATTTCTTCTGGAAATGTACATTTATTTAAATCAAATTCATTTCACAAATGGTTACTGACCACTTGTCCTGTGGCAAGCGCTGATCTAAGTACCGAATATAAAGCACAAAATAAAATGAGCATGGTCCTTGTCTTCATGGAGATTTCATTCCTGGAAGGAGCATAGTTAATAAAAAAAAAAAAGCAAAGAAAAGAAATAATTACAGACTGTAATACACGTGGGGAAACAGATAAACAGGATGCTGTGATAAAGAATAGCAGCAGAGAGGAGAACTTCTTGGGAACTTAATGCGACCAGTATCTGCATAACCAGTCAATGTGTGGGATAAATATGAATCCAACATTAAAAAACGACTCTCAGCCGGGCGCGGAGGCTCATGCCTGTAATCCCAGCACTTTTGGAGGCCAAGGTGGAAGGATCACTTGAAGTCAGCAGTTCCAGACCAACCTGGCCAACACGGTAAAACCCCATTTCTACTAAAAAATACAAAAAATATTCGCTGGGCATGGTGGCACACTCCTGTAATCCCAGCTACTTGGGAGGCTGTGGCACCAGAACCACTTGAATGAACCCAGGAGGCAGAGGTGGTAGTGAGCCAAGATCGTGCCACTGCACTCCAGCTTGGGCAACAGAATGGGACTGTCTTAACAAAAAAAAAGACTCTCAATAACTAACACATATTTCTATGAGCATGTGCCCCAAGCTGGGAGGACAAAAAACGACCACTTCCGTGACATTCCACACATTTGACATATTTATCTAAAATGATTCTGGCCACAGTTCTGACGACTGTAACAAAATCACTTGTTCCCTTCCACTTTGAGTCATCCGTTTATCTATGTTTTTCTTCACTGCAGGAAAAAAGAAAAAGGTATTTATTTAATGAGAAATGATGTTTTAAATTTTAAAAAAATGTTAAATCCCTTCATATCCATCCCCTCCAATGAGAGAAGACTTACTATCTGTACAATTAAAGAATAGCTTAAACTTATAATAATCCAACACCTGCAGTACCAGCATCAATCAATGAATTAAGGCAATGCAATATACAAAAACTCACCCTGGCTTGCCATCACGTATCAACTGGGGAGGGAAGTATTAGGGTTATTTGGTAAATGGTGATGACAAAATTGTTTAAAATATTTGGTAAATATTATTATATTGTTCCTTCTTTATTTCACAAGGTCAGTTACCTTTATCATACTAATTGGCAGACAAAATAATCACTTTCTTCTATTTCTTGCTAATATTTTCTATGGCATTTATGTATCCTTAGTAAACTGTTAATTCCTCCAAAGTAGTGTTTTTTAAAAATAGGTATGTCCCTTCCATTATTATATCAAATAATGTAGTACTATCATCAGTACACAATGGAAATAAATATAGACTTTAGGACTATATGTACAGATGTGACTCCCCCATGTCTACCATATCAAGCACATTCAAACACAACAACATACCATTTTTTCAGTCTCAGTGCCCTCAGATGTGAAATGAAAATAAAGGTGTTAATAATTACTATTCCACGGGGTAGTTATGAGATGCGAATGAGATCAGGTGTGTGAAAACATTCTGAAAGCAGTCAAGCACTGCAGAAATACCACCAGTTGTTATTACAGTGAGTGTTCAATAAATGTTTGCTGATTGAAAGATGCTAACTTTTCTTTTCTTTCTTTTTCTTTTTTTTTTTGAGATGGAGTCTCACTCTGTCGCCCAGGCTGAAGTGCAATGGCATGATCTCGGCTCACTGCAAGCTCCACCTCCTGGGTTCACACCCTTCTCCTGCCTCAGCCTCCCGAGTAGCTGGGACTACAGGCGCCCGCCACCATGCTCAGCTATATACTAACTTTGCAAGCCCTGAAGCTTGCAGATAAAATAATCTCAGAGATGTAGGTATGTACACACACTTACATTGTCTTGCAGTGGGATAGGTGTGACCAGACAATGTGACTCTCTGTAGAAGCAAGACTGGATATTTCCATGTCACTCTCCGGACAAGAGCGACATATCTCAGCTAAAAGTTTTCACAGCACACGGTATCAGTGTCTCACTCTGTTGTCCAGAATGCTTTTCCACTAGACAGAACTGGTTCCTTCTCATCATTAATGGATCAATGACCAACTCTTCTTCTTAAAAAGAACAGCCTATGTAGGAAAGTTCAACTGTCCTCCTTCTGCTCATTCTCTGAATAGCACTTAGTTTTATTAACATCATAAATGTCCCTTTTAAATTAGATATTTCATTCTGAGATAATTCTAGATTCATATGAATTTGTAGGCAATAATGTTACAGAGATCCTGTGTAGTTACCTAGTTCCTCCCACAAGGGTGATTTCAAAACCATAGTATGATATCAGGGGATTGCGTGATGATAGCGCTAATACAGTCAAGATACAGAACTTTTCCATTTGCACAAAGATCCTTCATGTTGCCCTTTCATAACCACACCCATTTCCTTCCTCCTCCCTGTCTCCTCTCAACCCCTGGCAATGACTAATCTGTTCTCCATTTCCATTATTTTGTCATCTCAAGAATTTTACATAAATTGGAATTTTTCATGCGGCATAATTTTCTGGAGATTCATTCAGGCTGTTGGGCTGTTGCATGCATTTATCAACAGTCCACTCCTTTTTGTTACTGGGTTGTATTTTGTGGTATGGATATACCACAATTTCTGTAGCCATTCGCCCAGTGAAATATATGTAGGCTGTTCCCAGTTTCTATCTATTATGAATAAAGCTGCTACAAACATTGGTGAACAGGTTTTGTGTGAACATGTTTCCATGTCTCTGGAATAAATGCCCAGGAAGGCAATTACTAGGTTATCTGATAACTGCGTGTTTACATTTAAAGAAACTGCTCCACTATATCTCAAAGTGGCTATGGGAATGTATCATTTGACATCCTCTCCAGCGATGTGTATGTAATCCGAATGCTCAACAACCTTGCAAGTACTGGGGTTGCCACTGTTTTAGTTTTAGCCCTTCTGATAGGTGTGCACTGATACCACACTGCAGTTTTAATTTTCATTTCCTTAATGGTTAATGATGTAGACCATCTTTTCATGTGCTTACTTGCCATCTGTGTATCCTCTTCAGTAAAATGTCTCTTCATGTCCTTTGCTCACTGCTTGATTTTTTTGGTTCAGTTTTGAGAGTTCCTCATATATTCTAGATTTTGGTCCTTTGTCAGATACATGGCTTGCAAAAGTTTCCTCTAAGTCTGAAGCTTCCCTTTACATCCACTTAGCAGGGTGTTTTGCCGAGCAAGATTTAAAAAATTTTTTTGATGAAGTCCAATTTATCATTTTCTTTTCTTTATGAACTGTGCTTTTGGTGCTAATTCTAAGAACTCTAGGCCAAGCATGGTGGCTCACGCCTATAAGCCCAGCACTTTGGGGGGCCGAGGCGGGCGGATCACCTGAGGTCAGAAGTTCCAGACCAGCCTGACCAACATGGAGAAGCCCATCTCTACTAAAAATACAAAAAAATTAGCTGGACATGGTGACATGTACCTGTAATCCCAGCTACTCAGGAGGCTGAGGCAGGAGAATCGCTGGAAGCTAGGAGGCAGAGGTTGCAGTGAGTCTAGATTTTGTCATTGCACTCCAGCCTGGGCAACAACAGTGAAACTTTGCCAAAAAAAAAAAAAAAAAAAAAAACCAACAACAACAAACTCTTTGCCTAGCTTTAAATCTCAAAGATTTTCTGTTTTCTTTGCTTTGGTTTGTTTTGTTTTTTTTTAAAACAGAGTCTCACTCTGCTGCCCAGGCTGGAGTACAGTGGCATGATCATGGCTCACTGCAACCTCTGCCTCCAGGTTCAAGCCATTCTCCTGCCTCAGCCTCCCGAGTAACTAGGATTACAGGCTGAAGCCACCATGCCTGGCTAATTTTTGTATTTTTAGTAGAGAAGGGGTTTCACCATGTTGGCCAGGCTGGTCTTGAACTCCTGACCTCGGGTGACTCACCTGCCTCAGCCTCCCAAAGTGCTGGGATTACAGGCATGAGCCAATGTAACGGGCCTCTTTTTTCTTTACTAAATGTTTTATAGTTTTATGTTTTATATCAAAGTTAATGATCCATTTTGAGCCTTTTTTGTATAAAATGTAAAATTTTGGTCAAGAATTCCCAGTTTCTCTAGTACCATATGTTGAAAGGTTATCTTTCCTCTATTGAATTGCCTTTTCACCTTTGTCAAAAATCAGTTGGACATACTTATGTAGGTCTATTTCTGGGTTCTATACACTTTTTAAAATGGATCTATGTGTCTATCCATCTGCCATTGCCACACCGGATTACTGTAGCTATATAAGAAGTTTTGTTTTTGAACAGACTCATTTCTCCCACTTTATACTTCATTTACAAAATTGTTAAGCTTTTTAAATTTCATGGCACTTTCATTTATATTTTAGAATAGTGTTGTCTCTATCCACAAAAAAGCTTACCGGGATTTTTACAGAAATTCTATTAAATCTGTTTATCCATTTGGGGAGAATCAATGTCTTTACTATGATGAGCCTTCCAATCCATGAAAATGATGTCTCCCCTTAAATTTTTAAAAAGTTTTGCAGTTTTTCACATATAAGTTGTATTTGGTTAAAATTTCACCTAAGTATATTTTTTGAGTCATTGTACATGACATTGCATTTTTAATTGTGGTATCAGCATGTCAGCTGTAGGTGTTTGGTAGGTGTTCTTTAACAAATTCAATTCTCTTTATTCCTGTTTTTCTGACAGTTTTTGCCATGAATGGGTGTTGAATTTTATCAAGTATGTTTCTACATAGATTGATAAGATTCGGTGAATGATTTTTCTCTTCAGCCTATTGGTAGGGTAGATTACATTGATTTAATTGTAAATATTGAACCAGTGTTAACATCCCCGAAATAAACCCTATGTGATCAAGGTATAAAATTATTATTATATATTGTTGAATTCTATTTGTTAATATTTTGTTACAGTCAATGGTGATCAAGAATATTAGTCTACAGTTTTCTTTTCTTTTTTCTCCTGGCTTTGTCCTGTTTCACTGTCAGGGTAATTCTAGCTTTATAAAATGAATTGAGAAGTTCTTATTTCTCTCCTGTTTTCTGGAAGAGGATATATGGACTTGGTGTTAATGCTTCATTCTAAATCTGGTAGAATTCTCTAACAAAAACCTCCTGATCTGGAGATTTATTTTTTAGGAGGTTTAAACTTAAAAACCCAATTTCTTTAACAGTTATAGGACATTCAAATTATCCATTTCACAGTGAGTAAAATATGATGGTTTGTATTTTACAAGGAAGTGGTCCATTTCATCTAAGTTGTCAAAGATAAGTTTGTGGAGTTATTTACGGTATTCCCTTACTACCTTTTTGACATCTGCAAAGTCTGTAGTGATATTCCCTGTTTGATAATTTGTGTCATCTCTCTATCAGTTTTGCTCAGATTTGTCAGGAGGTTTGTCTTACTCATCTGTTCAAAAAGCCAGCTTCTTCTTTGTACTGATTTTCCTCTATTGTTTTACTGTTTTGAATTTCATCGATTTCTGCTCTCATCTTTATAACTTCCTTCCCTGTTTGTTTTGTTTGTTTTTTAGACAGGGTCTTGCTCTGTCGCTCCAGCTGAAGTGCAGTGGTCACTCTCGACTCACTGCAACCTCCACCTCCTGGATTCAAATGATTCTCCTGTCTCAACCTCCCCAGTAGCTGGGACTACACACATGTGCCACTATGCTCGGCTAATTTTTGTATTTTTAGTAGGTATGGGGTTTCACCATGTTGGCCAGACTGGTCTCAAACTCCTGACCTCTAGTGATCTGCCCACCTCGGCCTCCCAAAGTGCTGGGATTGCAAGTGTGAGCCACCACACCCGGCCTCTTTTTCTATGTTCTTAAGGTGGGAGTTTAGATTAGTGATTTGAAGCTTTTCCTCTTCTCTAATGTATTCATTTATTGCTATAAATTTCCTCTCAGTATTACTTTAGCTGTGTCCCACAAATTGTGATGTATTTCCACATTCATTCTGCCCAATACACTTATTTATTTTCCTGGAGACTCCTTCTTTAATCCATGGAATTTATTCGGCAATGTGCTGTCTAGTGGCCAAATGTTTGCAGATTCTCCTGTTATCTTTCTGGTATTAATTTATAACTCAATTCCATTGTGGTCACTGTATCATTTCAATTATTTTAAATTTGTTAAACTTTGTTTTATGGCCCAGGATATCTCCCATGGACATGAAAAAGAAACGCCTTCTGCTGTCATTGGGAGTGTTCTATAATGTTGATTAGTCCTCGTTGATGGATAATGGTTGCATTGTTCTTTATCCTTCTGATTTTCAGTCTAGTTTTCCTATTAATTCCTAATAGTGTTTAGCCTCTGACTATAATTGTGATATTCTTCCATTTCTCCTTTGAGTTATATATTTCTTTCTTCATATATTGTGTAGCTCTGTGTTTAATGAGTGCACATTTAGGAATGCTATTCTTGTTGGACTGACACTGTATCACTGTATCATTACATATCGTCTCTATTTCTAGTTGTTTTTTTTTTTTTTTGCTCTTAAATCTACTTTATCTGATAATATAGCTACTCCTACTTTCTTTTGATTGATGTTTCCATACTCTATCTTTTTTCCATCCTTTTACTTTCAGTCTACCTATACTATTAAATTTGAAAGGAGTTTCTTGTCAACAGCATATAGTTAGGTTGTATACTTTAATCCACTCTAACAATCTCTTACAAAGGGTGTATATAGGCCATTGCCATTTAATGTAATTATTGGTATGTTAGTGCTTAATTTTGCCACTTTATTCTTTTTTTTTTATTTGTTCTTTCTGTTGTGTTTTTCAGTTTGCCTTTTCTGCCTTTCTCTAGGTTGCTGAAATATTTTCATAATTAAATTTTAATTTGCCTATAGTCTGTTTGAGTGAATCTCCTTTTACAGATTTTTTTAGCAGTTATCTAGGTAGTGCAATATACATACATAACTTGTCACAGCCTGGTGCTATGTTTTCACCAGTTTGAATGAAGTGTGGAAATCTTAACTCCCTTTATGTTCCCTTCCTCTCCCCATTTAAAATATAATTGTCTTAAATCTTCCTACTACTTGTATTTTGAATCACATCAGATGGTATTATAATTTTTGCTTAAAGATAAAGCATAATTTTGAAAACACCAGAGAAGGAAAATTTATCATATTAATGGCTATTTTTGTTTTCCTCCTTGCTGATGTTCTAAAATTCCTGCTTTTATCCTTTCCTTTCTGTTTAGAAAATTTCTTTCAGCCATTCTTTTAAGGTAGACCAGCTGCCAACCAATTCTTTTAGTTTTTCTTCATCTGAAAATGTCTTGATTTCTCCTTCATCTCCGAAGGAGATTTTCACTCAATACAGAATTCTGAGTTGACAAGTATTTTCTTTCAGCACTTGGAAAACACCATTTCTTATTTGACTCTGTGGCTTCTGATGAGAAATCTGTTCTCTTTCAAATGGGTTTCCTCCTATAAGGATGGCGTGCATTTTACTCTCGTTACTTCCAAGATGTTTTCGTTGCCTTGACTTTTCAGAAGTTTGACTATCATGTGACTTGGTGTGGATTTCCTTCAGTTAATCTGACTTGGGATTTACTCAGTGATTTGAAACTATATCCAGTCAGCCCTCTATATCCATGGGTTCTATATCCACAGATGCTACCAACCACACATCAAAAATATTCCAAAAATTTAAAAATAAATAACAATACAATAAAAATAATACAAATTAAATGACAGTATAACAACTATTTACTACTTACATATTCACCAATCACATCAGACAGTATAATTTTTGCTTAAGCATACAGCATAATTTTGAAAACAGCAGAGAAGAGAAATCTGTCATACTAATGCTTATTGTTGTTGTCCCTCTTGCTGACATAGCTTACGTAGCATTTATATTATGTTAGGTATTATAAGTAATGTAAAGATGTTTTAAAGTATATCAGATGACACAAATAAAATGATAAATGCTTGAAGTGAGAGATATGTCCCCACAAAGCATACAGGAGGATGTTTTTAGGTTATATGCAAACACTATGCCATTTTATATCAGGAACTTGAACATCCATGGATTTTGGACTGTCCTGGAACCAGTCCCCCACTGATACTGCGGGAAGACTGCACTTCTGTTTAGGCATTTTGTTTGTTCTCTGTTGGAGGAACAGGGAAAAAATGTTTACTTCATCTTTCCAGAAGTCCACTTATAACTATTTTTAATTATTTACTTGCATGTTTGTGTGTTGTGTGTTTCTTCGATGAACTGTAAGATCCCTAAGAACAAACACCTGACTCTTTCAATTTTCCACTGTATTCCCAAGGCCATAAACCCTGGCATATAATAACTGTTCGATGCATATTTTGAATGATTGAATTAACAAACTGAACTATAGTCAGGTTCACAGTAGGGTTTACTAGAGTAAACCCTTGAGAATTTAATTTATACTGCAGATTCAGGAAGGTCTCATCTCTGTCAATTCTGATTCAGGAGGTCTATGCTGGATTGCGTACCTCTGCATTTTTAAGCACATTTCACAGGTGCTTGAACACAGCTATCTTGGACCCACTAAAAGAATAATCACAAGCTGTGCTTCATACCAAGACAGTTAGGGTCTGAGCACTGTCCTGGAAGGCGATGATTAGGGTGATGGGAGCAGAGGTCATCACGGGAGTTCTCCTCCATTCGACCTGCTCCATACCTGCTAGCAGGGAAATGAGTTTCCCCATAAAGAGATGTAAATCTAGGGACACAGATTCAAAACAAAAGCATTTGAACAAATTGGAGAGGAAACTGTCACAAAAGGCATAACGTTCTGCTACAGAAAAGGTAGCTGGAAGAACATGCTCTGCCCTCAACTCATGCATTTTAAAACACTGAGCTGAGGGTTTGTGTTTACCCAGTGCAAGGCCATTAATACATTCAGCCCAAGAGTGAAGCAATTTTAATATTAATAGGCTCTTTATGAGAATTTAATAACAAAGTCATAGCTTCCTTGTGTTTCAAGACACAGGGGTTAATTACTTCAAACGGGTTGGCAGGGAAAAGGTCAAATTTTAATGCTGACCTTAGCAGTTTGGGATAAATATAAAAAGGTAATAGCCCATTTAAAGCTTTCATGCTCACTGTTCTTTGCAGGCTAAGAAACTGTCACAGGATGTCCAACCTGTGGGTTTCAGCTATGGATGCTCAGAATAGCCACACACCTGGTTATCATACTTGGTAAATCTAAGCGACTTGTACCCGAATTCAGTTGACTCTTTCATGGGAAAAAGGGAAAAAAACAGAAGTTTTGATTGTTGGTTTTAGGAGTAGATCTCTCCTAGTATCTGCAACACTGAAGCTTGTTGATGTTCAGGGTTTTGCAGTCTTCCACCCATACCTTCAGAAAAACTTATGGTAAAAAAAGAAATCTGTCAGATAAGACTCTAGCTTCTCTGCTAAAGAAAGGACTGTTGCTCGTTTTCACAAAGGAATCAACTGGATTCCATTGCAACTGGATATATCCATGGTCTATTTCTCTTAGGCTACAGAGAAAGAGATAAGAAGCCAAGGGGACACCCCTCAAGTCCTATAAGGAACAGAAGAGGAGGGACACATAGGAGATAGTGAAATCGGGGTTTATCAGGAGAGGTCAAACAAATCACCAAATAATATGAGTAGAGTTCATTGACCTAAGAAACATGATCCTACGGTGTTAGTGTATGAATTGTGAATTTAAATTAATATCTCTGACAGTTTTTTTTCTGCCCATATACTCCAAATACTTTTCCTTTGATCACTGCCCCAGATTTTTTTCCCCCTTTTTCAGATTCCTGACTGGGATCCAGAGTTTGCCATAAATAATCAATTCAGTTCCAAGTGGGTGCCTCCATTTTGTGTGGCTGTGGGGAACTCTTCAAACACCACCATGTTTCCATAGAGGTGGATACCGCTTTTCACTAGAACCTATCCCATCAAAAATATTCATGATGGTGGTGGAGCCAGAAATCTCTTTGCACTGCTCCATTTGCTTTCAGTCACAGTGATTTACTGAATGCCAATCATAAGGCACTCTGCTAAGAGTATGGAATTCAGAAGCGAATCAATCAAGCTTCCTGCCTGCACAGAACTGAATGTCATACAGAAGACAGACAAAAAAACTAATTATGAGGGAATGCCATGGGAACACATGATAAAAGCAACAGACTTTAAGGATTCTAACATTCTAAGGTTCTTCTAGGATTCTGTTATTAAATAGATTCTTCTTCTTCTTCTTCTTTTTTTTTTTTTTAGACAGAGTCTTGCACTGTCACCCAGGCTGGAGTGCAATGGCGCGATCTCAGCTCACTGCAACCTTCGCCTCCTGGGTTCAAGGGACTCTCCTGCCTCAGCCCCCTGAGTAGCTGGGATTACAGGCGCGTGCCACCATGACTGACTGATTTTTGTATCTTTAGTAGAGATGGGGTTTCACCATGTTGGCCAGGCTGGTCTCGAACTCCTGACCTCAAGTGATCTGCCTGCCTAGGCCACCCAAAAGGCTGGGATTACAGGCGTGAGCAATTGTGTCTGGCCTGTTAGTAAATAGATTCTAAGACTCTTAGATTCTGAGATTCTGCTAGAGACTTGGAAGGTTTTACAAAGAAATGGCTTCTGAGACACAACGGAATATCATTCAGGATGGGCTAGACGCTGCAGTAACAACTGACCTCAGACTTTTGGTAGCTTGCAGCAGTGAAGATTTATTTCTCACTAGGCTATGTGTTGGCTGTCTTTTAGCTATGGCTTTGCTACATGTCATCTTCTCTCAAGGGTCCAGGCTGATAGAGAAGTGACTCACTGATCTCTCCACAGTGGGAGAAGAGAATAAGTTGAGTCAGATAGAGGCTCTTAAAGCTTCCGCCCAGAAGTGACACATCTCACTTCCCCCACGTTTCATTAGCTGAAGTAAGATGTATGGCCATTCCTGATGGGGATGTAAAAATCCTCCTGCAGTAAGAAATACCACAAAAAGAGAAGCCAGAATGTTTAGTAAGGAATAATAAACCTACCATGGACCCACAATACCAGGAAGGATGCTGCATGTGAAGAGAAAGTGGTATGACTCTTCTAGGAAGACAGGGTTTTCAAATGTACAAGAAGTGAGGAGGAGAGGGAGCAAGAAGAATCTGGGCAGAAGAGGGGGCAGAAGGAAGAGAGACAGAGGGATTCTGAAGAATTCAGAGTAGTTGGTTCAAAAAGGCTGAAGCTAAAAGTACAAGGAAGGCAGTTGAGAGAGCTAACATGGTAAAGAAAAGCTCCTTTTCCCACGCTGGGTGCACCAAAGCTAATTTGGTGGTTGACGCACATATCCTGCACAAGAAGGGCTTGAGAAACACTAATTTAAGAAGGCTTCAGGTCTTTAAATGTTTAATAAATGTTGTAAGCTATGCAAAATGTCAAACTGGCCGGGCACAGTGGCTCATACCTGTAATCCCAGCACTCTGGGAGGCCGAGGTGGGTGGATCACTTGAGGTCAGGAGTTTGAGACCAGCCTGGCCAACATGGTGAAACCCCGTCTCTACTACAAATACAAAAATTAGCTGGGCACGGTGGTGCTCACCTGTAATCCCAGCTACTCGGGAGGCTGAGGCAGGAGAATCACTTGAACTTGGGAGGCAGAGGTTGTAGTGAGCCGAGACTGCACCACTGCACTCCAGCCTAGGTGACAAAGCAAGATTCTGTCTCACAAAAACCCCAAACAAACAAACAAAAAAACAAAATGTCAAAAAAAAAATAGGGCCACTTGGAGAGGCCCGAGGGTAACCAGACAAACACGTGAGTGTGCGAAGAGCATAATGTTCCTTTCAGGTTTCCTCGTGTCTAACATCTAGAAAATAGCCCCAGATAACTGTCTCCGTTATGGTTGTTGAATGGCTTGTAGGGAAAAAGGAAATGGAATGAAGTACATCTTTGAACCATCAGCCCCACCCACAATATTGGAAATAGGGTGATGCGGCATGGGAGGCAGGACGAGGTTGGGTGTCAAGCGTTTGCTCTTATCAGAGTCGGTTCCCACACACAGAACTCGGAGTTCCTTCGCTCAATTATTCAACCAATGCTCACTGCACATTTACTACATGTTAGGTCATATGCCATGGACTCAGAGGTAATCAAGGAAAAGAAATTTCCTGAGCAAGACAGAAATAAAACAAAAAAACTAATCAGATAGTTAGAAGTTTCAGTGGCATGCTAAGAAAAGACAACATAGGCTGCAAAAAAGAGCTGAGCACCTGCCTGGCACTTAGGCCTCAGGGACTGCTTTCCAAGGGGTGTGGCTTCTATCCAGTGATCCGGATTACTGAAGACAAGGAAGGGGAAGAGCACATTAGCGGTGGGGAGAGTATGAGCAAAAGGTCCTGAAGAGGAAGAGAATGTGGTGGGTCTGAGGTCTGCAGAGAAGGGCCCTGTGGCTGTAGTGATGTGAGCGAGGAGGTGAATGGTAAGCAATGAGAACCGATGGGCCTGATGCAATCTGATCACTCACTGTCCTACCAGCCAGTGGGAGCATTTGAACTTCAGTTTAAGACTATTTGACGGGTTTCCAACAAGAGAACAGTATAATGCAATGACTATTTAAGGGCAACAGCCACTTTGATGACTCTGGAGCCCACTGCATACCCAGTGCAACTTCACTGGGAGAAAGTCAAGCCAAGTTCATGCAGGGATATGGCATGGTTATGGAAACGGTTGCATACTTCCTTGGACCTCAGTTTTTCTCCTTTCATGACAGGAAGCTGCAAAATTGGTAGTCAAAGTGATCCAGATGGATTATCCAAGAGAACACTGAAAAACCAAACAAATTGCAACTTGCAAGAAAAGGAACCCAAAGCAATGGGCAGGCAGTAGAAGAAGTTGTGTAACTATAAGTTTTGAGACTCTATGAAAGTAAGGTTATCGAATCCCCATTGCAAATTCACCCTCAGCAAATTAAAGTCAAAATAGTCTAGAACAATTTACCTAAGGTAAATCCTTAAAAAAAAATGTTTTAGCCCCACTTGCAAGTAAAGCTTTGGCTCACTTCACAGCTGAAGCAGATTTAATTCCTATTAATCCTGTAATAGTGGATGTTGCTGGTGGTGGCCACTGCTACCAACACTTTTGGTTCCAACTTTCTCCTTTGGAATGGCATTTTGGGATGGAAGCATCTAGTTCACAGATGGAGTGGTGCTTCCAATGTGAAGACATCAAGATATTTAAAAAACCATGGCAGGGTGCTTTGTAGGAGATAATGACAAATTTACAAACAAAAAGAAAATTCCTCAATTTACAAAAACAAATGGAGCAACTACCATGCCAACTAGGAAAGGAGCAGACACTAGCAGAAGCTCTAAGCTCCAAGGAAGGAGAGAGAGAGACAGGAAGGGAGGGAGACTAGTTCTTGTTGAATTGGGCACAAGATATGCCACATCTGTCAGAATGGAAGACAGATTGGAAAAAAGAAACATTCAGAGAAATGGTTTCATAAATGGAGGCTGCACTGCTCAGTTCAAATCAGGCGATTCCAGAAATGTACCTCCAAATAAGTTTACTTTTTTCCCCCAACCAATTGAATGTGTTTATCAGAGCCTCTCTCTTTATACCCTCCCGTGAAAACATAGATATCATTCTCCTTGCCATCCCACACCGGCCCCACAGTTTGAGCATGAATTCTCAATGCTCAAATTCAATTCTATGCTAGAATGATTCCAGCTAAGACTGGGGTGACTAAGAACTTCTACACAAATGGATTTCAAACAAAATTCCTGGGGAAGCAGAAAGTATGACCCTCCAATATTGAGCAGAACCATAAGACATCTTCTCTATATAAGGCATCTCTTTCTCATTTCAACCCATTTCAACCCACAGGCGCACTCTGTGTTCTCCTAAACACACCAAACTTTTCCCCATTTCAGTCTTGGGCACATTACAGCTCTCTCCCTGGTTCTTTGAGTGGGTGACTTTAATCTCATCCTTCAGGCTACAAATCAGATGTCATCTCAAAGTGGCCTTCCCTGTCTACTCCACATCTAAAGCGGGCCCTCTCCCGGCCTCAGTGCCTCTTTGCAACTTCATCCCATTAATCTCCTTGATGGTACTTACCTTGATCTGTTATTTCCATGAGGGTTGTGAGATGGCCTGCCTTGTTGCCCACTGTGACCCTGGTACTTAGAATGGGCGCTTCCTTGGATAAAGGAGCACTGAGGTTGCAAGGAAAATCAAAGATGAGCAAGACACAATCCCAGCTGGCAGAGACATCTTTCTCTGTTCCTATTCTTCCCACCTAAACTTTAAATAATAAATCACAGCCCTCAACCCTTTGTTCCGATTCTTCCCAGAACATAACATAATCCAGGCCGAATGAAAGTGGGAAAATAAAAGTGAGCAATCAATTGTTGGGAAAGATGTTGCAATCCAGTTGACAGCAAAATAACTACAAACGCATAGTTTTAACCAATGTTTATGAGATGCTGCTGCAGTGAACACTGCCTCCCTCAATATGGATGAGGCAAACAGTGTCATATTCCTCCCCATCTCTCCTTTTTTTCTTAAGAAGAGACTCAATTCTTCAGCAGGGCACACTCACCACCCCCCACCGCCATAATATCTACTACTTTTTTCCAAGCCTCCTTTGCAGGTAGAGGTACCCATGTGACTAATTTCGGGATAATGAAATGTAAGTGAAATTGGTACATGCAGCTTCCAGGAAGTACCCTTAAAGAGAGGAAATGTGACTTAACTTTCCCGATTCTCTTTCCTGCCCATCTGAATGAGGGTATGATGGCCGAAATCAAGCCACTGTCTTGGATGGGAAGGCAGAAACCAAGAGTTCTGGATGGTGGAATACCGCAATAGAAGGGAAGTCAAGGAGTCTCTGCACCTCTGTCTTTGTCATCTCTACGTTTCACCTTATTTAAAAAGAAAATATCCATCTTTCTTTCTTTTTTTTTTGTTTTTCTGAGACAGAGCCTCACTCTGTTGCCCAGGCTGGAGTACGATGGTGTGAGCTTGGCTCACTGCATCCTTTGTCTCTGGGTTCAAGCAACTCTCATGCCTCAGCCTCCCAAGTATCTGGGATTATCGATGTGTGCCACCATGCCCAGCTAGGTTTTTTTTGTTTTTGTTTTTGTTTTGTTTTGTTTTTTGGTATTTTTAGTAAAGACGGGGTTTCATCATGTTGGCCAGGCTGGTCTCGAACTCCTGATCTCAAGTGATCCACCTGCCTCAGCCTCCCAAAGTGCTGGGATTAGAAGCTAAGCCACCATGCCTGGACTGAAGAAAGCCTACTTTTAACTTTTAAAAGCCACTGTTTTCCTGAGTTTTCTGTCACTCACAGCCTCGCTGATCCAATGGGCAAAGAAAACACCATAATGTGGACATTTACAGAGATGAAACTGGTGAAGCTTGATGGACTGGCTGAGAAGGCTCGATTCCCAGGACAAGGATGACCCAGCAAATGGCTCAGCAGCCTGTTTCTGTTTGTCTGCTGTACAGTCATAATAACTCTCACAGGGCATGTCTGAGCCACTAAAACAATCACACTCATCATCTGACATCTGGGAGAGGCTGGAACAGCCAGTTGTTTGGAAGTTGCTTTTGCTTTGACGTACTATTTTGGTACTAGGTAGAGAAAAAAACAACCTTCCTCAAGATGGAAAAACTGAAAGATGAGGCTAACACCAGGACTCAAAGACACTGATTTTGGTGAAACACACACAATGAGGATATGCCAGGACTTTTCTGCTTTTTGGAAGGGAAGAAACAATTGCCAATTTTTCTCTCATCCACTGGGAATGTGAAAGCCAAACTCCTTGCAGTCATCTGTTCACAACCCTAGGCAGAAAGTGACTGTAATTTGTGGGGTTTTAAAAAATTGTATATTCCAGGTAATTTCTCCCTCTTGTGCAGAGGTTTAACACATTGCAAGTTATACAAGTTGATGATAGCACTCTAAGCAAAAGATAGTCTTCATAATTTTAATATATATGCACAGATATATTTTGTCCATGTCCAGAGGGAAAATCAACATTACTCTCCTTCTCAGCAACATTATCTCATTTTCTCAAAGAGTGCATGCTTTCTTTTCTTTTTTTCTTTCCTTTTTTTTGAGACAGGGTCTTGCACTGTTGCCCAGGCTGGAAGGAAGTCATACAATCTCACCTAACTGCAACCTCTGCCTCCCAGGTTCAAGCGATTCTCTTGCCTCAGCCCCTGGAGTAGCTGAGATTACAGGTGTGCACAACCACGCCTGGCTCATTTTTGTATTATCAGTAGTACAGATGGGGTTTCACCATGTTGGCCAGGCTGGCCTCAAACTCGTGACCTCAAGTGATCCACCTGCCTCGGCCTCCCAAAGTGCTGGGATTACAGGCATGAGCCACCATGCCTGGCCTGGATGCATGCCATGCCTTCTTTATATATATCTTAATACAGATATTTAATTAAAAGCCATTTCTCAATGGCTTTTAATTAAAACCTATGGGCTGATTTCTCTCTACCATTCTGTTCCACTCCATCCCAGTCTAGCCCACTCCATTTCAATCCAGTCAAGTCCTTCCCAATCTGGCCCACTTCATTCCAACCTGGCTGCAACATTTTGGGGTCATCCATGTGTCATCTGGAATCAGATGGAGGCACTGGGTCATGAAACTTCTCTGTACTCAGCAGAGACAGGCAGGTAGAAAGTAATCTGGAACATTCATAAACCAAAGTCATCTCTGCCCAGCAATGACAAAGAAAAGCGTGTTTAATTCTGCGGCAATATATCAATTGTCAGGGACCACAGGCTGCATGTAAAGTACAGAATTATTTTCAATGGGAGAACTTTCCCTCAGCTCAACAGATTTCTGTAGAGGCAATGGCTATCTAGGATCAAGAGCCTGCAGATTTACAGTGGTGGCTATTTACTAGAATTCGAAAACTCAAATGCCATTTCTCACGAAGATAAAGGAATTGTTTTAAAAGGGCCATGTGCAGAGATTTGAAAG